>NC_000002.12:74792625-75417625 GCF_000001405.40 Homo sapiens
TCAATTTTCCCACAAAGTCTAATGGTTGGCCGGGAGCGGTGGCTCACGCCTGTAATCCCTGCACTTTGGGAGGCCGAGGCAGGCGGATCACGAGGTCAGGAGATTGAGACCATCCTGGCTAACACGGTGAAACCCCGTCTCTACTAAAAATACCAAAAATTAGCCAGGCATGGTGGTGGGCACCTGTAGTCCCAGCTACTCGGGAGGCTGAGACAGGAGAATGGCGTGAACCCAGGAGGAGGAGCTTGCAGTGAGCCAAGATCGTGCCACTGTACTCCAGCCTGGGCAACAGAGCGAGACTCCATCTCAAAAAAAAAAAAAAAAAAAAAAAATCTAATGTTTAGGATAACCATGTCCCACCCTATTTAGAAATTCTCTTTTGCTCACTAACATTTAAGAGCTACTAATATGGTGGCACAACACTGCAAATGTAATGTATGCCACTAAATTTTACTCTTAAAATGAGTAAAATTTTAAATTACTCATTTTGTAATTTTTGTTATGTGTATTTTAGTACAAGAAAAATGATAAATTGAGGTAAAATATAAAAATGCATATTTATGTTACATTTATTTTACCACCACCACCAAAAAAAAAAAAAAATCACTGAACTGGACAACAGGACGTGAACTCTGTGTGGATGTGGGCATTTAAAGAATTACCCTTTTACTGTCTAACAGGAGGGTGGGTGGGCAATTCCAAAGAGCTTTTGCTTGTCTGCAGGAGTTATTCTATTCTGACTTTTTTTTTTTTTTTTTGACGGAGTCTGCAACCGCTGCCTCCCAGTTTAAGTGATTCTCATGATTCAGCCTCCTGAGTAGCTTGGACTACAGATATGCACCACCATGCCTGGCTAATTTTTGTATTTTTAGTAGAGACGGGGTTTCACCATGTTGGCCAGGCTGGTCTTGAACTCCTGACCTCAAGTGATCTGTCCGCCTCAGCCTCCCAAAGTGCTGGGATTACAGGCGTGAGCCACCACACCCAGCCCTCATTCTGGCTTTTTTCATTTTGAACTTTTTACTATGGAAATTAAAAACAAAACAAAACAAAACAAACAAACAAACAAACAAACAACACTCAAATAGTGAAGAGAATCCAGCAATGCACCGTCTTTGAGTCTGGGACCCAGCTTCAACAACCATTAAGGTTTGTTGTTCTTTTTATTTATTTATTTATTTATTTATTTATTTTTATTTTTATTTATTTATTTATTTTTTATTATTATACTTTAAGTTTTAGGGTACATGTGCACATTGTGCAGGTTAGTTACATACGTATACATGCACCATGCTGGTGTGCTGCACCCACTAACTCGTCATCTAGCATTAGGTATATCTCCCAATGCTATCCCTTCCCCTTCCCCCTACTCCACAACAGTCCCCAGAGTGTGATGTTCCCCCTCCTGTGTCCATGTGATCTCATTGTTCAATTCCCACCTATGAGTGAGAATATGAGGTGTTTGGTTTTTTGTTCTTGCGATAGTTTACTGAGAATGATGATTTCCAATTTCATCCATGTCCCTACAAAGGACATGAACTCATCATTTTTTATGGCTGCATAGTATTCCATGGTGTATATGTGCCACATTTTCTTAATCCAGTCTATCATTGTTGGACATTTGGGTTGGTTCCAAGTCTTTGCTATTGTGAATAATGCCGCAATAAACATACGTGTGCATGTGTCTTTATAGCAGCATGATTTATAGTCCTTTGGGTATATACCGAGTAATGGGATGGCTGGGTCAAATGGTATTTCTAGTTCTAGATCCCTGAGGAATCGCCACACTGACTTCCACAATGGTTGAACTAGTTTACAGTCCCACCAACAGTGTAAAAGTGTTCCTATTTCTCCACATCCTCTCCAGCACCTGTTGTTTCCTGACTTTTTAATGATTGCCATTCTAACTGGTGTGAGATGGTATCTCATTGTGGTTTTGATTTGCATTTCTCTGATGGCCAGTGATGGTGAGCATTTTTTCATGTGTTTTTTGGCTGCATAAATGTCTTCTTTTTTTTTTTTTTTGCTTTAAATGTTGTTTTATTTATTTTGTTTGTCACTTCAATTAAGTGATCAGAAGGTACAGACAATATATAAACATTACAAATGACCCAAAAAAGGCTGAGTGGTTCCAGCCAACATAACAGGTTTTCATAACAGAATGAAGACATCTTATTTCTTGATTTCATCTGACCTTATAGCTTAGCTGCATGAGCTAAAGCTGTGTTGACCAACACAGTAGCCAGGAGCCACACTGAAACACACTACTGGGCACTTACACCTTGGCTAGTTCTTTTTTTTTTTTTTTTTTGCCCTTCTATCTTTTTTATTAGTTTAACATTAAAACAATTGAGCCAGTGACATTTTTATCCTCTGATATGTCTAGCCTAGTAATTATTCAATAAATGTGTTTTTATTTATTTATTTATTTATTTTTTGTTTCTTTTGTTTATTTATTTATTTATTTATTTATTTATTTATTTATTTTTTTTATTGTTCATTCTTGGGTGTTTCTCACAGAGGGGGATTTGGCAGGGTCATAGGACAATAGTGGAGGGAAGGTCAGCAGATAAACAAGTGAACAAAGGTCTCTGGTTTTCCTAGGCAGAGGACCCTGCGGCCTTCCGCAGTGTTTGTGTCCCTGGGTACTTGAGATTAGGGAGTGGTGATGACTCTTAACGAGCATGCTGCCTTCAAGCATCTGTTTAACAAAGCACATCTTGCACCGCCCTTAATCCATTTAACCCTGAGTGGACACAGCACATGTTTCAGAGAGCACAGGGTTGGGGGTAAGGTCACAGATCAACAGGATAAGAATTTTTCTTAGTACAGAGCAAAATGAAAAGTCTCCCATGTCTACCTCTTTCTACACAGACACGGCAACCATCCGATTTCTCAATCTTTTCCCCACCTTTCCCCCCTTTCTATTCCACAAAACCGCCATTGTCATCATGGCCCGTTCTCAATGAGCTGTTGGGTACACCTCCCAGACAGGGTGGTGGCCGGGCAGAGGGGCTCCTCACTTCCCAGTAGGGGCGGCTGGGCAGAGGCGCCCCTCACCTCCCAGACGGGGCGGCTGGCTGGGCGGGGGGCTGACCCCCCACCTCCCTCCCGGATGGGGCGGCTGGCCGGGTGGGGGGCTGACCCCCCCACCTCCCTCCTGGACGGGGCGGCTGGCCGGGCAGAGGGGCTCCTCACTTCCCAGTAGGGGCGGCCGGGCAGAGGCGCCCCTCACCTCCCGGACGGGGCGGCTGGCCGGGCGTGGGGGCTGACGCCCCCCCACCTCCCTCCCGAACGGGACGGCTGGCTGGGCGGGGGGCTGACCCCCCACCTCCCTCCCGGATGGGGCGGCTGGCTGGGTGGGGGGCTGACCCCCCCACCTCCTTCCCGGATGAGGCGGCTGGCTGGGCAGAGGGGCTCCTCACTTCCCAGTAGGGGCGGCTGGGCAGAGGCGCCCCTCACCTCCTGGATGGGGCGGCTGGCCGGGCGGGGGGGCTGACCCCCCCCACCTCCCTCCCGGTCGGGGCGGCTGGCCTGGCGGGGGCTGACCCCCACCTCCCTCCCGGACGGGGTGGCTGCTGGGCAGAGGGGCTCCTCACTTCTCAGACGGGGTGGCTGCCGGGCGGAGGGGCTCCTCACTTCTCAGACGGGGCGGTTGTCAGGCGGAGGGTCTCCTCTCTTCTCAGACGGGGCGGCCGGGCAGAGACGCTCCTCACCTCCCAGACGGGGTCACGGCCGGGTAGAGGCGCTCCTCACATCCCAGACGGGGTGGCGGGGCAGAGGCGCTCCCCACATCTCAGACGATGGGCGGCCGGGCAGAGAAGCTCCTCACTTCCTAGATGGGATGGCGGCCGGGAAGAGGCGCTCCTCACTTCCTAGATGGGATGGCGGCCGGGCAGAGACGCTCCTCACTTTCCAGACTGGGCAGCCAGGCAGAGGGGCTCCTCACGTCCCAGACGACGGACGGCCAGGCAGAGACGCTCCTCACTTCCCAGACGGGGTGGCGGCTGGGCAGAGGCTGCAATCTCGGCACTTTGGGAGGCCAAGGCAGGCGGCTGGGAGGTGGAGGTTGTAGCGAGCCGAGATCACGCCACTGCACTCCAGCCTGGGCACCATTGAGCACTGAGTGAACCAGACTCCGTCTGCAATCCTGGCACCTCGGAAGGCCAAGGCTGGCGGATCACTCGCGGTTAGGAGCTGGAGACCAGCCCGGCCAACACAGCGAAACCCCGTCTCCACCAAAAAAAATACGAAAACCAGTCAGGTGTGGTGGCGCGCGCCTGCAATCACAGGCACTCGGCAGGCTGAGGCAGGAGAATCAGGCAGGGAGGTTGCAGTGAGCCGAGATGGCAGCAGTACAGTCCAGCTTCGGCTCAGCATCAGAGGGAGACCGTGGAAAGAGAGGGAGAGGGAGACAGTGGAGAGGGAGAGGGAGAGGGAGAGGGAGAGGGAAAGGGAAAGATAAATGTCTTCTTTTGAGAAGTGTCTGTTCATGTCCTTCGCCCACTTTTTGATGGGGTTATTTGTTTTTTTCTTGTAAATTTGTTTGAGTTCATTGTAGATTCTGGATATTAGCCCTTTGTCAGATGAGTAGGTTGCGAAAATTTTCTCCCATTTTGTAGGTTGCCTGTTCACTCTGATGGTAGTTTCTTTTGCTGTGCAGAAGCTCTTTAGTTTAATTAGATCCCATTTGTCAATTTTGTCTTTTGTTGCCATTGCTTTTGGCGTTTTAGACATGAAGTCCTTGCCCATGCCTATGTCCTGAATGGTAATGCCTAGGTTTTCTTCTAGGGTTTTTATGGTTTTAGGTCTAACGTTTAAGTCTTTAATCCATCTTGAATTGATTTTTGTATAAGGTGTAAGGAAGGGATCCAGTTTCAGCTTTCTACATATGGCTAGCCAGTTTTCCCAGCACCATTTATTAAATAGGGAATCCTTTCCCCATTGCTTGTTTTTCTCAGGTTTGTCAAAGATCAGATAGTTGTAGATATGCAGCGTTATTTCTGAGGGCTCTGTTCTGTTCCATGCATCTATATCTCTGTTTTGGTACCAGTACCATGCTGTTTTGGTTACTGTAGCCTTGTAGTATAGTTTGAAGTCAGGTAGTGTGATGCCTCCAGCTCTGTTGTTCTTTTTTTTTGGAGATGGAGTTTCACTCTTTGCCCAGGCTGGAGTGCAGTGGCATAATCTTGGCTCACTGCAGCCTCTGCCTCCTGGGTTCAAGCGATTCTTCTGCCTCTGCCTCCCTAGTACCTGGGACTACAGACATGTGCCACCACACCTGGCTAATTTTTTGTGTTTTTTTGTTTGTTTGTTTTTGTTTTTTGAGACGAAGTTTGGCTCTTGTTGCCCAGGCTGGAGTGCAATGGCGCGATCTTGGCTCACCGAAACCTCTGCCTCCCAGGTTCAAGCAATTCTCCTGCCTCAGCCTCCGGAGTAGCTGGGATTACAGGCATGCACCACCACTCCCGGCTAATTTTGTATTTTTAGTAGAGATGGGGTTTCTCCATGTTGAGGCTGGTCTCAAACTCCTGACCTCAGGTGAGCCTCCTGCCTTGGCCTCCCAAAGTGCTGGGATTACAGGCGTGAGCCACTGCACCCTGCATTTTTTTGTGTGTTTTTAATAGAGACAGGTTTCACCTGTTGACCAGGCTGGTCCTGAACTCCTGACCTTAAGTGATCCACCTGCCTCGGCCTCCCAAAGTGCTAGGATTACAGGCATGAGCCACTGCACCCGGCATGTTGTTATTGTTAATATACCCCTCCAGTGTTTTTCAAAATTCTCTCAGTCCATCCAGAGCATGTCAGGAAAAGCTCAAGCAGGGGTCTAAGGTATGAGCGGGTGAAACCTATTCTGCAGGGAGGTAGATGAAAAATGATCTGAGCTGGGAATAGAGTGAATGCCAGTAGTCACTGGGCAATGGGATGTAGAATCCCAGCTCTCTACATCACCCAGTTCCTGAATCTAGACACTTTCAACTTCAACTGTGGTCTTGGGATTGGCAGCATCCATACAACCTGGGAGGTTGCCAGCCTTGCAGAACCTCAACCCCTGCCCAGACCTGCTGAATCGAAAACTCTGCGGGTGGGGCTCAGAAACCTGTTTTCACACACCCTTCAGAGATTCTGTTGCCTGCTCAAATTAGAGAGCATCTTCAACAGCAAGTGAGGTGTATGGGAATGTAGGATAATATCCCCAACTACATGATTCATAACAAGTTGCTGATAGATGAATAAAGAAAAGACAGTTGGAATAAATGAGCAGTTGAAGTAAAATTACTGTATTATTGGGGGAATAAATGAGCAGTTGGAGTAAAATTATTGTATTATTGGGGGAATAAATGAGCAGTTGGAGTAAAATTACTGTATTATTGGGGGAATAAATGGGCAGTTGAAGTAAAATTACTATATTATTTATTCATTTATTTAACACACATTTGTTGGGCCAGGTGTTATTCTGGCACTGTGGATATAACTAAACAAAACGGACAAAAACTCTTGGCCTTGTTCTCGTGGGGAAACTTAATAATTGAGATAAAAGAATAAAAGATGTGGGCCAGGCACAGTGGCTAATGCTTGTAATCCCAGCACTTTGGGAGGCCGAGGTGGGCGGATCACGAGGTCAAGAGATCAAGACCATCCTGGCCAACATGGTGAAACCCCATCTCTACTGAAAATACAAAAATAATAATTAAAAAAATACAAAAATTTGCTGGGCTTGGTGGTGCACGCTTGTAGTCCCAGCTACTTGGGAGGCTGAGGCAGAAGAATCACTTGAACCCGGGAGGCGGAGGTTGCAGTGAGCCAAGATGACGTCACTGCACTCCAGCCTAGTGACAGAGTGAGACTCCATCTCAAAAAACAAATAAATAAATAAAATAAAAATAAAAGATGTGATATTTAAAAGGTGAAAAGTGATAGAGACAAACAAAGCAGGGAGGGGAAATGAGCAGCCTGTGGGTGGGGACAGAGAAAGGGTTTGCTGTGTACCAAAAAGTGGCTAAAGAAGGCCTGTGGAGGCTGGGCGAGGTGGCTCATGCCTGTAATCCCAGCACTTTGGGAGGCCGAGGCAGGCAGATCACGAGGTCAGGAGATTGAGACCATCCTGGCTATCACGGTGATACCCTGTCTCCACTAAAAATACAAAAAATTAGCAGGGCATGGTGGCGGGCGCCTGTTGTCCCAGCTACTCGGGAGGCTGAGGCAGGAGAATGGCGTGAACCCGGGAGGTGGAGGTTGTAGTGAGCCAAGATTGCACCACTGCACTCCAGCCTGGGCGACAGAGCGAGACTCCATCTCGGAAAAAAAAAAAGGCCTGATGGCCGGGCGCGGTGGCTCACGCCTATAATCCCAGCACTTTGGGGGGCCAAGGCAGCTGGATCATCTGAGGTCAGGAGTTCGAGACCAGCCTGGCCAACATGGTGAAACCCCCGTCTCTACTAAAAATACAAAAAATTAGCGGGGCTTGGTGGCGTGTGCCTGTAATCCCAGCTACTCGGGAGGCTGAGGCAGGAGAATCGCTTGAACCCAGGTGGCAGAGGTTTCAGTGAGCTGAGATCGCACCACTGCATTCCAGCCTGGGTGACAGAGTGAGACTCTGTCTCAAAAAAAAAAAAAAAAAAAAAGTTCTGAGTGAAAAAGTGGCAATTCAATAAAATCCTGAAGGAAGTGAGGGAGGAGCCATATGTGTACCTGGGGAAGGTCATTTCAGGAAGCAAGGGGACAGCCGGTGCTAGAGTCCTGAGGCATAGCACTAAGGAGGCAAGTGTGGCTGGAGCACAGTGAGTAAGTGGGGGAGAGCTGCAGGAAGTGTGGCCAGATTGCTAACAGCGGACATGCCGTAAAGGGTCTCACAGACATTACGAGGACTTTGGCTCTTACACTGTGTGAGATGGGAAGTGTATTAATTTTCTTGTTGCTGCTATCATAAATTACCACAAATTTCGTAGCTTAAAGCAATGTAGATTTATTCTCTTTCAGTTCTGGAGGTCAGAAGTCCAAAAACGAGTCTTCTATGGCCAAAAGCAAGGTGTCTGCAGGGCCAGTTCCCTCTGGAGACTTCAGGGGATGATCCAGTCCTTGCACTTTCCAGCTTTGAGAGCCCACTGGCACTCCTTGGCTAGTAGCTGCACCACTCCAAACTCGGCTTCTGATATATCTCCTTCTCTGACTTGGACCCTCCTGTCTTCCTGTTTTAAAGACACTCATGATGACATTGGGTCCACCTGGATAACCCAGAATAATCTCTCCATCTCAAGATCCTTAATCACATCTGCAATATCTTTTTTACTGTGTAAAGTGACATCATCTCAGGTTCTGTGAAATAGGATGTGAAAATATTTGGGGAGAGCATTATTCAGCCTACCACAAGAAGCCATCAGAGCTGTGACAGTGTTATGTGCTTTCTAAGAGTCATTACAGATACTGTGTTGAAAATTGTTTTGGGTAGGCAAGAGTAGAAACAGGAAAATTAGTTATTATATCAAAGTCCATCTACTCTTTAACTCCTAAGGACCTTGTAGGCTGTTCCCACACAAATGAGCATGTAATTCTGTTATGGGCTGAATTAAGTTCTCCACCCTAATCCATATGTTGCAGCCCAATCCCTCAGTACCTCAGAATGTGACTGTATTTGGAGACTGGGTCTTTGGAGAGGTAATTGAGTTAAAATGAGGCCATTAGCTAGGGGTTCCTAAAACACTCTGACTAATATCCTTATAAGAAGAGGAAATTTGGATACACAAAGAGACAGCAGGGATACGAGTACACAGAGAGAAGGCCACATGAGGACATGGCGAGAAGGCGGCCATCTGCAAGCCAAGGAGAGAGGCATCAGAAGAAACCAAACCTGCCACCCTACACCTTGGTCTTGACTTCCAGCCTCCAGAACTGTGAGAAACAACTTTCTGCTGTTTAAGCCACCCACTCTGGGTATTTGTTTATGGCAGCCCTAGCAAACTAATACCAATTTTAAATGCTTTCCTGAAACCCAGACACAGACCCTCCTCTTAATCCCCTAGTTCAGGATTCCTGTCAGGAAAGGAAGTCACCTAGTTGGCCAGATATTTTTGAAGCAATCCTCCCTACATCCTAGGAATGAACAATTGAAAAGAAAAGTCTTTTGCTCTTCAAAAGACACTGTTCAGAAAATGAAGACAAATCAGACTGGGAGAAAATATTGGCAAAACACATATCTGATAAAGCACTTGTATCCAAAATATATAAGCCACCTAAATAAAACACCAGTTAACCAAGTAGGTAAAAGATCTCTACAAGGAGAACTACAAAACAATTCTGAAAGACATCAGAAATGACACAAACAGATGGAAATACATCCCACACTCATGGATTAGAAGAATCAATATCATGAAAATGACCATATTGCCCAAAGCATTCTATAGATTCAATGCAAATTCTATCAAAATGCCAACATCATTTTTCATAGACTTAGAAAGCAATCATAAAATTCATATGAAATAAAAAAAGAAGAGGTTGAATAGCCAAAGCAATCCTAAGCAAACAGAACAAATCTGGAGGCATCACATTACCTGACTTCAAATTATGTTACAAGGCTATAGTAACCAAAACAATAGCATGGTAGTGGTATGAAAGTAGATACATAGACCATTGGAACAGAATAGAGAACCCAAAATAAAGCCAAATACTTACAACCAACCAATCTTTGACAAAATGTACAAAAACATAAACTGGGGAAAGGATACCCTATTCAATAAATGTGCTGGGAAAACAGGATAGTCACATGTAGAAGAATGAAACTGGATTTATCTCTCTCACCATATACAAAAATCAAGATGGATTAAAGACTTAAATCTAAGACTTGAAACCATACAAATTCTAGAAGAAAATCTAGGAGAAACTCTTCTGGACATTGGCCTAGGCAAAGAATCTGTGACTAAGACCCCAAAAGCAAATGCAACAAAACCAAAAATAAATAAATGAGATCTAATTAAACTAAAATGCTTCTGCACAGCAAAAGAAATAATCTTCAGAGTAAACAGACAACCCACAGAATGAGAGAAAATATGTGCAAACTATGCATCTAACCAAGGACTAATATCCAGAATCTATAAGAAATTCAAACAAATCAGCAGGAAAAAACAAATAATCTCATCAAAAAGTGGGCAAATGACATGAATAGACACTTTTCAAAAGAAGATATACAAATGGCCAACAATATATGAAAAAATGCTCAGCATCACTAATCATGAGGGAAATGCAAATTAAAACCACAATGAGATACCACAGCCAAAATGGCCATTATTAGAAAGTCAAAAAACAATAGATGTTGGCATGGATGTGGTGAAAAGGGAAGGTTTATACACTGATGGAATGGAAATTAATACAACCTCTATGCAAAACAGTATGAAGATTTCTCAAATAACTAAAAGTAGATATATCATTCTATCCAACAATCCCACCACGGGTCATCTACACAAAGGAAAATAAGTCATTATATCAAAAACACGTCTGCACTCCTATGTTTATCACAGCACAATTCACAATTGCAAAAATATGGAACCAACCTAAGTGCCCATCAATCAATGAGTGGATAAAGAAAACGTAGTTTATATATACCATGGAATACTACTTAGCCATAAAAAAGAATGAAATCATGTCTCTTGCAGCAACTTGGATGAAGCCGGAGGCCATTATTCTAAGTGAAGTAACTCGGGAATGGAAAGCCAAATATGGATGTTCTCACTTATAAGTGACAGCTAAGCTATGGGTACACAAAGGGAAAGAGAGTGGTATAATGGACTTTGAAGACTTAGGAGGAGAGAGGATGGGAAGGGGATAAGGGATTAAAAACTACATATTGGGTACAGTGTATACTACTTAGGTGATGAGTGTGCTAAAATCTCAGACTTCACCACTACACAATTCATCCATGTAATAAAAAACCACTTATATTCCAAAAGCTATTGAAATAAAAAAGATGTATTTAAAAATGTGAGCAAAAGATTTGAACAGACACTTCACATTAGAAGAGATATGGCTGGCAAATAAGGGCAGAAAAAGATGCTCAACATTGTTAGTAATTAGCAAATTGAAATCATAATGAGATATCATTACATACCTACTAAAGGACATAAAAAAATCTGATGATATCAAGTGCTGACAGAATGCAGAAGTGCTGGAATTCTCATGCATTGCTTATGGGAATGCAAAATGGTATAGCCGCTTTGGAAAAGCAGTTTGGCAATTTCTTATAAAGTTAAAGATATTCTTTACACATAACCCAGTCTTAAATATTAAACCAAGAGAAATAAAAATATATTTTACTGTATGGGAATAGCAGCTTTACTCATAATATCTCAGAACTGGAAACAAACCAATGTCCCTCAACTGGTGAATAAAGAAACCATGGTACATCCACAAGATGGAATCCTACTCAGTAATAAGAAGGACTGAACTATTGATAAGTGGAACTACATGATCTCGAAAGCAATATGCTAAATGGAGGAAGCAGACATAACTGGCAGCATACTGCATGTCCCATTTATAAGATTTTTTTTGAAAAAACGAAACTATAGGGGCATAGTTCAGGTTATTGGTTGCCAGGGGCTGGAAGAGGATAATTACCCTAATTAAGACAACATATGCAGCCGGGCGCGGTGGCTCACGCCTGTAATCCCAGCACTTTGGGAGGCTGAGGCGGGCGGATCACCTGAGGTCAAGAGTTCAAGACCAGCCTGGCCAACATGGAGAAACCCTGTCTCTACTGAAAATACAAAAATTAGCCGGGCGTGGTGGCACATGCCCGAGGCTAAGGCAGGAGAATCGCTTGAACCTGGGAGGCGGAGGTTGCGTGAGCCGAGATCATGCCATTGCACTCCAGCCTGGGCAACAAAAGCGAAACTCCGTCCAAAAAAAAAAAAAAGACAACTTATGCAAAAGTGTAAAATGCTACATGAGAAGATATTATAGTATTGTGAAACATCGACAAACCTTCCTCAGGAAGGCAATCCGTGGGAGAGAATGTCTTTTATCACCTTTCTTGAGGCAATGGTGCCTGCTGTCTTACACTTTGGCATTTAAAAGGAGGCCCTTGAGAGATTTATTTGCAAGCTTTGCACCAAAGTGACTTGCTAGCAACTTACAAGGTAACTTCTTTCACTAAGTTCTTTCTTTCCAGGCAGTTATCCTGTGGCAGTTGTCCACCATTTCTGCTCCTCTGAGGAGCAGAATTAGAACTGATTCTTATTTTATTTTTTTATTTCTTTTTCTCCCTATACTTCAATGGATGCAAATCTTATTTTATTTTTTATATGGCTCTGCATTTAAAAAAACAAAAGCATAGAAATGCGTATAGTTGGGGAGAGTTTGGGAAACCTCAAGAAGTCAGGTGTGGCTAGAAGTTGGATATATGGGGAAGTGGCAGGAGATAGGGCAGGAGCTCCATGATGGCCGTAAAGGAGATTGTGTCTGTGGGGTCCTTTTTGCAAAGGTCCTTACAGCCATTCTGCTCCGGGTTTAAAGCAGTGGATCTCAATGTGTTACACCCAGACCAGCAGCATTGACCTTGCCTGAGAGCTTGTTAGAAATGCAAATTCTCAGGCCCCACCTCAAACATTTTGCATCAAAACTCGAATCAGGCTCAGCTCTGTGTTTTAATGAGCCTGCCAGGTGATTTTTTATCCATGTTGAAACCTGAAAACCACTGGCTTAAAATATTTCCAATTTGAGATTGGAAATCTCCCAATTTGGCTAGCTCCCCAGTGAGCTAGCCAAAAAGCCAGCTGCCTTCCTGATCTCTTAGCCCATCCTCTTGTACAGGGTCCCCTGTCTTGGTTCTCTAAACCCCAGAGAAGCCCTCTTCTCTGAAATAATGGCAAGGAGGTAAGTACTTGCCTCTGAATGAATAGATGGGATTTTATTTACAGGCAAAGAAGCGTCTGGGAGGGCCGCACTTCACAGTGCTTGCCCAAATCCATATACTTCTCTCTTTGGGTTAAAAAGACCTAGAAGTAACCCAGAAGAGGTGCTCAGGAGGCACTGGGTCATCTAGTGCTAGGATGTTACAATGTGTTCTCTGCTGTTTCTCTAGATTATGTGGCTCTTTTCTGTCTGTTCCCATTATCTAAGGACAGAGCATCCCACTCTGACCTCCCTGCAGAACAAGGAGGCCGTGGCTGTTTGAAATTGCCGTGAACCCTCAGGGGCAGCTCCAATGCCTTTGACTTTCAGACCCCTCACCTGGAAGCCATCTCTGCTTCACCAGAACTTACTTTACTCCCAATTTCTACCTGGGATTACTGCCTGTGTGTCTTGTTTTCCTTACAGTCTAAAGTGCTTAGCATATGGGAAAGAACCCAATAAATGATAATTACTATTTTTGGTGGGTTTTTTTTTTTTCATTAAACAGGGAGAAAAGAGGGAGGAAACCCTAAGGAGAGGGACAATTAGAGCCAGCTACATAATTTGCGGGGCCCCGAGCAAAGTGAAAATGTGAAGCTTGGATGCTGGAAAAACTCTCTCCTTCCCATGGGCCCACTCTTCCAGGCCATGTCTGATAGGTAACCCCCAAGAGGTTGCAACCTCCTTGCAGGGACATGCTTCAAAACTGAGATGGTTGAGAGGACCCACTGAGTGACTTGCCAAACACATCATCACCAGGGCACTTGCAACCGAGGGCACTTGCAATCCAGGGCAGGGATGGCTGTTACCTTGTCCTGCAAGGAGCATGCCCAACCCTGATCCTCCCCATTTATGCACCCAATCCCTGGCTGAGGCTGGAGGGCAATGGAGGAATAACATTGTTGTCACTCCGGCAGAGGGTGGTGGCTGTCACAGAATGGGAAGGAAAATATTGGCCTCAGGTTCAAGGATCAGGTGGCTAATAACTCATCCCAGGGAGGTGTTGGGAGGTGACCACACATGAATCATCTGACCATATCACCTTGTCTCATTAGTGACATCTATGGCTTACCAAATAGAGCCACCCTCATGGGCATATGCCCCGGGTAGTCACACAGGGCCATGCTCAGAAGGGCCCCATGCTTGATGTGATACTCTGCTGTTGCCATCTTGAAATTCTAATGACTTTATCTTTGAACTTGTGTTTATTTAGTGAAGTCCAACAGGACAATGAAGCACACGTGTAAACAGAGGAGGAATGTGTGTCCGCCATTCCTTTCTGCCCCATTTGCCTGTAGTATTCACGAGACCCCATGAGCATAGAATCTAGTGGACTCATGGCATGTAGGAGTTTAATGAATACAAGGAAGTGCACATGAGTGCAAATTAAGTGTGGTATATCTATAACTGAGTAAGTAGGGGATATTACAGCCCTAGATGCCACACCTTCTGTTCCAACTAGAACTTGCTTCAAATACAGAGAGAAGGCATTTTAAGAAAAAAAGCAATCAAGGAACCTATCATTTTTTCTTACTGTACCAGTCAACCACTCATGCTGAATAAGATGACATAGAAGGAAAGGAAAAGATTGCACAACCCATAGTTTCTCTTCCCTTCAGTCCTTCTTTCCCCATCAGTAAGCCTAAGATAGTATTAGAATGTGCACGTATTGAGAAGTGGTACAAAAATAGTTGAGTTCGTTTTGCACAGCATTTCTACTGTCCTGGTAAGAATGAAATACACATGCACATTTGAGCTTTGAAATACAAACTGTGGGCCGGGCGCGGTGGCTCACGCCTATAATCCCAGCACTTTGGGAGGCCAAGGCGGGTGGATCACGAGGTCAGGAGATCGAGACCATCCTGGCTAACATGGTGAAACCCCGTCTCTACTAAAAATACAAAAAAAAATTAGCCGGGCATGGTAGCAGGCGCCTGTAGTCCCAGCTACTTGGGAGGCTGAGGCAGGAGAATGGCATGAACCTGGGAGGCGGAGCTTGCAATGAGCCAAGATCGCGCCACTGCACTCTAGCCTGGGCGAGAGCAAGACTCTGTCTCAAAAAATAAAATAAAATAAAATAAACAAACTGTGTAATTTTAATGATTTCGAATATGAGTTAAATGTGCTTCTTTGCATTTAAAACTGGCATTGCCGGGCGCGGTGGCTCACGCCTGTGATCCCAGCACTTTGGGAGGCCGAGGCAGGTGGATCACAAGGTCAGGAGTTCAAGACCAGCCTGGCCAATATGGTGAAACCCCATCTCTACTAAAAATACAAAAATTAGCCAGGCGCAGTGGCAGGCACCTGTAATCCCAGCTACTTGGGAGACTGAGGCGGGAGAATTGCTTGAACTCAGAGGGTGGAGGTTGCAGTGAGCTGAGATTGTGCCACTGCACTCCAGCCAGGGTGAAAGAGTGAGACTCCGTCTCAAAAAAAAAAAAACAAAACAAAACTGGCATTGGACAATATAAAGAAGAACAGTAAAATTTATGCTAATAATTTAAATTTTAAATTTTCTGTACTTAGAATGACACTAGTAGTAAATGAAAAACACCACGACGAATCAACAGAGAGAAAGTGGAAGAAAAAAAAGCCTTATATTTTAGTATCTTTAATGGCCCTTACTCTTTGAACAAAGGGTCTACATTTTAATTTTATACTGGGACCTACAAATTATGTAGCTGGCCCTGCCCCAATCATCCAGGACTTACCCTCATGTCCCACAGGCTTCCTTTCTACCCCAAGACCTGGCATCATGCTCTGCAATTTCGGCATTCATTTGACTGATCCATATTCCAGGTACATAATGCTTTGGAAAAGGGAATGTGTTATATTAAGACACAAAGTTGTATATGCATGAAAAACTTATAAAAAATGATCTGATTTTAGACAAGGATATTTATCTCAACACTTTTTATAATAGCAAAAATTTGGAACAACATATCTGTTACAATATGGGAGATCAATTTATTAAATGAATTTATGTCCATGCAGTGGAATATTTTGATCCTTTAAAACTGATGTCAGAGCTACATATTTATTGAATGGAAAAACATTCTTGCTATATTAATAAATTTTATTTTATTTTATTTTTTCTGAGACAGTGTCTCTGCACTCAGGCTGGAGTGCAGCGGTGCCGTCTCGGCTCACTGCAAGCTCCGCCTCCCGGGTTCACGCCATTCTCCTGCCTCAGCCTCCCAAGTAGCTGGGACTACAGGCGCCTACCACCACGCCCGGCTAATTTTTTTTGTATTTTTAGTAGAGACGAGGTTTCACTGTGTTAGCCAGGATGGTCTTGATCTCCTGACCTCGTGATCTGCCTGCCTCGGCCTCCCAAAGTGCTGGGATTATAGGCGTGAGCCACCGCACCCGGCCTATTAATAAATTTTAAAAGTAGGTTACAAACCAGTAAGGATAGTGTGCTACCAGTTTGCTATAAAAGTACAACTGTGGCTGGGCACGGTGGCTCACGCCTGTAATCCCAAGACTTTGGGAGGCCCAGGTGGGCGGATCATCTGAGGTCAGGAGTTCTAGACTAGCATGACCAACATGGTGAAACCCTATCTCTACTAAAAATGGAAAAATTAGCTGGGTGTAGCGGCACATGCCTGTAATTCCAACTACTTGGGAGGCTGAGGCAGGAGAATCTCTTGAACTTGGGAGGCAGAGGTTGTGGTGAGCCGAGATCGTGCTATTGCACTCCAGTGTGGGTGACAAGAGCAAGACTCTGTCTCAAAAAAAAAAAGGAAAACTGTAACCATACACTACATATGCATTTAAAGTATCTGAAAGGACAAATATAAAAATATTTACAGTAATTGTTCTAGATTATAAGGTTATAGCTTTTAAAAAATCTATGTCTTCTAGCTTTTTCTCAATGAACATGTATTACTTGCATAAATAAATAATATGTTTGGTTTTTGGTTTGAAGTCTCTGTTTCAGCTTCATTAGGCTAAAGATGTTTGGACAAACTATTCTTTTTTTTTTTTTCTGAGATGGAGTTTCGCTCTTGTTGCCCAGGCTAGAGTGCAATGGCACAATCTCAGCTCACCACAGCCTCCGCCTCCGAGGTTCAAGTGATTCTCCTGCTTCAGCCTCCCGAGTAGCTGAGATTACAGGCATGTGCCACCAAGCCTGGCTAATTTTGTATTTTTAGTAGAGACGGGGTTTCTTCATTTGGTCAGGCTGGTCTCAAACTCCCGACCTCAGGTAATCCGCCCGCCTCAGCCTCCCAAAGTGCTGGGATTATAGGCGTGAGCCACCTCGCCCGGCCAGACAAACTATTCTTTTAAATGTGATTATCACTTAAATCAGTAGACTTTGAGTAAAGCAGATTACCTTTCATTATGCAGTGGGCTTCATCCAATTAGATAAAGTCCTTAAAATTTAATAACATAAGGCCGGGCGCAGTGGCTCACGCCTGTAATCCCAGCACTTTGGGAGGCCGAGGTGGGTAGATCATGAGGTCGGGAGATCAAGACCATCCTGGCTAACACGGTGAAACCCTGTCTCTACTAAAAAAAATACAAAAAATTAGCCGGGCGTGGTGGAGGGCGCCTGTAGTCCCAGCTACTTGGGAGGCTGAAGCAGGAGAATGGCATGAACCTGGTGGGGGCGGAGTTTGCAGTGAGCCGAGATCACGCCACTGCACTCCAGCCTGAGCGACAGAGCGAGATTCCGTCTCAAAAAAAAAAAAAATTAATAACATAAAATTAACTATCCTAGTTGAGTAGCTGAAAAAATTCACATTTTTATTAAGAAGTATTTATTAAGCACATAGAATATGTGATGTGTTGAGAGCACAAAGTTGGATAAAACCTAGTCCTTTCCCCCAAGAAGCTCCTCATCTTTTAGAAGAAGGTGGTCAAAGAAGCAGACAATAATAATACAAGATGATAAGAGCAATGGTGGAAAGGCTCCTGGAGGTGAGTGGGGTGTTATCTTTTTTTTGGGGGGAGCTACAAAATTTGATATAAGTCTATGAAATGAACCATAAGATCAAGGAGCTTATGTCTGAATCCAGACGCAGAATGAACCAACCTCATGACTAAAGTTGTCTAGGATGACACAGAACTTGGTTTAGACAAAAAGGTGACACTGAACTGCATCTAAAGAATAAGTAGAAATGCTCATGAAGGGGGAAGAGGACAGTGCATTCCAGGTTGAGAATGGGACGATGGGGTAGCACACAGCATGAGTCGAATCAGAGAGAGCATGGTGCATCAGGAATTTGTGTTACTCAAGTGGGAAAAGTGGGGAGAGCCACAGGAAAGATTCTTGAGATCCATGAAGCAACCTATATTTACTGGGAGTCTGCTATTGCCAGGTACTGAGCATGTGTGTGGGTGTTGGGGAGGGGGGATGGAGTATGAAGAAGAGTGTGGTGTTTCTGCCTTCAAGGAGTTAACAGATAGGCTGGACACACACACACACACACACACACACACACACACACACACACAGAGCATTCTGCATAGGCTGGAGTGATCCGAGATGGTTTTGTCCATTGTAGTTGTATATGTCTTGTGTCTGGGGTGGAAGATGGGAGTAGACCAGGGTGAAGGGGAGGGACAATAGAGAAAGGGTGCAGCCATATGTAAGCAAAGGTTCAAAGAAGGCTCAGAGGAGCCCAGTTTCCACTACCCTGGGAAGAAATCAAATTTGCTGGATAGAAGAGTTTGCATCAGGAAGGAGGCTAGGGCAGGGTGGAACTGGGAGAGTGATAAACACCAGCTGAAGTAACTTGGACTTCATCCCGTGGGCAGTAAGGCTTGATCAAAACAGGAGTGTGGCAAAATTTTAGGTGTGTAAGATGGTGATGTGGGTGTAGGAAGAGCAGCTGAAGTGTAGGGATTTTGAGGGAGGGAGCAAGATCAGGGATGGGGCAATATTATAAAGAGCTTTGAACAATAAGCTAAAGGCTTTGAAGTTTATCCTTCAGGTTACTAGTGTTTTTCCAAAAAGTTTTAAAGCAGTGGCACCTGCCCCCCTGTTTTTTTTTCAAAATAATCTTAGCAGAAGTTCAAAATATCAAACAGAAACCAGCAGCCATCAAGTTTGCTTGGTTCAAAAACTGCTGAAAGCAATGGGGATTCAAGGAAGTTGTAAACTCTGATGGCAGTGTAGGATCTGATTGACAGGAGAGAAGCTGAAGGCTAGAGGCAGGTTAGAAAGAGATGATGAAGGTGTGGATGGTGGAGAAGAAGGGAGCGAGATGGATTTGAAGGGTTTAGGAGGGAGAAGCAACAGGGAGGAGAGGGGAAGAGCCCAATCCCAGCCAGGAAAGAGAAAGCAGAGCCCTTGATGGTGGTTGTGGGGTGAGGTTCTTGGCTGCCATCAGGGAGGAGAACTTGAAAACATCTGGTCCAGTTGTGTGGCCTCTGCTACGGATGGACAGTACTGCCTGTCCCCTAAACTTTGTTCAGTGCTGAGACTTTTTGGAGGAACTTTTGGAAGAAGATTTGAATTTTGAGTCTTACAAAAAGTACAATACTGTGCATGTGTCCATGCAGTCTGAGAATCAGAAGTAAAACAACTCTTCTATCTGGGCTGTCAGAAAAGTTTTGTTTGAAAGTTCCAACACAGTGCCTTTTCTTTTTTAATTTTTATTTTAAGTTCAGGGGTACATGTGCAGGATGTGCAGGCTTTTTACATAGGTAAATGTGTGTTAAGGGAGTTTGTTGTACAGATTATGTCATCGGCCAGGTATTGAGCCTAGTATCCATTAGCTATTTTTCCTGATCCTCTCCTTTCTCCCACCCTCTGCCCTCCAGTAGGCCCCAGTGTGCGTTGTTCCCCCCTGTGTGTCCATGTGTCTATGTGACACAGTTCTTGGTATTGCTAACAAAAATAAGCTTGAGTCCTGGGCTAAAATGACCTATACAGATCCCTGACTGTCGAGAATTGTGAAGGATTTGAGATTTTGCTGTACTTGCAAGCTAACAAGCCTGACTCACAGATGCCAACAGAAGACAGAAGACTCCTGGGTCAGAGGCAAAGAACAGGTTAGTACTTAAGTAATAGCAGCAGCCTAGTATCCCTATTTTTGCATTGGTTCCTCAAACCTCAATTTCCACAGGGTGACAAAAGACCCAGGTAATTCTTGCACTTGTTGTGGGTTACATTATAAGAGAGGAATTCCAGGCTTAGTGAACTCAAATCTTTTGTGATGGGCCAGGTGCGGTGGCTCACATCTGGAATCCCAGCACTTTGGGAGGCTGAGGTGGGAGAATTGCTTGAGCCCAGAAGTTGGAGGCAGCCTGGGCAACATGATGAAACCCCATCTCTACAAAAAATACAAAAATAGTCAGGGGTGGTAGCATGCACCTATGGTCCCAGCTACCTGGGTGGCTAAGGTAGGAGGACGGCTTGAGCCGGGGAGGTCGAGGTTGCAGTCAGCTGAGATTGCACCACTGCACTCCAGCCTGGGTGACAGAGGGAGACCCTGTCTCAGAAAAACAAAATGTTTTGTGACAGACAATAAGCCTACCTGAACTTTGCCCTGAAAAAAGATACTATCTTTGTTAATACTGGGCGTAAACAAACCTGACCCTGCCCTGGAGGGAGACACTATACCTTCCAGGGCTGTTAGCTGCACAGACATCCTTGAAAAGATAGTCTGAAATAGAGGCAGGGAGTGCTCCGACTCTAAGATATGCACAAATGCCAGAGACCTGTGAAGAATTGTCTCCTAACATGACAAGGCTCTGATAATGCTGAGCTGAAGAGAAGACACATTTCTTTCACTCCATATCTTTTTCCTCCGTGGAACCCATCATACTAGATGACTTTTCCAGTTGACCTAAAAGGTCAAGTCTTCTCTCACACTGGAATTCTTTGAAGTGTCTCAGATATCTGACCACTAGGTATCTGAAGTTCTACCCTGAAGGGAAGTTCTACTTGTCTATGCATGGCTAGTTTAATGATTTTTCACTGACCATGCCTTTAAGTTACTTTGATTCTTCTTACCTCAAAGCTCTCAGCTTCTTTAGTAGCTTGAAATTTTGTAAAACTGAACCAATCCTATTTACTTGGACCAAATTGCTAAACTCAAAATTAAGAGGTCTATGAGGAACGTTCAGAAACTCTCCTAAATAATTTTCTCAAGTTTGAAAGAAATAAAATGCATATAGAGCTTTGCAGAAAGCAGTTGTAAAATAGAGCAGCCAACACATCATGGTGAAAGATTTAATGAGGCAATTGAAGAAAGTACTTCCATATCTTGCGGGTTCTTCTAAGCTACCAGTCTTGTTACTTTATAATCTCACCACACTGAAGAGTCACACTCTGGAACCTACAGATATGATGAGTTTTGTCAAAACAGCTCTGCAGATGGGACGAGGAACTGTAGTTCCTTTGAGCCAGATCTCTAAAGGGGATCCCCTTACCCGCTTCTGAGTCTAGAGGTCTCCAGCAGAGGCTGCGTCTTATTGCAGTGGACCCGCCTTGTATATCAAGTGAAACTAACTTTGCTTCTGCTGCAATAACTGATTGAACCAGGGATCATTACCCAAACCAAAGGCGACTGGGTATAGATTGGACATCATGGAGCTCAACCCATTGTGAGGTGGCTTGGAGAAAAATTTAGCTCTTAGTACAGGTGATCCACATCGGATGGGACAGAAAAACCCAACCAAATCTTCTCTATAAGGCATATAAATGTCAGATCCACAGAGGGATGTTGGTATACCCTTAGTAAACAAAGCTGTCGGTGGTTCAGTTCTCCTTGAGTCCTGGTTATCAAACCCAGCATACACTGGGACTCAAACAAACAGAAGAGTTGAGAAGAATAAACAGATCCTGCATGCTCTCACATTCCCTTGTATGCTCATCTCTATTTCCAAGCCATCCTTGAAATAGAAAAACATCTTTATGTCCTAAAACAATTTAAGGACCTTTTAATCAATGTGTAAACAGACCTAGGATTAGAGTTAAAGAGGTGGAAAGTAAATCCCACATGCAGAAGATCTGAGACCCTGGAGAAGAGGCACTGTGCTCTAGCCCAGCACTCTATAAGCATCAAGTTAGGCAGACATCTGCTGGTGAGGAGAGAAAGGTAGCTTCGCTGTCGGTACTGTCAAAGACAAAGGTGAAGACTTGCTCCCAGCTGCTGCAGGAAAACATTCTATAGTGTGGTCCACAATGTATGAGAGACTAAAAAAGTTCAAGCACATTAGGAATGAAAGCTTCTTTGTCCACACCCCTTCAGTAGAGGATCTCATCCTTTCCCATGCCTCTAAATATAAGTGAACTTGACAACTCCCAAATTTTACCTGCAGCCAGATTTCTGATATGAACAGAAACTCATGTAACTGTCCACTTGTGATCTCCGCTTGAGTTATCACAGGCATTTCAGTTTAGCATGTCTGAAATGGAACTCCAGATCTATCCATCAAATCCATTCTTCCCCATATTTCTGTCTCAATAAAGGGTACTTCTCACTTGCTTAAGTCAGGAACCTGGAGTCGCTCTTCATCCTTCATATCCAATCCACCAGCAAGTGCTGTCAGTTCTATCTCCAAAACATGTCTTGACTCCACCCGCTTTTCTCCCTCTCTACAGCCATCATCGTTTGCCAGACCACAATCATCTTTTGCCTGTTTGGCTCAGTGGCCTCCTAACTGGTTGACCAGTTCCCCTTCTGCTCTTTTCCAATCCTTGTTCCAGACAACAGCCTGAGTGATTAAAATATCACCCCTCTGTATTTGCAGATTCTGCATTCAGAAATTCAACCAACTGCGGATCAGAAATATTTGAAAAAAATTAAAAATAACAATACAACAATAAAAATAATGCAAATTAAAAAACCAATACAGTACAACTGTTTGCATAGCATTTACATTGTATGAGGTATTAGGAGTAATCTAGGGATGATTTAAAGTATATGGGAGGATGTGTGTAGGTTATATGCCAAAACTATGCCATTTTATATCAGGAATTTGAGTATTTTGGTGTCCCTGGGGAGTTCTGGAAGCAATTCCTTGAAGATACCTAGGAATGCTGTATATATACACAGTCAACATGTCTCTTAACAATGAAAATATGTCCTGAGAAATGCGTCATTAGGTGATTTTGTCATTATGGGAACATCATTGAGTGTTCTTACACAAACCTAGATGGTAGAGCCTACTACACACCTAGGCTGTATGGTATAGCCTATTGCTCCTAGGCTACAAACCTGTACAGCATGGTACTCTATTGAGTACTGTAGGCAATTGGAGTACAATAGTATTTGTGTATCTAAACATAGATAAGGTACAGTAAAAATATGATATTATAATCTTATGAGACTGCTGTTGTATATGCGGTCTATTGTTGACTGAAATATCATTATGTGGCATATGACATGTATACACACACACACACACACACACACACACACACACACACACTGAACCATGCCACTGACCTGCTTAGTACCCTTTAGAGGCTTCCCATTGAACTTGGAATAAAAATCCCACCTTCCTCTCATAGCCTTTCAGATTCTCCCTGGAGCTGAGGTTCATCTCACGCCCCCTTCATCTATGCTGGCCCTGCTCTACTTCTCACAGAGGCATGTTCTTGCCAAGATATTTCCTGCTTCAGTGCCTGTGAGCATGTGGTTCCCTCTCCTGCAAGGCTTTCTGGCCCCCACTCTGCCTGGCACTGAGGCATGTCATGCACATTGTATTTTCATGAACAATGTCCCTTAGAGCTGTCCATCAAGGCAGCCCTCTTTCCTGACCACACAACCTAAAATCAGCTGCCAGCTTCTCACTCTCAGAGACCACATTTTTTTTCCCTCATAGCCTGTAACACAACTTGTAATACATATTTATTTGGGTATTTACTTTTTAAATCTCTCATGCCTCCTTAGACTGTAAGCTTCCTTCAGGTAAGGATCACACTTGACATGTTAACCACTGTATATCTATGGGCTTGATACAGTGCTTGGTGTAAATCGGTGTTCTGTAAATTCTTGTGGAATGAATGAAGTAAGGAAAACCCACAGGGCAAGGGGAACAGGGTCTAACAGGGCTGGGTGAGAGTGAATTAAGCAAAAATATGACACCAATACTGAGCAAACTCCAGGCTTGAGGGCATGGCATGCTGGTGCTTCTCTGAGAGTCCCATCTGCCCAGGCTCTTAGAACTGTGTGCTGATAGCTCTTTAAGTGAGGGTAAATATTAACACACCAGGATTACCCCAACTGTGAACTCAACCTATGTGGTCCGAGTTAAAGGCCTTATCTCTTGCTACAATCACCAGACACAAATGAAGAGAGATCAGTATTCTATGCTTCTCTCCCTCCTCCCACACTTCCACTCCATATCCTGGTATTCTTTGCCCTTTCAAGCTTCTGTGCTCTGCCTTCACTATTTATTTATTCTTTTGCTTCTCCTTTCTCCATGCCCAGGAGGCTGCCCTTTCTTTTTGGCCCCTGTATTCCAGAGGGATCTCAGGCATTCTAGCCCTTGACTTGGGTCACCACTGCTGAATCAACCGCCCCATTCTCATGTCTTTCCTTCGGGTCTTTCGGACAGTCTTGGCTAGAGAGCCCCAGCCACCTGCCTGGCCCTGCTGACCAGCACAGGCTCCCACCGATCAGTCTGTTATCTTTGCTCCCTGATCCTCACTCTCTGAGGCTGCACGTAGCTCTCTCTCTAGAGGGAGGGAGAGCCATTTCTCATGCTCCTGTGATTTAAAAAGGCAGGCATTACTTTATCACAAAGCGCCCAGAAAAACCATAGCCCAGAATAAAAACAGATCCCTTTCTCTGTGGTCTCTTTCTGCTTCCTTTTTAAACTTCTCTTTTTTTGGTTGTACATATAGTCAACAGAAATTAAAACCATCAGTCAGTGGATATCAAGTTACTGTTGGAAAAACTACTGGTAGCATTATGTGTATATACTTTTATTCAAAATGTCATTACATGTTATCATGATGCACATACTATAAACTTCAATGGGTGTGAAAGGTAGACATGAAATGTTAAATTTCCCTTCTATGTCCACACCGCCCCACTTCCCCTTAGCAAGTTTCTTGCATAACATTCTGAAGATCCTGTGCATTTACAAACATGCATATAAGTGCACTTTCCTTCCCCTCCTCCCACTCTTCCATTGTTCTGCACCTTGCTCTGTTCTCTGAACAATATGTTCTGCATCAGGAATCCAAAAGTGTTCTAACTTTTTTTTTTTTCTTTTCAAGATGGAGTCTTGCTCTGTCACCCAGGCTAGAGTGCAATGGCTCAATCTCGGCTTACTGCAACCTCTGCCTCCCGGGTCCAAGTGATTCTCCTGCCTCAGCCTCCTGAGTAGCTGGAACTAAGGGCACGTGCCACCATGCCCAGCTAATTTTTGTATTTTTAGTAGAGATGAAGTTTCACCATGTTGGCCAGGCTGGTCTCGAACTCCTGGCCTCAAGTGATCTGCCCGCCTCAGCCTCCCAAAGTGCTGGGATTATAGGCTTGAGCCACTGTGCCTGGCCTCAAAAAAGTGTTCTAAGTTTTTATAGCTACATAGTATTTCATTTTTTGGACAAATCATAATTTACATTAAGAAAATGGCATGAAATTTCACACATATATTACAATATATTTATGAATAAATTCCTCAAAATCAAGGGGTATAAATACATTCATTTTTAATTTGATAGAGATTGTTGAATTGCCATCTGGAGTAATTTATGACCATGCTTGTTCTATACATCTTTGTCAGTATAGTTTACAAAATTTTTCTATTTTGCTAATCTGTGAACTGAAAAATGCAGTTATTATAATTTTAATTTGCTTTTTTTTTTTTTTTTTTTTGAGATGGAGTCTGGCTCTGTCTCCCAGGCTGGAGTGCAGTGGCACGATCTCGGCTCACTGCAGGCTCCGCCTCCCGGGTTCACGCCATTCTCCTGTCTCAGCCTCCTGAGTAGCTGGGACTACAGGCAACCGCCACCACGCCAGGCTATTTTTTTCTGTATTTTTAGTAGAGATGGGGTTTCACCGTGTTAGCCAGGATGATCTTGACCTCCTGACCTTGTGACCGCCCACCTCGGCCTCACAAAGTGCTGGTATTACAGGCATGAGCCACTGCGCCCGGCCGCATTTTATTTGACCACAAGCATATATTTGTATGTTTAGAGCAGGGGTGTCCAATCTTTTGGCTTCCCTGGGCCACATTGGAAGAAGAAGAATTGTCTTGGGCCACACAGAAAATACGCTAACACCAACAATAGCTGATGAACTGAAAAACAAAACAAAAATCACAAAAAAATCTCATAATGTTGGCCGGGCGCAGTGGCTCACGCCTGTAATCCCAGCACTTTGGGAGGCCGAGACGGGCGGAACACCTGAAGTCAGGAGTTCAAGACCAGCCTTAACATGGAGGAACCCCGTCTCTACTAAAAATACAAAATTAGCCAGGCGTGGTGGTGCAGGCCTGTAATCCCAGCTACTCGGGAGGCTGAGGCAGGAGAATTGCTTGAACCTGGGAGGTGGAGGTTGCAGTGAGCCGAGATCACGCCATTGCACTCCATCCTGGGCAACAAGAGCGAAACTCCATCTCAAAAAAAAAAAAATCTCATAATGTTTTAAGAAAGTTTATGGATTTGTGTTGGGCCACATTCAAAGCTGTCCTAGGCCACATGTGGCTTGTGAGCCGTGAGTTGGACAAGCTTGATTTTGAGCATTTATATTTCCTTTTCTATGAACGCTTCATAATCTGCCTATTTTTTCAAATGGAACAATAATTTTTTCCTTATTGATTTGTAAAAGTTATTTATATTTTCAGGAAGTTTGTTTATGGTGGGCTTGTCTTGAGTAATTAAAAAAATTTTAATGTAATTCAATTCAGCTTTCTTTTAAGGCATCTGGGTTTTTGTGTGATACTTAGGAAAGCTTTAATTACAGGGTATTACGTACATTCTCCCATGATTTTTTCTAATAATTTGATTTTTTACACATAAATCTTTGCTCCACCTGTAATTTATCTTGTTGTAACCAATAAGATAGGAATCCAAAATAAATTTTTCTTCCCAGATGGTCACCCTGATGTTCCTGATGTTCCAACACCATTTACTGGTTAATCCATCTTTTCCCTGATGACTTGAAAAACCAAAACTTTATCGTATACTAAGCCACTACATGGCTCTGGGCTTTTTATTCTGTCCACTAGTCTGTCTAATCATGTCTGGTGTCATGTGTTAAACTCTTTAACCTCTACTGTTATGTCAAAGGTGTTACAACAGTTTTTAGGCTAGCATTGGGGATGGTGTTGGTATCTGGCAAAGCTAACAGAGGGCTATATGGAGACTGAATCATTAATTCTGGCCTAAATAACTCTTCATTCAGCTCAGTGCCAACTACTATAAAACAGGTCCTGATACTTTTAAGGAACACTGGTCTGAGATGTCTAGACACCACATCCTGCTCTCAGTTAAGCCCCACAACCATCCTGTGAGGTAATGTGTTCTTTGGATTCTTTTAGTTTCAAGAAACAGACTCACTGAGGCTGGTTCAAATACTAAGAGATATTATACTGATATGTGTATATGGGAGACAAGAATCTCAGCCATTTCATCAGAAGCCATGTCACAAGACCTCATAGGAAGATCTCTCTTTTATTTATTTATTTATTTTTATTTTATGAGCTTGAATACTTGAATATAGTTTTTTTGTTTGTTTGTTTTTTGAGATGGAGTCTTCCTTTGTCTCCCAGGCTGGAGTGCAGTGGCCTGATCTTGGCTCACTGCAACTTCCGCCTCCTAGGTTCAAGCGATTCTCCTGCCTCAGCCTTCCGAGTAGTTGGGATTACAGGCACGCACCACCACACCCAGTTAATTTTTGTATTTTTAGCAGAGACGGAGTTTCACCATGTTGGCCAGCCTGGTCTCGAACTTTTGGCCTCAAGTGATCTGCTCGCCTTGGCCTCCCAAAGTGCTGGGATTACAGGCATAAGCCACCGCCCCAGCCTTGAATACAGTTTTGAGACAGAGTCTGGCTCTCACCCAGGCTGGAGTGCAGTGGTGTGATCACTTCTCTCTGCAGCCTCAACCTCCCTGGCTCAAGTGGTCCTCCCACCTCAGCCTCCTGAGTAGCTGGGATTACAGGCATGCACCACCATGTCCTGCCAATTTTTGTATTTTTTGTAGAAATAGGGTCTCCCTATGTCTCAAACTAGCCTGGGCTCAAGCAATCCACCTACCTCATCCTCCCAAAGTGCTGGGATTGCAGGTGTGAGCCACTGCACCCAGCCTGAATAAATGTCTATTTAAAGACCTACTTGAAACATATTAGAATTCTAGCCTATGACAAGGGCTAGGGAGAAAAAAGGGTACAGGTATCAGGGTTGAAGGGTAAAAAGAAAAAAAATGAAAAGAAATAAACTACAAATAGAGGGGCCCTCCCTGGGCAGATGACAGTGTGCTATGCATTAAAGAATAGTGAACCACTTACATCTGAGGTCTTTTAAAAAATTAAAAGTCAAAATGTAAAACTCCAAATGTTGGGATATGAAAAGAGTAGTAGGAAATTAGATAGAGGAGAGCAAAAATGGGGCAATACAAGGAGGAGATGTAGGAGGAGGCAGATGACTGAAGGAGAACCAGCATTTCAGGTATTGTATCAGTCAGGATAAAATAGGTTATACTGAGTTAACAAATGACCTCAAATCTCAGTGGCTTAAAATTAAAAGGGTTTCTTGCTACTTGTCCGTTGCAGGTGGATGGGGACTCTCTTCCATGTTGTCCTCACTTAGGGATCCAGGATGACAAAGGCTCTCTCTCTGTGCTTCCACGATAGCCAAAGCTCAACTTTTTGTGTGCACTTGCTCAATTTTTCATTGGCCAAAGCAAGTCACATGACTTTATCTAACTATAAAGGGATATGATTATGCAATCCTACCATGAACTTAGAGAGAAGACTAGAAATATTTGGTGAATAGAACTAATGATTACTACAGGTAGTGACTATAGCTTTTAGGGATATGAGACATAGGGTGAATTAACCTGACTTTAAATGTTAGGACAGAACTCTGGGATGAAGTCATGTTGGCTCAGAATCAGCTGATGTCCACTGGGCAGTGGTTGAGTCCTGGTGACACCAGCTGTCTGCACCTGTTCTATAGGCATGAGTTAGTCCTCAAGGCCTTGCCAAAGGCTTAGCAATCAGTAACACACACATGCATACACAATTCCTAGGAGGGCATGTCAACCCTGATCTTTGCCCTAAAAAGCTGGTCTCTATAATTAATGATTTTGTTTTCAGTCTAAAGAGATAGTGGATAAGTAACTGTTGCAGAAAAAAAAAAAAAGAACAGGGACATATTGTTCTTTTGGGTGTTTCAGCTGATACTTTAATCTTAACTCCCTGGGCTCCCATGTCCCCTTGGGATACCAAACAATGTTGCAAATGGGAGCAGCCAACCCCACATTTTCCTTGCTGGCTAAATTCTACCAATAGTGATGTCATGCTTTGCTCTCTGATAAGATTTAGAGAAGCAATTTTGTAATGTTCTCAGACTGGCCAATAAGTAAGTGTCTCAAGGCCATTTTGAGTGACAGCCTTCTCGTTCTGCAGAAGTATAAATATTAAATAAAGAATGTTAGCCTCACTGGGTTCTGGGATGATAGAGCCATATAATCTATTGTAATTAACCACCAATTTCTAAACTGTCTGTCTGGGTTACCCTGAAGGAGGCAGATGCTGAACCTCAGCAACTGTGAAGCACTGACATGGGGGACATTGCTGGCTGTCTACTACACCCCTTCTTCTCTCTAAAAAAAAAACCCTAATATTGTTTGGGATCCATCAGATCACTAAGGGGAAGGTGACCCCATCCTCAGCTCTCGGGGTAGGTCCTGATTAGTCTAATCCAGGGTGTTTCAGTCTCAGCACTGTTGACATTCTGAGCTGGATAATTCTTTGTTGTGGGGGCTATAGTAGGTATTAGAGGATGTTTAATAGCATCCCTGCCAGGGGCATGCCCTAGTGCAGTTTAACAGCCCAAAATGCCTCCAGATATTGTCAAATTGTTCCTGGGAGTCAAACTCCCACCCAGTTGAGAGCCACTGGTATAAGCCCAGCATGGTAATCCTTTTCCTCTTTCCAGGTAACTGGTTTAAAAATGGGTATGTGACAATTTGGCTAATGAGATTAAGGGGAAAGAAAGCTGCTGAGGGGTTTCAGGAAACATTTTTTTTTTTCCTTATAAGAAAGAGACTCAGGAGGAGATTGTGTCCTTCTCTTTCTCTGGATCTTGTTGTTTACATTCGAAACCTGGTCACACTGCAGTCGTCTTAGCACCGGTTTGAAGATGAAGCCAACTCAGAGGGAGGCAGAGCCAAGAGATTCTCTGAGAAGCAGGGCCAGAGCCCTGATGCACCAGCCTGGAGCCTGGCCTGGAGCCTGGCCCACTGCTGGGCAGCTTTTTATCTGAAACAACAAATATCCTTATTGTTAGAGGCAAAGTGTCCTGTTACTTGCATCAGAAGTGACATTCTAACTGAAGTCATTGAAAAGAAGTGTCACAGAGAGAGGTCCTGCTGGAGCTGCCAGAAACAGGGCCCTGGCTCATTCCTGCTGGGACAAGTACCTTTCTAATTAGAAGGAATACATTGCCCATCTGTAAAGTGACAGGAGATTAGGAAATTAACTTGGGTTTTGGCAAGTTCATAAGAAGGAAACTGAGCTCCCACTGTCTGGAGGGGAGGGATGAGGCAGCTACGAAGATGAGAAGCAGATGCTACTTATGCAGGAAGAGATATGGGCTCAGAGAAATACAAAGGGATCAAACTAGTGCTTAGGGGGTGGAGGACTCAGATTTAGATGCTAAGACTGACACTAACTCAACAGATCTCCCAAACTCTGAAACCAAAACACTCACAGTCATGTGAGAGTCCTGGTTTTTACCACTGGCTGCACTTTGGAATTGCCTGGGGAGCTTTAAAAATATTGATGCCTTGGTCCCACCCACAGAGTTACTTATGTATTGGACTGGGGTGTGGCCTGGATATAATCTTTTTCAATTTTTAAATTATAATTTTTGTGGATTCAGATGTCTTTACTACTCTCGTCCTTTCTACTCAATTGTGCTGCCTTCATACCAGTAGGTCCTTTTCTTAATTTACTTCAATTTTGTGTGTGTGTATGTGAAGAGATAATACTTGTGACTCATACAAGGCTATACAATAAGATCTCTCTCCCATGCCTGTCTCCCAGTCCCCTAATTCTTCCACCTAGAAGATAGTTTATGACTATACACAGGTATATGTTTATTTTATTTTCAGTTACTCTGTATATACCAATGATGACTTCCTATGCACATTGTTCTACATCCCCTTTTTAAACTTAACTGTATTTTATAGATCATTCTATATTAATATTTTGAGAGCTTATTTTTATTTAATGTGATGGCAAGTTAATTTTGTGAGTATGCTGTAAGCTACCTAACCAGTCCCCACATGATAGCATTTAGCATGGTCTCAGTCTTTCTATGGCAAAGGATGTTGCAATGAATAACCTTACACAGCATGTATGGGTGTACCTATAAGAAAAATGGAGGCTGGGTGCAGTGGCTCAACCCTGTAATCCCAGCACTTTGGGAGGCCGAGGCAGGCGGATCACGAGGTCAGGAGATCGAGACCATCCTGGCTAACATGGTTAAACCCCATCTCTACTAAAAATATAAAAAAATTAGCCAGGCGTGGTGGTGGGTGCCTGTAGTCCCAGCTACTCAGGAGACTGAGGCAGGAGGACGGTGTGAACCCGGAAGGCGGAGCTTGCAGTGAGCAGAGATGGCGCCACTGCACTCCAGCCTGGGCGACAGAGCGAGACTCCGTCTCAAGAAAAAAAAAAAAAGAAGCTTCTGAGGTTCAAGTGCACAAGAGTCTACAAAATATTCTCTTATTTGGCTGGGTGCGGTGGCTCATGCCTGTAATCCCAGCACTTTGGGACGCCGAGGCGGGTGGATCACCTGAGGTCAGGAGTTCAAGACCAGCCTGGCCAACCTGGTGAAACCCCATCTCTACTAAAAATAAAAATTAGCTGGGCGTGGTGGCACATGCCTGTAATCCTAGCTACTTGGGAGGCTGAGGCAGAAGAATTGCTTGAACCTGGAAGGCGAAGGTTACAGTGAGCTGAGATCGCCCCACTACACTCCAGCCTGGGCAATAAGAGCAAAACTCTGTCTAAAAAAAAAAAAGAAAAAGAAAAAAGAAAAATCGGATTGCTGGGTTAAAGGACAGGTGTACTTATAATTGATAGTGTCAAACTGACCTCATGGAGGCTGTGTTCTCCCACCTACAATGTATTCTTCCCTTATAATAGTGAACAAGACACAATGCTTGGGAACTTAAACTGTACAAGGAACTCAGAAGGCTAGAATAAGTAGAGAAGGTTAACAGTACTTCACGAATTTCATTTCCTCTTAGGGAAATCTGTTTACTTTAAAGAGTGCCTCTTTCCCTATGGTAACGTATGTTGTCATTATTTGATTTTTGTTCAGCTGATGGGCAAAAAATGGTATGTCGATATGGTTTAAATTTGCATTCATCATTATTCTGGGTGATGTTAATTATCTTTTCATATATCAAATAGACATTTGTTCCTTTTCTGTTAACTCTCTAATGTGTCCCTTACCCAAGGGTTGGATTTCTTTTTCTTAGTAATTTGAAAAAGCTCTTTTATACAGCAGGAAAATGAGCCTTTTGCTTCTGATATATATTTTTGTCTAGATTGTTTTTTGACATTGCTTAATAGAGACTCTTTTGTGGGTCTTTTGTGACAGGTTTTTAGTCTTAGAAATGGCTTCAGCAGTCTAATATTTATTTATTTATTTATTTATTTTTATCACCAGTCTAATATTTAAAAAGCAAATGAGCAAGCTTCTTGCTATGGTTTGCAGAAATTTTGGGGGTAGTCCTACTTGTTTACTTTTCCATAGGAACATTATAATCAGCCTGGTTTCTTTTTAAGTTCATTATTTTTACGTGGATTGCATTTAAAATTTACAGATTAACCTAAGAGGAGGTGAAATTCATGAAGTACTGTTGGGACTCCCTATTTGTTCTAGTTTTCTTCTGAGTTCATTGCACAGTGGAAGTCCCCAGGAATTTAATATTTTTTCCACTATTATAATAGAAGAAAATATGCCATTAACATCTTAAAAAAATTTTTTTTAAAAGACAGGGTCTCACTCTATCGCCCAGTCTGGTGTGCAAGCGGCTCGATCATAGCTCACTGCAGCCTTGAACTCCTGGGCTCAAGCGATCCTCTCAGAGGCCTCAGCCTCTAGAGTAGCTGGGACTGCAGATGCACACCGCCATGCCTGGCTAATTTTTAAATTTGGTGTAGAGATGGGAGTATTGCTATGTTGTCCAGGCTTGGTCTTGAACAATTGGCCTCAAGTTGTCTTCCCACCTCGGCCTTCCAAAATGCTGACATTATAAGCATCAGCAACCGCACCTAGCCCTCATTAATATCTTTTGATTATTAATTTGGCATCAGGATTATTAAAAGCTCTTCAGGTGATTCTGATACAGTGAGTGGACAAGGAGCAGGAAGGGAGGGATAAGATGGGCGCTGTGGCTCACGCCTGTAATCCCAGCACTTTGGGAGGCTGAGGCGGATGGATCACAAGGCTAGGAGATTAAGACCATCCTGGCTATCATGGTGAAACCCCGTCTCTACTAAAAATACCAAAAAAAACAAAAAATTAGCCAGGCGTGGTGGCGGGTGCCTGTAGTCCCAGCTACTCGCGAGGCTGAGGCAGGAGAATGGCATGAACCTGGGAGGCGGAGCTTGCAGTGAGCTGAGATCACACCACTGCACTCCAGCCTGGGCGACAGAGCGAGACTCGGTCTCACAAAAAAAAAAAAAGGAAGGGAGGGATACTCTGGGTCAGCTGGCTGTAATTCAGGAAGAAGTATTTTGTCACTGATATTGTTTAAATTGCCAGCCTATGGTGATAATTAAAAAAACCAGACAGGGTAAAGATTTTATTATTGTTTATAAATTCTCTGCAGCAAGGCACCCATCATTGCCTGTACCCAGGGCCAACCACTCACTCCCCTTGGTACAGCCTGTTCTAAAGAGCAGTCAAGGTTGAAAAGCGTTGTCTTGGAGTCTTCCAACTCTCTCCCACGTCTCTCCACACTCAATCACTTCATGTGTCCCGTTCAGGCTACCTCTTACATTTTCTTCACTTCTTTCCCCTCTTCTCTGTCCTTCTGCCATGAGTCTAGTAGAGGCCTCCAGCATCTTTTCTCAGGACTCTGGTTTCACTCTTTACTAATCTATCTTCCACATTGCTTCCAGCCCAGATACTATGTCTTTAAGCACTGATGGGATTCTATTACCTCCCATCCTTTCAGCTGAGCCCTGTCTACTTGCCCAGCATCCTTCCTGCCATTCCCCACGAAATTATCTCTCTAGACCAGAGCACTGCATTTCCATTTGGAACAAACCACTCTCCCATGTACCTGAGACTCCACATTTGCTAGTCTTGACACCTGGACTTTTTTTTCTTCTATTCTTTTGAGACAGAGTCTCCCTCTGTTGCCCAGGCTGGAATGCAGTGGCATGATCTCAGCTCACTGCAACTTCTGCCTCCTGGGCTCCAGCAATTCTCCTGCCTCAGCCTCCCGAGGAGCTGGGATTACAGGCACCCGCCACCATGCCCGGCTAATTTTTGTATTTTTAGTAGAGATGGGGCTTCACCATGTTGGCCAGGCTGGTCTTGAACTCCTGACCTCAAGTGATCCAGACACCTGGGCTTTTAATCACTGAGTTCTTATAGAATAGGGGACTGGATATTACAAGCAGTGTGTTTAGGAAACTAGATTCAGGATCTACTAGGTACCAGGCTCTGAACTAAAGATTTTGCCCATTCTACATCATGATGTCCACTGTGCTGATGCGGAAACTAGGGCTCAGAAAGGCCCAAGACCACAGTGTTTCCATGCCAGCCTCAGCATGCCACCATGCCCTTCTCATGCGGATTGTTGGAGGGGTATACCTATGGCTCTATGTCCATTAGGATGAGAAGATCAGGCATGACAGGCCTCACATTTGGGATGGCCTTGGATGGGACTCCCTGGCAACATTTCACAGTGGCCTTTTCCTTATCTTCTGTGACACTGACGGCATCTGTGGACAGGTGCTGGGTTACACCTTGTGTGTGGAGAGCATAAATAATCCAGCTCCGTGTCAATTGATTTATAGTCAGATTTCCTGGTGCTGATTTGCCTCCTGACTACTTTTCCCCTGAATTTAACTCCAATCCAGTACAGATGTCTTATTTTTTAATCTTTCTGATATATTTCAGATGTCATAAAGCCAGTTTGTCTAAGGGCATTTTAAACTTAGCACATTCAGTGACTGTTGCGAGTGGTGGAGGTTTGTCAGGCTTTGGGACTGGCCAGCCCCTTTGAACATCTTTCTTATGTTTTGGAACTTTTCTGCATTATGGCTCCTCACCCCCTGAGCCCACTTTCCCAGATTCTCTTGCAGCGAGGGCATGGGAATGTGATCCAAGCTCTGCCAACCAGCTGTAAAGTGCCAATTTGGAAATAAATACCATAAGATAGGAGGTGCCATGCAGAATTCCTTTTATCAAGGGTGCTGAGAGACAGATATTCAGCTGTCAAAGGTGGCTGTGGCACCTCCAGGCTAAATAGCATCCCATGTTCAGTGTCAGGAGTGTGGGCAGAGATGCCAGCCCAGTAGCCATAGCAATAGCATCTCCCCTGGCAGAGTTTAGTGGTATAACTCGAGCATCACTCTTGGCTCAGTTAGCCTCTGAGCCTGATCCTCTGGCCCTCCTGAAGAGCCTGCAAGGGACTTAAATATTCTTCAATAAACTCATTTTCTGTATAAATTAGCTTGAATGGGTTTTGTTTGCAACTGTGACAGATAAAGTGGGGTGTTGTGTATCTGTGTGGCTTCCACTTTTCTAACTGCTTTCCATTTTCTTTCTTTCCCAATCCCTCAAATACATACATTATAATTGAACTATAAAACATAGGGCACAGTATTAAATGTAATAGGATGCATAGACTCATGAGTATTTACATGCAGGGCAGGTCCACCCTCAGTCTTAAAATTTTCTACATAATACCATCGCTTATGATATGCTGCAAACTTGATAAATCCTAATTAGAAAAAGGAATATTTGGCAGTTGGAGGTCATTTGGCAAAGTGGTCTCTTCCCAGGATATAGCTCCCTGGAGCCTGATGGCTAGGCTAAGGTCAGTCATATGTGGAACCAGCACCAGCAGTAGCCTTGTGTTAAGATCAGGAAGCTGCATTTGCATCTGTCAGACCACCCTTGGCCAACTCTAGCCTGTGGCTCTGTCTCTTCCTCCTTCAGAACTCCACCATGTATAAAGACAGATACATATTTGGCTCTTAATGATAGGCTTTTCTATTCTGTAATATTTGTTTCATGTGTTCGTTTATATCTCTGACTAAACAGTTAATCCCTCAGGTGCAAGACCCACATTTTGTGTTTCTTTTTGTATTTCACTTTGAGGAGAGTGTCCTGAACACTGTAAGGGTTTACTAATCTTTGCTGATTGATTTCCTTCCTAGGGCTGTGGAATATAAATTACATGACCATCTGTCTCTTCAATTTTCAACATCTCTGTGTGTGCATGTGTGTACATGTGCACGTATGTATAAGAGAGATCTGAGATTCAATAAATAATAAACTTGAGGAATGGAGTTCAGAGGCAGAAGAACCACAGAAACAAGTCAGCCTTATGTGGGTAGCCTCCCCTCCGTTTGTTGTGTATCAATTGGGGTTAATAACAATTTTTTTTTTTTGAGACCTGTCTCGCTCTGTCCCCTAGGCTGAAGTGCAGTGGCATGATCTCTGCTCACTGCAAGCTCCGCCTCCCGGGTTCACGCCATTCTCCGGCCTCAGCCTCCTGAGTAGCTGTGACTACAGGCGCCCACCACCATACCCGGCTATTTTTTCTGTATTTTTAGTAGAGATGGGGTTTCACCGTGTTAGCCAGGATGGTCTCGATCTCCTGATCTCATGATCCGCCCACCTCGGCCTCTCAAAGTGCTGGGATTACAGGCATGAGCCACTGTGCCTGGCCTATAACAATACTGATTCCAACCACCTCCCAGGATTACTGGGAACTTTGTAAGAGATAACATGTACTTAAAGTTCCTTATGATTATTATCCGGTTCACATGAAATGGGACCACAGAGGGGAGTGGAGAAGAGGCATTAAAACTAGTGTGTGAAGAAAGTATCATAGCTGACCCAACCCCACTGGCTTTGGTTCTACCTGCCTGGAGACAATACATTTTGTAGCACCAGGCTATTGAATTTCCATCCGATTCTAGGCAGCAGGCATCCTCCTCTTCATTTTCCTTCACCCACCCCAGCCAAATCCATCAGTTCCACCTCTGACTTCACAATACCTAAACCCATAACCTTCCTCCCTGCCCCACTCTCATCTTGGCTTAGGTCCTAGTCTTACCTTATAGCTTCTGCCTCTTTCTGCCTTTGGTCTCTGACCTCTTTCCCTCCCCATCCACATGGAGGGCAGTTATGGCCCTAAAAAAGCAAACGCGATTGTATAATTTCCTGCTTTGAGAATCTTGGGGCCAGGTGTGGTGCCTCATGTCTATAATCCCAGCACTTTGGGAAGCTGAGATGGGCGATCACTTGAGGTTAGGAGTTTGAGACCAGCCTGGCCAACATGTCAAAACCCTGTCTCTACTAAAAATATAAAAATTAGCTGGACATGGTGGTGAGTGCCTATAATTTCAGCTATTTGGGAGGCTGAGGCAGGAGAATCGCTTGAACCCAGGAGGCGGAGGTGGCAGTGAGCCGAGATTGTGCCACTGCACCCCAGCCTGGGCGATAGAGCAAGACCCTATCTAAAAAAAACAAAAAACAAACAACAAACAAACAAAGAATCTTTGTTAAATATCTAAGTCTATATATTTATGGTGTCTATATCTGAAGAGGGAAGCCCAGTTATGAGGCTGTTCCAGTCAGGTGAGAGATAACTGGGCATATGATCTAGGGTAGACAGAGAAATGGGAAAAGATTTGGGAAATAATATATAAAACTATAAACTCTATGTGTGTGTGTATTGTTACACAACATGTGAACAGTAGTCATCTCTAAGATTCTTCTATGAATTCATTCAATAAATGTTTATTGCATGTCTGCCATGCGTCAGGCACCATTTTAGGCACTGCAAACTTGAAGGAATGACAGACACAGACCCTGCTGTCTTTTAGCTTATCATCTATTGAGGAGAGGAAGAACATAGCGAAAATAAATAGGAAATCAACTAGGGCCAAGTGATAGTGACTTGGGGAACTATTTGAGATAAACTGGTCAAGGAAAGCCTGATGAGGTAGAAGGTGGGGACTTGACTCTGGAGGTGGGGGCTAAGACTCGGGACCAGACTCTAGATTAGAGTTCCAGATTTAACACCTAGAAGTCACTGCCCCTTTCCATGGCAATGACTCAACAACCCGTTACCAACCTTTTTCTAGAAATTTCTGTATAACCTGCCCCTTAATTTGCATGTTAACTAAAAGTGGGTAGAAATATGAGTGCAGAGCTGCCTCTGAGCTGCTACTCTGGGCACACGGCCTTATGGGGTAGCCCTGCTCTGCAAAGACCAGTGCCTCTGCTCCTGATGTACACTGCCACTTCAATATAAGCTGCTGTCTAATGCCACCTGCTTGCCCTTGAATTTTTTTTTTTTTTTGAAATGGAGTCTCTTTCTGTTGCCCAGGCTGGAGTGCAGTGGCGCGATCTCGGCTCACTGCAAGCTCCGCCTCCCGGGTTCACGCCATTCTCCTGCCTCAGCCTCCCGAGTAGCTGGGACTACAGGAGCCCGCCACCACGCCTAATTTTTTGTATTTTTTTTTTTTTTAGTAGAGATGGGGTTTCACCGTGTTAGCTAGGATGGTCTCGATCTCCTGACCTCGTGATCCGTCCACCTCAGCCTCCCAAAGTGCTGGGATTACAGGTGTGAGCCACCGCGCCCGGCATCCCTTGAATTCTTTACTGGGTGAAGCCAAAAATCTTCCCAGGCTAAGTCCAAATTTTGGGGCCTGCCTGCCCTGCATCATGAGGAGGTATCTGAGTGGAACGTCAATGAGGAGGAAGAATGAGTTGGAGACAGGCCTGGAGAAGAATATTCTAGATAGAAGGAAAAGGAAGAGCAAAGACCCTTGGGTGAGAAAGAGTTTGTATTTTTGAGGAAAGCATGCTAGTGTGAATGCCAAGCAGTATTCTGTGGGAAGATCTCAGGAGGTGTCTAAGGGCATGGAGATAAGTGGTCAGATGCACGGTCTGTTTTATAGGTGGAATTAACTGCTTGCTGATGGATTGACTGGCTGTGAGGGTGAGTGGCAAGAAGGAATCGAAGACGAGTTAGGGTGGATGGCGATGCCATTTGCTGAGACAACTGGGAAAGAAAAAGATTTGGGAAAAAAAGTTGAGTTCAGCTTTGGACATGTTAAGTGTGATATGCTAGTCACTTCAGTGGAGATGACAAATGGCAAGCTGGAGAAATAAGCCTGCAACTCCAGGAGAGGACCTCGCTGTAGATTTACTATGGTGAGTCATCAGCATGCATATGATATAACAGTCATGGGGCTAGGAAGTTAGTTTCTCCTCAGGGAGTTTGAAACTGTAACTAGTTCAGAGAAGAGGGTGGAGGGCAGCCCCGAATACCCCAGCATTTACCAATAGAGCAAACAGGGACTCAGGAGCCTGGGGAGTGAGGTTAGCCAGAAACCCTCAGAGTGGAGCACTGGTGCTCTTACTGAGAGAGGAAGGTGTGTCCAGATGGAGGATGTGATTAACTGTCCTCAACATCCCTGAGAGAAGGAGTAAGACAAGGGCAGGGAAGAGAAGAGAATGCAAGATTTGGCAACATGTAGGTCATTATGATGACTATGACAAAAGCAGTTTGAGCTCAATTCTGTGTGGAGTATAGGGAAGGAGGGTTGAGGACGTGCATTTAGAAGGGTACATAGTTCTCAAGAAGTTTTGCTGAGCACATCTGTAATCCCAGCTATTTGGGACGCTGAAGTGGGAGGACTGCTTGAGCCCAGGAGTTCAAGACCAGCCTGGGCAACATATCGAGTCCCTGCTTTAAAAAAAAAAAAAAGGAAGTTTTGCTGAGAGGCTAGATGGATTATGATTTTTGTTTATTTTTCCTGTTTATCCATATATTATTTTTCAACAATGAGTATTGATTACTTATATAATAATTTTAAGGCTGTACACATTGCAGACAGCACCCCACTGTTTGAAAAACTCCTCCTCAGTAGAACATGGCAGACCTTCATCTTCCTTCCCTGAACCTTTTCCAACCTTAGGCTTGCCATTCTCCACCAGTGCTAATGTCATGTCTCTTGAAATCTGTATTGAAGTCAGTATTTCATTCTTGCCAGTTTCCACTGTGTGTTTAAATTTGGAGTCTGGTGTCTAGCATTAGCTGGGGTTGGAGCTTCCACTCCTCTCAGCATTGGTAAGCCTCCTCACCCACCCCATCCCATGTCCAAGATCACCCAGTTACACACTTACCATCTACCCAGTTCATTCACATCATCAGTCCCAGAGCTGCAGAGATGCTCTTTTTCTACCTCCTACTTCTCTGGCTCTTAGAGAGGCAGCATGGGATAATGGGGCAAGCGAATAGGGCCTTAAAGTAGAGGGACAAGGGTTCTCTTCCCTATCTGCCACTTATTAGCTATGTGACCTCGTGTAAGTCTCTTTTCTTTTTGAGACAGGGTCTCCCTCTGTCACCTAGGCTGGAGTACAGTGGTATGATCATAGCTCACTGCAGCCTCGAACTCCTGGGCTCAAGCTATCCTTCCACCTTAGCCTTCTGAGCAGCAGGGACTACAGGCACATGCCACCATGTCCGGCTGATTTATTTATTTTTATTTGGGAAGATGGGGGTCTCACTATGTCGCCCAGGCTGGTCATGAACTCCTGGTCTCAAGCAACCCTCCAACCTTGGACTCCCAAAGTGCTGGGATTACAGGTGTGAGCCCTGGCCTTGCCTCAATTTCCTCATCTGTAAAACGGGGTTAGTGAAACTCACATCCTATCAGTGGTTTTGAGGATGGGCCGACTCTTGTATTGCCTGCTCTAGTACAATCAGCAGCTAAGGCGGCTCACTTTCCGGCCGTGCTACAATAGGTAAGAACTAGGATGCTTTAGACGTGTGACTGGGCAGTGGGAGCCCCTCACATGATCCCGAGATGCCAGACAGTGTCTCTCCGCACAGGGCGTGTGCTGGTCCAGAGGCCCGTTTTTCCAGTCGCCCCACACCCCGGGTCCGCGATCACGCTCCCCCCACCCATAGCCGAGCCTGACGCGGCGGTGGCTCATGCGCCTTTCCGTCCCAGCCTTTAGCCACGGACCACACGTCCCATCTCAGGCGCCCCGCCCCTCCCCCGCCCCCCGCCCCCGGCGCGCCTCCCCAGGCTGCCGGCTCCGGTGTCTGAGCGGCCGCGCCCGCGAGCCGTGAGCGATGATTGGCTGCGCCACGGCGGCGGGCGGTCCGTGGGCGCACACACCCTCCCCGCGCAGCCAATGGGCGTGCGCACGTCACTGATCCGGAGGCCCGCGGGCCGGCAGCCCCTCAATAAGCCACATTGTTGCATGAAACTCCGGCGCAGGAGTCCCGGGCTGCCGCTGGCAACATCGTGTCACCCAGCTAAGAAAATCCGCGGGCCCGAGCCACGCGCCTGTGAATCGGAGAGGTCCCACTGCCCGAGTGGAGCCGGGCTGAGATTCTTCTCAAGTTGAGCCTCAGTGATCCTGTGGCCGAAGTTAGCGCCTTGACGTGGGACAACCGGACACGTCGCCAGGAGAGAACTGAGGCGCCTTCTAGCAGTTGTGACGCCAAAATCACGTCTCCGGAGACCCGCGCCCTCCGCCAGCCGGGCGCACCCTCGCCGGTAGCCTTCTTTGTGCGCCGTCCGGACTCCCAGCTCCCGGCCCGGCAGCCGAGCCCCAGCACAAAGCAGTCGGACCGCGCCGCCCGCCTCCCCTCTCGCGTCTCCGCCTCGGTTTCCCAACTCTGCGCCGTCGGGCCGCGGCAGGATGATTGCCTCGCATCTGCTTGCCTACTTCTTCACGGAGCTCAACCATGACCAAGTGCAGAAGGTAAGTCAGCGCGGGCGGGGCGGCAGGCTGGGCTCTGGCAAAGTGGTCTGGCCTCCATCAGTCTCTTCCTCGACCCTGCGGGGACCCGCTTCCTCCCTACTCCGGGCCTGGGAGCGGAAAAAGTTTGGGCAGCCGGGACACTCCTGGGCGCCAGGAGCCACGTCCGCTAAGCACAGCCGGCGAGTGCGCGCGGGCGGGGAGCCGAGGTCGCGCTCCGCCGGGCGCCCTCCCTCCCTGAGCTCCGGCACGCGCTCACGCTCTCTCCCCCAGTCCCTTTTTCCCTGTTACTGGAGGGGCGGGTCACCCCGCAGGTAGTCAGGGATTGCTGCGCCCACGTGGGAGGGAGCCCCCTTCTGCAGCGCGAGTTCCGGCGAGAGCACGTGGAGAGAATCGTGGCTGCGGGAGGCTGCTCCGCTGCCGCGTGGGGCCGCCGGGGGCCGTCCGCGCTCGCGGACCGCGTGTAGGAGACGAGCGGTTCCCTTCTCCTTCCCCGCGGCCCTGCGGGGGTGGGCTCGAGGAGAAGCTGACCCGGGAAGGAGTAGGAAAGGGGCAGAGGAACTCCGCCCGCCGCGCCCCCTCCCCGGAACTGTGGCGCCCGGAACTGAGGCTCGGCGAGGGGCGTCCCCCATTAACCCCCGCCCCTCCAAATCAGCCTCGGGACCGCCCAGCCTCGTGTCCTCAGGATCTGCCTCTGAGTAAGGGGAGGACTTTGGTTGTTACTTTCTGGTTTGCCCTAAAAGTTACTCGGAGAGGCCAACGCGCCGCGTTCCTGGATTACTTGAGATTCTTGAGATTTATGTCCTTCCGAAAACGAGCTTTTTTTTCCTTAAGCCTCGACCTGTCTGTTCCCACCTGGCTCCGCAGCTCCCTATGGCTGAGCGCTCACCGCGGCCGGGTCATTTACATAAGAAAGAGCCTCAGGCCAAGCCGGGAAGCTCTCATTCCCCGCCTCGGGGTATGGGGGTGGGGATGGGGCCGGGGCCGGGGACGGGCAGGGCCAGGGGCGCGCTCAGAATTGAGTTTCTGAAATGCCCGGGATTAGGGGATTGGCTCCTGGCCCGGGCCTGGGCTACGATTTGAGGTAGGGGACAAGTTGGGAGGGGATTAGCTGGAGGGAGGTTGTTTTAAGAGCTGTGAGGCAACGGAGCGTTGCTCAGTTACATACTTGGAATTTCAATATCTGATGGGAACACATTTTTGGGAAAATGTCTTGCCATTACCGTTCTGTGCGACAACCTGCTCATATTCCCATTCTGGCGGTCCCGAGGGCATAGGAGGCATATTAATGTAGTGATGGCGCGTGAACCTCCAAGAAAAGCAGAAGTTACCCAGCCTCAAGTCTGGAGGAGCGAGCAGAGGCGGTTGATTTACTTGGGTTTTACTGTTTGTAAATGGCTGTTATTCTCTAATTCCTGGGATGTGGCTCTGCACCTTGATTCAGTTTACTTAAAAACGTGCCTTTGATTTGAGCTGGCAGGATCTTGGTAACTTCTCAACTTCTAAGAACTCTTGGGGAAGGCTATCATCTCTTGGCAAGTCCTAAAATACACAGTGGAGCGTCATTAATCTCAGGGAGTTCTCCTTTGGGTATTACCCCAGGACATTTGAATCCTTGCATAAATTTACTCTTCCTCAATCCAGAGGAGGGCACCAGGGTTGGAACCCCGTTGGAGTTATACCACTCTCAATCTTGGAATGGGGGTCATCTCTCTTCCCCCAGAGTGGAACGGGAATTAACCAGGGTATCTGGAAATGAGTTGTAATCTCTGTCTTGTGGTTTATTAACCATAGCACCCTGAGCCTCTTTGGACAGCCCGTTTCTCTTTGTGAAATGCAATAATAACAGTAGGCTTGTCCACTTTATGGAGTTGCGATTATTAAGCGCTGCAGTGTGCAACTGTCATTCCTGTAGGTTTTCTCTACCCTTGCAGCCACCTGTCAGTTTGAGAAGTGTCCCTGAAGACCCTTGGGTGTATTTCCTCTAAACTACCAATAGGGGCAGAATTGAATCAGGCCTTTAACTCAGTAATTGTCAGAACCTGGGATTTGACTCCCAGCTTAGGTGAGCGAAGCTGTTTGATTCCAGTGGCAGTTACATAGAAAGCAGAGACTCAGAGTATCTTGGAACCATCTTTCTGAGCTGCCATTGGAAAGAAGAATTAAGAGAGAAGAATGAAAATTTAGTATAACTTTAGAGTCTTTTGAAAAGACCTTTTGATTTGGACCCTTCTGAAATCCCCTTGTGATAAGATAATCTTACATATTCTGGGTTGTAGTCTGAGGACGTGGAAGGCTTGGGTTCACCTGCCCAACGAGGTCACTTGTCGTCTCCTGATGGACAAGCCCAGTGTTTTGGGGCATTAGAGATGAGAATCAGGGTTATTTCCTCACTTTTGCCAATTGGAACTCAGGAGCGACTGCAGAGCACCTACTGTGTACCTGGCACTGTTCTAAGCTCTTAGGTATGTCAGCTTATTAACATTCAAATCAGCCCCATGAGGTGAAGACTGATTGTTATTAGCATCCCTGTTTAACTGAGGCCCAGGGGTAACTTGCCCAAGGTCTCCAGCTTTTCTGTACGAGCTGGGAATCGAAGCCATGCATTTGGCTTTAGAGCACCATGCTCTTGAGCACATACTTGCCTGTCTCTGGGGAATGTGAGCGGGCTCCTGGCCCGGGCCTCTGCCCACTCCTGGCTGCTGGTAGCACCCCCACCCATCATGACCACAGATGGAACTAGCTCTTCTGTTGGTTTGATCAGTGGCACCAGTACCCTCTGGCTACTCCAGCTGAGAGTCCTGGATTCATTTTCATCAACTCTCTAACTCTGTCAACTGGTCTCTTGGTTACTTTGGAGGCCTGCTAAGGGTGTCCCTAAAACTCTTTCTGGAGCCAGACTGGATCATTTCAGGAGCTCTCTACAGCTCTTAATTGCCTCCCGCTTCTACCCCCCAGCTTAGCCTCATCTTCCTCTCCATCCTTTCATTCCTCTGTCCTGCCTGTTCACACTAGGTCCTTTTGCCCTTGTCTTTTTTTTTTTTTTTTTTTTTTGAGACACAGTTTCACTCTGTCACCAGGCTGGAGTGCAGTGGCGCTATCTCTGCTTAGTGCAACCTCTGCCTCCCAGGTTCAAGCGATTCTCCTGCCTCAGCCTCCTGAGTAGTTGGGATTACAGGCGTGCGCCACCATGCCCAGCTATTTTTTGTATTTTTAGTAGAGACAGGGTTTCACCATGTTGGCCAGGATGGTCTCGATCTCCTTACCTTGTGATCCACCTGCCTCAGCCTCCCGTAGTGTTGGGATTACAGGCGTGAGCCACCGCACGAGGCCTGCCCTTGCCATTTTTGTGGCCCTGAACTCTGCTTGGCTTCTTTCCACTTAACCCCTTCCAGCTCAAATGCAGTTTACTGTCTTAATTTTCTTTCTGCTTCCTTCTCCCCCTCCTGTGTGCCAACATTAGTGTGTTTGAACCTTGCATGACATTTGTTTCATTCCACCATCTGTTAGAGTTGATGGTTTTCAGTTTGGGTTCCTTCCTCAGGGCAGGGAGAATCTTGGCTGTTAGGTTTGTCGCTGCAGTTCCTGGCCACTGGTGAGGTGCTCAGTGAGTACAAGAGTAAAGGAGGAGACCTTTCTGGAGAAAGAAGCTAAACCAGGGCTGCAGGAAGTGGAGGAGCTGGGCAGGGCCAGCTAGTCTTAGGCTAAAGGGATGGTATATGGGTGGACACTTGGAGGGGTAGTTCGCAGTTATCTCTTCATCCAAAGCATGACCTGAGGCCAAAGCATGACCTGAGGCCGGTCCTGAGGAGGGAGAGAGAAAGGGAGGAGAGTTTCCTGTCCTTCAGCAATCAAGACTGTGTGTCCTGCCTATGGAGAGATGGAAGATTCTTTCTATTTTTTTTTTTTTTTTTTTGAGACGGAGTCTCGCTCTGTCGCCCAGGCTGGAGTGCAGTGGCGCAATCTCAGCTCACTGCAAACTCCACCTCCCGGGTTCACGCCATTCTCCTGCCTCAGCCTCCCGAGTAGCTGGGACTACAGGCGCCTGCCACCATGCCCGGGTATTTTTTTGTATTTTTAGTAGAGACGAGGTTTCACCGTGTTATCCAGGATGGTCTCAATCTCCTGACCTCGTGATCTGCCTGACTCCGCCTCCCAAAGTGGTGGGATTACAGGAGTGAGCCACCGCGCCTGGCTGATTCTTTCTATTGATTGAGATAAGTTAGTATACAAGATGCAGGATTTTGTCATTTAAGAATGGAGAATCAGGGTTAACCATAGAGATAAAATGAAGTATATACTCCTTTCTCTGACCATTGACCAAATTGTTTTAATACGCATAGACTGGTGACATTTGCACTGGAATCCTGTAATAGACATAGCTCATGTAGATTCCTTGTTGTATGAGCAAGGGGTGACCTTCAATGCTGGGCTTGAGAGGAATATCTTGGAAGCGAAAAGATTGAACAGAGACCCCAAGAGTCAAGAAAGCCAAGAATTTTAATGTTTTTTTAAGAACCTACAGTGAGTGCAAGGCCCTCTGAGTGTGATATGGGAGACAGAAACCCAGATACTTTTCAGTTGTCTAGAGAGATATGGCTGCTAGGTCAAAAGAGTGAATTACCATGGGTGGGGCTGGAGTTAGAGCCTCAAGGAACCTTGGCACATTTTGGACACCTACCACGTGCCATTAGTCCGCACGTATGGGATTAGAGTATCAAGAGTAAATTGCTGATTGAAACCTTAATAATATTATTTTTGTCTATGTTAATTTTGATTGGACAAACTGACATTGACAGGTACAATTCACTCCATTTGTTCAATATGTAACATCTTGGTAACCTAACTCTGTCCCTTTCTCTGCTCAGAAGACAACTGATGGTAGTTAGGAATACTTTGTAGCTTTTGTTAACCATCCGTTTGTTTTATATTGCCAAACTTACATTTCAGAGAGAGCTAAGAAGCACTTTTTCCTCTACCTTTGAATGAATTAACTCCCCTGAGCTCAGCCAAAGTCAATTTTTTTTTTTTTTTGTGAGACAGAGTTTCGCTCTGTCACCAGGCTGGAGTGCAGTGGCACAATCTTGGCTCACTGCAACCTCCACCTCCTGGGTTCAAGTGATTCTCCTACCTCAGTCTCCCAAGTAGCTGGGACTACAGGTGCGCACCACCATGCCCAGCTAATTTTTTTTTAGTAGAGATGGGGTTTCACCATGTTGACCAGGATGGTCTCGATCTCTTGACCTCGTGATCTGCCCACTTTGGCCTCCCAAAGTGCTGGGATTACAGGCGTGAGCCACTGCGCCTGGCCTTTTTTTTTTTTTTTTTTTTTTGAGATGGAGTCTCACTCTGTCGCCCAGGCTGGAGTACAGTGGCGTGATCTCAGCTCACTGCAACCTCGGCCTCCTGGGTTCCTGCCGTTCGCCTGCCTCAGCCTCCCGAGTAGCTGGGACTACAGGCGCCCACCACCATGTCCGGTTAATTTTTTTATATCTTTAGTAGAGATGGGGTTTTTCACTGTGTTAGCCAGGATGGTCTTATCTCCTGACCTCATGATCCACCTGCCTAGGCCTCCCAAAGTACTGGGATTACTTTGGCGTGAGCCACCGCGCCAGGCATTTTTTTTTTTTTTTTAAACATCACTTTTCAAAGTTGAACTTTTCCAGTACTCTGGGGAGTTTGGGGCAATTGGAGGTCCTTTTCCAAGGGGGGAATCAGAGCAACACAAACCACAGTTGGCAATGGGAGTAAGGAGATCTGATGAACTGAAAGAACTTGGAGCCCCAGAAAACTGGCTTCCTTTGTTCAGATACTTCCGGTTTAAAAGACCACATCTTGATAAGACGTTCCTCATTATCATCGTTGAGCTTTGAAGTCAGCAGGTTTGGTTTGTTTTCCAACACTGTACGTAGTCTGTCTTTGCCTTTTCAAAGCTGTGGGGGTTATGCCGGGCGCGGTGGCTCACGCCTGTAATCCCAGCACTTTGAGAGGCCAAGGCGGGCGGATCACGAGGTCAGGATATCAAGACCATCCTGGCTAACACGGTGAAACCCCGTCTCTACTAAAAATACAAAAAAAAAAAAAAAAAATTAGCCGGGCGTGGTGGCAGGCACCTGTAGTCCCAGCTACTTGGGAGGCTGAGGCAGGAGAATCAGTTGAGCCCGGGAGGTGGAGCTTGCAGTGAGCTGAGATCGCACCAATGCACTCCAGCCTGGGCGACAGAGCAAGACTCTGTCTCAAAAAAAAAAAAAAAAAAAAAAAAAAGCTGTGGGGGTTGGGATGTGGCAAATTAAATCCCCATAGCTCACTGGACACGTCTTCATATCACACTCTGTGGATCACACACCATGCTTCCTTGTGCTGGAGTGGCTCTTTCTGCTTATCTTTAAAGCAGTTTTCTCAGCCTTGGTGCTATTGACATTTTGGGACAGATACGTTTTTTGTGAGGGGCTATCCCAGCCTATCATAAAGAGCAAGAATTTCCACCTTACTCAAATTTCCAGAGACAAAGCCTATCTTTTTAAAATTCTTCATTTAGAGCAGTAGTTTTCAAGTAGGAGTGATTTTATACCCCAGTGGACTTTGGCAATGTCTGGAGACATTTTTGGTTGTCACAAAGGTTTGGGTGAGTGTGTGTTACTGACATCTAGTAAGCAGAGGCAGGTTTGGGTGAGTGTGTGTTACTGATATCTAGTAAGCAGAGGCTAGGAATGTTGCTGAATATTCCACCATGCACAAGATAGCTCCCCACAACAAAAAATTACCTGGCCCAAAATGTCTACAGTGTCAAATTTGAGAAACTGCTTTAGAAGAACATGGTCCATCCCTGCCACCCCCTTCAGTTTTCAGGTGTATTGCTGATGGTCATACAGCAAGTTAGTAGCCCTAGTTGGGATCAGAGCCCTGAGTTGTCAACAGTGTGCCATGTCTTGTGACCGTCATGGTGGGAAATGGGCTTCTACAAAAGACGAACTTAAGATGAGGTCTACAGTTCACAGCAGTCTGCAGATGCCCACAGTTCCTTGCTGGGGGGCAGGTTTCCAGGGAACGGGAGCTAGTTGCTGTTTCTGTATTCTCAACCAGAGAAATGTGGGCAATACAAGTGCTCCAGAAAGCCAGCAAGAGGAGTTTAGTCAGTTGCCCTTGGAAGATGCTCACCCTGGTGCTGCTGTAGTTTCCATGGAGGCTGGGCATGAGCCAGGCTTCCCAACAAGACAGGCATGTGAGCTGGTGTAATGGAAATTCAGAAGGCACTTGAGCTGGGGAGCAGAGGAGGTAGGCCAGTGACATCCACTGAGGGACAGCCTGACAGTTACTGGGAGAGGCTGTTTGATGAGCTGGAGTCAGGCTCCCTGGGGTTGAACTCTGGCTTTCTGCATAACACGCAGTGTGAGCTTGGGTCAGTTACTCTACCTGTCTAGGCCTCAGTTTCTTTTCCCTATAAAATGCAAAGATTGTTTGGATAACACTTTAATTGAGTAGTTGTAAGAATGAAAGAGAAAGAGGGTTAACAGGTGTCAAGCTCTGAGAACTGTGCCTGACATATAGTCAATGCTTTATGTATTAAGTATTGGTACTTAACAATGGTTCAACTTGATTTTTTTTTGACTTCACAATGGCACAAAAGTGATACGCATTCAGTAGAACCTGTACTTTCAGTATTTATATAACCATTATGTTTTGCACTTTCAGTACAGTATTCAATAAATTACATGAGATATTCAACACTTTATTGTAAAATAGGCTTTGTGTTCGATGGTAGGTTAGGTGTACGAAATGCATTTTTGACTTACTAATCGGGACATAACCTCATTGTAAGTCGGAGCATCTGTACATAGGGAGAGACACAGTCTTAGATGTCCCACTGCACCGTCCGCCTGGACAGGAGCAAAAAGAGGCCCTGCTTTACCCTGGATAACTCCCAAGAGCTTCTTTTAGAGTAAGTGGTTTCAGGTCCATTTGTGTCTCTGTGTGACGTTGGATTGAATCAGAGGACAGAGAAGTCAGAAGGATGGAAAGTTCCTGAAGCCAGGGAAGAAGGATGCGTCCACCGTGCTTCTAAAACCTTCTCTTTCCTGGGCGTAGGAGATCCATCCTTAAGCTCTTCCTCTAAATTGCTTTTCTTCTGGTCCTCTACAGAGGTGGCTCCCCCATTCGAGGTCTCTGGGATGCCTGGGACATTAGTGCACTTCAGGTTGAAGCATCCTTGCGATGTCGCAGGAGACACAGTTGTGCTGAATGATCACAGGGTTAGTTCCAGCTCCTTTTCCCTAACCTCTGTCTCCCCGGTAACTAACCCAGAGAAGAGCAGAGGCTTCAGAGGGCATTGTGGAGGCTGCTTACTTGGGATTTCATATTCTTCTGCTGTGGAGTTTGTCAGTTAAATACTTGCTCACTCATCCTCACATCTCTCCCAGACCTGGCTTTCCACAGGGGAAATCATTTGCAGTGCCCTGTGCTGAAGAGTCACAGGACCCGCCATGATAGGTTTGGCCCCACCGACCCCTGGAATTTCACAGAAGGGAATGGCCATTCTCACATTCTTTCGGCAGATTGGGTGAGGTTCCCTGGGCATCCTGGGATTTGGCAGTCAGCTCTTTGCCCCTCATATACAGACCCTGGGCTGTTGAGTGTGTTCCTTCCTGCTGAGCCCAGGGTGCCCTGGGTTCTTCACGAAGCCCAGGGGGATTCTGCATGTGCAACCCATACCCTCCATCCCACCTCTTGAACAGCCGTTGCCTTATCCACGTCAGGAGTCAGGAGTCTTGGCCCTGTTCCTGTGAACAGAGAATCTCATTTCCCCTAAAATGCTGCCCTCTTTTAGGGGTGGTCACTCATTTTGTTTGCAGATGGATCTCTAAGCATTTCCCGGACATTCTTTCCTGCCTTGGTTAAATCTTATCTCAGCGTTAACCAGGAGAGTGAGTCAGGCTCTGAGAAACTGGCTCTGGAAGCCCTTGGGGCCCACCCACCTCCTGCCCACTCAGCCTTCCTGCCTTTCCACCATTTCTGCCCTGGATGCTTGGAGGTGGTCCATGTTCTTAAAAGGCCTTTTTCCCAATCCCTTCCTTCTGGCATCTCCATATTGTCTGAAGGAATAAAGCCAGATGAACCATCTGACAGCTTTAATTAGGGTTAAATGAGGGCATTCGAAACTGCCACTTTTCCTTCTTTCCCATTTGAGGGACTTCCTCTTCCTGCTTCCTGTTTCCTCCCAAACTTTTCTGTCTCAGTCCCCTCCATGAAGTCCTGTAGCCTCTTCCCATCAGCTCTGTGTGTAGTAACTCAGGCCACCCTCAAGCTGCCCTCCAGGTAGGTCCTGTTATTATCTATTATTCAAATGAAGAGACCAGGCACAAAATAGGATAGTACCTTGCCCCAGGGCAAGCCAGAATCCAGACCCAGGCAATGTGACTCCAGAGCCAGTGCCCTTAACCCCCAGCACAAAGCTGCTGGGACAACTATGTTTCAGTTTCACTTATGTTTCAGTTTCATGGGGTTATGAGTCAGGTATCAGCTGGGAAGGGACCTTTGGGACCATGTAGTCTAAACAAACCCTTCATTTTACAGTTAAGGAAACCAGATGTTGTGTACTAAGGGACCAGCCCAAGCTCACATAGGATAAGCCCCAGATCTGGAACCCAGTTTCTTGATCCCCATCATGTTTTTTTAAAACACAGTTTGTGCAGCATGAACTCTTATCATTTTAGGTGTCAGTTTCCCAAGATCAAAGGCAGGATTTACTTAGCTGTATCTAGGGGGATGCCCTAATTGTCCAAACTGGGCCGCTTTTGAAAATGGAGGAAAGCACTATCAGTAGTTATGCCATGACCACAGGTGTAAACTGAGATTGTCTTGGGTAAGCAGGGAAGTGTGGGTACCTTGCCTGTGGTGGGTGTGATCTTGGGGTGGATGGGGCAGACTGGGACAGACCCAGAGGTATTTGATCCAGCAAGTGGACCGCTGGCAGCAGACAGGAGTGGGGAGTTCAGATGCCACTGTGGGGCAAGAGGCTCAGAGGCAGATTCTGGTCCCTGGCCTGGGGCTGTCGAGGGGTAGGCAGAGTCTGACTTCTAGGGACCTAGCATCCTAGGCAGGGCAGACAGGTGGACTGGGAGGAAACCATGCTGCTGCGGGGATCCCATGCAGTGTGGGCGCCAGCCTGAAGAGCAAGGCCCGACACAGAGCACCTGGTCAGTCGGGAGTAGCCAGCTCTTCCCCTTCACCAAGTTACTTGTCAACTTTTCTCTTTGGTGTTCCCATAGCCCCTTGTGTATAACTATAACAAAGGTTTCTTGAGCACCTATTATATCCTAGTATTGAGATAGCTGCTGCTATGACTGCAGAGAGGCCATTTATGCTGGGCTATGGAGGGTCAGTGGGAGTTTGTTAGACAAGGGGAGGGGACATTTTGGGCAGTGAGGCCAACACATACACATTTCTAACCATTTCAAGACAAACACTCCTCAGATTCACATTGATGTATGTGATTTAAGTGATTGTAAATCCATATTTTATTAATGTAAAGGAAACTGCCTACTGTTCTGCCCTTCCTGTCAGTTTGTAATTACTTGTTAATGTATCTGTCTTCTGCCAATAGACTCAGCCCCTTCCTGGCAGAGGCTGGTGTCTCCTTTATCCCAGTATCCTCAGTGCCCAGCCCTGGCACACTCAACTTGGCACTCAGTCAATATCTGTTGGCAGGTGAACTGTGCCAGGGTCACATGCATCTGGGACATAATCCCCCTTTGCTCTGCTGCTCCGCAGTCAGAACAGAATGTCTGAGGACAGGAGGACCCTGGGCCGGGTGTCCCAAATGCCCATCTCCTGGACCCTGGACAGGTGCTGCTGCCTAAGGTCTGTCTGGCTGTAACTTGATGCAGCTGAGACTGAGAACTGGAAGAACAGGAAGCCCTGTGACTCACAACCGCTGCAACAGGATCCTGGAGGAGTGGCCCGTATGCCTCCCTGGTCAGCTCTGCGCTTACCCGCTGCCTCGGGTTTGTGAGTCTGCAGTGTGTCAGAGCTGGCATTGGCCTGAGGTGGCATGGCTGCCCTGGCGAGGACAAGTTCCTTGTCCCATCTGAAGAAGTGGCATAGGAGATCTGAGTTTCGGTTCATGGGCTTTCAGAGGACAGGAGACTTACAGAATCCATGTTCTGCTGTGTGTCTTCCCCCCGGCTCATCTTTTTTTCTTTTATCAGAAACATCTGGCCCTGCCCTGGCAACTTTGTAGAATAAACTTGCTGCTCTTTGTACAGCCTCAGCCTTCCCAGGAGGAGTCTGTGAGGGCATTATTATTAATGAGGTCACTGACAGCAGTTGCTTGGCTTTCCCAGGGTGGGCACACCTGTGCCCTAGGTTAGGGCACTCGGCTGGTCACTGGATGCTATGGGTCTTCAGGGACTAGGCCTGTGATTTGGGGAGGCTTCTCCAAGTCTTGGTTTCCTTGTCAGAGAGTTGTGGTAAAACACTGGCAAAGGAATAATGCAAAAATATGAAATTCTTTTGAAATTAAGTTGCAAGCATGTGTCAGCACAGAGTCACTGGAAGTCTTTGTGTGGCCAGATTTAAATGATGGATCTCTCTTTGTTTGGCCTCTTTTGACCTCTTTAATCTTCTTTGGCTCTTTGACTGTGTATAGTGGGTAAACTTGGGCCAAGTCAGTGCAACCTGCCTTTTTTTTCCAGCGTCTTTTGAATTGAAGTATAATGCACATGGGAAACTGAAAGCAGCAGGTAACCACCATCCAGATCCAGTAACAGATCATTACCTGAACCAGCCCCGTGTTCTCCTACCCACCACCACCATCAAGTGTAATCACTGTCCTGACTAACAGCATAGGTCTGTTTTTGTACTTAATATAAATAGACTCATACAGGATATAAAAGATGCCATTTGTGTCTGGCATTTTTCAGCCAGTGTTTTACTGTATTTTGAGATTCATCTATGTGGTTGCATGTAGTGGTAGGTGGTGCATTCTTGTTGCTGTATACTATCTCTTGCACCACTCTGGCTTGTTTTTGTTTTTAAGAGACAGGGTCTTGCACTGTTGCCCAGGCTGAGTGCAGCAGCGTGATCATGGCTCACTACAGCCTTGACCTCCTGGCTTCAAATGATCCTCCTCAGCCAAAGTATTAGGATTACTGGTGTGAGCCACTGTGCCCATCCCACCACCCTGTTTTGACTGTGGTTGATTTAAAGCAGACGAAAGTAGTCATAATAAGGCCCCTGACTTCCAGAAGGTATGGTCCTTTCTAAGTTTCTGTCAAAGGGGCCAAATAGGAGTGTTGACCTAATATATAGATGACCCGATTGTATCTTCAGGACAAGAACATGCATGTTAAGAAAGGTGAAGTTCAATCAGTTGGTCTTCTAGGGTCTAGAAACTAAAAGGTAGGATTTTTAGCTGTGGTCATCTAGGGCACCTGGAGAGACGGTTCTAGATAATCAATTAGAAATATCCCAAGACTGGGGAGACAAAGTTCAGCTGTGCCACAGGCATCCTGCATCCTTTGCTTTGATGCTTCTATGCTTGTGGAGTAACTTTCTTATCCTATGTGATCACTTGAATTCAGCCCTCTACCAGGAGGGTGTGCCCTGCAGACACAAGTGATGAACATTTGCTTATTCATGTATTATGTATTTTCTGCTTGCTTACTAAAAGGATTTAGTGATTTGGTTCAGCTTTCAGTAAAAAGATTTCTAGAACGAGAGTCATCAAACTGGCGAGATGATTACTGAAAAACTTGACAGGCCAGGTGTGGTGGCTCATGCTTGTAATCCCAGCACTTTGGGAGGCCAAGATGGAAGGATTGCTTAAGGCCAGGAGTTTGAGACCAGTCTGGACAACGCAGTGAGACTCTGTCTCTACAGAAAAAATAAAATTAAAAAAATCAGCTGGGTACGAGGGTGCATACCTATAGTCTTAGCTACTTGGGAGGCTGCAGTGGAAGGATCATGAGCCCAGGAGTTTAAGGCTGCAGCCTAGGAGTTTGAGGCTGCAGTGAACCATGATTGCGTCATTGCACTCCAGCCTGGGCAGCCGAGCAAGACTCTGTCTCTAAAGTTAAACAAACTTGACGAAGCTCCAAGCTTCCTGACAGTCAAGGCAAAAAGGATAGTTAGTTCTCTTTGAGTCAGTCGTTTTCATCCCATCGGCCTATAACAGGTAGCACAGTGTGTCTGGGCAGCCAGACTTTCTCCTGACACTAACCCTTACTGGGGACTGAATGGCTAGGGAAGCATTAGTGAAAGACACAGCAGCTTTACCTGGTGCAGTGGTCTTTATAGTCTTTCCTGTGAGCCCTTGATTAAAAGTGATAGAACTAAACCTATGAAGCATTTCATGGGGAGCTAATGTAATGTTGTGAAGGTGAGGAGCTTTCTGTTCCTGGAATTGGTAATTTCCCAGGGTCTTAGGGGCTTGCCCATGCCTCCTGAGCCTTTTCACACTGCTGTCTCTAGGTAAGCATTTATCTGCTAAGGTGGCTGAGCTCCAAAAGTATCCCCTTTGATTGCCAGTCTCTCAGGCCACTTAAATCTGTGACACTTCCCATGGGCTGCCTTGTATTGTGCCCGACATTCTTATTAGACAAGACTCATCTCTCCACGCATTCTAGAGACACTCATTGATCTATAATATGAGCCAGCTTCTTTGATATAAAGTCCTAGAGAGCAGGGCTGTTGATTTCTTAAAATTTTTAAGAATTGTAATAAAATATTAATCACAAAATTTACCATTTTAACCATTTTAAGTGTACAATTTAGTGGCATTAAGTGTGTTATTCACATTGCTGTGCAACTACCACCACTATTCATTTCCAGAATTAATTTCTTGTAAAATTATGTTTCTGTACACTAGTGCTTTGTATTTAATAGCTGTTCCATAAATGCCATAACATGGAAGATGCTGGGGTTGCAACAGTAGTCAGGATTCAGGGATTGAATGATACGGATCTTACAGACTTAGACATTGAAATTTAAGGTTTCGTTTCGTCTACACTTCCCTTTTAAAACCCTTGAGTACCTTACTCAAGGTAGGATCTGTAGTACTTCATATAAAAACTGTCAAAATTGGAATATTGCTGTCTTCTGGATGTAAATAATTTGATCAAGGCCAGGTTCCCACAGGGACCAGATGGGGTGGGCTCAGGATCCAGGCAGTGGCACCAGTCTTTCAGTTGCATTGGGCCTGCAGAATGAGATGGGCGCTTCTGGGCCAGAAGGGTTGACATTCATCCAGGTGATCCAGATTCTAGTTTCAACTGTGTGACCTGGGTCGAGGCTGCTCCCCGATGGGCCTGGTTTCTCTGAGATCCCTTTCTTGCAGTCACCTCCAGGCCTTTCCTTCCTGGGCTTCCCCATACCTGGCCAGGACTGTGTATGGCCCACCCTGCACACTGCATACTTCGAAGTGGAGCCTCCATGAATGTCCCCTTTTGTTCTCTCCATTTGTTGCTTTGTGACAGTGACACAATTTCCTCTCCTTTTTTAAGTGCTGGTCTGGAGGAAAATGCAGGTACTTAAGGGGATGGGTGTTAATGGCTTCCCATTTTGGGTATTATCTTATTTCCTAGAGAGTATGGGGTTAATTTGTCTTTAGGGCTTCCCCTGACACCAACCCCAATTCTGTAGAGGAAGTGGGCATGTCAGACTGGTATGTTATGGGAAAAACTGAAACTGACCAAAATTACCCAATGAGGAAGCTCTGATCTAACCCTTGCTGAAGAAATATCAACTAACAGTGCTATCTCTGTCTAACACGCCCTCGCTTCCTGGGCTGGCAGCTTGGCAGGCAGACGGGAAGGTAACCCGTTCTTCAGCCAGGCTTTGCTCTGGCCTGCCTCCGATTCCCCAGCCTGGAATGCCCCCTCCTCCTTTCCTCCTCTCCCAGATAGAGATTTAAAGAGAAGCAGCCTTGTCCATGCCCATCACAGAAAGAGAAGGAATAGTTTGGGGAAACAGCCTCTGCTTTGTGACTAAGGAGGGTTGAGAAATGTCTGTGATTGCCTGAAGGTGACCCTGGGTGGAGAGAAGCTTTAGAAGAAAGAAGGGGTGGAAGGAAAGGGGGGGTGATAGAGAACTCTTTTGTCCCCACAGTTATGCTAATGACTCTGTCATGTGGGGCTATTCATCCTGTTTTGTGGCAAGGAAGCTGGGGTTCAGATGAAGAGTCCTCTAATGTCGCACACCTGTACGAACGCTACCACTAGGATTTGCATACTGGTGTTTCTGATGCCAGAGCACTCCTTTCACCACCACCAGCTACAAATCAAGGGTTGACCTGAATGAGTCTGCTTTGATAGTATCCAGAAACTTACATCTCTTAAAAACAAATGCAGAGTTTGTCTTCCCAACTCCCAGCAGGCTGGATCAACACAGGATTACTTCACAGGGTCACACCTGGCCTAATATCTTAACCACCGACTCTCAAAGATTCCAGGCAGAAAAGTGATATGCAGTGTTGATCAGAACAGGGCCAACCACGATCACGTTATTGGCATATTGGAAACCTCCCAGAGGAGAGGGGAAGGTGTTTGAGCCCCAGCCTTAGAGGTGTCATTTGGTTAGTCTGGAATGGATCCTTGGAATTCTTACTGTTTTCTTTAAAAGCTCCTCATGTGATTCTGATGTGCAGCAAGTTTGGAAACTCTTATCACAAGTGACAGAATGGAGATTAGGCAGAAGTATCAGAAAGCAGATTTATCTTTGATTGAGGAAACTCTTTGAAACAAGTAGAGCTGTTCAAAAATGGAATTTAGAGAAATAGCGAGCCTCTCAGGCTTGGAAGTATTCAAACCTAGGCCACATGACTATCAATTGGGTGGAGAGAGACAAACTAGATAAATTCGAATACTATGTTTAGTGGGATTTTCGAACTAGTTACCCTAAGGGCCTTTCCTTTCTATGGATGAATACTTTTCAGCTGCAGTCCCACTGCTGTGTGTACATCTGCTATCACCTGCTTGGCTTTCTCCTTTGACTTTGGGCCTGGTGCTCCCTCCCACTGATGGCACTGTGGGTGAAAGTTGGCAAGATTCTGAAAATTGCATTCATCTCCTTCTCAATCCAGGAAAATCATCTTTGTATGGTGGCTGCTTCTTGTTTCTGACTTCTGCTTCCCTTGGCTACCAACACAGCAGTGCCTACCAGGGCTGGGTGGGCTCCACTGGTGTGTTTAGGAAACTGTGGCATTAAGTGATTATTAATTATCCCTTCCTGAGTGGCCCTAATAAGCTGAGTGGACACATCATCATGCCCTGGTGCCATCTGTTCTCAAGTTTTGAGAGTTCAAAGAGCTCTGATGTGAAAGAGGGGAAGTTTGGGCCAAGCTACTGGCCTGGACATTTTTCACTGTTTCATATCCACAGCTGTTTCATATCTTCTCTCTTAGTCTCCTCATGTGATGGAGAGGAAAATAAGGTCCCAGGGTCATCCAAGAAACCACAGGGCAGGCTGGGAGTGCCCATCCACACTAAGAGGGGCCCACAGGACAGGCGAGGGTGGCTGTCCTGACGGCCTGGCAGTGGGGCCAGACAGACCTCTGTGGAATCCCATCTCTGCCCCTCATTACCCAAGTGATCTATAAAACGGAGGTGCAGAAGTTTTACGAAGACAATGGAGAACAGGTCAGGAAAGCCGGAAGTGCCTGACAGGTGAGAAATGCTTGAGGAATGCTTAGCCGCTGTAACCATCACCCCATTACTGTTTTCATCTGTCATTGAACATGTGGAAGATGGTTATCTATGGGGCAAAAGGCAACGTGGATAAAGGGTGACTGTTTAACTCGATTCTTCAAGGGTTGAGGATGAGAAGTGTCTGACTGGATTTCCAACATGTCTTGAAACAGTTTAAACATCGAAGATAAACTAAGATTGGCTGTCGTAGAATTTGCTTTTTTGTGTGCATAACCTCATGCTTCTGGACATGATGATAGGACCATTTAATGAGGTGGAACAGGCTCAGCTCCTCAGTGCAGGAACTCCTGTGCCCTTTGCAAACACCTGAAGCCTTCCATAGAGGGTGGAGGTGGGGCGGGGGCACCAAGAAGCTTCTGGGCCTCTCTTCTCTTTGGGAAAGTAGTGAGGTGAGAGTGTCTTTGTCAGGTGTCACCCTCATGACAATGTTCAGAGACATGTCTGCTGCCCCAGACCTGCTCAGTCACCTCTGTGTGCCTCACTCTCCACTGCGTGCTGTTCATGTCTGCATTGGGAGGTGACTGGAATAGAAGATGGCCTTTTAATGGATATGGACAGCCTGCATTCCCTGCAATGCTGTTTGACCTGTATAGACCCTGCTGTATCCAGGCAGGCAGGGGGCAGTCATCTAGCAGAGTGGACAAGAGCACAGACCAGCCAAACTTCTCTATCAAGCCAAACGTGGCCCCTCGTGTCTGTGTGACTTCCCCTCTCTGTAGAATAGAGATGCTGGCACTTCCTACCTCAGAGGGCTGTTCTAAGGATGAAATGAACTAATGGGAGCAAACCCGGAGAATAGGATCTGGCACAAAGCAGGAGCCACGTGAGGGCTTGCCATTATTACAGTTGCCCATGAGGACATCTCAGGCTTTTCCTGGATGTGGCCTCGCATTGGCTTCTGGTCTGGGTAGCCCCAGACTTTGCACATTAGCCCTGAGATGTGAAAGTTGTAATGTAGCATTCCTGGGCCAGTCAGTGTCTCATTGGATCTGGAGTGGGAAGCCTCCAGGGTGGTCAGAGTTACCCTTGAACTAGGGTCACTGGAGATGGCTAGAGATTTGTCTGACACTTCACTGAAAAGAAAGGGGCCTTGTCTAGTGTCAGGCTGAAGCTGCACCCTTTTTCCTCCTGGGGAGCCTCAAATGTCCTTGTTGGGGAGGCCCAGGCCTCCTCAGGAGCACCTTGGTTCCCAGATATTGTAGGAACCAGAGATCAGAGACCCAGCTTGTGGGATGGAGGGTGGGGGGCTAGTGCCCCACAGCCCTGGAGGTTGTGGTAGATTCCAGGAGTTGGAAACAAGCTGGGCAATATAGCAAGACCCTGTCTCAAAAATAACAATTAAAAGATTAAAAAAAAAAAACAACAAAAAACGAGTGAGAGTTATCTGATGCTTCTCATTCTCCTGGTATTAAATCTGGGAAAAGTTCATGTGAATTTATGTGGGAAACAGGATCAGTGAAAGAACTAGGGAGAGTTGCCTCCGCATGAGCACAGAGGCTGCATTATCATTTACATAGAGCCTCTCCATTGTGCCAGGCACCGTGCCAGCCTCCAGGTATGCAAAGGTGAACAAGCAGACATTGTTCTAGCCTTTGGTACTTATGATTTGGACCCTAATAAATATTTAGTTCCAAATTGTGGATAGTGTTGCGAAGGGAAAAGCTCAAGTTCTTAGAATAACAGGGAGGCCTGGCTGTTGTGATCTGGAGGATGAGAAGAGGCCTCTACAGAGAGAGGCCTGAAGGAGTGGTAGCAGATCGTCAGGGCATGTACCTGGAGGGCCTGTGTGTGTGAGCTCCAAGGCAGGGATGGGCAAGTTGGGGAAGTTGGGGAACTGAACCAGGGAGAGAATCTACACAAAGAGTCCAGACCTTACCATAAGATTAGGAGGTGGGGCCGGGTGTGGTGGCTCGCTCCTTTAATCCCAGCACTTTGGGAGGCCGAGGCAGGTGGATAGCTTGAGTCCAGGAGTTTGAGACCAGCCTAGACAACATGGTGAAACCCTGTCTCTGCTAAAAATACAAAAATTAGCTGGGTGTGGTGGTGCACCGCTGTAATCCCAGCTACTCGGGAGGCTGAGGCACTAGAATTGCTTGAACCCGGGAGGCAGAGGTTGCAGTGAGTCGAGATTGCGCCACTCTACTCCAGCCTGGGTGACAGGGTGAGACTCAGCCTCAAAACAACAACAACAACAACAACAACAACAACAACAACAACAACAACAAAATTAGCCAGACATGGTGGCACGTGCCTGAAAGTCCCAGCTGCTCAGGAGGCTGAGGTGGGAGGATCACCTGAGGCTGGCTGAGATCTCATCACTGCACTCCAGCCTGGACAACTGGAGCGATACCCTGTCAAAAAAAAAAAAGATAAAAAGATTAGGAGGTGGCTAGAGGCCCGATCATGTGGGGCCCTGAAAGGATTTTGAGCTTTGTTCCAATGGAAAGCCCTGAAAGCCGGGGATCAGCGGAGTCTGGCTGGGTGTGGAAAGTGGATGGAAGAGGTAAAAGCGGAACTGGGGATTGTAGGCGTCCGGGAAAAAGGTGATGGCTACCTGGCCTAGGGTGAGGGGCAATGGGATTGCTGTGACTGGCCATGTCAGGTGCTGGGGGAACAAGAGATGAGGGTAATGAACCCTGGCTCCAGTGATGTTGTCACAGGCCTTCCGACTCAACCATTCTGAAAAGAACTCTCCTCTGTCCTAATAGGCCTTTCCTCAGGTATGCACCAGTTCTCCAAAAATTAGGTCTATTTTTATAATTTTAATTTTTTGGTTTTTTTTTTTTAAGACAAAGTCCTGTCAAATCGGTTCCTACTAATGGTCTTTAATAATAACTTTCTGTACATAACAGATTTTGTTCTTTTGAAGAGCTGAGTGGTGTTCCATGACGTACACCTATGCCATAATTTATTTAACCAGTGGTTTCTGCTCTTGTCTTCCTCCTTTTTCAGGTTGACCAGTATCTCTACCACATGCGCCTCTCTGATGAGACCCTCTTGGAGATCTCTAAGCGGTTCCGCAAGGAGATGGAGAAAGGGCTTGGAGCCACCACTCACCCTACTGCAGCAGTGAAGATGCTGCCCACCTTTGTGAGGTCCACTCCAGATGGGACAGGTACTGCATCTGGGGGATGGCTCTAGCTGCTGCGTTACTCAGGGGTGATTTAGTTGGCTTTGCTCAGGGACCCAAATAACTCAAAAGCCTCAGAAACCAACCCTGGCTAAGGGAAGCATCCAGGGAATTGAATGGAAGGCTGTGTGACGGATGGACAGGAAGCTTGGGAAAAGCTGGCAGTCCTGGCAGTTAAGGGAGGGCACCTTTGTCAGCCCTACTGTGGCATCACTGTTGGCCATTTGTTTTCTACCTGTGTGCTGAGAAAGGCTGCTTGGCTCAGTTTGGCATTTTATGGTCCCACTGAGATTGCACGCAGTGATGGTGATGAACTACAACAAACGTACCTCACGTGGCCACAACTGTAGGCCGTGGGAGCCGCTCTGTGGCTCACCTGTGCATGCTCTAACTGGGACGCCGGACGCCGTGTAGGCATGTGGGAGGGACAGTGTAGTGCAGATTGACCTAGATTTTTTTCTTGAGCCCCATGTAAAAAGTACTAGAAATCCAAATAGACTTGGACAAAGTATGGAGCGTCACAGTGCATATATATATATTTTTTTGAGACAGTTTCACTCTTGTTGCCCAGGCTGGCGTGCAATGATGCGATCTCGGCTCACCGCAACCTCCGCCTCCTGGGTTCAAGTGATTCTCCTGCCTCACCCTCTGGAGTAGCTGGGATTACAGGCATGTGCCACCAAGCCCGGCTAATTTTGTATTTTTAGTAGAGATGGGGTTTCTCATGTTGGTCAGGTTGGTCTCGAACTCCTGACCTCAGGTGATCCGCCCGCTTCAGCCTCCCAAAGTGCTAGGATTACAGCTACCGCGCCCGCTGCCACAGTGCATATTAAGGAATTAAAGGCTCAGAAGTCCTGCAATACAAACCTATTAAGCTTTGTTTAATCATCTTATTTGGATACAGAGTACTTTTTTTTGAGATGGAGTCTCGCTCTGTCACCCAGGCTAGAGCGCAGTGGCGTGATCTCCATTAGCCAGAATGGTCTATATCTTTTGACCTCGTACCCGCCCACCTCGGCCTCCCAAAGTGCTGGGATTACAGGCGTGGCTACCGCACCCAGCCCAGAATCCTTATTTTATGGTACACCACCCAGCAAGTGATTTAATCAGGCAGGGGAAAAAGGATCACGGTGGAGATTCAAGTTGGAAAGGTCCAGTGGATTAGGGCTAGGTCACTGAAGGCCTTGAATGCAAGCCTAAAACATTTAATCTCTGCAGTAGCATTGGGGAGTAAATGCAAGGTTTTGAGGGGTGTCTTGGTAATGTTACATCATTGGCAGTATAGGTAGAGTGGAGGGGGAGCGAGGCCCAGCTGGTAGAGCACAAGACATGGCTCTGGTGGGTGGGCAAAAAGAGTATTCAAGGGTGGGGCCCGGCTGTTGAGCCCAGCTGCCTGGGAATGGCAACATCCCAGAGAAGGGGACCGAACAAAGTTGTGTCAGAGCTTTTATTTAATCCTCATAATAGGTGCCTCCATTTTAGAGATGAGGTGCTTGTGAGGCCCATGACGGGTGGTGGGTGGGGGGTAGGTACTCACATCTAGAGGACAGGAGAGAGAACCCAAGGGGCAGCTGCCAGGGCAGAGGAAGAACCAGGAGGCACAGTGTCCAAGAATCTAAGGGGGACGAGATCTCCAGGAAGCTGGCAGGTCGCTGGTGAGGCATCTACAGGGGCGTTGTTGGGAGGGGAGTAGGGGCAGGGCGTGGGTCAGGGCTTGTTAATGCCACGCGCCTGTGCTGTTTCCAGCACATGTGTGTCCTTGAGGCTCATCTCCCTAAGTGCCTCTAGGGACCTGGTTCGTCTGAGACTGTATCGTTCCCAAAATAAGTAAGTGTTTGCTGAAGCCTTGGGACCCAGCCTGGACCCAGTGCTGAGGGTATGACCTTGCTTAGGATTGTTTCCTGAGTGTGTTTCTTGGCCCTTCAAAGAGCCCCTCGAGGTGAGGGGCCTCTTATCTCTTCCATGTCCTCTAGATTGGCATGTTTACCTACCACTCCCTCTGACTGGAAACCACACCCACTTCTGAGATTTTTATTTGACATTCAGATAAATGTACACACTCCGGAAGGCCAGGGCCTTGTCTTTATTTCACCCAGCACTAACACTAAGTAAGTACCCTAAATCTTTTCTAAATACATATGGGCTAAGGACTCTTTTGGGCACCTCAATGTATTAACTCATTTACTTTTCAAAAACCTTTATGGTAAGTACAAATTTTATCCACAATTTTTAGATGAGGAATTTGAGGTTCAAATGTCAAACAAGTTGTCCAAAATCCTACAGCCAGTGGGAGGCCGAGTTAGGAATCAAGCTTGTGTAAGCCAAAGTTCAGGCATCGGTACTGCACGTGATGTGTTATATGTGTTCATGTATGTGTTAGCCTGTGCACTTGGCGCTGGAGCACACTGCAAATGCTCAACTAAAATTTTTTTGGAACGGAGTTGGGACTGATTGTTTGGACTGTATTATAGGCAGGTGAATTAAGTTTGTTGGGGAGAACTAATTATGGGGCAAGCTTTCAAAATTCTCATTGCTTTCCTGAAGCTGGAGGCTCCAAGACCTCCCATGCACCTTGAAGCTTGCACTGTTTGCAGCACATACTGGAATGTCTTACTCACTGAAACAAAGGAAGTGGCCCCTGGAATAATGGAGACCAGATTGCAGGAAACCCACACCTAATCCCTCCCTCCGCATTTGCAGGGGGTCCATAGGTTAGCTCCTCACCTCCATACTCTCTGGGACTCAGCCTTTGCTTTTGTAAAGTAAAGAGGTTGGACCTAGCAGTTCTAGTCTGTTCTGCACATCTACTAGAACTATTGTGCTAGTCTATTCACACAAACACTTCTGAGATCCTGTAATGGGAGATAAACCCTTGGTGTTCATTGGATGGTGTCTTAGTTCATTTTTGTGTTGCTGTAAAGTGGGACATATGTATATATGACAACTCAGCAATTCCACTTCCAACTATATGCCCTGAACAGACTCCTGTATGAATCCAAGGAGACATGGCTGAATAATGTTCATTACAGTGTTGCTTAATCGCACCTATAATCCCAGCTACTCAGGAGGCCGAGGCAGAGAGAATCAATCACCTGAACCTGGGAGATGGAGGTTGCAGTGAGCCGAAGTTGCGCCACTGCACTCCAGCCTGGGTGACAGCATGAGACTCTGTCTCAAAAAACAAACAAAAATAGATAAATTTAAAAAAAATAAAGTGGTCAGCATCAGGGCTCTCAAGTTTTGCTTTGTCAGTTGGGGGTATGAGTTATGGAATATGGCAGTGAAAATAGGTGACTCCTAAGTTGATACAGACTATCAAAAATGAAAATTCTCTATTGTCAGCACCCCAGTGAAGTGCTGCGAGGAAAGGCCGAGGTGAAGTTGTGTTAGCGATTCCCCCCATGTGGTCGCACACAGCCTGGGTGCCTGCCGCTGCTGCTGGGGGTGAAGCTGCATCCCTCTCCCACAGAAGGCTCGAGGCCTTTTCTCCAGGGGCACCTGTTCAGTGCCACCTTTCTCAGAACATTCGTTTCTCAGCCCGTTCATGGCTAGTATTCTTTTCAAACCTGAGAAACCAAACCCCAGATCTAGAGGGAGCCAATTTTTAAATCCATAGCTTTCTAACTTTTCTGGGCTATATCTTCACAGCAAGAAACACATGCATATAAATATTTATATGAAAGGAAATAAATTTGGGGACCAGAATTTATTCTTAAACATGATGAAGTTGGGTTTGTCTTCTATTCTTTAAGAAAGTTGCTAGTCAGAACCTGCTAAATGTTTTTCACTTTGCAGTTTGAAAGCCACTGCCTTAAATGATCCTTGGCCCAGTTTGATTCTAGATGAGCATTTCCTTTCTTGCTGGCACGAAATATGTAGTTTCAGGACAGTGTGGGGTGAGAGGTGAGAATCAGAATTATAGGTTCAAATGGGTTTGAATTCAAGCTGTGTGCTTCAGAGCGATTTATGATGTGATCCTCTATTTCCTCATTTGTGAAAAGGGGAAACTTCAGGGGGATCGGTTTTCTGAGAATTAAGGGAGAATCAGATATGTGACTTTCTCACATGTGTTACAAACACTCCTGCAGCCACAAACCACCACTGCAAAAGGCACTCTCATTGCCAAATTTACTAAGAAAAGGTGTGTAAGACTCCCAGGTTTTAATTTTGGAAGATTGGCATCAAGGGAGCAGGTGTGAGGGTTCATCCCCATCACCAGGGGCCCTGCATTTTGGAGTGAAGACCAGGCCCCAGCTCTTATACCAGCTCCAATTATCTAATTGTAATCAAAGTCCTATTAGAAAATGTGGAGAAACCAGAAAGTTTCAGGCCATTTATTTGTGGTGGAGGCCTCCCCATCACGGCTTATGGGCTCTTGTGTGAGAAGGCAGGGAATGTCAGTAGCCACTGAACCCCGTAGGGGTGAAATGTTCAAGGTAAATCGTGAAGTACCTGTGCTTCATAGGTTGTGTGGCCTACACAGTGTGAAGAAACACAGTTGGCATAATTAAAAGTGCAATAGACATAAACGGTCCAGGAATGTCTTACTCAATGACTGAATTTGGTGTCAGCCAGAATACATTAAAAATGGTCTCTATTTGTCGTTTTGCTTCTTTCCCAAACAGTTTTAAGAAGTTGAAAGAATTCTATAGTGGTCATCTATATTTTACTTGGTTTGCTTTATCAACCCCCCAATCCTTCTATCCATCAGTCCAGCTTGTTATAATTGATGCATTACAAAACATAAATTGCTGAGAAAGTATAGTAAATACTAATACTGAACTCTAGTTACTATGTATGCTGAAGTTTTAGGGTTCAGACGTATACTTACATAGTAACTAGAGTTCAATATTTGCTGTATTTTCTTGTGATGTAAGATCTAGATGAAGTGAAATAAATCTTAAGAGTATTATCTGATAAAAAAATAAATAGAAGGCCGGGCATGGTGTCTCATGCCTGCAATCCCAGCACTTTGGGAGGCTGAGGCGGGCAGATCACAAGGTCAGGAGATCGAGATCATCCTGGCTAACACGGTGAAACCCTGTCTCTACTAAAAATACAAAAAATTAGCCAGGCGTGGTGGCAGGCGGCTGAAGCAGGAAGAATGGTGTGAACCCGGGAGGCAGAGCATTCCAGCCTGGGCCACAGAGCGAGACTCCATCTCAAAAAAAAAGAGTATTATCTGATGAATTGACAAATACACCTGTTTAATACAACCTCCATCAGAAAAGGGAATGCTTATACACTGTTGGTGGGAATGTAAATAAGTACATCCTCTATGGAAAACAGTATGGAGATTTCTCAAAGAACTAAAAATAGAACTGCCATTCCATCCAGCAATCTCACTATTGAGTATCTACCCAAAGGAAAAGAAATCATACCAAAAAGATGCCTGCACTTGTATGTTTATCACAGCACCATTCACAATAGCAAAGATGTGGAGTCGATGCCCATCAATGGACAGATGATTGGATAAAGAAACTGTGGTATATATACATAATAGAATACTGTTCAGTCTTAAAATAGAATGAAATAATGTATTTTGCAGCATCATGGATGGAACTGGAGGCTGTTATTTTAAGTGAAACAGCTCCAAAACAGACAAATACCGCACGTTTTCACTTATAAGTGGGAGCTAAACAGTGTGTCCACATGGACATAGAAAGTGGAATGATAGACCATGGAGACTTGGAAGGGTGAGGGTAGGAGGGTGGGGGGCATGAGGGTAGGAGGGTGGGGGGTGGTGTGGATGATGAGAAATTACTTAACGGATGTAGTGGGTGTTGGATACACTAAAAGCCCTCACTTCACCATTGTGCAGTATATCCATGTAACAAAATTATGTTTGCACCTCATAAATTTAAACAACTAAAAAAAACCTCCATCAAGATACAGAACATTACCATCACCCCAGAAAGTTACCTTGAGCCCCTTCCCAGTCAATCCCTGTACCTGATCCCCCCAGAGGCAATCACATTCTACTATTTTCCACATATGTGAGTTTTGCCTGTTCCAGAACTTCACATATAAATCGACTCACACAGTATTTGTTTTTTATGCAAGTCTTTTTTTATTTGTCATAATGTGGGATTTATCTGTGTTGTGTCTATCAGTGTCTCGTTCCTTTTGGCTGCTGATTCCATGGTATGATTAGAATCTGATATGAATATTGATGGACACCCGGGCAGTTTCCAGTTTTTGGCTATTTGAGTAAAGCTGCTATGAACATTATTGCACAAGCCCTTTTGTGGACACGTTTTTAGTTCCTTGTATAAACAACTAGGAGTGGAATTACTGGGTCATTCATAGAATTTGGTATATGTTTAATTTTTAGAAACTGCCAGACATTTCCCCCAAATTGTTGAACCATTTATACTCCCACTAATAATGTATGAGAGCTCTGCCTGCTCCATATCCTCAATAGCATTTGTTGTCTGTATGTCCTTGTTTCTTTTTTTCAGTGGAGAGTTAATTAAAGAAAGCATTCATTTGCGTTTGCTAGGAAACACACCATCTTGACCTCTCTGTAGGCAGCCCTAATCTGTGCCACAACCCTGCGTGTGACTGTGGTACCAGCCCTAACGCAGTTCTGTCAGGGGCCCCACCACACACATAGGGGCCACACATAGGGGCCTGGCTTTCAGAGGACAGTTCCATTTTAAAAGGGAATGCAGGGGTCGGGCACGGTGGCTTACGCCTGTAATCCTAACACTTTGGGAGGCCAAGGTGGGTGGATCACTTGAGGTCAGGACCAGCCTGGCCAACATGTTGAAACCCCATCTCTACTAAAAATATAAAAAATTAGCCGGTTGTGGTGGCATGGACCTGTAATCCCAGCTACTGGGGGGCTGAGACACGAGAATCGCTTGAATCTGGGAGGCAGAGGTTGCAGTGAGCTGAGATCATGCTGCTGCACTCCAGCCTGGGCGACAGAGTGAGACTCCGAAAAAAAAAAAAAGGGAATGCAGGAAGAATTGATAGCATTTAATGAGCACCCATGGTGTCTGTACTAGGCCATTTACATAAATCTGTTTTACTCTCCACAAAAACTTTACAAGAGAGTCATTCTCACTTTAAAAATGAGGCAACCAAGGCTAAAAAAGGATTGATGGCTGCCAAGGTCACCTGTGGGCAGATGGTGACAGTTGGGATGTAAGCATAGATAGTCCTGACTCCACGGCCATAAGATTCACAGTTTACATTGGCTTGTACTGCTGAACCAAAGTTTCTAGGGAAAATCAGATGATTATCTTTTTAAATGGATCCTAAATACGAGTTGGCTTTGTATCATTCCAATAAGAAGCTCAAGTACAACCCAACTGAAAATGTGCCAGCCGCATGTTCTAACTTAGAAATGAAGTAACTGTGGTGCCTTTATCACCCTTGTCTTGGCAAGATCGTTTGGTTATAACTATGCCTTATGAGACAGAGTGAGGGTAAGGCAGTGTCAGATCGATCATTTGACTCTTCTTCACCTCGGAATTGTGAATTATGTTCACAGGTAAGTATACCTCCATCCTCTAGCCAGACTTAAACCCTCTAGAGAGCAGGGAACCATGATGCTGATGGTGACGGTGATGATGATGATGATAAAAATTGTAGACATCGTTAGTGCCAGGTACTGTGCTGAACGCTGTGTTTGAGCTATCTCATCATTTCTTACAGTCATCCAGTGGTAGGTACGCTGAACTTCACTTTACAGAAAAAGGCAATAGATTTGGAGCAATTAGGCAACTTGCCCAAAGTCACAGTGAGCAAGTGGCAGCATTGGGATTGGAACTTGGCCAGCCAAATTGCTAATGCCTGGGCTTTTAAGCACACCACCAGTGGCACATTGGTGCTGTGCTGCTAGCACAATGTGTGGATTCTTCTCTTACTAACCTAGGCCTAGCTGTTCAGCTCATTCAACAGTCCTCTCCGAGGCTTGGTCCTCTGTGCAGCAGCAGTGTGCTAAGCTGCCTCGTGCCCTTTAAAGAGTGAAAGTTGTGCTGGGGAGATAAGGCCCATGTAGACAAAACAATTAGAGATATCGGGCCATATAATGCAAGCACATGATGTGATAAAGGGAGACCGGGCTGGTGATACGTTGCATGGAAGCTGGTTAAACCTGAAGGAAGCCCTTATCTTGGTTGCTCTGCATTATATTAACAACTGTACAGCGGAGACATACATCCAGAGCTAGCACACAGCAAGTTAATTGGGGTACTTACGTAGTCCAGGCGATATAAATTGAAGATTGTACTGATAGATAGCCTCAGTACAGCAGATGGCACTTACATTGTCAGGCGTTGTGCCAAACGCCTTACACTTCCTTGCACTGAATCTTGACAAGGTGCGTGTGTGTATGTGTGCGTGTATATGTGTGTGTTTTCCTGTGTTCTTGTTCTGGGTTGTGGAGGGAGGTGCTGACTAGAAGGAGGTTATCGTTACCCTTTTAAAACAGATGATGAAATCTGAGTGTCAGATTTCTAATAAATTGCCCAAAGCCACATGGCTAATGCATGTTAGAGTGGGATTTGAACCCAGGTCTGCCTGCCTAAAAAGCTGAACATGCTCAGAGCTTACACAATATTGAAACATAATCATGTTTTAACCCTTTGAAGAGTGGTTTCACATCTGTGGGGCTAATTACACCTCTCTGTGACTGGCACGTATTTTGAGCTTAAGAAACACTTCCTGGGTAAAAAGAGCACCAGAGTGGTGCATTCCAAGAGGTGTCCTAGGAGCTTTAGGGTGCCAGTCATGTGTTTTACGTGTTCCACACCCCTCCCTTCAGTTGGAGCAGCTCTGTTTTTCTCTATTTTACGTTGTGGCATTTGGCCCACCAATTTTATTTGGAAATAAGCATTCTGTTGCTTAAAATGGTTTGAAAACAAATGATGTAGAAGATCAGATCACTCCATTCCTAGTCTGTACCAGACACCAGCGTTAACTGTGATTCAGTGCCTTTAATGACACGGAGTATTGAATACTTCTGTATGGCTGAGCTCTTGAATGGTGGCCGGCATTGCATTGTAATGGAGTAATTGGAATCCTGGGGTTTAAAAAGAGGCTGCCAGGTGTGGTAGTGATCATGGCGATTCCGGGTACATGGAAAATACGTGCCTTGAGACCTGTGTCTTGCTACATTACCTGCTTAGGACTTGGAGATGTATCTTTTCGGTCCTCGTTTCATTTGGAGTATATGCCATACATTCTCAGAGCAGTCCACTGTTGTGTGCTAGCAGGTGCTTGAAAACTAAAGGAAAAAAACAAGATCCCCTCAACCCAGAGTCACCCCATAGAGGATGATTGGAATGTTCAGTGCAGTTACCTGGGGCCACTGGAAATGATATTGTAGGGCAGAAAGGGCAGGTCCCTTTAGGGGCATTAAGTTATAAATATAGGGCTGGTTCAGGAACTGAATGTGAAAGTATGCGTTTGTGACTTTGACCCACCTCCAAGTTTACGGCTGCATGCCTCAGGCATTGAGTGACAAGGAAGAGCCAGAGGCTCTAAGGTTGGATCAAATACAGTCCAGTGTTCTGATTTGCCTGAGCCTCTCCCAGTTTTGGCATTGAAAGTCCCATGTCATAGGAAACCCCTCCATCCTGGGCAAACTGGGATGGTTGGCCACCCTACATGGCCCTGGAGCTCATGCCCTCACTGCTGCTCAGCTCAACTGTGGCAGCAGCCCTTGAGCTGCTTCCTTGTGCTATCCCAGCCCTCCACAGTGCCACTAGAGCCACTAGAGCCCTTTTGGAAACAGATCTGACCTTCTTAAGAACGAAAGAAAGTCCTTGGCAATGGTATTTGCTGTGCGTTTATAGCCATGTCACGTGAGCCCTATGTTGTAGCTACTCTGGACATGCCATTTTTTGGCACCCACAAATTAATGCCAACTTATAGTTATACCAAACCTCTGTCCTGCCTTACTGGACACCAGAGCATGCCACAAACCTCCATGGCCTTGACAGGGAGAAAGGGAACAAGTACCTTGATAGGATCTATTAACGGAGGAATAATTTACTGTGTTTCTTCTTTGTTGTTGTTGTCATTTGTTTGTTTTTTTTTTGAGACAGAGTCTGGCTCTATTGCCCAGGCTGGGGTACAGTGGCGAGATCTCAGTTCACTGCAACCTCCACTTCCTGGGTTCTAGTGATTCTCTTGCCTCAGCCTCCCAAGTAACTGGGATTACAGGGCTACGCCACCATGCCCGGCAAATTTTTGTATTATTAGTAGAGACAGGGTTTCACCATGTTGACCAGGCTGGTCTCAAACTCCAGACCTCAAGTAATCTGCCCGCCTTGGCCTCCCAAAGTGCTGGGAATACAAGCATGAGCCACCACACCCAGCCTGTGTGTTTCTATATGTTCACATACAACATAGTCCATGTTTCACGTAAGCATCACAACCGCTGGGAGATGTCAGCATTATGAATCCTGTTCTACAGGTGAGGTGACATGCTCAGAGAGCCCTGTGATGTGCCCACACCACACAGGTAGTGAAGCTGCTGAGCTGGAATTCAAAATGAGGCCTGCCTACCTGTCTAAGGTCCAGTGCCTAACCACTGCTCTGGCATGGGCACGTAACCATGCGTGGGCGTTACGAGAGGGCCCGTCTCAGGATTGCCGAGTCACAGTGCTAGGCCTGCCTCAGATTCCGGACTTGGAAGGAATGCAGTCATTGGCTATGGTGGTTGTGGCTTCCTATGTGTGTGGAGGAGGGCTGCAGGGAGGAGGGGTGTCAGGGAATGTGTGTTCCAGAGGAGTCCTGTAAGCAAAGCAAGAGAGGACCTCCTTCCTGGGAACAGGTTCATCAGCAATACTTTATTATTTGTGTTTTCCCTTCAGTCCATCAGAAAATCCTGCACACCACCCGTTCTTGGTGGAGCTGTGGCCTCTGAGTCCAGCTGGGCTGGCCTCGGATGATGACCCACCAGGGGCAGCCTCGCCACCTCGGTCCCCTGTGGTCACTGATTCAGCGGATCGCGTGTATCCTGGACTTGAGAGTGCTGATGAGGCATTTCATCTTTGATATCCCTTTCATCCCTCATGACAGCCACCACGTTGTGTTTCCTAGAATTTGGCTGAGTTCCCACTACCAGGGAAGGCTCAGAGCTGGAGTGTCTGGAAAAGCCACCCATGGCCATGAGGCAGGCAGGCTAACCCCAGATGAGGGCGATGTTGCTGTAGCTAGCCCGCAGCTGTAGCTAGTGGTGGGGCCACCTCTAGTCACTGGGCAGGAAATGGAAAATTAGTGCCCCTAAGGAGGAATGCTGCCGTCACTGGAGCCAATTCCAGTGACTTTTCTTGGACAGGTTTCTGCAATCCCTTCTGCTTTCGTTGGCCTGGAAGAGTCAAGTGAGGCTGTGGGACAGGGTCTGCCTAGAGCCCGGAGAGAGAGTACCTAGTACTTACTGAGTGTGTCCTGAGTTCTTGGTCCTGCACCACACTTGTGTGTCTAATTTTTCCCCTCACAGCAACCCAATGAGATGCAATGTTCCCATTTTAGAGATGAAGCAGCTGAGGCTCAGAGGCTCAGGAACTTGCCTCTGCTAAATAGTGGCCGGGGTTCTGGAGCAGGTGATGTGGGCTCCAGAGCCAGTCTCCGTGTGTCACATCGCCTGACACACTTCTGGTTGTGTGGTCTCTGGTGGATGATGTCTACCGTTTTCCCTCTTGGGACCCTAGGGACTGTGGGTGGTGTTCTCAGGGAGCTGGTCAGATGTGACTTTTCTCAGGGCCTAAGTGCTGGAGGTGCTGAGTGCACCTGGGTGTAAAACAAACATTCTTGGGTTATTGAGTCAGAGCATCTCCCTGACCTCTGACCCATTCCGCTTCACTTCAGTGCTGTTCTCCCACCAGGAAAGGGGTTGAGTGTTGACAAACATGCCAATAAGTGAACCCCCCAGGAAATTGCCTTGTATCCTTGTATCCTTTGAGAAGGTTGTGGCAGGGCAGCAGAAGACTGGCGGTGCTGCTCGCAGTTGGGGCAGTCACCTGCGGATGCGCCTTGCCTGCTCCGCCAGCCCCTGCCCTGCTGCAGGTTCCGCGCCTCTTCAGCACTTTCATTCTGTGCCACACAATGGGGCCCTTCCCCATAGTCGGTGGTATTATCACCCAGGATCTGGATGTTTCCTGTCTACACTGCTGTTTCCTGGAGGGTAGGAACTGCACCTTCCCAGTGACACATGACAGTCTTCACCCATCTGTGTCTGTGGCTCCTTTCTGGAGTCTCACTCATCCTCTTTCCTGCTCCCCCACAGCTTTTCTGTTGCTTCAGTGGCCTGACTCTTGTCGTACATACATGCTCTGGGGTCAGCATTCTCTTGCATTCTGATAAGCCTGAGATCCTTTGAGGGGGCACCTGCTTGCCTTATTCACCAGGCCTCAATGTGTTGGTCCTCATTCCACTCCATCACATGACCCCTCTGGTCTTGCTGCAGGACATGGCCCTCATAATATGCAAACATTAGAAAGTAAATTTAGTACTGCAATTGCAATATGCAAACATAATATGCAAACATTAGAAAGTAAATTTAATACCGTGCTTGCAATTTGGTGTTCTGGGGGTATGAGGAACAGGATGGAGGCATGCACCCCTGGCATGGGGCTTGCTGAAAGCACTGAGGAGGTAGTCGGCTCTCAGGAGGGGGTGAGCACATCGTTGGATGCGAAACTGTCTTATATTGTTGATTGAATTATAAAAGTAATGTATATGCGACAGAATACTACTTAGCCATAAAAAGGAACAAATTAATGGCATTCGTAGCAACCTGGATGGGATTGGAGACCATTATTCTAAGTGAAGTAACTCTGGAATGGAAAACCAAACATCATATGTTCTCACTCATAATTGGGAACTAAGCTATGAGGATGCAAAAGCATAAGAATAATACAATTGACTTTGGAGACTCAGAGGAAAGGATGGGAAGGGAGTGAGGGATTAAAAAAAAAACAGCCCTGTGAGTTTCCAGTTTTAATAAAGCTCTGAGAATTAAAAAAATAATAATGTAAAGGTGTATAGCATGAAATTAGACTATATGTAATGTCTGTAGAGGAGTGAATCCCACTGGCCGCCCCTTACCCACAGATATTCCTGGAGGGACTTGGAGTTTTAAGTCTCGGTTGGTTCCTGGAAGAATTTTGCCCAAAATTAATAGTGGCCCTTCCTTTCTCTGCAGAACACGGAGAGTTCCTGGCTCTGGATCTTGGAGGGACCAACTTCCGTGTGCTTTGGGTGAAAGTAACGGACAATGGGCTCCAGAAGGTGGAGATGGAGAATCAGATCTATGCCATCCCTGAGGACATCATGCGAGGCAGTGGCACCCAGGTATGACCCTTCTCTCAGGGCAGCCCCTGGTGACAAAAAACTTCCTTGGCATGTTCTTTCTGTACTTTCTCCAGCCGCTCCCAGCGTGTGGATAGGCAGTCACCCAAGACACTCATGGATGCCAGCACAGCTGTAAGGGCTCCCTCTCAGCCGGAGCTCAGGCTGTTCTGGTTGTATTTTATACCCAACATGTACTCAGTATTAAAAGGAGTGACTAGAGAAGAAGCATGAAATCCAAGTAAGACGCTGTTCAGTGTTGTCACATCTCGGGCCTCAGGGCTTGGAAGAGGTCAAGCCCTCTGATTCGTGGTCGGCTGTTCCCTCTCCCACACAAGGCTCCCTCCTGGGAAAGGAATTTCTGACCATGAGTAGAACACGCTGGGGAGATATTTTTAGACTCATTATTTGTCTTTGGGGTGGCCTTGAGGTAAACCTGCTTTCCTTGTTATCATGCTGGGGTTGGAGAAGGGAGGCTGCATCCCTAGGGCTGTGGGCATTTGAGCTTTACCGAAGTTGTCACGTGGCTCCAGTATAACGTCAGGAGGGACACAGAGGGTAGCGGCCCTTCCACTGCCACTCCTATGCCTGCACCAAGCTGAGGTATTAAAGAGATTGGGTCCTGTATTCAGGCACTCTAGCTGTGTGATTCTGGGCAAGTGATAGACCTCAGTTTATTCATCTGTAAAAAGGGATGATAGTGTACGGATTGTGGTGTAGATTAGAGGAGATGATACCTGTTAAGTATTTGGCATAGTGCTGGTGCATAATCTAGTACTCTTCGTGTTTTTTTCACAGGGGTTTTTGTCTGTTTATCTAATTGCTTCTTGTGCTGTCACTTTCTGTGGCTAGTAATTGCATTGTTCCCTGTTGTGGGGGATGTGGTTGCCTTTTCTTCCCGTTGCCTCGATCTCCTGCCTTGGGCCACATCCCCCAGATGATAAATGTTTAAGAACCAAGTAAACTAGATAAGACAAAACAAAACAAACAAAATAACATCTAAAGTTTGGCTGTGATTATGTAAAAGACTTGTAACGTGATGGTGACTTGTTAGGTGGATTTTTAAGTTTTACAAGAACAACACCCTCCCTGTTGCTTGTATCCTGACAACATGCAGGGGCCAGGCACCTTGCAGTCCCTGCAGCGTCATCCCTAGAGCCTGGCAAGGACAATGAAGTGCGTCTCTGCCAATTGAGAAAAAAAATCCATTTTAAACATTCAAGATGTGAGTGAAGTTCTTCTTGAAAAAAGCTTAAAATTGCTCAGACCACCTAGTTAGAGGGTATCAAGAAAACCTACTCTCCATGCAATATATAAGAAAAACAGTATAGTCCGGATTAAAAAAAAAAACAACTATGAGACCCACCTTGAAGAGCATTAAAACTGTTGAGATATTAGAAAGATTTTAAGTAAGTGAAAAATGCTATTTAAAAATGAAAAGGAAAGAAAGCTAGAAGAAAATATAGGTATCTTTGATCCTAAGGAATAGGAAGACTGCTGTGTACCTAAAAGCAGCAGAAAACACTTGGAAAAAAGGCTGAAAGGAAGTTCATTGTGGCTATTTTAGTGGTGGAATTACTGGTGCTATTTTTCCCATATTTTCCCCCTTTTTTGGTACTTGGTATCAGTATTTTACTTAAAGGAAAACAAATGGATTGTAAATATACACTTTGGTTAAGAACAAATCTTGGAATCCCAAACTTGCAAAGGTTTTTGAAGAATTGTGAACCTGGGCAATGGGGGTCCTTCGGTAAAGTCTGTCTTCCGGCACATTAACTTCTCCTGAAGAGCAGTGGATTGCAAACCTGAATGGCAGCCACTTTAAGATTTTAAACGTATATCTCGTGGAAAGGGAAGTGAGCAGATTTTCAGACCAGTAAGGAAAAGGAAACCATTTTAACTTCATAAAATGATGCCCTTTGAGCCTTTTTATGACAGGAACGTGTTAGCTCTTTCTCTGCATCTTACCCATAGATCCTCCTCAAAGAGAACGAGATTGTCTTCCAATTCAAGGAAGCAGAAGGTCTCCTCTTCCCACTTGAGAAAAGATGTAGGTTCTTTGAACCCAGCCCTAGCCAGTGGAACTTCTTGCAGCAATGGAACTGTCTCCTATCTTCCCTGTGCAATATGATAGGCACTGACCCTGTGGCATCGAGCCCTTGAAGTGTGGCTGGTGTGACGGAGGAACTGAATTTTTAAGGTCTTTTTTCTTTTCTTTTCTTTTTTTTTTTTTTTTTTGAGACAGTCTCACTCTGTCACCCAAGCGTGACACCCAAGAGTGCGGTGGCACCATCCCGGCTCTCTGCAATTTCTGCCCCCCAGGTTCAAGCGATTCTCCTTCCTCAGCCTCCCGAGTAGCTGGGACTACAGGTGTGCACCACCAGGCCCGGCTAATTTTTTGAATTTTTAGTAGAGACAGCTAATTTTTTGAATCACCATGTTGGCTTTGAGCTTCTGACCTCAAGTGATCTGCCCGTCTTCGCCTCCCGAAGTGCTGGGATTACAGGCAGGAGCCACTGCGCCGGCCTGTTTTAAAAATTCTAATTAATTGACATAGCCACAGATGGCCAGTGGCTACTATATTGGGCAGGGCAGTATTTAATGCTTCTTCACGGTCTATTTTTCTCTACCTTCCTATGTTAGGAGCGCAACTGGAAAGAAAGCAGTGATCAGAGCTGGGGGAGGAGAAACCATTTTGCTTTTCCCCCTTCTAACCCCCACCTCCAGTCTTTGATGATTGGCCTTATCTCTTTGCACAACTTCTGCATCTCCCTTTTTTTTTTTTTTTTTTTTTGGGATAAAAACTATTTGTACTAAAGATCATTTTGACTAGAGTGCCAGGAAGAAGGTGCTGGGAATTTGTTTAATATACGTATCATATAATTCATCTCTAGTCACCTTCCCGACAGAACAGAATTTGCTGAATATATCCCTATTTTCATGTTAAAATACTTGAACTCTGTTCAAGGGAGTTGGCTCACCTGCACTGGTGATCCCCATGGCAAGAGAGCCTTGTCCTCCCCAGCCTTTGCTCTTGAAAATGTTTTGGTTTGGAGGTCGAAGGTTCAGCCTCAGCTGTTGTTAACTTTGCATGGGATCAGACAGAGGGACAGACAGAATGGATGTGGGAAGTTTAGTTAGATCTGGCCATCTTCCAGATTGGGGTGGCCTTGTCTTCCTGGGTCCCTCCTGCTGACCATACCCTAGGCATCAGGAGATCCAACAGGTCTGTCAGTTTCCCTCTCCCAACCTCTCAGTTCCTTTATAAATGTAAGAACTTTCTGTGGTTTGGCATAGTGGTTCTCAACCTACTGCTCCAGGATCACCTGGAGGGCGGAAGGCTTGCTAACAGATGGCTGGGCCCCACCCCCAGAGTTTCTGCTATAGTCGGTCTGTGGGGGCGGGCCTAGACCCTAGAATGTACATTTCTAACATGTTCCCAGGTTAAGGGAGTGAGGTTGCTGTTCCAGGAGCACACTTTGAAAAGCCATGGTTTAGTCGAATCTTCTTGCACCTTCCTGGATAGGAAAAGGATAGTTGACCTCTTATCCACCTTGGCTTTTAGATTTTGCCACGTAGTCAACCTGGCCCTTGGAATCTGCCCAGCCTCTTTGGCCTCTGCTTACTTTTTACACCTGAATGCCTCTAGTCTCAGCCTTCACCTAAAGGGTCAGCAGCTTCTCTTTGAGCGTGTAGGGTGGGGCAAGAAGGACGCCAGGGGATTGTGGGCTTTGGGGCTGATTGAAAGCCTGGCTTATTATGAATACAGCTTTTTTAAGGCTTAGGAGCTCTGGGTCCTGCACAGTGAGTGCGTGCGGTCACGGTTGTGAGGCTGCTCACCCACAAAATGTGATTTATTTCTCAGCGCTCTTCATGGACTTACTGGATGTTCTGTTTAGAAAGTTAGAAAACAAAGATAACTTCTTTGAATTGCCCTCAGGAGATTAGTTTTCTAGAATGGAGAAAAAAATATAAAAATTACTTGTTTTTGTTAAGTTGGTTCATAGAATGCCAACAGAGAATGCTGTCCCTGCAAACCACCCCCCACCCCATCACCAGAGACAGGGATACTAAAATACTTCTTGGCAGCAAGATGGGCTGGCCTTTGGTATGATCGTCAACTGGGCTTCCATGTCAATGGGTTTCTGACAGGGCCACCAAAGAATGTTCTGTTCCCCGGGCATGAAGTGACTTTCTGATTAATGTTGGCCATGATTTCCCCTACCTCACAGGGTTATCTTGACAGCAGTTTAGAAAAATGGCTTAAGTAGAGGACAATATTTAGTGGGCAAAAACTAATGTTAAGCCTTTATGTATTGACTCATGTACTCCTTTTCATAACTCCATGAGGACAGGTCCAGTTATAATTCCCTTTTTGTAGGTGAGCAAATGAAGATATCAGAGGAGATATGGGTTTTGCACACATTCAGCTAGTTACGTGCTGAGCCTGAAGTGCATGCCCTTAATCTCTATGCTGTTCGACCTCTCTGCTCACCACCCTGTGTCATGTATCCTTAGCTGTTTGACCACATTGCCGAATGCCTGGCTAACTTCATGGATAAGCTACAAATCAAAGACAAGAAGCTCCCACTGGGTTTTACCTTCTCGTTCCCCTGCCACCAGACTAAACTAGACGAGGTAAGATGGGCTCCTCAGACACTTGTTGCTTCACTCTTGGGGCTGGGAGGGCTGAGAGGGACTTCTGAGCCACCTGCTGTGGTGGTGGTGGTAGCACTGGAGGATTGTGGAGATGAAGTTCTGCCTTTCTGGGTGACTGTGTATGTCGATGGGGGGGCTGGTGAAGAAATCTGGGGGGTTGGGAGTGCCCTTTATCACCCTCTCTCCCACACACATTGCACAGTATCCTTATCCCCTCCACAGAAACAGGAATGAGAAATCAGGAACTCCCCAGTCTAAAGTGTTATGATAAAGACCCTTGGAAGAAAGATACTTGGAGAGTTAATGATGTAAGGACACAAGTACAGTCATGTATTGCATAACAATGGGGATATGTTCTGAGAAATGCTTTATTAGGTGATTTCACTTATGTATAAACATCATAGAGTGCACTTACACAAACCTAGATGGTATAGACTACTACACACCTAGGCTGTATGGGACAGCCTGTTAACTCCTAGGCCACAAATCTGTATAGCATGTTACTGTACTGAATGCTATAGGCAATTGTAACACAGTGATATCTGTGTATCTAACTAGGCAATAGGAACTTTTCAGCTCTATTATAATCTTGTTACCACCGCAGTATACACAATCTGTCACTGACTGAAACATTGTTATGCGGCACATGACTGTGTCTTATAGTGCCAGTTGTCCTGAGTTTCTTTTTCCTAGGCTAGCCAGGAAGTAACACACAAATTCAATCATGACTTTACCCCAGTGGCAGAGGTCTCTGCTAATGACGGAGGTTTGAGGGGTGTGGTGTGAGTTTCAGTTTTAGTGGGAAATCAATATTCACTTCTTGGTCCCTTTCCAGAGTTTCCTGGTCTCATGGACCAAGGGATTCAAGTCCAGTGGAGTGGAAGGCAGAGACGTTGTGGCTCTGATCCGGAAGGCCATCCAGAGGAGAGGGGTGAGTGGGGTGGCAGGAGCTTGGGGTCTGTGGGCTTTTCTGGGTCCACCCTGAAGACTCCCTGAGTGTCCTTGACTCATCATTGTTTGCTTACGTGGAGCTTAAGGAGAGTTCTCTTTTCCCTGACACATGTACTCAATAATTTTGTATGCGATCTGCTGCTTTGGGGGTTTTTAGATTATCAAATGGATAAATAATCTTAGCCTTGGCACAAGAAAAGCTCTTTAGTTCTTAACCTGAAGAAGACTTGAATGTGATTTCCAAGTAAGAAAGTTGGAATGATGTTGACATGGGAGTGGAATGGCTCAGAGAGAGAATGAATTAAAAGTCTTATCACAGGAGGAGTTATGGGGAGGGAGGGGGGAGAGAGAGAGAAGGAGGAGGAGGAGGAGGAGGAGTGATATATAGCTGGTGTTAGGAAAGTCGCCCTCTGTGATGATGAAGGTCAGAGCCCTCCCATTTGTCTCCACAGGACTTTGATATCGACATTGTGGCTGTGGTGAATGACACAGTTGGGACCATGATGACCTGTGGTTATGATGACCACAACTGTGAGATTGGTCTCATTGTGGGTGAGTGAACACCGTGCATGAAGGGCCCGTGCTGGCCAAGGGATGGGGGTGTGGGCTGGAAAGGGAGAAGGGGCCCATGGGCTGGGTGTTCCTTTGTAGTTCATATTAGAAGATAATGGTCCAGTCACTTTGGAGAGCCGAGCAGGGACTCATGGAGTTGGGGGTGGCAGAAGATTAGACCATGTATTGTGATGCCCCCAGAGTCTGCAGTGAGAAATCCCAGCCATCCTGGCCGGGCAGTCTCGGGACAGTAGTATAAGAGGGAAGAGGGGTGGGAAGGGGCCGGAGCAGGCGTGTGCATAGCCGTCCCTTGTTTTGGCAGGCACGGGCAGCAACGCCTGCTACATGGAAGAGATGCGCCACATCGACATGGTGGAAGGCGATGAGGGGCGGATGTGTATCAATATGGAGTGGGGGGCCTTCGGGGACGATGGCTCGCTCAACGACATTCGCACTGAGTTTGACCAGGAGATTGACATGGGCTCACTGAACCCGGGAAAGCAACTGTGAGTAGGCCCTTCCTGTGCGAGTGGGCTTGGCGGGGGCCTGGAGCTGAGTCTGGGGCTGGTCGGGGCCAGGGGGTTGTTTCTTTACAGTCTTACATCCCCAAAGCTTGCCAAGGTGGCCACTGGTCATAGGAATGTCTGTGACTATAAATTGCTGAGAGGATCTAAAACAGAGAGCAAGCGGATATACCAGATTATAGCTAATAATGTGTTTCCTTCACAGGAGTCATTTTGGAAGGTTCTATTCTGAGTGTAAGTGGGTGGCCCTGCTCTTTCTTTCCACCTTCTATTTGTAAATTGTCCATGGGAACTGTGAGCCACCTAAGGAAAGTTGTGTTGAGGTGGCCAAGATTGGGGTCTCTGAAAGCTCCTTTCATAGCTCCAACTCCATCACCACCCAGAGGACAGGCTGACAGCTGGCTGCTCATTGCTGCTCCCTGGGGTCCCAGGGCCTCCTGCTGCAGCTGCAGGCAGACCCATGGCCCCTGGAGACATTGGCTGAGGAGCTTCCTTGGCCTCCTTCACTTGGACCTTGGCCCAACTATGTCCTGGGATGGATTGGAGGAGGGGCGTCTAGCATTTTGGATCCTGAATATTGTATTCTCCAGCCTGGCCTGCCTTTGTTTTTAGTTGCTTTTATCTCTTACAAAACCTTATTTCACCCTCACAAACATTTGCCAAATGTGCGTGTGAAAGATCTTGAAACAGGGATTGCTTCAAGGTCTGAAGCAGTTGCAAAATATTTTGAGCAATACAGATCATCTCTGGTCTTGTGACTGTTGTAGAAAAGCTTTTCGTGCAGATCTCTACTTGGACAGGAAAATTGAACCCTATAAATCAAGTCAGTGGTGGGTAACCCAGGAGAGTCCTTGCTTTCGTTTTTTTTTTTTTTTTTTTGAGACAGAGTCTCTCTCTGTTGCCCAGGCTGGTGTGCAATGGCGCAATCTTGGCTCACCGCAATCTCTGCCTCCCGGGTTCAAGCGATTCTCCTACCTCAGCTTCCTGAGTAGCTGGGATTACAGGCGCCTGCCACCACGCCCAGCTAATTTTTGTATTTTTATTAGAGACAGGGTTTCACCATGCTGGCCAGACTGGTCTCGAACTCCCGACCTCAGGCGGTCCGCCCTCCTCGGCCTCCCAAAGTGCTGGGATTACAGGCGTGAGCCACCGCGCCCGGCCTGAGAGTCCTTGCTTTGTCAAAGCATGGTTTATTTATCTAAGTCACAAGCTTGTTTCACATGTTGAAATGAGTCCTTTACTTGAAATTTCTGAGGATCATACTGGTTGTGTCTGCCATGGCTGATGAGAGGTTTATGAGCTGAAAAGTCACTCAGTGCCTGCCTCCATGAATGAGGCACACCCAAGTCATTCCGAGGAACTAAAGGCCCTTTCAAATGTCAAAAGACAAATTTGCCAGCCAGACCATGACAGCACACCCCCGGCTTATCCTTTGACACCCACCAAATTGTCATCCATGGTAGCCCTGAAGTCACTACAGACAATTTTTGTCCCCTCTAATATATTTCCAAGTAAGTATCTTCCAAATGTTGACTGGAACAAAGTGTTTTTAAAAACTAGAATAAAAACTTAGCAACACGGAGTTCCTTACTGTTGAAGCCAGGCTCCCATCCACGCTGGTTTCCTTCTCCTGAAGCTCTGCCTGTGTGGGTGCACTAACATTTAAAATGCGCGCTGTCATCTTCACAATTTTGCCAGCTCTCAGTTAGCCCTGATGCTGCTGTACTCGGCCTTGGGTCTTGAGCAGGCTGCTTCCTGGAGGCCTGGGTTTCCTCTCGGAAAGGTAACCTTGGAATCCCTTCCACATCTCAGTCCTGGGCCTCCTCCTCGCTGGGGCTCATCCTAGTTAGTGGCAGCAGGCCCATGTGCCTCCTCTAAGACACAGGTTCTTTCTCAAACACCCAGAAATGGGCCTTTTGTCAAAAAGAATTATCACCAGGGCTTGGTTTCCTCTCAGTTCTAGTCAGAAAGACCAATTATGAAAGAAAACAGTGCCACCTAGTGTTAAAATTAAATCACCGGACCGCACTGCTGGTTTGGGGGCCGTCCCCTGCCTTTCTAAAACATCTTGTCACCTGCCTGCTTAGAAGCCTGTTTCACTCCCAGACCCCTGAGACCTGTCATTTAGAGCTCGGAGCCCAGTGCAGATTCCTCTATCCCAACCTGCCTTTATAATGTTGCCCCATCATCCCCTGCCCCAGGTGGTTTTCACACCATTTTCTCTGGAGCCCATGAACGGCTTGCAGGGGTGGACAGTATGAGCTGATGAGTTTCTAGGCCTGTGCTACATATCTAATCAGATCGCCTTTTTTCTCTTGTAAATAAATATTGGGCTATGTAAGATATTAATTTTAAAAATGATTTCCTGGCTAGAGAAGAATTTTAAAGATTACCACCCTACGCATAACTTTACCTAAAATACAGGCTGTTCCAGAATGTTCCATACTCCCTGTGTGTTTCATTTGGCTGCTTAAGTTTCATTTATTCTTCTCCATAGGTCAAGGCCCATCAGCCTGCAGGGACAACCCAAGCCAGCCCCTCTGAGCCGTCACCTCTCCACGTATCTTACTCCTGGGCCGTGCTGCACACATTAACCCTTAGTTGTGAAGTTGCACGTGTGCGCATCTTGCTTCAACAGGGAAGCTATGAGTACATGGGCAGTGGGGACTTTATGTTTTTGGTTTGTGTCTTCCGGCAGGTTTGAGAAGATGATCAGTGGGATGTACATGGGGGAGCTGGTGAGGCTTATCCTGGTGAAGATGGCCAAGGAGGAGCTGCTCTTTGGGGGGAAGCTCAGCCCAGAGCTTCTCAACACCGGTCGCTTTGAGACCAAAGACATCTCAGACATTGAAGGGTGAGCTTCTGGCCAGCCCCCTCTATTTGCTGGATCACCACACGAGTTGACGGGTAGTTGGGGAATGAGGAGGGGGCTGTACCTTTTGACTCTTCAAGTATAGACTGCAAGAGGGTCTCACATGACGTGGACCATGGCGGGCCTGTGGCTTCACTTCACTTACCAGTCTCCACTCTTGTCGATTTCGATTGTGATTGCTACCAGTGACTCATGGTACTGGGAACGGTGGTTGGCCTCCATATGCAGGGACTTGGGCTGTTGCACTGGGTTTAAAGCTGGAGGACCCCAGAGGGCCCCCGAAAGACTTAGCTGCATCTGCCTCCTTTTCCTTCTCCTGAAGCTCTGACATCTGATTCCCTATTGGCAATTCTCAAAAAGGACTCTGTCATGACCCCTGCTTCATAATAGAAAGCTAGGTCTTTGAATTGGCCAGAGATATAGCTACCCAATTAATTCTAATAAGCAGAGCTGGGGCCTGCATTTTCACAGCCCAGCAGGGGCAAGAGTGAGGATGGCTTGATTTTTGTTGTTGTTAACAATATCCCAAGAGTCAGGCGGGCCTCGTTTACTGTTCTTGAGATTTCCACTTGTAGATTGAAGAAGTCCTGGTGTTTCAGGGACCAGATGGTGGAGAGGAGGTGTCTTTGGAGCCAAATGGAGCAGTGGAACAGTGCCAATGACTTTGTTTTAAGGGGAAACTCTTGAAGGAATGGGGCCTACTTGTTGCTATACCCCAAGGTGATGCAAGTACCCCAAGGTGATGCAAGATTTAGTTCCCTTGAGAAGGGTGCTAAGGTTATAGCACTAGCCCCTTACCAACCATCTTTAGACACAAGCTAAAGCAGTGCCAAGTCCATGGTGAAATGCAATAGACTCCTACTGCTTTAGAGAGAGAAACCAGGTGGGCATCACCGCAGGGTTCACATGTTGAGAGTGGCTGACAGCAGAGACACTGTCTGTCTCCCCTAACACAAGCAGATGTAACACAAACTCTCACACACACAACTTGGTGGTAAAGCACCAAGAACAGGGCCTTGTTTTTACATAGCACATGCATAAGAAATACTTGTGTTTCTCAACTCCGTGTGTCTCTGTGTGTGTGTGTGTGTGTGTGTGTGCGCACGCACATGCGTGTGCGTGTGTGTGTGGTGTCTGGGAGAGGAGCCTCAGGGTGGCTGTGCTATATTTTGCACCCCCTTCCTCCTCCTCCTGCCCCTGCACAGGTGGACTAAGCAATGAAGAGGGATTCTGTCCCCACTGGGTGGTGAATTTGCTGGAACTAAAGGGCTTCCTTGCCACCCCCCGACACACACACTGGCCACAGTGGGTCAGACACAGGCCCACATGCTATCTTTCTGTTTCCCAGGGAGAAGGATGGCATCCGGAAGGCCCGTGAGGTCCTGATGCGGTTGGGCCTGGACCCGACTCAGGAGGACTGCGTGGCCACTCACCGGATCTGCCAGATCGTGTCCACACGCTCCGCCAGCCTGTGCGCAGCCACCCTGGCCGCCGTGCTGCAGCGCATCAAGGAGAACAAAGGCGAGGAGCGGCTGCGCTCTACTATTGGGGTCGACGGTTCCGTCTACAAGAAACACCCCCAGTGAGTCAGTGTGCAGGGCCTGGAGATGCGGAGTTCCTGGAGTACCTGGGGCTGAGTGACTCCTCATGCCAGCTCCATTTTGCATTTCAGGGGTGGTGTGGAGGGACCATAGAGCTGAGGGTCTTGGTGGAATGAAAGTTCCCACCTGGGCAAGGGGGAATGGGAGGAAGTCATATCTGGTGTGGGTGGAGGTGATTTCTGAAGGCTACTGATGACTCGGGCTCTCCGCAGAGCTCCTCTGGCTGCTGGACACTCTCTTTGCCACCCTCTTGTATGCGTTATTGTTCCTGTCTTTACTCTTAGAATTCTTGGTGATTCCTGCAGGTGCTATGTCCTCTGCCAGGGACCACCCCAGCCCAGTGAGGGTTACCAGCTTCTCTGGCTGACCTTGGTATTAAATTGATCCTGCCCTGTCCACATTTTGATCCCTCAGGTCATAGGTACCAGAATATTCACATGTCAGCTGAGACCTGGAAGATGTCTCTTTATTGTGCCTACTTATTTCCCCATCATTTTCACCTAATAAGAATGCCAGGTCAATGTGCCTTTGTTTTCTTAACTTGTCGGTGCAGGAGGCCTCAGCCCTGAGATTCCCTCTTCCTACCCAGTGTTGCAAAAACTCGAGTGTGCACGTGAATCACATGGGGATCTTGCTAAGAGGCAGATTCTGATCAGAAGGTCTGGGGTGAGTCTGAGATCCCGCATCTCTAACAGCCCCCAGTAGGCTGCAGCCTACTCCTGCACTTGGAGTAGGAAGGCCCTGGAGACCATGGCTCCAAGTGGCCACTACCCAGAGAGTTCCTGGCTGAACACGTTGTCTTTAGCTGTGCAGACACCTTTGGGATCATTGGCAGAAACTGGCAAAAGAGAGGCTAAAGTCCAGAAGAGCATCTCTAGCTTTTAATTTTGGGTCTTTCCCAGACAGCAGCTAGTGAAATGAGTGATAGAACAAGACAGATAGGTGGCATCAGAACCACCTAATACCACAGGGCTGCTCCAGCAAAGAGGCTGATGGTACCATGTTGGGCAAGGGAGCAGTGGCCAGGGGGCCTTCTTCAGTGAGGAAGAGGAGGTCTTGTGTGGCTGCATGTAGGGGACAGTGGCTTATTAAAAGGTCTTTTCCTTTCATTGGCGGGGGTGAACCAATCCTGGGTGGTCATAGTTGATATGGTTCTTGTAGTGGTTCCTAACTTGGGACAGTGGAGAGAGGATGTTTAGGGCAGCACCCACTCCTGCAGGTGCCTTTTGGCATTTGGATTAAGGCGGTGGGCAACTGTCTAACTATTTGCACCATTGACCCTAACCATGGACACCTGTCTCTTACCCGCCCTGGGGAACTGCAGTTTTGCCAAGCGTCTACATAAGACCGTGCGGCGGCTGGTGCCCGGCTGCGATGTCCGCTTCCTCCGCTCCGAGGATGGCAGTGGCAAAGGTGCAGCCATGGTGACAGCAGTGGCTTACCGGCTGGCCGATCAACACCGTGCCCGCCAGAAGACATTAGAGCATCTGCAGCTGAGCCATGACCAGCTGCTGGAGGTCAAGAGGAGGATGAAGGTAGAAATGGAGCGAGGTCTGAGCAAGGAGACTCATGCCAGTGCCCCCGTCAAGATGCTGCCCACCTACGTGTGTGCTACCCCGGACGGCACAGGTACACGGCAGGGTTGCCACCTGGCTCACATGGTGGGCCTTTGTCCTGGTGTTGATACCCTGGGAGGGATCCCTTAGCATTAGCATTGGACATTTGAACCAGAACACGTTTCTTCAGCCGTATTACTAGGGAGTTCTAGTCTTTGATAAACTCAAACAAGGTGCTCCTCTGCAAACAGTAGTAATGGTCAACACTTATTGAATGCTTACTGTGTGTCAAAGCACTTTATGTGTATGAGCTCATTTAATCTTTGTTAACTGTTAAAAAATATTAGCAGTTAATTTTATGTATTCACCTATGTTTGACAGAAAACTGAGGCGCAGAGAAGTTAAGACACCTGCCTAAATTCACACAACTAGAAAATGTCGGAGCTGGGATTCAAACCCAGGAATTCAGGTTCTAGAATCTGCTCTTGCAATCACCACATTGGTCTGAGTCAGGGTTGGCAAACTATGGCCCATGGGCTGAATCTGGCCCACCACCTGTTTTTGTACATAAGGTTTTATTACACAGCCATGCCCATGCGTCTGCACGTTGCTTATGGTTGTTTTGCACTGTCTTGGCAAAGTTGAGTGGTGGCAGCAAAGACTGCATGACCCACAGGGCCTAAAACGTTTGCTGTCTGGGCCTTTACAGAAAAAGATTTCTGACCCCTGCTGTAAGTCTTGTAACCTCAGAAATGGTGGTCTTATTCCAATTCAGAGAAGACAGTCGATGAGCAGGCCAGTGTAGCACAGTTGTTACAGGTTCCAGAGACAGACTGGGATTTGGTCCCTGCTCTACCCTGTCCTGGTCGTATGGCCCCGGGCAAGTGATTTAACTATCAGCCAGATCCCAATCATCCTTAAGAGAGGAATGCAGTGTCTCCCTCACAGGGCTGCCTAAGGGTTGAACGAGGACTGTGTGTGAAGCATGTGGCACACTGTAATTGTCCAACAAGGGAGGGTTTTCTCAGTTTAAAAGATTTCCCTTCAGCTTCCTTCAGGGAGCTGGACTCTTCTGTTCCTTCTGTATTCTAGAATGTAATATAAAGTGGCATTTGATGGAACAGGAATGGTGTATTTGGATCGTTTTAAGTGTACTGTCTCCACATTCCCCATGTTCTGCCCCAACTTATCACTTCCCTGGGCTTATTTTCCAGAGAAAGGGGACTTCTTGGCCTTGGACCTTGGAGGAACAAATTTCCGGGTCCTGCTGGTCCGTGTTCGGAATGGGAAGTGGGGTGGAGTGGAGATGCACAACAAGATCTACGCCATCCCGCAGGAGGTCATGCACGGCACCGGGGACGAGGTGAGCAGGGCGGCGCCTTCAGGAGGGGGCCCCTGGTGGACGTCACCTCTTGCCTTCGAGGACAGTGCTTTCTCTGCTCATCTGTGACCCTGGGGAGGGCTAGCTGGACCCAGGGCTGCAGCCTGGTCTTGACTCAGGTTTGTGCCTGAGCCTGCATTTCTTCTGGGTGGAAAGAAACATTGATGTTGTGCGCAGGCCCTACTGGGGGCAGCCTGCCCTGCCCAGGGCCCCTCCCTCAGTGTCCTAACTTCTCCCTGCAGCTCTTTGACCACATTGTCCAGTGCATCGCGGACTTCCTCGAGTACATGGGCATGAAGGGCGTGTCCCTGCCTCTGGGTTTTACCTTCTCCTTCCCCTGCCAGCAGAACAGCCTGGACGAGGTAACAGCACCTTCCTGGAGGGCTCTCCTGTGGGCTTTATTGACTCTAAACAAAACCAGCCAGGTATGGAGCAGGGGAGAAAGTTGAGCTAAGACTAAGGAAAGGAGGGCGTGAGTTACCAGTAGTGGGGAGGGGCTCCTTGATGGGAATGAGTAAGTTGAGGCTGGTGGAGGTTAAGTAGGTTAGCTCAGCTGTGACAGCCTTTGGGACAACGATGATGATGCTACTCAATGTTAACAACTGCCGGGTGTGGTGACTCATACCTGTAATCTCAGCACTTTGGGAGGCTGAGGCAGGAGGATTACTTGAGGCCAGGATTTCAAGACTAGCCTAGGCAACATAGGAAGACCCCATCTCTATTGAACTTATATATATATATATAGCATTTTTAAGCACTTACTGTGTGCCAGGTACTATGTTAGGTTTCTTACCTGCATTATCTCGTTTAACCCTCACAGCAACCATATAAGAGATATGTTTGAATACCCATTCTACAGAAAGGAAGATAAGCCCCACAGAGGTGCTGGGTGTCTTGCTCCAGGTCATAATAGCTTGGGACTGGCCAAGCCAAGATTTGGATTCTGGGTTCCTGATGCCTGAGCCTGTGCTGTCAGTTATGCTGTGGGGCTCCTGAGGCCCTTGTTATGGGCTCAGGGCATTTTCATGCCATATCCTGTTGTTTGGATGCCCTGGCTCTTCTCTGGTCTCATCTTGCTTCTCACTCCTCTTCAGGTTACCTTGGGTGAATGAAGTAGGTGCATGAGGATCTGGCACTCCCAGATGTTCTGGACATGAGTGCCCCGAGAAGTGGAGGAGAACTGAGTAGGCAGTGCTGGATCTGCTGATGACTGGTAGCCCTAAGCATTAGGTATCTGGAGACTGTTTTTAAGCAGTTGTGTCTCTGTCTCAGTCATGTAGGAGTGCACGTGCACGCTGCCGGTGTGTGGTATGTTGCACATGCCACTGCTAGGTATAAAAGGCATGGCTCCTACCTTTAGATGCTTACAAACAAGCTGGGCTGATGAAGCAAGCTCAGAAAAGGAAGAGCTGCTGTTTGGAATGTGGCCCTCGTGGGATGGATACTGAAGCCCCCAGGACAGGTAGTGAGACAGATGTTAATCCGAGTGCATACCTGGGGGATGTCAGGAGGACTTGGAACAAGTCAGAAGAATGAGTTGATGGGAAAGAAAGGTGAGCAGGCTGCCCATTGTGGAGAGGGTCATGTAGGTGGGAGCAAGTGACAGAAAGAGCTGGGCCAGCGCAGAAGAGCCTACCCTAGTGACAAGGAAAGAGCAGCATTTCCCACAGGGTCCCTGCAACAGTGGCCCTCACCTTGGCTTCACTGAGTTTTGTAGATGCCTCCTTCTCCTCCTTATCTGAGAGAATTCCCCATGTGCACTAGTATAATTAAGGTTTTAGGAAGTTCTGCAATAAAAACTCAGCTTAGTCTGGCATTTCTCAACACCTATTAACATTCATGTAGTGTTAACCAGACTAGCGTTGCTTTATGCCTCATGTGGACAAATTCTTATGTACTATTTAATGGACCATTACTTATTATAACAAAGATATTAGAAACAAACTTGCTGAATAGTGAGATAGTAGTTAAATAAATTATGACCCACTTATTAGCTAGTATCAGCCACTAGTTATTTGTAATAAATTTTAATCACATGAAAAATTACTGGTGATATGACTAAAAAGTTTTAAAACTACTTTTCTTTAGAAATGGTAATCTCTTTATAAAAAAACATAAAATACAATTAATGGGATGATAAAAGCATAACCCTCCAGTGTATATCCTTCTTCTAGACTTCCTACCAAAATATTTTCAAGTAGATACTATCTTAACTTTTCATGCCAACAGGTTATATATTTATTTATATATTTGCCAGGGAAACCAGAATGTGTGTTAACTGTTTCTGTCTGAATTGTGAGATTCCAGGCCATTGGATTAGGTTTTATTCTGTGTTCCAGGTTTCTCTGAGGAGCACGTGTTAGGTCTAGAGCCGTAAAAATTAAGAGCAAATAAAGCAGAAGTCATTTCTTCCTGTGGGCTCTGGCAAGACCCTCCTGTGATGGGGAAATCCCACCAGTGCAGAGGCCCCTGGGGTTAGAGACCCCAGGGCTCTGTGGCCCCCAGCTGTGTTTCCCAGCTGTTGGGCCTCCACTTGCCTCATCAGTAAGGATCACCTGAAATTATGTTATTTGAACATCCCGTAAACACAAACTTGCGTCAAACATGTGAAGCTAACTTGTAGAGAGCTGGGTGGAGATCAGCACACACTGGTCAGCCAGCTCTCTGAGGGTATGTGCTTTGTTTTTCTGAATCTCCTGGGGTCTGAACACAGTGTGACACCTCCAGGTTGATGTGAATGAAATGCCAAGCTGATGGGCATGAATCCCTGAGCAAGGCCTGGAGAAATCATGCAAGTGGGTGGGTTATGAGCACACAGCTCATTTATGGAAGCCGAGCTCTTGGGTAAGGAGTCTGAAGCCCTGAGGCTTGTTTCCTGGTGGGCTGTGGCAGCAGAGAGGGCATCAGGGAATAAAACCCAAAGCATTTCTCCCAGGTTCAAAGCCGTCAAGCATCTGCTCCCAGAGGACCACATTGAAGGCAAGGGGCCACTGAGGATGCTGAGGAGGAGCCTGGAGTTGTTTTCCTCACTGAAAGACATGGGGTGGTGGTGAAGCCTAGCTGTCACCCAGCTGTGGGCAAAGCACTTGTTCGCCAGATGCTGGAGTTTGAAAATTAGGAGACATACACTGACCCTTCTGATGTAAAGGATAGGGACAGAGCAAACTGCTTTGCCCAGTGAGCGAACCAAGCACATAGGAAGAAGTTGCACAGCAGGGTCAGCTGCGTGGTGCTTATGAGCCCATTCACTGGGGTCGGAGGGCCTCGGAGTGCATCCTGCTTCTCTCTTCCAAGCTGTAGGCCTTGAGCAAGTCACTCCAGAGCCTCAGTTTCTTATAAAGTGGCCATAAACATGATAGATGTTCCACAAGGGTGCTGTGAGGGTTAAATAATGTAATGCATGATCTATGCTTAGCCCAGTACCTGCTACACAGTAGGTGCTCAATAAATCCAAGTAAGTACCTTAGGAACAGTTTAATTTGCGGGTGAGATGATTGGTGACTCTGGGGGATCCGTCTGACCTGTGAGGTTGAGAGCTAGAAGCACAGCTGGACCCCCAGAACTGACCTGGGAGCTCTTCCCTGATGTCCTTTCCATGCTTGTGTGTGATTTTTAGAGCATCCTCCTCAAGTGGACAAAAGGCTTCAAGGCATCTGGCTGCGAGGGCGAGGACGTGGTGACCCTGCTGAAGGAAGCGATCCACCGGCGAGAGGTAGGAGACACATGGCACGAGGTCTGATGTGTCAGCTCCTCAATGATTGGCCTGGTCTGTGTGTTCAGAAAGTGAAGGCAACAGTAAGTGTGGCTGCATGGGTTGGGAGGAAGATTAACTCAAGCGTCGTTCAGCAGTTTAGTGTGCACTGTGTGTCAAGCAATGCTCTCAGCACTGGCGGTTCAGGAGTGACCACAACAAAGCTTTGTTCTATAAAGTCCATGACCTAGTGGCAGGTGCTGTTAAGAGCTGTGAAACACACACACACACACACACACACACACACACACACACACAGTAAAGGAATAAAAGAATGGCCACTCCATAAGCAAAACAGCCATGAGGGCTGCTGGTTGCACATTTTTATGGTTATTTCTTGATTATATGCTAAACAAGGGGTGTATTATTCATGCCTTCCCTTTTTAGACCATATAGAGTTTAAAAAAAAAAAAGAAAGAAAAGGAGTGAAGTGGGGTGAGGAGAGCAGATGGAGCAAGTGTGCTGGAAAGGGGCACTGTTAAATAGCACAACTTGGGAGGGTCTCACCAAAGAGGTGACATTTAAGCACAGACCTGAATGGAATGAGAGGGTCAGCCATGGTGTATGATATATATTTTATATACCTGTAAATCTCCCATGCAATTGTCTGAAAGGAGAATATTGGGGTTCACCTGTGAACTGGGCATCTGCTTCTTCCCTCTCAGGAGTTTGACCTGGATGTGGTTGCTGTGGTGAACGACACAGTCGGAACTATGATGACCTGTGGCTTTGAAGACCCTCACTGTGAAGTTGGCCTCATTGTTGGTAAGGACCCAGACTGTCCTTTCCACATGGGGATGCACAGCCTTGGGTGTGGAGGGGTTGGTGCTGAGTGAGGCCCTGGTATCCTGTGATTGGCAGGCACGGGCAGCAATGCCTGCTACATGGAGGAGATGCGCAACGTGGAACTGGTGGAAGGAGAAGAGGGGCGGATGTGTGTGAACATGGAATGGGGGGCCTTCGGGGACAATGGATGCCTAGATGACTTCCGCACAGAATTTGATGTGGCTGTGGATGAGCTTTCACTCAACCCCGGCAAGCAGAGGTAGGCACCCAACTGGGGCCCTGTTAAGTGTATCCCAGGACTGGATGGCAACAAGTGATCAGAGCTTCCACAATGGCATCTCCCAGGACGCCGGTTCTCGTGAGATGTTAATAAAGGAGGTTTTCTTGGAAAGGGTTTCTTGTCGAATGCACCTGGAAAGTTCTGAGTTAGTAAATGTAAGAAGCATCTCCCACCCAAAAGCCTAGGAGAACAGGTGGGAGAATACTAGACCCTAGGTCTGGCACTCTAAGGAGAAACAAGTAGAAAGTTGAAGCACCTGCTGCTGACAGGCTGAAGAGCATCTCTTGGGTGATGCAGACAGGAGCAAATCCTCTCCCTCCTCCATCTTCCAGCGCCGAGCACCACCTACTGTCAGAATTGAGCAAGGGGCCAGCCCCAGTGTCACAAGGTCCTGTGCATGGTAGGGGAGCGGGGTCTGAGCTAAGAGACAATAGCTTAAGATCTAACACACTTCTCATTAAGATGTTGTCTGTAGTGTTTCCTAACTAGATTAATCAAACACCCTAGTCCTGCAGAATACGCTTTGCAAAACATGTGTCTAGAATAGAAGTTACAGACTAAAATGCCTCTAGGGGCCAGGCAGGCAACATTAATGAAGGAAGCAGGCTGGGTCAAGATAAGATGGGGTGGTGATGGGCTATTGGTTGAAACTAGGGACCTCGTTTTTTTTTCAAGGCAGGATTCAGGACCAAAAGACCCTCAAGCCACTGCATAATAACGTTTAGTTCCAGTGGCCAGGATGGGGGCCCTACAGCTGGCAGTAGTTACTTGAGTAATGATGGTTAGGTCCAAGAGAATGTATACTGAATGCCTAGTGAGGTTAAAGATTAAGACTCAGCATTCTCCCCTGCTCCGAGAAGTCCAGTGGGGTTATGGTGTGTTCCTTCTCGAGTTGCTTCTTGAAATTTCGAAATAAGCCTTGGAAAGGAAATGAGTTCCTTTCCCTGTGGGTTCCTTTCCAAGGCTTATTTCCCCAGGAGCCCCACGGGCCTCGGGCACTGTGGTCAGTGTTGCTGAAGGTTGTGAATTAGCATGCAAAGACACCAGGGATCCTGCCCAAGTGAATCAAGTAGCAATTCCTTTCCCATCAGGGGAGTCTGCCTGTCTGCCACTGCTGATGCACTGGGGGTGACTAAGCTGGCCTGTCCTGTCTCAACACATCCCTCCACCTTCCTACTTAACCTCCATGAATGTTACTTGCATTGCAGGTTCGAGAAAATGATCAGTGGAATGTACCTGGGTGAGATTGTCCGTAACATTCTCATCGATTTCACCAAGCGTGGACTACTCTTCCGAGGCCGCATCTCAGAGCGGCTCAAGACAAGGGGCATCTTTGAAACCAAGTTCTTGTCTCAGATTGAGAGGTGAGAGCTTAGGGCTCAGGGTAGCAGGGGGGCCATGTCCTTTTTTCTCACTGGCAGACAAACTGAAGGATTTCCATAACTCAGGGCATGACTCATACAAAAGTCAGTTTAGTGGCAAACACATTCATGTCTATAGTGTTTACTAAAAGCACATTATGGGCAGTTGTCATTTTAAGGGCAAACAGAGCATTCTCATGAAAGTTTGTGCTAAGCCTGGCCTGAGGTCATGCAAAGTGATATTGTTGGGTTTTAGACCATGTATCAAAGGTAGAAAGATACCTGCTCATAGCATGTAAATTGAAACGCACAGAGGAAGATAACCTATTAAAGCATCCACACTTGGCTTGAAAGCCCTTCCTAACTGCTGGCTGCAGTAATCAGGCAGCCAGGATTGAGTAAAGGTTGGAACGTCAGGCAATGCAGACACATGCCACACAGTGGCTCATTAGAGCAAAGCCTCCCTCCTACAGTCAAATGGTGGAAAATCTCCAAATTAGAACAGTGAATTTCAGAGCCCTTTAAAAATTAATGCTGTGCCATTACTCTCAGGGCAGAGAAGAACAGGAACTAGACAACTGATGTGAGTAGACCCCTCGGGCATCTGCACCAGTGAATAGAAAGATATATTCTAGCTTATAGGTCTGTTATGTTCAGCGAGGTGATTCCAGGCTTCTAAAATAGCTTTCTTTATATAGGAGGGTTTATTTTCTTTCTATAACTTTATTTACACTTCCTTCGTAAATAGCATATAAATACAGTTCAGACCACCCAGAGCAGCAGAGCAGAAATAAAGCACGAGTCTAATGCTGCTTGGTTAGTTCCTGCCCTGCAAACCCATGAACAGCAGCGAGAAAATGGACATGAAAGAGCTTTGTAACTGACCACTGTGATAAACAGTGAATTTGCTTTGTTTTGAGTATCTACTTTGTAGTAGTAATGGTCTATCTGGAGTAGGGAGAGTAGAATGAGGAGCTGTTTGTATTCCTGTCACCGTCAGGAAGAGTCAATGCAGTGCAGTAGGTTGAGCAGTGGTCTGAATTTAGGAATGGGAACCACCTCGAGGGGCCAGCTCCTGGAGAGCTAGACCCCCACAGAGCCTCCCCTGTAAGGACTCAGGCCCTGGTGTGGTAGGCTACCAGCCTTCTTGGTGCATGACTGAACACTTGCTGTCTCCCTCCCACCCCAGTGACTGCCTGGCCCTGCTGCAAGTCCGAGCCATCCTGCAACACTTAGGGCTTGAGAGCACCTGTGACGACAGCATCATTGTTAAGGAGGTGTGCACTGTGGTGGCCCGGCGGGCAGCCCAGCTCTGTGGCGCAGGCATGGCCGCTGTGGTGGACAGGATACGAGAAAACCGTGGGCTGGACGCTCTCAAAGTGACAGTGGGTGTGGATGGGACCCTCTACAAGCTACATCCTCAGTGAGTGCCTGATCCCAGCCCCCCCTGCCTACCTTCTTTCTGTCTTTGTTCTTTCCCTTTTCTTTCTCTCTTTCCTTTGTTACTTTATAGTGAATTATCAGCCATTCCAAATAGTGTATATAATACATGGATTATAGTTTAAAGATTCATAATCAGAAGTAGGCCTGTGTTTCACCCCCCACCGTGGGAAGCCCCCTCCGAGCCCCTCCACAACTGTGTCATCATTCTCCCATGCCAGGGGTAAGTGTTGTGCTGAATCAGTCCCTTGCTTTTCTTTTCCACCCCCATATATGTAGGTATGCATCCATATTGTTTAGTTTTACTTATTTTTGAACTTGCCACAAATAGAATCACATGGTATCTCTTCTGTGGCTGGCTTTTCTCACACAGTGTTTGTTTTGAGACGCATCCGCATTGAAGTATACAGTTGGTAGTTCATTAATTTTCAGAGCTGTATAGCGTACCTTTGAGTATGTTGTTTTTTCTATCGTTGAGGTGATATTTAGGTTACTTCTAGATTTTGACCATTACAAACAGTGCTACTGTGAACATTCTGGCAAATGTAATGCTAGAACTCTGGAGCAAGATTTTTTTTCAACATTCTAGAGCAGGGGTTGACAGGCAACAGCCACAGGCTGTTATTGTACATATAGTTTCATGAGGATTGGGAGGGGGCAGAAGCCCAGCCACCAACCCTGGGACATGGCATCCTCAGCTTTGTAGATGGGGAGGGTGTCCTGACCCTGCTGTATTGGGGCAGATCACAACTCTCTCTTTCTCTGGTCCATATAGGAAGGATCTGTGATCACTGTGATATCCTAGCAGTGACTCTGTAAGTCTGCTTCTTTTGCCTCCGATGACATTTTGGAGCACATGTGGCTCTGATATGAGGCTATGCGCCAGGAAAATAGAAAATCACATTCATGAGTCCTGGTCCTGGTCTCCCCCTCCAGAGTTGTGCTCCTCTGTTAGGCACACTTGTGGCTTCCATGGTTGTTGAACTTCTCTTTTACTGACTATTAGTTTTAAGAACACAGTTTGCCAGGATCTCAGACGTTTGTCCCAGAATTGAATCCTAGCTCTCCTAATGGCTGATATGATGTGGAAATTGGGCATAGTACTAGTGTCTCCAAGCCACGGTTTTCTGGTACTTAATAATATATAGTAAATGTTTAATACATTATAGCTGTCATCCTTCTCCTCTTCTTAATTATTTCTGTGTTTCCAGCATCGCTTCTTAGCTTTCATTTCTAAGTGCAAATACAAACCAATCATGACTAAGATGGTTTTTCCTGTGTCTTCCTCCCACCTTTTCCAGCTTTGCCAAAGTCATGCATGAGACAGTGAAGGACCTGGCTCCGAAATGTGATGTGTCTTTCCTGCAGTCAGAGGATGGCAGCGGGAAGGGGGCGGCGCTCATCACTGCTGTGGCCTGCCGCATCCGTGAGGCTGGACAGCGATAGAACCCCTGAAATCGGAAGGGACTTCCTCTTTCTCTCCTTCTTCCCTGTTTTAAATTATAAGATGTCATCCCCTTGTGTCAGAGACAGACCCCTTGGCTTTTGCTTGGCAGAGAGGACCCCACTGGACTGGGTTTTGTCTCTGCATCTCATTGTAGAGCTTGGTGGCTGAGCTTGGCCCTATTAAGATAAATAGAGTTCCAAATAAGGATTTGTTCACATGCATCATAACCATTCCCATTGGTTCTCCTAAAACATGAAAATTATCTCCCTTAGTAATCCCCCTTGCCAAATTCCATGTCCCTGTATAATTCTACAGGATGGGGACACTAATGAAGATACGGTTGCTTCACCTTGGAGCCTGAACATGACATTTCTAAGTGGGGTGCATCCCCCAGCACTGATGTTGTTACTGATTCTCCTGTCAGAGATCTGGGAGGTCTCCACTGAGGATGTGAGCCTGATTATCCTATAGGCAGACGTGGGGAGGGTGGAGGGGTGACAGTGGAGGAAAATCCATGGATATCCACGCAGCAGCCCCTCTTTAACCTCATCTACAAGCATTTGCCCTGTGGATTCCAGCATTTGCCATTCCTGGAATCAAGGAATCCTGAGTCTGGGCAATGAAACCAAAGCCAGGAGTTGACGCATCCTGCAGTTGGGCCAGCTGTCGCATCTCAGCGGGGCGCACATGTTATCCACAAGCAATGGACCTTTGGGGAAGGGGGAGTTTTTAGTTTGTTTTACAAATTTTTCCTGCAAAAGTGGAATCACTGTATTTTCATTTTAATTTATATTTGAAATTTTATTTAGTTCTTGAGTAGATCTGCTTCTTCATCTTGACATGTAATGAATGGTCAGTTGTACGTAATGTATTTATATGTTAATTTGTTATGTATATAGATGTGCAAGTCTTGTCAGAATTGGCCTCAGTGTAGTTAAAGGGCAGAAGGGGAAGATACTGACTAGTCATAGAAATACCTCATTCGCCTGTGGGAAGAGAAGGGAAGCCTCTTCAGGGTGAGTGAATGGCAAAGCGGTTGCTTCTGGCTCCTCCTTCCCCTGTGGTCTTGGAAGTGTGTGGAAGGCAGGGACAGAGATGGAGGCCGAGCCAATAGACTGAAGAGACCACAGCAATTGGCTCCTCCATCTAGAGATTTTCTTGGCAGTATTCCATGGGATGTTAAGCAAAGGAAACCAAAGGAATCGTTTCAAATGGACTCATGGCTTAGAAATCTTTATTCTTAGGGCAGTCAGTAGTATTCTAAAGCTTTCTGACAAGATAAAGGAAGTCACCAAAATTTCTTTTTTTAAATTGTATCTAATCCTCAACAACAAACCAAAACAGAACAATTAAACAGCCAAATAAAACCTCAGGGACAACATTTTTGGTGTATTTGAGCCCTCCCAGCAAGTTTCACCTTGGGTTTGTATTTTAAATGTTTTACAAGAATTGTCCATGTGCTTCCCTAGGCTGAGCTGGCATTGGTCTGCTGACCTGTTTTTGTGTTTTTCTTTTTTTTATACACAACATTTATTTCAAACTATTGGGAGGGATGAGAGTGGCTTAAAAACTTCCATCCCTACTTTTCAAGAGTGCAGTTGATTCTGAATCTGAAAGCCCGCCTCTGTCCTAAAATACAAACAAGCACAGACATTAAACCTGGATACTATATGATAAAGAGGGATGTAACTATTGAATTGGATACAAGGATCAGAATGGAAAGAAACTCACGATGAAATTGAACCTGGTTTTTGTATATTTATCAAACTTGTGCTGAGAATAGTGTCTGATTATACGACTTTTAAGCAAAGTTGGGTGTAATTAGGTGAAAACAGCCCAGGTCCTCCCGGGAGCACAGAGGGGCTAGGGGCTGGTCCTTCTCGTTTGCTCTAGTCTTGCTTTGCTGTCTGGTGTAGCTCCTCTGCTGCTCCCATCTGCACTAATTGACCCAAAACGTGGGTATTTCCTGCTACACAAAAGCCAAAAGGTTTCATGTAGATTTTAGTTCACTAAAGGGTGCCCACAAAATAGAGATTAATTTTAACTTAAATTTTAAGCTTGAAGATTAGGTACTATCTGTGAAGTTACACTTTTTTTTTTTTTTTTAAAGGTAGAGATGTGTGTGTGTGTAGGTATTAAAGATGTGTTGTTGGTTTCCAAAAAGGAACACTGGAAAATAAATTTTGAATGTTTATGTTCTCAGAATCAGGTTGACAGTCCCTTGCTGACATGGCTTTGCTTTGTGTAAATACAGTGGATCTCAATCTTCGGGGTGTGATGAATAGCGAATCATCTCAAATCCTTGAGCACTCAGTCTAGTGAAGATGTTGTCATTATGTACAATACATAACTAGTTTAATTAACTATGTGATGTTAACTATTATTAATAAATTTTAACATTTTCCAAAATAATCAAATGTGATTCATGAGTGTTTTTAAGAGAGTAGTCATCTTCCGGTCGTATCAGTACTTCCTGGCCAGCCCGATGAGTAATTTATGGGTGTCTTGATTTTGAGTGTGTGTGTTTGAGAGGCATGTGGCTTTTCCAGAAACTCAGTCCCAGTGGAATTAGAAGGCAGCTTTTCCTGGACTGCCTTGGACCCCTTAGATTTCAAGCCACTGAAGAGCTATGGCTAGTCCTGCGGTCTACTGTTTAAATAGCTTGGCTGAAATTAGCACCACCCTGAGGGCCTCTGGCTGGTCTTGGTTGGCAAATGTGATTCATATTCAGGATATATAGCTCTCGTGAACATCCAAAAAGCACTTGCCTCTGTCCTCTCCCTACCAAGCTTTTCCTTCTCCCCAGTAAGCAGAACACAGGTCTGGGGAGTAAATTCATCAAAAGTCCCTAGTGATACCCATTAACATTCACATGGCCCTGTTTGACAATAACCGAGGGAAGAAGATGACCATGGCTAAGAGGATAATGGAGATAGCCAATGGGTGAGGGAAAGTTTAAAATTAGACCCTATTTTTTCTGATATCAAACTGGTGAGATTATGGGAGCATTCTCCTACACTGTTGGTGGAAGTATGATTGGTATAGCCCTTATGTGGGGAAAACAGGCAATATGCCTCACAGCAGGTTTTGTGTAATTTTCTAGAAATTTGTGCTAAGGAAATACATATAGTTGAGGACTAAGATTTAACTTTAAGGATATTGACTATCATATGGCTTATAATAGCTAAAGAGAGAAACCGTCTCTATATAATAGACCCACTCACCCTTTATCAGGGTACAGTCAGGAAAACAATCCATTCCAGTCATTGTAAACATTTTAATACTGTGACTTGGTTGCATAGGGTGACGGCAATGCTGAGAAGCCAAGCAGTACAGAGAAGCAACCCAGGGATTAGCAACATCAAGAAAAGTAGCTTCAATCCCACTGGCTGGATCCGAGTCCCAAAGCTGGGGTAAGGGGGCAAGTACTGGGACTGTGGAATGGGGTGGGAGATGAAGAAATTCTCTGCCTTCCTCCCGCCCACTCATTTTCTGCAGTGTTTCCATTGGTTGAACCTAGCAGGAAGTGTGTTGGCACAGGGAGCCTGGGAAATGGAGCCTCCTGTGATATGGCGCAATTAGGAAAGTAACCGGCATGCGACTTATAAAACCACTATGTGGTTTTATAGAATATTATTGAGCAGGGTTATTACTAAATATTCTCCATTTAGTAATATAGAAAACATTGCCAGTATGCTGCTTCATGCCAAAGAATATTTCAGAACAGTGTATTGTGATCCTGTTTTTGTTAAAAAAAATACTTGTTAAAAATTACGATATATGACATAAGAGTTGTAATGGGTTTCCCTGAGTGCCTCCTCTGCCTTGCTGAATTCTGGTAGAGGCCTCAGCCCCCTTTCTCAGCAGCTCTCCCTCAAATGACTCACCCCTCTGGGAGTCTGCATGCTGCAGTTCAGCTTGGTGGTGTTCACCAGCCTTAGCCAGGCTGCTACTCAGTGCAGTTTTGGTGCCACCTACCCTCCCTAGGCCACTGCTGCCCCCACTTCACAGCCTCAGGGAAGATCTGCACTCCCATTTCCCACTGGGGGCTCAAAGTGGACATAGACACATTCTCCACAGACCATAATACTGGCAAAACATTCAGAAGATACTTTGTGAGATGGTTTGGCTCTCTCTCCCTACCCATATCTCATGTCACATATCTCATAATTCACAGTGTTGGAGGAGGGGTCTGGTGAGGGGGGAGGTGATTGAATCATGGGGACGGACTTCCCCCTTGCTGTTCTCATGATACAGTTCTTAGGAGATCTGGTTGTTTGAAACTATATAGCACCTCCCCCTTCTCTCTCTTCCTCTTGTTGGCCATGTGAAGATGTGCATGCTTCCACTTACCTTCTGCCATGATTGTAAGTTTCCTGAGGCCTCCCCAGCCATGCTTCCTGTGCATCTTGCAGAACGATTAGTCAATTAAACCTCTTTTCTTATAAATTACCCAATCTCAGGCAGTTCTTTGTAGCAATGGAAGGATGGATAAACACACTTTTTTTAGTGTATAATTTAACGCAGGTATTTGCACTAGAATGCCCTCCAAGCCCTGGATTCCCCATGCTCATGGCTTCGCTTGGGCTGCCTCCCTGCCCAACTCCCACCTGCTCTGTGGGATTCCTCACCACAGGAGAAAGCCATGTCCTTTAATGGGACTCAGAAAACGATATTCCAAAATAATGGTCCTTTGACATGCTGAATAAAGAGGCAACCTCAAGGTCTTTATATACTCCTGCCCCACCCTCAACCCCCTGTTTCTCCCAAAGCAAAGGATAAGGCTTTTCTCTGATATTCCCTGATCTGTGTAAAGACTGAACCCCCTCCTCACAAGGAGAACACAACTGCCTTCTGTCCTTTCCCTGAAATCTCTTAAGGACCGGACCCACCTAGAAGAACACAATTGTCCTCTATCCTCTCTCTGAAATTTTATTATCTGTTGCAGAAAGGAAGACTGAGGAATGCAACCACAGCTGGATGGATTTTTTCACAAGATAATGTTTGTGGATTCCAGCATTTCATTCAAATTCCAAAGAGAATCATTTACAAGTTAATTTCTGTCTACCTGGCACATTCATTCTCTCTAATAAACATTTCCGCCCCTTGAAAAAGTCATCACATTTCCCCTATCTCTCCTTCCCCTATGAAGAAGGGTTTATAAGCATCTGGACTTCACTACATTATTGGGTAATCATTCTGTGATTCTTCCATGTTATGTATGTTAAAATAAATTTGTACACAAAATAAAACTGCAATAGGAGAACAATCCTATTAATCTGCCTTTTGTCAGTTCATCTTCAGAAAACCTTCAGAGGGTGGAGGGGGAAGGTTTCTCTCTTTGCTTCTGCAGATTTGAGGCTGTGAGCAGGATAAACCACATCTAGTCTGCTCTTCTGGAAACCACAGTCAAGGGAATCTAGGACCTGACAAACTGGCAAAAAGGGTAAGAATTTCTCACCAGTCAGATTCCCAGGTGTCTGTCTATGGAATCCAATAGAGCAGATGGTAAAAATCACTGTCTCTGTTTCCTTTCCAAATTCAGGTTAGTGGGGGAGAAAAGCATTTGTACAGACTTGCCTTAGGTTTAGTGACCATGGTATATTTTTATCATGGGGGCTGCATTTTTTGCACCCATTTAAAAAATGCCCCATGTTATTGTAAATCTAGAAAGTTACCTTTGGGACTTTCCATAAAGAAGGCTTATTGGTTTGAGTCACTTATGGGATAAATAAATCAGCCGTATTTAAACAACTGTTTTGCCAGTTTGTCAAGTCCTGGGTTCCCATGACTGTCTTCTTAGTACCCATGAAAAGACACAAAAGAAATATAGCCTCAGAGACTTATTTGACAAGAATAAAAGAAAAACTTTGTTTTAAACCTAATATTAGGTTTAAAATATTAGGTTTAAAACAAAGTTAATATCCTTCAAATGCTCACACTGTCTGCTTTGGATTTTATAAGCAACGCACTCTAGCCTGTGGTCTAGTGGTTAGAATTCAGTGTTTTCAGTGCTCTAGTCCAGGTTCAATTCCTGGTCAGGGAACCAGTTCTTTGGAAATAAAAGTCCTTTGACTCAGTAGGGGGAAAAAAAAGCATTTATGAGAGTTTAAATTACTTATCTTGAATTTACATTTCTATGACTCTTGACTTTTGGAGGTATCCAGTCATTTGTAATCCTTTCTTCCCTCATGAACAGCATCAGGTTTCCTGCTTCTATTTTCCATCCGTTGGGTCACATGTGTTGTTGGGTCTTTGATGCAGGTGACCAGCTGAGAGGTTGGGACCCTAGAGAATATGTCCAGATGGAGGTGTGAGTTGCACCCCATTTGCAACTGGTGAAACTTTCCTTTTTTTAAGTTGTCGTTGGGAGTAGTCTGGATCTTGGAAATGTTGCAGCTTTTCACTCCCGTTTTGGAGACCTTGGTTAAAGGCATAAAGGGCTTCATGGTTTTAGTCTCATATGTGTTAATTTGTTTCCGTTTTGAGTCATTTGAAGTTATGCCTTTGGTTTAAAACTTTGGTTTGTGTTTAGAGTGTGATGGCAACTCCCCACCTCCCCCTCCCCGCCGCCGCCGCCCCATTTATTTTACTTTCTGGGCAGGACAGCCAAAGCCATGAGCAAGCAAGGTGCCTCTCCCAGGCAAAAAGGGGAGATACTGCTCCCACAGCCACGGCTGCCACAACTACCACCACTCCTCAGCTCCAGGGAAGGTCGGTTGCTCATAGGGCAGAAAGTTTGCCGCTCGTATATTTAAAAGGATTTTTGTTGAGACCTATATGGTATGGTCAGAAGTCAGCTTAATTAAAAGGTGATATTCAGGTATTTCTGTAAAAGTTATCTTTTAGGTCCTATTTCTCCTGTGGGAACTTCTTAGTCAACTAGGCCTCTTTTTCTGGGACCCCTGGTAACTAGAACTTCATTGGCATTCTGGGAAACTTAAAAACTCCCCAAACTGGCTCTTCTAAGACCTGTTCTTACACTTACTTAAGTCCAAATGCTTTTCAAGTTCATGTCACTTCAATAAATCTTTGGTAAATAAAGTTAGTTCAAAAATTGTTGGTAAAATAAACCTGTCTAACCCAGGCAAAAATGTCAGAATGAATGTTGACAATTTTGAAATGTCATGTCAACATTCATTCTGACATTTTTGCCTGAGTCTACTGGTTAGACAGGTTTAGGCTGTCTCTGTAGATGTATTAAAGTCATAAAACTTGCTTCTGTGATATTTTTGATACTTGCTTGATTTGTTGGTAAGCTAAAGCTGTAAGGGCTGGCTTCTGGACTCCCCCAAAACCTTACACACATCTTGCTGCAAGCTTATATCTTTGGTTTTCAGCAGCTGTATTCTGGGGTCTGGATAGGTGGCCATGGTGAGTACTTGAGATATGTGCGTGCGCAGCACAGGGCAGAGCCAAGCCCAATATGACCACATCTTCCTTGGCTCAGCTCTACCTCCTGGCCATGCTGGGAGACACTGGATTCTCCAGGCATTGTCTTCACAGCTCCATCCTCTGTCTTGGGCTCAGCACTCGCTATATAAATCCAGGACACAGATAGGCCCCACCCTTCATAACTGCTCTGGGTACCACATTGGTATTTGGGAGCTAGGATGACTGGGGCTGAGGGGCACATTGAGGAGAGTACCTGTGTCCAGTATCTTAAAGATCTTGGTTAAGATGAGATTGGCTAATACAGGTTTTGCTTTTTCAAAAGAAAAAATAACATAAATGGCTAACTTTTACATGAGCAATTCAAATATAATTGTTAAGAATGAGCAAATTAGGTAAGTGTAAATGGGATAAATGCTTTTATAAGCTTGCCATCATTTCAGAAATCTTTTTGGTAACTTAAAATCTTAAAGTCAAGTCATGTTCGATTAAGTAGTAGATAATCATAAAATATCTCACTCATTTCTCAGTAAGTTAAAATACAGAAATATTAATTATTAAACATAAATATGTTTATACATTTTGACATATTATTGTACATGGTATAGAAAAGCTAAACATATCTGGATCTGTTAATAAACAACAGAAAAAAAAATGGAGAGAACATATATTTCTCAAGCTCCTGGCTTCAAGCACTCCTCCTGCCTCAGCCTCCCAAAATGATGGGATTACAAGTGTGAGCCACCATGTCTGGCCAGGAACATATATTTCTAAAAAATACAAAATGTTTTTCATCCACAAATACTTATACAAAACAATTCAAAATAACTTACTTCCTAAGTTTTCAATAGAAATTATAGCTACCAAGAGTTAAAATTATAATTAATATGTATAATTAAAACTACTATCTCTAAGAAACAATTCTGTATACAGAGTATATGAGGAAAGCAAGATGTTATAAGGTATGAAAATAGGTATTTTGTTGTGGAAAGAAATGTTTTTGTCTAGGGGGAAGTTATTTAAAGTTCATTTTAGAATAAATGAATAAAGGAACAAATGATATAGATAAAACTAAATGAATATAAAAAGTTGGGGGAAGAAAGAATAAAAAAGTTGTAAGAGATTATAAAAGGTTTATGAAAATGTTATTTTGTGTGGTCAAAACTGAGATTGAGTGGATTTATTAGGTTTCATTAAAATTAGCTTTAGTATTGATGAAACAAAAGTAAAATTTGTTTTTCCCTTTTAAATAAGATTTTCTTGCATCAATAAGATAATAAAAGGCTGTTCACCTTTTGCACAAAGTACAAAAGAAATTTTAAAAGGGAAGAGAGAGACAGACTCTGTATGCCTCATGCTGTCTTTCTTAGTTCTTTTGATTACTTGAAAAACTAAGTATCTATTAAAGAGTAAAGATTTTTGCTTATTGAATTTTTTTTTTTTTTTTTTTTTGAGACAGTCTTGCTCTGTCACCCAGGCTGGAGTACAATGATGTGATCTCGGCTCACTGCAACCTCCGCCTCCTGTGTTCAAGCAGCTCTCTTGCCTCAGACTATTGAGTAGCTGGGGTTACAGGCACCCGCCACTATACCCATCCAATTTTTGTATTTTTAGTAGTGATGGGGTTTCACCATATTGGTCAGGCTGGTCTCGAACTCCTGACCTCAGGTGATCCATCCGCCTTGGCCTCCCAAAGTGCTGGTATTACAGGTGTGAGCCACCGCGCCTGGCCCTATTCCTTGATTATATACTAAACAAGGGGTGGATTATTTATGAGTTTTCTAGAAAAGGGGTAGGCAATTCCTGGAACTGAGGTTCCTCCTCCTTTTAGACATATAGGGTAACTTGCTGATGTTGCTATGGCATTTTTAAACTGTCATGAACTGGTGGGAGTGTCTGTTAGCATGCTAATGCATTATAATTAGCATATAATGAGCAAGGAGGACGACCAGAGGTCACTTTCATCGCCATCTTGGTTTTGGTGGGTTTTGGCCAGCTTCTTTACCATTTGCTGTTTTATCAGCAAGGTCTTTGTGACCTGTATCTTGTGCTGACCTCCTATCTCATCCTGTCACTAGGAATGTCTCACCTCCTGGGAATGCAGTCCAGTAGGTCTCAGCCTTATTTTACCCAGCCTATATTCAAGATGAAGTTGCTCTGGTTCAAATGCCTCTGACACTTATATTTGGACAAACTTTGTGCATGCAAACTACAAACAAAAAAAAATCTGTCAGATTGCCACAAATCTTCTTAACTGACTGCCTTCTAGACTCTAAAGGAACCAGCTTATAGACTACTGCAGACATTTGTTTTTCTTATTTCCATAGAAATGCCTCTAATTAAGGATCTTTTTGCCAAATCATGTATGGAGGCCTACCTTTGAGATCCCATCTGCAATGCCAACCATTTATTGAACTGGTCTATTCCCAAGAGTGCGAGGCTGGTTGAATGGGACCCGTTGCCATTCAGCTACTAACTTGATTTTTCTGTCCACAGCTACTCACAAAATTTTTAATATATAAACCTTCTAGGAAAGTTTCAGACAGGGAATGTTGGGTCTCAGAAAACAATACCCCAATATAAGGTGCATGGACATGCCAAATAAAGAAGCAGCTTCAGGAGCTCTCTATGCTCCCCTCCTGCCCCAAGCCTCTGTCTGTCCAAAGCATAGGATGAGGCTTTTCTCTAATACCCCTTTATCTGCATAAGGACGACCCAACTGGGAGAGCACAACTGTCCTCTAACCTCTCCCTGATATTTCATTATCTATTTCAGAAAAGAAGCCTGAGGAATGCAACCACACCTGGACAGACTTTTTCACAAAATAATGTCTGCCTCTTAGGCTCATTCAATTTCAAAGGGAATTATTTACAAGTTAATTTCTGTCTTTTGAGTCCAGTCATTCTCCCTAATACCGATTTATTATCCCTCAAAAAAATTGCCACATTTTCCCCATCTCTTCTTCCTTTATGAAGAAGGGTATATATGCATCTGGACCTCATTGGGTTATTGGGTAATACTCTTGTGATTATCCTGTGCTTATGCATGTTAAAATAAATTTGTATGCATTTTATCTCCAATTAATCTGCCTTTTGTCAGTTCATCTTTGCAAACCTTCAGAGAGTGAAGGGGAAAGATTTTCTCTTTATCCTAAACCTTCAAAGAAATGGGTGGTCTGTGCCTAAGTTGTTTGTTGCTTGGAAATTGCTTTTCCACCTTCTTCCAAGCCTGTTGGGTCCTTTTCTTTCTTTCCTTTCTGCTTTGTTTTCTTTAGTTTGGGCCTCAGGTGCAGAAGCCTAAATTACTTATAGTTCTGCCTTATTCCGGGCCTTTTCTAGTCTTTGCATAAACCTTTCTTGCTTTTTCATTTTCTTATTCCCTTTTATCCTCATTTTCCATTCTCTACTTACAATCAACAAATGTGTTATTGTGTTTGATGTGCAACTTATTTTTGTATGTGTTTTTATAAAGCATATATTGTGTGCATGAAATTTTACATGCACACAAAATTTACAAAATTCTATTGGCTAAAAGTCTCTTTTTTCCATCCACTAAGCACCATACTTTTAAAGATCCACAGACGCTGCTATGTGTATGTCTCACGCGTCCGTGTGAAGAGGCCATCAAACAGGCTTTGTGTGAGCAACAAGGCTGTTTATTTCACCTGGGTGCAGGCGGGCTGAGTCTGAAAAGAGAGTCAGCAAAGGGTGGTGGGCTTATCATTAGTTCTTATAGGTTTTGGGATAGGCGGTGGAGTTAGGAGCAATGTTTTGCAGGCAGGAAGTGGATCTCACAAAGTACATTCTCAAGGGTGGGGAGAATTACAAAGAACCTTCTTAAGGGTGGAGGAGATTACAAAGAACCTTCTTAAGGGTGGGGGAGATTACAAAGTACATTGATCAGTTAGGGTGGGGCAGAAACAAATCAAAATGGTGGAATGTCATCAGTTAAGGCTATTTTCACTTTTGTGGATGTTCAGTTGCTTCAGGCCATCTGGATGTATACGTGCAGGTCACAGGGAATATGATGGTTTAGCTTGGGCTCAGAGGCCTGACAGTGTACATCTAACTCATTACTTCCAGTGGCTGCACAATGTCCCATTGTTTGGATGCACTGTGTGTTCCTATTCACTCCCTCAGTGGTAAATATGTGCATTAGCTCAACTCCAGCTACACAAACATCATTGTAATAAGCATCTTTGCACATGTTCTCTTAATTGTCTTTGTGATAATCTCGCTGGGCGTCTACACAGGGGTACAATAAGGGGGATCACAGTGTGTACATTTGTTTCTTTTGACCCTGAACTACCAGATTACTCTTCTGAAAGGCTGCCCTACCCAGCCCCTAATCCCACCAGCAGCAAATCTCCACTAACACTGGCATTATCCACTTCCTAATTGCTGTTAATCTGTTGAGTGGAAAGTGAGATCTTTTGGGTGTTTTAATTTACATTTCTCTAATTACTATGAACTTGAGCATCTCTTCATGTTTCTTAAGCTTTTGGATTTTCCTTAATTGCCTTTTCATATTCACTGCTAATTTTTCACCCAGGATTCTTTCTTTTTCCTTCCTGATTTGTTAGAGTTTTTTGTTTAATCTAGATTAGTCCCTTGTTGGCTTTAGATAGTGCATGTATCTTCTCCTAACCTGTTGTCCATGGTGTCATTTAATGACCAGGAATCCTTTATTTTGGTGTAATTAATTCCACCAGTTTTTTTTTGCTTTATGGCTTGTACTTTGGACCTTTCTCAGTCTTAGACCACTAACGTGGCCTTCTATTAATTTTATTTGTAGGTTTACTTTTTACCTTAAAGGCCCTGTTTCCAATCAATTAAATGATTAACAAAACCCTCAGAGAATCCATCTTTTTATGTAACATTAAGTAGGTTCTTGTTTTATTTTATTTTTGTTCACATGATTAGCAAGTTATTAGATTTTTTATTACTGATCTGGGACATCTTTTTTTTTTTTTTTTTTTTTTTTTTTTTATGAGACAGAGTTTCACTCTGTCACCCAGGCTGGAGTGCAGTGGCACGATCTCGGCTCACTGCAACCTCCACCCTCCGGGTTCAAATGATTCTCCTTCCTCAGCCTCCTGAGTAGCTGCGACTACAGGTGCCTGCCACTGCGTCCGGCTAATTTTTTGTATTTTTAGTAGAGACGGGGTTTCACCATCTTGGCCAGGCTGGTCTTGAACTCCTGACCTCGTGATCCACCTGCCTCAGCCTCCCAAAGTGCTGGGATTACAGGCGTGAGCCACCGCGCCCAGTCTTCTTAAATATTCTAAGTTTGCAAGGGTCTGTTTCTGAGTGTTTTATTCTGTCTCATTGATCTGTTTTGCTTGTTCTTGGGCCAGTAACATACCGTTTGTATTACCAGGGCTTGAGAGCGTGCCCTAATATCTAGCAGGGCTAGACTCCCCTCTTCTTTTTCAAAGCTGACTTTTGCTATTCATGGCTCTTTATTCTTCCATGTAAATTTTAGAATAAGTTTATCTAGTCTCTGAAAAAATTCAATTTAAGTTTTGATTAGAGGTGTAATGGATGTACTGATCTAGGTGTAGAATTGACTTTTACAATATTTGCCAGAGCATAGAATATCTCCTTGCATAAAATTATAAAATTATAAAATCTTTTCTGCCTTTTTATCAGTTTCAAAGTTTTTTCTATAGTTTTGTGAATTATTTAAGTTATTACACAGACAGTTCATAGCTGCTGTGCATGGTCCTTGATTTTTATTATTTTTTCTGGTTGGTTATTGCAGATTACAACACAATTTTTCGACCTCAGCATTATCGACATTTCAGGCCAGGTAATTCTTTGTCGGGGTGGGAAGGAGGGTCTGTTCTGTGCACTGTAGGATGTTTAGTGGCATCCTTAGCTTATATACATCGGATGCCAGTAGCACCCCAACCCTAGTTGTGACAAAATGTCTTCAGATGCCAAATGTTCCCATAGGATTGACAGATAAAATACAGGATACCCAGTGTTTTGTCTCAATATTGCATGGGACAAAATTATACTAAATAATTACTCATGGTTTATCTGAAATTAAAATTTAACCAGGTATCCTATATTTTTATTTACTAAATATGTCAACTGTACCTGAGGAACAAAATCATTCCTGGTTGAGAACAACTGGTGTAGAGAAATGTTAGACATTTCTATAAGTTGATCTTATTCCTGAGAACCTTGCTGAATTTTATTATTAATTATAATGGGTTCTTTGCTCTGTTGGTTTTTCTACATAGACAATCCTACCATAATGGCAGTTTCATCTCTTCTTTTCCCTTCAAGTAGCTAAACCTGCTTTTTTTTCTTTAAATATTTTCTTTTCTTACAGTAATGGTTAGGATCTCCAGTACGAAGTCATATAATAGAAGTCACAGGGCATTTTGGTCCCATTTTCAATCTTAAAGGGAATGTGCCTAAATTTTCTCTATATGAAAAATGTTTGCTATAGATTTTTTTTGGTAGCAATTTAAGGGTTTTCTTTCCCATTTTTAGTGTCTTAGTCTGTTCAGGCTGCTCCAACAAAATGCCATAAATCTGTGACTTATAAATAGCAGAAATTTATTTCTCAAAGCTGTGGAGGCTGGGAAATCCAAGATCAAGACACTGGAAGATTTGGTGCTTGTTCATAGACGGCATCTCTCCCTTCATTCTTACATGTTGGATGAAGAAACTGTGGTCTTTTCAGCCCCTTATAAGGGTTTCACCTCATAACTTAATCACCTCCAAAAGAACCTACTTCCTAAAACCATCACATTGGAAATTAGGTTTAAATCTATGAATTTTGGGGGGGTCACAAACATTCAATCTATAGAACTTGGTTTGCTAAGATTTTTAATTATAAAAAATAGCTGTTGAACTTTATTAAATGGTTTTTCTGCATCTTTTAAAATAAATGTACATTTTTCCTTGTTTACTCTTTACTACAATGAATAACATGGATGCATTCTCTGATAAGTCTTCCTTATATTGCTGGGATAAACCATATCTATTGTTTACTACATTGTTGGATTAGTTCAGTTAATATTTTATTTGTTATTTTTGCAGACATCTTGTATTAGTCTGTTTTCATGCTGCTGATAAAGACATACCTGAGACTGGGAAGAAAAAAGAGGTTTAATTGGACTTACAGTTTCACGTGGCTGGGAAGGCCTCCGAATCATGGCAGGAGGCAAAAGGCACTTCTTACATGGTGGCAGCAGGAGAAAATGAAGAAGAAGCAAAAGCGGAAACCCCTGATAAACCCATCAGATCTCATGAGACTTATTCACTAGCACAAGAATAGCAAGGGAAAGACTGGCCCCATGATTCAATTACCTCCCCCGAGTCCCTCCCACATGTGGGAATTCTGGGAGATACCGTTCAAGTTGAGATTTGGGTGGGAATGCAGCCAAACCATATCACTTTGTCCCTGGCCCCTCCAAATCCCATGTCCTCACTTTTCAAAACCAATCATGCCTTCCCAACAGTCCCCCAAAGTCTTAACTCAAAAGTCCACAGTCCAAAGTCTCATCTGAGACAAGGCAAGTACCTTCCGCCTATGAGCCTGTAAAATCAAAAGCAAGCTAGTTACTTCCTAGATACAATGGGGGTACAGGTATTGGGTAAATGCAGCCTTTCCAAATGGGAGAAATCGTCCAAAACAAAGGGGTTACAGGGCCCATGCAAGTCCAAAATCCAGTGGGGCAGTCAAATTTTAAAGCTCCAAAATGATCTCCTTTGACTCCAAGTCTCACATCCAGGTTATGGTGATGCAAGAGATGGGCTCCCATGGCCTTGAGCAGCTCCACCCCTGTGGCTTTTCAGGGCACAGCCTCCCTCCTGGCTGCTTTCATGGGCTGGCATTGAGTGTCTGTGGCTTTTCCACGTGCATGGTGCAAGCTGTTGGTGCACCTACTATTCTGGGGTCTGGAGGATAGTGGCCCTCTTCTCACAGCTCCACTAGGTAGTGCCCCAGTAGGGACTCTGTGTGGGGGCTCTGACCCCACATTTCCCTTCCACACTGCCCTAGCAGAGGTTCTCCATGAGGGCACTGCCTCTGCAGCAAACTTTTGCCTGGGTATCCAGGCATTTCCATACATCATCTGAAATCTAGGCAGAGGTTCCTAAACCTCAATTCTTGACTTCTGAGCACCCGCAGGCTCAATACCACACGGAAGCTGCCAAGGCTTGGGGCTTGCACCTTCTGAAGCCGCAGCCCAAGCTGTATGTTGGCCACTTTCAGCCACAGCTGGAGCAGCTGGGACACAGGGCACCAAGTCCCTAGGCTGCACACAGTATGGGGACTCTTGGCCCATTTTATGAAACCACTTTTTCCTCCAGGACCTCCGGGCCTGTGGGAGGGGCTGCCGTCAAGTTCTCTGACATGGCCTGGAGACATTTCTCTCCATGTTCTTGGGGATTAACATTAGGTTCCCTGCTACTTATGCAAATTTCTACAGCTGGTTTGAATTTCTCCCCAGAAAAAATGGGTTTTTCTTTTCTATCGCATAGTCCGGTTGCAAATTTTCCAAACTCTTATGCTGTTTCCCTTACAAAACTGAATGCCTTTAACAGTACCCAAGTCACATCTAGAATTCTGCTTAGAAATTTCTCCTGCCAGGTACCCTAAAACATCTTTCTCAAGTTCAAAGTTTCACAAATCTCTAGGGCAGGGGCAAAATGCCACCATTCTCTTTGCTAAAACATAACAAGAGTCACCTTTACTCCAGTTCCCAACAAGTTCCTCATCTCCATCTGAGACCACCTCAGCTTGCACCTTACTGTCCATATTGCTATCAGCATTTTGGGCAAAGCCATTCAACACGTCTCTAGGAAGTTCCAAACTTTTCCACTTTTCCTTGTCTTCTTCTGAGCCCTTCAAACTGTTCCAATCTCTGCCTGTTACCCGGTTCCAAAGTCACTTCCACATTTTCAGGTATCTTTTCAGCAATACCCCACTCCTGGTATTTCTTACCCACTGGGAAGAAAAAGAGGTTTAGTTAGACTTACAGTTTCACATGGCTGGGGAGGCCTCAGAATCATGGCAGGAGGCAAAAGGCACTTCTTACATGGCAAGAAAAAATGAGGAAAAAGTGGCTGGGCATGGTGGCTCACGCCTGTAATCCCAACACTTTGGGAGGCCAAGACGAGTAGATCATGAGGTCAGGAGTTCAAGACCAGCCTGGCCAACATGGTGAAATTGTCTCTACTAAAAATACAAAAATTAGCCAGATGTGATGGCGGGTGCTTGTAATCCTAGTTACTCAGGAGGCTGAGGCAGGAGAATTGCTTGAACCTGGGAGGCGGAGGTTGCAGTGAGCCAAGATTGAGCGACTGCACTCCAGCCTGGGTGACAAAGCAAGACTCTGTCTAAAAAAAAAAAAAAAAAAAAAGAGGAAGAAGCAAAAGCAGAAACCTCTGATAAGCCCATCAGATCTCGTGAGACTTATTCACTATCATGAGAATAGCACAGGAAAGACCAACCCCCATGATTTAATTGCCTCTCCCTGGGTCCCTCCCACAACACGTGGGAATTCTGGGAGATACAATTCAATTTGAGATTTGGGTGGGGACACAGCCAAACCATATCACTTATTCAGAAATACAATGAGCATGTAATTTTTTTTTTTTTTTGTATTGGCCCAATCTAGTTTTGAATCAAGATTACATTAGCTTCATAAAAAAGGCTGGACAATTTTCTCTTTTTCACTTGCTGCAACAATTTGTGAGATAAAAAAATCTGTCTCTTGAAGACAGGTAGAGCATATTTGTAAAGCTATCTGGGCTTTAGGGAGAGGAGCTATGATTAGCGTTTCAATTTCTTTAATGCTTGTTAGTCTATTCAAGTATACTATATCTTGGCATTTAGTATTTCCCCACAAAGTTGTCTATAATATCTAAAGTTTCACATTATTTGGATACAGTTGTTCATAATACTCTAAAAACTTTTTTTTTTTTTAGAAAATTTCGAATACATTCAAAAGTGGATTGATAAACCTCTGGTGCTTCAGCAGTTATCAATTCATGGCCAATGTTGTTTCATCTAGAGCCCCGCCCACATCCCCTCACAATTCTTTGAAGTAAATCTCTGACATTGTATAATGACACCTGCAAATGCTCCGGTAAAAATCTTCAAAAGACAAAGACTCTTTTTCAACCTGTTCACAGTGTCATTACCTCCTCCCCAGATAATAATTTATCAACATCAAGAAACTCCCCATTAGTGTTTAAACTTCCAATTTTCTCACAAATGTCTTTTTTTTTTTTTTTGGCGGGGGAGATAACTTTGTCATTTGAATCAGAATCCAAAGTTTACACATTGCACTTGGCAGACCTGCCTTTTAATTTCTCATAACCTCTGTTTCTTTTCAGCTTTCTGTTTTCCTCCCAGAGTTTCCTATGATTGCATCTCTAGTTTGACACGTTCCCTTGTCCTCTGTATTCCTGTAAATTGGTAGTTAAATCTCAATCTGATACAGAAGGGCTGGGCTCCCAGCTAAACCCCACCCCTAAGCCAGGAACCACCGCCCTAAGTGAAAACAGGTGATCCTGGTTTTCCAAGCAAATGTTGCCTTTTTGGCCTGCCCCGCCCCTATCCTGTGCCCATAAAAGACTTCAGCTGGCAGCGCAATAGAAGCGGCTGAGCGGCGAGGATACACGCAGCTGAGTGTCAGAGACAATGGATAGATGCGGCTAACTTCAGACGGTGCGGCTTCAGAGAGGGACCTGGCCGGAGACTGCCGGGCTTCAGAGAAAGCTCACGTTCCCATCTGCTTTCCAGCCTCCCTTTCCGCTGAGAGCCACCCACCGCTCAATGAAGTCTTCCGCATTCATCACCTTTCAAACGGTTCGTGTGAGCTGATTCTTCCTGGACGCCAAACGAGAACTCAGGTGCCAAGAGGGCAGGGGCTACCACCCTGACTCTCCACTGAGCTGGTTGGCACTTGGCCGTACCTGGACGGCAGAGCTGAAAGAGCGCTGGTTGAAACATGCATGGACACTGCTGTGTAGCATGCATAGAGCCTGCTCCCTCCAGAGAGGAGCGACCGGCGGGTTCTGGGGTTCGTTTGCTTGGGTTCCTGCACCCGCTTGCTCTTACGCTCCCCCATGCGAGGAGTGGCCAGTGACGGGCTGAGTGAAACGAGCCACTCCAGTTCCTGCCCATGAAGGGGGTCAAAGGAACTATCCCATCTCAAATCCATGATCAGGTTTAGGTTTGATATTTTGACAACGTTACTTCAGAAGGGTTACTGCAATTACATTATTCTTTCATCTTTGTTGTGCCTGTAATTGTTTTTCCCCCTTTTTCATTGTAGGTTTTATCTATTGCAATTTCATTTTCTCACTCTTTTTCTTTTTTTCTTTTTTCTTTTTTTTTTTTTTGAGACGGAGTCTCACTCTATTGCTCCAGGCTGGAGTGCAATAGTGTGATCTCGGCTCACTGCAACCTCCGCCTCCCAGGTTCAAGCGATTCTCCTGGCTCAGCCTCCTGAGTAGCTGGGATTACAGGTGCGCACAACCACGCCCAGCTAATTTTTGTATTTTTAGTAGAAATGGGGTTTCACCATATTGGCCAGGCTGGTCTTGAACTCCCGACCTTGTGATCCGCCCGCCTCAGCCTCCCAAAGTGCTGGGATTACAGGCGTGAGCCACCGTTCCTGGCCTTTCTCACTCTTTTTCTCGATCAGTCTTGCCAGAATTTTATTTCACTAATCTTTTCAAATAATTAGCTTTTGATTTGGTCATTTCTTTCTGTTTTTTCCTTCTCCATTTTATTGATTTTTGCCTTTCTTTACTTATTTTTCCTTCTTGTTTCTTGGCTCTGTTGATCTTATTCCAACTTCTTGAATTTACAGTTTTACTTGTGTTTGAAGTTATAATTTCTATCTACTGCTGTAAGTCCTACACATTTTGATACATTGCCATTTCATTGATACTCTAAGCAACTAGCAATTTGCTATACTTTTTTTTTTTTTTTACCTTTTAAAATATATTATTTAGTTTCCAGTAATATGTTTGTATAAACTATCCCTCTGTTATTCATTTCTAATTTTTTGGCATTCTGGTCTGAGAACATGATCTGTATGACATTGATTCTTTGGAATTTATCAAGTAATCCTTTGAGGCCTGGTATACGGACAATGTCATAACCCTTATATATGTGCTTGAAAACTGTTTTCTCTAGTGTTGAGCATAGAATTAGAAGGGAGGGGGAGAGGCAAGCACAGAGGCAGATATATTCCACAGCATTCACAGAAGTTATTTCTGGGATGGGAAAATTACAGGTGATCTTTATTTTCTTCTTGGACAGCAGTAGTCTTTACTTGCCTGTGATTCCAAACATGTTTGAAAACAATGTCAGAGATCTCATAGGCCTCCCACTGCCCTGGGTGGGTAAGAGCACTGGTGTGGACAAGAGGGAACATTTGCCATTGCCCATCATCTGGGTTGTTCACCTGACCTTCTGGGCCTGCCATCCTGTTCTATGAAATGAGGATATTTGGCTGGGTGCAGTGGCTCACACCTGTAATCCCAGCACTTTGGGAGGCTGAGGTGGGTGGGTCACCTGAGGCCAGGAGTTCTAGACCAGCCTGGCCAATATGGTGAAACCCTGTCTCTAATAAAAATACAAAAAATTGCTGGGCATGGTGGCATGCGTCTGTAGTCCCAGCTACTCGGGAGGCTGAGGCAGGAGAATTGGTTAAACCCAGGAGATGGAGGTTGTGGTGGGCTGAGATCGTGCCACTGCACTCCAGCCTGGGTGACTGAGTGAGACTCCATCTCAAAAAAATAAATAAATAAATAAATAAAATAATAAAGAAATGAGGATATTTAAGCTCCCACTCAACTTGAACATTTGTATTGTTATTTATAAGCTCCATCTGCTGCTGGCATGAATACCTGAAAATCCTGGGACTGTGGGATGTGGTCCAGGCTCTCAGGTGTCAGCATCGCAGGGAATCCCACAAACCTATCCCTGGAGGGAGTGCAGAATCTCACGTGTGAAGGGGCTGGGGTGAAGCCTTTCTCATAGTATTATCTGGAGAGGGTGTGCCTTTCCCCTTCTTTCATTTTGGGATAAGCGTGGTTTTTTCTCTCACTGTACTCTGTTTTCCAGTCTGCAAGCCCATTTCCAGGGAAAGCAGACAAGAAGCACCAATCGGAGCGTTGAAGTAAATGGGAATCAGTATCCTTGGCAGTGCCTGGACCTGCTGAGCGACAAGCGTGTGTTTTGTTTTATTAAATGTTTTCCTTTTTAATAAGCAGTGGGAAATGTCAGGACCACCTGCAGCTGCCTGCTGACCCTGGGACTGGAGTAGGGGATGCAGCACTCAGCCTCCAGTTGTGTTTTTCTTCTCTGATAGCTCAGTTGTGCCAGGAGTATACTCGCCTTGGTGCTCCAGAATCATCCTAGGGAATCAGCTCCGCCTTCTATACAAGCAGAATTCTACCTCTAACAGGACCAGGTGACCCCTTCTTTGGCAACTTTCTATACATTTCTAAGCCCCTGATGTTGCCCTAAGGCCATTTTCCTATGCTCCATAGGATGAAAATATCAGGAAAATGGTTTGTGCATGTTTATTATTCAGTTTATACACATTATGCATGAAGCAAGTATGAAATTGCTGCACAAACACTGGGATCCAAGAAATGTCATACTACTGAAATCAGATTAGATCTAGTTCTGAGCCCTCCCTCACCAGGGGGATCTGATGTCCCAAATCAGGTATTCTCCAGGATGGAGCAAGAGTCCCTGGGGGATGACAAGGCCAGAACCACCTGAGAAAGAGCCTCCAGTCTTCAGCCCATGTGGTCCCCTGATTTCTGAGCCCAAGTGGCCTCTTGGAGGGCTCCCAGTGACTGCCAGTCAGCTGCGACCCCTGTGCTCAGGTATCCACCCCACTTCGCACCAGATGCTGACCCAGACCCTGCTGAGAGATAGCACCCCAGGATGCAGCACTGGGCACTGCACGTGGCAAATGACCATTTTTTTTTAAGACAGTGTCTCACTCTGTTGCTTAGGCTGTGGTGCAGTGGTACAAACATGGCTCACTACAGCCTTGACCTCCCAGGCTGAGGCTATCCTTCTGCCCCAGCCTCCCGTGTAGTTGGGCCTACAAGCGTGCAAAACCATACCCAGCTGATCTTTTGGTACTTTGTAGAGTCGGGGTTTTGTCATGTTGCCTAGGCTTGTCTTGAACTTCTGGGCTCAAGTGATCTGCTTGTCTTGGCCTCCCAAAGTGCTGGGATTATGGGGGTGAGCCACTGTACCTGGCCGACTTTTGGATTTTTAAGTGAAATGAGAAGCCACTGGAAATGGTTTTGAGCAAAAGAGTGCCAAGGTCTGAGTTAAATTTTAAAAAGTGTACATTAGCTGCCATGGAGACAACAGGGAGACACAGAAAAACCAGTCATGAGGCGATTGTGAAGGCCAGGTGAGAGATGATAGACCAGGGAGTGGCGACGTCAGCCGTAAGAAGTGGTCAGGGTCTGGGTGTGTTTTGAAGATGAAACCAATAGATTTCCTGATAGAATGGATATATGTGTGAAGGAAAGAGACTCAAGGCTGACTCCAAGGTTTTTGGTCTCCATTCCATGAAAGAATGGAGCTGCCATCGACAGACATGGGGAAAACTGAAGGAGGTGCAAGTTCTGAGGGGAAAATCAAGAGACTTATTTTGAGCCAACCCAGGAGCAACAGTGACCCTAGCACCCCGACCGTGGGCTTGAACGCCATTTGCCAGGTTTGCGGATCCACAGTCTGGGGCAGAAAATGGACCAGATGTCCTGGAGCTTCTTGAAGTACCAGATAGCAAGGAAACTATCAAAGATGATTAGGGTTCTGTCAACAGGACTAAGTAGCCAACTAGGAGGAGCTCCCGTTTGCTGAAAATGGGATAATGTGAGCATCAAAAGGATAAAACCACAGTGGATGGAAACATCATCGAATGTGTTTGGTCCATGAATTTATGGCGATATTAACATTGGTCTCATAATTGGTATCTTTTAGAAAATGACAGGGAATCAATTCATTATTTAAAAAACTAGTTAAAAATGGAAAGAAAAACCATTTTGTACTGCCTTTCCTGTACAAACTTTACCTCAGGGTAACCAAGCAGTAGATGAGGGGACATTTCTTTGCATGGAAGGATCCCAGTTAATGAATGAAGAAGAATGATAGGTTTTGAATGTCACCATCTGGCAATCTTCATGAGGTAATAGGCCCAGGCAGTGAACATAAACTGCTCAGAATACGGCAAAAAGAGAGAAAAGCAGACAATTTGTGCCTCTTGATGGGAGACCATACCACCATCTCCAGAATCCAAACACCAATTTGCAGATACTAGAGCAGGGGGTGGGACATGTTAGACTGTAGCATGGGGTGCATTCAGCAAAAGTAAGGTAAGGAAAAGTCTCTAGGACCTTGTTTCAACAAGCACATTGAAAAGAAAAAAGAGATGGAGAGAGAACTTATAGATTAAAAGAGATGTAAAAGATATATCATGCATTACACTGGGTGGGCTTTATTTGGATTTTGAATCAAACTTACAAAAATTATGAGACAATGAGAAATTTGAACACTGTGGTTATTAGAGATGTTAAGATTTTTTAAATGAATATAATAATAGTATGATAGTTATGTTTAGAAACGAGGCCTTATCTTTTTGAGATGCAAACTGAAATATATACAGATGAAATGATGCAACATCTATAGGACTGGCTTCAAAATAATTCAGGCCGGAGGGAAAAGAGACAAGATTGACCATGAGTTAGCAATTGCTGAACCTGTGTGATGGGTATGTGGGGATTCACTATACAAGTCTGTCTGTCTATTTTTGTGGATGTTAGAAATTCCCTATTATAAGAAGCAAAAAAGAAAGGATAAAAAAGGAAAAGGAAAAAAAAGGAGGAAGGATAGGAAGATGGAAGGAATGGAAAAAAGATGGCAAGGAAGAAAGGAAGGAGGGAGGAAGAAAGGAAAGCAAGGAGAAACTTTTGGGTGTGTTAAGTTTGTGCTGCTAATTTCATGTTCACACAGAGATGTTGCATAGGTAGTTGAGTCATGGAGGGACTGAAGTTCAGGACAGTATTAAGGTAGAGTTGAAAATTATGGAGTCTTAAATTGATAAATATTAAAATCACAGAAGTGTGTGAGATCACCTTAAAAATGAATATGAGTAAGAGACAGAGATTTAGTACTACTAAATCTTGGGGATTTCCAAAATTAAGAGGTAGGAAAGAAGAGGCAGAAAAGGGGCCATGCAGATGCAGCTAGAATGGGAGAAGAGAAGAAAGGGGTGTTCTGGGGACTGATGTGTCGGACACCATGTCATCAAGGAGGGGGCACGCGCCATCATCTGTGTCAAATGTGGGCAGGGTGGAGTGGATGTGGCTGAGGGCTGACTAGGGCATTGGGCAGAGAGGAGTTAAGTGTTGACCTGGACCAGGGGAGTTTTGGGCAAGTTGGGGGGGAGAAACCCTGGTGTGGATTACTGAAGGCAGAGATGGAGATGAGAGCCATGAGCACTGTTGAGACTTAGGGGAGTTTAGAATAAAGATCAGCAGAGAAATCAGATAGAGGTGTGGGTGGGATGTAAGGCCAATAGGGTTTTTTTTTTTTTAAGAGATGAGAGAAATTACCAGCATGTTTTATTCTGATGGAAGTGATGAAGGTAGAGGGAGAGAAGAAGAGAGAGAGAGAGAGAGATTGACTGAGAACAGTAATCAGTGATGATGTGAGAGGGGGACAATTACTAGCCAGATGTCCTGGATCACCCGGTGGGCCTGAAACAGGTTTGTAATCAGGTCAACTCTGATGCATTTGGTGTCAGGACACATATATTTCACGGTCAGAGGCCTGAATACCACGTCCAGGTCTTCCCAGGGACCTCATGGAGGTGCTGATGCAGGCTTGATGCTCATGTGGCTATTCTGAATCCGTGTCCACATTGAGGGGATGGGTTGGGCCTCCAGGTGTGGGGCTCACAGGCCAGCACAGGCAGTGTCAGCCCAGCTGAGCTCGCTTGGAGCCATTTTCTTGGTCAACTTGTACATGTTCTTAGTAAATCCCTCACCTTTCACTCACTGGCTGGCACTGAAAAGCAGCTGATGCCTTCCTGTTCCAACGGGAGCATGTGCCTGCTGTTTCCAGCAGGATCCCGACAACTCTGGCTGTGCTCTTGCTCTGCCACTTCTTGTGGCTGCCCATCACTGAGGACAAAATGGTGAGGTGAGGCCAGACAACACAGAACACACATTGGGGAAGGGCCAGCATTTGGTGCTGGGGCCTGTGGTCAGGCCAGGCTCTGCTGGGGCAGGAGGGCGAGATGCTGCTTCTGGGTCTGAGGATGAGACCAGAGGCAAGGCTGAGGTGGAGCTGGGAGCAGAGCAGGTGCTGGGATGGAGCAGCTGGAGAATGCTGGTTGCTTGATCAACACAATGTCTCTTCCCACAAACATTTCCCTGCATTAAGTCTCATTTAATTTCCACCATGTTAATAATAAGAAGCCTGGTAGCCCCTTGGGTACCAATCACAAGGATCACCACTAGACTGAGTCATCCTTCCCGGGTGTCTGCATGTGGTTTCTTCAGCATACAGAACGGAGCTCTGAGGGTTTCCCCCCAGCCACTGCCCACAGCCACATCCCACAGGGAGGGACTTCAGTGCAAAATGTGGAGCAGTCACTCCAGTTTCCCACACTCTGGTATTAGCTCTGGCTTAGGTAACCCACCAGCTCTTCATTCCCCAAGCGATGTGTGTCCTACTACATCCTTTCACAAATGCCTCATGGCACCACGGAGAGGTGCCCTGGACAGAGGGTCCAGAGAGCTACAGTTTACTTCAAGCTCTGCACTGACCAGCCTTGGGCCTCACTTCTTCACGTTTGACACATTTTTATTCTAAGCATTGGAGATGCAGTAGTGACAAAAGAAAATTCCTGCCTGCATAAAATGTGTATTCTAGTGGGGAAACAGATATTAAGCAAATTAAACATATAATGTGCCAGACAGTGACAAGGTCTATGAAGAGAAATAAAACAGGATAGGGGGCAGGGAGGTGTGAGTGGAGTGTGTATGTGCATGTGTGTGATTTTACATAAGGTGATCAGGGAAAGCTTCTAGGAGGAGATATTTGAGCAGAGGCCTGAAGGAGAAAGGCATATGGTTACCTGGGGAGAGCATTCCAGGAAGAAGAAACAGTGGGTGCAAAGGCCTTGAGGCTGAGCATGCTTGACGTCCCAGGAAGAACTGGGGCCCTGTGTGGCTGGACAAGAGGGACTGAAGAGGAAGCTGGCAGGAGATTAGTTTCCAGAAGTGGGGACAAAGTGGGCAGGTTGTGTAGCATCATGGGTCACTGGAAGGTCTCTGGCTTTCGTGCTCAGTCACATAGGAAATATTAGAGGGGTTTGAGAGTGGAGTTACATGTTTAAAAGAATTGCTCTGGTGTTGTGTGGAGAACAGGCTGTAGGGGGTGGGAGGAGGCAAGGGCAGGAGCTGGGGGTCCAGTAAAGGCTATTGTAATGACCCAGATGAAAGATGTTGGTGCTTTGGAGGAGCTGGAGAAGAGGTCAGATTTCTGGATAATTTTGGAAAGTCAGAAAAGTTTTGCTGGTGGATTGCATGTGCAAAGGGAGGGGCAAAAAAGGAGTTGAGCATGATGTGGTCATCATTAGAGCTGTTCACAAATATTTTGGTTGTTTTCTTTTTTTTTTTTTGAGATGGAGTCTTGCTCTGTCATCCAGGTTGGAGTGCAGTGGCACAATCTCAGCTCACTGCAACCTCTGCCTCCCGGGTTCAAACAATTCTCTGCCTCAGCCTCTAGAGTAGCTGGTATTACAAGCACCTGCCACCAAGCCCAGCTCATTTTTGTATTTTTATTAGAGATGGGGTTTCACCATGTTGGCCAGGCTGGTCTTGAATTCCCGACCTCATGATCCGCCTGCCTCGGCCTCCCAAAGTGCTGGGATTATAGGTGTGAGCCACCGTGTCCAGCCAGTTGTTTTCTTTTTTGGGCACTTAGTAAGTTTGTGCTTCCAACCCTCCTTTAAGTTAGGTGTGGCCATATGACTTGTTTTGGACAATAAAATGTAAGCAGAAGAGGTGCACGGGGCTTCTGGGCAGAAGCATTTCACTGCAAGTGCAAGACCCTGCAACATGCACCTTCCCCTGTCTCTAAAAACATGAAAACATTTTGTCAAGATACAGCCTCCGTCAGCCTTAGTCCCTCAGTGAAACTGATGAGTAGAGTCTCCTGTCAACTCAGCCTGGACATCAGCAAAAACATGAACATTTGTGGTGTTTTTGGGGTTCTTTGCTACGGAAGCATCACCTAATTTATATCGACAAATACAGATAACATGATGACAGCATTTATTCTGAACAACTGGAAGATTAGAGTTTTGATTTATTGAGATGGAAAAGGCTGTGGGAGCAAATGGGAGCAAAAGGTTTGAAGGGGGAGGATTAGGAATTTGCTTTTGGACATGCTACGTTTGAACGCATTAGGCATCCACGTGCAGATATTGAGTCAGCAGTTGGGGATGTATGGGTCTGAAGTTCAGAGGAGAGTTCAGGCTGGAAAGAATATATTCGGAGTTGTAAACGTGAGGCCAGGCAGGATCACGAGGAAGTGAGTGTCAGTAGAGAAGAATGTGCATAGCCTTAGGCACTTGAGTGAATAGGCTCAACTGTGTGGAAGTCTGCTGACAGGTCATCTAAGATGAGGACTCTCAACTGACCGTTGGATTTGCAATGTGGACCTGAAGAGTAATTGTGGTGAAGTTGTGAGAATGAAACTGAAGTGGGTTCAAGAAAGAACGAGAGGAGAGAAAGTGGAGTTTGAGTATAAATAACTCTTTTGGAGAGGATTGGTGTAATTGAATGGCAGGGGTATGAGATTTGAGGTCAAGGAAATATTTTTATTATTTTTTACGATGAGAGAAATTGTAGTACACATGTATATTTATGGGAATGACTCAGTAGAAAGACCAAAAATTTCATATGTGAGAGAAGGACCAATTGATGAAGCGATGTTCTTGCGTGGGCGCGAGGATGGGATCGAGTGCACAGCGGAAGGTGGCACTTAGGAACACGCAGCACTCGTCCATGCCAGCAGGAGGCAAGGCAGAATGGTGAGTACAGGCACACGTGTACTGATGTGGTGCTGGGAGTGTGGGTAGAATAGGCGGTTGTTCTGGATGATGGATACGGTTTTTCTCAGCTCTTAAAAATGTATTATTTCAAAATCAAACTTTTCATCATAATCTTGTCTTTAGCTCTTTCCTATTCTTCATCTTGCAGATCTAGATAGTCATTAGGCTCTGTTGATTTCACCTACTGAGTGGGTCTTGTCTGTAATGCCCATCTGGCTCCTTCAGCTCAGTGCGATGGAAGGGCTCTGCTCTGTAGCGACTAGAATTTAAAGCTAGCTGGAATTTATCAGGCATTTGATGGCTACCTGTTTAGGGGCCCTACCAGGGAAGTATTCCAATAAAATTGGGATAATAATATGCTTACCCCATAGGCCCATTTAGAGAATTAAGATAAATATCAGGTGCTAAGCGCTCAGCATTTCCCTGGCACATAGGAGGTTGAGCTGTTGGTATCTTCATCCACCATCACTGCTGTACTTCATGGTGAGCTTTCTATAGAGCAGGTCTCTGCTTTAGAACCTCTGACTCTGCCAGCTACCTGGATCAAATTTGAACTTTTCACCTGTTAAACCAAGGCTTTCACGATCTGGCCCCAAACTCCCTTTTTTGCCCCATGTCCCAGCACTTCTCTTTCATGTTCCTTCTATTTCAGACACAGAACTAGCCCTTCTTCAACCTATATCCTTTCTTTTCAGTTCCACGATTTTACGGAAGATATCTTGTCACTAAGCCTGGCAAAATCCTGCCCATTCTTTAAGATTTAATATATATCACGTTTTCCTGCGGTACTTCCTGGACTTCCCTTCGGACGCCTCTGGTCCCCAGTCTGGCTCCTTCTTAGGCCTGTCCCGTAATTCTAAGCTTGTCTGGCTGTCCTTCCACTATGAGCTCTTTGGGAGCAGGATCTCTGTTTGGTTCCATTCTTTTTGGTGCCTTGAACAGTACCTGGCACCAATAAACACCTTAAGGAATGACCACATTCCTTATTCCCTCCTTTGTATCCACCTCTTTCCTAGCCCTTAGTGTTGCACATTGTTGATGGCCTGTCTTCCCCATCACGCTATTAATGCCCTGGGAAACAAGACATTATCTTTATTTCTCCCCACGTCGCCAGAGCCTAACACACAGTGGCTCCATCTCCGCTCACTGCAACTTCCGCCTCTCGGGTTCAAGCGATTCTTGTGCCTCAGCCTCATCATGAGTAGCTGGGATTACAGGTGTGCGCCACCGTGCCCGGCTAATTTTTGTATTTTTAGTAGAGATGGGGTTTCGCCATGTTGGCCAGGCTGGTCTCCAACTCCTGACCTCAAGTGATCCGCCCGTCTCGGTCTCCCAAAGTGCTGGGATTACAGGCTTGAACCATCGCTCCAGGCCTCGATAAATGTTTAATGAATAAAACGATGAAAGGACCCGTCGCCTCCTAAATGCAGATCTCGAGGGAGCCTCCAGGTGGCGCTCGCCGCTCGGAGAAGCAGGGAGTCGGTGCGCCGCAGCTCCGGCAGGCGTCTGGGAGGTGGTCGCCTCCTCACCTGCCCAGGCGGCCGTCCCCCGGGAGCGGGTGGCGGTGACCTCAGGACTGACGCACTGCCTCCTCCGGGCGGGTGCGCAGCCTGCGTCAGGGGCGCTGTTCTCCCTGTGCTCTTGGACCCCGCAGTTGTTTTAGGAACATTCACTGGAGAGCGAGAAGGGGGCCGCCTTCCGGTGCCCGGTGGGCAACACCTAAGCCGCGGTGTTTACTGGTGAGGGAGTCGGCTGTCTGCTGGCGGCTGTGACAGCTGCAACACGCCACACAAAGATGTTATTTACCTGTCATATTAATGATAGTGTTAGCAAGTGCGTGGCACGTCCAGTACTTTTTTTTTTTTTTGAGACGGAGTCTCGTTCTGTCGCCCAGGCTGGAGTGCAATGGCGCGATCTGGGTTGACAGCAACCCCCGCCTCCCGGGTTCAAGCGATTCTCCTGCCTCAGCCTCTCGAGTAGCTGGGATTACAGGAGCCCATGACGAAGGCCGGCTAATTTTTTGTATTTTTAGTAGAGACGGGGTTTCACCGTGTTGGCCAGGATGGTCTGGATCACCTGACCTAGTGATCCTCCCGCCCCCGCCTCCTAAAGTGCTGTCCAGCACTATTCTAACTGCTATGTACACATTTACTCAAAGGTACATAAGATAATACAAAATAAAAATTTCCATTTTATAATGAGGAAACATAGGGGCAGAGGTTGGATAACTTGGCCGAGATGGTCCATTTAGCAGTAGCAGAGGCATGGTTAGAACCCAGGCGGTCTATACCAGAGCTGGCAGATGCCCCTTTTATGCACCCCTGCCTCCCTCTCAATGTCCAGCAGGGCTACCATCCGTGTTCCAGCTGGCCCGCGCTCAGCCAGCCAGACACCATTTATTAAGCACTTACTATGTGCCAAACACCTTGCTTAGTGTTGGGGATGAGCAGGTAAAGGGGAGAAAGTGTCTCCCTTTCAGAAGCCTCCAGGCTATCAAGGGAGAAAAAAGTGTTGTGGGTGAAAAAGGTGTTGTGGGGGATGGTTGTGCCAAACGGTAATGATGGACAGAGTAACAATGGGCACCCATGGGAGGAGCCGTGGCAAAGGAGATGCTGGCCTTCCCAGACAGCCCACCTGGCCCTTTTCTTGTGTGCCGCTCTTGTTATGGGTTTTTCTGGGGGAGGCATGGGGACACTGGTGCTCTGGCCTCGGTTCTGAGAGCCTGTCCAGGCCCGAGTCCCTCTAGGGCTTGGGCACACCCCACTCCAGTCTTGTCCTTGAATCCCTGCACAGTGGCTGGGACCCTTGTCCTTAGTGCCAACTTCTCTGGTGCTGCCTGCCTGCCTAAATTTCTGAATATCAGGGACTGTGCTCCACTTGCTGCTTGGACACTGCTCCCATCCTCCCACCGGTTCCCATCCTCAGCCTGGTCCCATGATCAACAGCCACAGCTTGCCTGATCTTCCCCTAAACTCTGGTTTTTGTGGCCCCAGACTAGCCAGCTCCCTGTCCTTCTGGTGCAATCACACTTCTACCTCTGCTCCAACTAGTGGTGTCTATGTGTAAGACCCCCAGATCCCAGACTCTTTCCTTTTCCTCTGATACATCAGTCCCCTGCTGACTCCACCCATCCTAGATGCCTTCTCGGTTGATCACTTGAACCACTTTCTTGCTGGCCCCTCAATTTTCTGTCTCCTTGTAAACACTTGCTCTAGAAACCCCCTCCTTTCTCCACTTCTTCACCTGGGGTGCTCAGGGATGCTGAGCTGGAATTCCCAGAGCTGGCAGGTTGGTGCTGGGCAGTTTTGGAAACATGATTTTCAGGCCCCAGTGTAAAAACATGTGGGGCCAGGCACAGTGACTCACATCTATAATCCCAGCACTTTGAGAGGCAACTCAGGAAGACCACTTGAGACCATGAGTTTGAGACCAGCCTGGGCAACATAGCCAGACCCTGTCTCTGCCAAAAATTAAAAAAAAATTAGCCAGACATGGTGGTGCGTGCCTGTAGCCCCAGCTACTAGGGAGGCTGGGGTGGGAGGATGGCTTGAGCCCAAAAGGTTGAGGTTGCAGTGAGCTATGATTGCATCACTGCACTCTCACCTGGGTGACAGAGTGAAACCCTGTCCGTAAACAACATACTTTTTATTGTCTGTAAAAAACAAACAAACAAATAAATAAAATAAACACATGGGGCCCTTGTTCAAAAATTTTAAGAATTTCAAGATGACAACAGTAGACAGCAGTTAAACCAAGTTCAGGGCCCTTCTACTCATGGAGCCTGTGTGACTGCATGGGTTATAGCCCCCTGAAGTGCTGGGCCAATGCCCCCACCTTCTCAGAGCTTCCAGGGCTATCTGATTACTCTGAAGTCTCAGACCTGTGGTCTCTCCTGTCTTCTCAAGTGGCCTGCCACCACGGTTGTCCTTAGCTATCCCATCCCATCCCATCCCATCCCATCCCATCCCATCCCATCCCAGTCTCAGACAACATTCCCTGCAGCCTCACTTGCATTCACCCAGGCTTTCTAGAGTGGAGGAGAAAGCCTGGAGTTCCCAACAGTGGGAAAGCTACCTGGACCAGGTGGTGTGGTTGACAATGACTGAGAATCTGTCTTCAGGGATCCCTGCAGAGGCTGGTGTCCTCAACTGTACAGGGATTGGATCTAGATGTCAAGGGAGAAGACGGAAGGTAGAGAAGGAACCAACAAGCAGGCTCCTTCCCATTCTGACTAACTGGGCACTTTCCACAACTTCCTGAATCTAATTCTCTAGGGGCCTTTTATTTTTCCTGTTTCATAATTGTAGAGATGAGGAAACAGGCTCAAAAAGGTTAAGCAGCTTGCGAGCCCACACAGCTAGTAACTGGTGGCAGCAGGCCTTAAGGCTAGGTTGGTGTGAGGGCAAAATCCTACCCTTTCCTCCTTGAATCTCGCTTTCCTAAGGGGCAGAGCTAGGCCTTGACAGTTATTCCCTAATCAAATCTAACTTCCTTTCCTGCCCCCTCTCCCCTGCCACCATCACAATGATTGCCTCATGAGGAAATTTAATCTCATCCTCAGAACCTGCCAAGTTGAGCACTTCTGCTCGCTGATGATAAAAAGAATACCCAACTCTCAGGAAGAAAAAGTCATTTGGCTGTTCTCTGACAGTCCCTCCTCATCTGAACCTCACCTTTCCAGAGTGGGAGAGAATTTTGTCCCTCTCTGCTCCCCACTTGCCCCTGGCCCCGGTTATCTCTGGGCATCTCTCTTTTTCTTCTCTTTTCCTTTTCTTTCCTTTTTTTTTTTTTTTTTTTTTTTTTGGAGACGGAGTCTTGCCCTGTTACCCAGGCTGGAGTGCAAAGGCATGATCTCTGCTTATTGCAACCTTTGCCTCCCGGGTTCAAACGATTCTCCTGCCTCAGCCTCCCAAGTAGCTGGGATTACAGGCACCTGCCAGTTAATTTTTGTATTTTTAGTAGAGATGGGGTTTCACCATGTTGGCCAGGCTGGTCTCAAACTCCTGACCTTGTGATCGGCCTGCCTCGGTCTCCCAAAGTATTGGGATTACAGGCATGAGCCACTGTGCCCAGCCATCTCTCACCCTTTTGTCCCCCATTTGAAACTTTGCCACCAGCCTGGTCCTGGCCACAAGCAGGGTCACATGTTTTCCTGTCTTACTTCATGCCCCTTTCTTTTTTTGTTGAGATGGAGTCTCGCTCTGTCATCCAGGCTGGAGTGCAGTGGTGTGATCTCGGCTCACTGCAACCTCCACCTCCCGGGTTCAAGTGATTCTCCTGCCTCAGCCTCCTGAGTAGCTGGGACTACAGGCACCCACCACCACACCCAGCTAATTTCCATATTTTTAGTAGAGACGAGGTTTCACCATGTTGCCCAAGCTGGTCTTGAACTACTGACCTCAAGCAATCTGCCCTCCTCAGCCTCCCAAAGTGCTGGGATTAGAGGCGTGAGCCACCATGCCCGATCACCCCTTGCTTTTTGATTGTGCTTCAGCCAGCGCCCCTCCCGAGGCAGGTAAAAGTGGTATTTTTTTTTAAATTTTATTATTATTATACTTTAAGTTTTATGGTAAAAGTGGTATTTAGGAGACTCTTGGAAATGAGATCACTGACCAGATACTTGATAATGTTAGGAATTTGTGTTATCTAGATGTGGTGAAGGCACTGAGGTTATATATATATTTAAAGGAATCAGTTTCTGAGGTATAGCTCAAAATATTAATTGACGAAACCAATCCCAAACCAAATATTTGGGATTTGCCTCAAAATAATATCAGAGGGGAGAAATAAGTAGGGTTTTTGGTTAAAACAAGATTGACTATAAATTAATTGATGGTTGCTGAACCTTGGTGCTGGGTACATGAGGGTTCATTGTGCTATTTAACCTACTTTTGCATTTGTCTGAATTTCTCCATGATAAAAAGTTTTTTTTAAATGTTAGGCATTAAAATGAAAGACAGTAAACTCAAGAGCTCTGTGTATGTAAGAGTGAGAATGGGGTGGCAGAACTGGGAAGGGGCCTAAAGTAGGTGAGTGCAACGAGGCAAAGTACAGCACATTTCTGCTTTCCTGGAATAAGTCTGTAAGCAGCCACAGCTCTCCCAACCCTGCCCCAGGCCCGCTGTCCTCAGCTATGACTAGCAGGAGTCCAGGGTCCACTGCTGGGAGCCCACCTCCTCCATCATGTCTTGCTGGAATCCCGGGGGCTTATGCAGGCCTGAATGGGGCTCCCTGAGACTTCTGTCTAAGGAAGCCATGCACTGGCCAGCTTCATGGCTGTGGCTGCTCTTTCCCTCTCTGACACGGGATGCTTTTGCTGGGTGATGGCCCCTTACCTTGGCTTCTGCTGTTTTCTTTTCCAGCAAAGGGTGCTTCTCTGGGTGGGGCTTCAGAAAGAGGCTGGCCCCATAGTGCCTCTCCCTTCTAGGATCCGCTCTGCCCCGGTAGTCTCTTTTATTCTCTCAGGGTGCAACCCTGGGCTGTGGTTTTAGGTGCCCTGCCCTGGTCTTGGTGGGGCTGGCCCCGCCCCATAGGACAAGAAGTTCATGGGCCTTGTCTGTGTGCCACCCAGGGCCAGTCCTCCTTTTGGTGCATGGTTCGTAACCCAGGGCCCAGAATTCCCTGCTCAAATGTCCCAGCCTCTTCCAGGGCTGTGTGAACCTCTTCCCATCTGTCCCGTCTGTGGTGAGGTCACTGAGGCCTCAGGGATAGCTAAGGGGTGGCTCTTATTAGCGGCCTTTACACAGAGTTTGGGCATGCGGGCTGAAGTGTTTGTTCAGTGCCTGCTGGTGGACCTGAGAGGGGAAGAGAAGGTGGGGTGCTGACCAACTGCCTTCATTTATACTTTTGCCAATATTAGAGGCAGATGTGGGTCTGGGGTCTATTTAGGAAAGGGAAAAATGTGATTCCTTTTTCCAACTGTGTCCCCCCTTTCCCTAACCTTCCTTTCTTGTAGGGTGGATTAACAGTTTTTTTTTGGCAGAAAAACACACCAACCAACAAATGAACAAAAATCAACACCCCAAGCTATGCATACAAAACAACAGGCCCAACCCACACACTGAGAAATCGGACACTCAGCAGGCCACTCTGCCAACATGCTTTGAAAGGATACTCTTAAGAGGTTTTGGAGGTAGGGTTAACCTCCGAAGGGGACAATAGGGACTGATGTTTGCCTCAGGCTGGTAGGGACAAAGGGCATTGCAGAGGAGAAGACAATGGAAGTGAGCCTTGTGGGCTTATTTGGTGGCTGGCAGCTTGAAGGTTTCTCCCTCTAGGGCAAAGGTTTCCAAGCTATTGTTCACTGAAGAGCCTCCTCTTCATACATAAGCTTACCTGGAGACCCAGTATGAGAAACAAATGTTAGTGGAGATATTCTGGCCAAAACAGAGTTGGGGGCAGGGTTACTGTCCTGCTTGGTGACCTGCCTACTTTGCCCAAGAAACAAGTTGAAAACTTCCACATCTCGGGAAATGCCCAGGTCAGGCTGCATCAGGGCTGTTCCTCAGGAGCTCAGGGACAAAGTGAAAGCAAAGGACACCAATGCTGGGTGCTTGGGACAGTGTCCTGTTCTCCTCATGTGGTGGTCAGTGCCAGTACACATAGGCAGTTTTCTGCCTTTAAATAAGATAACATAAGAAGCTGTTTGTAAAGTGTAAAGAACTGAGCACGCATTAGGTGATTTCTTTTCTTTTTTTCTTTTCTTTTCTTTCTTTCTTTTTTTTTTTTAGACAGAGTTTTGCTCTTGTTGCCCAGGCTAGAGTGCAGTGGTGCAATCTCAGCACGCCGCAACCTCCGCCTCCCGGGTTCAAGCGAGTCTCCTGCCTCAGTGTCCCCAGTTGCTGGGATTACAGGCATGTGCCAGCACGCCTAGCTAATTTTGTATTTTTTTTTTTTTTGAGATGGAGTCTAGCTCTGTTGCCCAGGCTGGAGTGCAGTGGCGCGATCTCGGCTCGCTGCAGCCTCTGCCTCCCAGGTTCAAGCGATTCTCCTGCCTCAGCCTCCCGAGTAGCTGGGACTACAGCTGCCTGCCACCACGCCCAGCTAATTTTTTGTATTTTTAGTAGAGATGGGATTTCACCGTGTTGGCCAGGATGGTCTCGATCTCCTGACCTCGTGATCCACCTGCCTCAGCCTCCCAAAGTGCTGGGATTACAGGTGTGAGCCACCGTGCCCGGCCCTGTATTTTTTTTTTTTTTTAAGTGGAGATGGGGTTTCTCCATGTTGGTCAGGCTGGTCTTGAACTCCTGACCTCAGGTGATCCACCTGCCTCAGTCTCCCAAAGTGCTGGGATTACAGGCGTGAGCTACCACACACAGCTGCATGAGGTGATTTCTACCAGTGAAGGGTAGGTGTGGGTGTTTTGGGCCTGGCTGTTCTATCTCAGGGCCTACCATTGTCGTCTTGTTCACACTCCCTGTGCTGATTATGAAGCTGATGTCTCTAAGGTCAGACCCACCTGTCTGTACTCTACCCTGTGATTCTGGGGCTGGAACTTGGCGAACCACACTGCTCTGTGGCCAGCTGGCTCCATGTGGGGCTCTGTCAGTAAGGAGGGATGGCAAATTGGCAGAGCAGGGACTTGCCTCTTCCTGGGACTGCTTCTTGTCCCTGTGAGCATCACCCCAACAATGACTTTTCACCTTGCAGTGGCAGTTTACCTCAATAGCAATGGGTTCCAGTCTTCAACATTTTCTGGACTCTCAAATCCAGCCTCACAGATACTGTGCAGTCGCCGCTCCTTAGAAGCCTAGGTCCCAGCTCCGCAGGGCTCCTCTTCCAAGCTTTGAAATTATTGCAACCCCAGTATCTTCCCTGTGTTCTTCAGCCCCAGAGGTAGAGCTGCCTCTGGCAGTTACCATCCCTGTGTTTATCTTGATACTTCCTTTTTGCCTTTCAGCCTCTAATACCTGCTTACTCAATTGCCTAGATTAAATTATTTCTGTTAAAATGCAGGTCCTTTTCCTGTTTTCTTTCCTAACTAGATCTGACTGTTAACATGCCCCTTGGAGGCATTGCCTGAGAAGCACATCAGGGTGTAGCCTTACCTCTCTGTGCTGCTCCGAGGACCCTGATCTCAGAAACCCTGCCAGTGGCCCCAACATGTGAACCATCGTGGTAAAAGAACTCTCTGATCACAAGAAAGTCCCCTAATCTAAGATAATGTTGATAAACAAGCTAACTCCAGGAGGGAGGGTTTAATTTAAGAAAGCCAGTAGGGACCCTAAATCTTTTCATTCCAATCAAAGCTGTCAAAGCCAGTTATCGTCAGAGCCAGTCAGGTGGCCCCAAAGCCGCCATCTACCTGGCAGCTGTCCTGTCACCACGGAAACCACAAGTTGGTGAACAAGGCCCGAAGGAACCCTGCTGAAACTCAGTTGCTTGACATATTTGTCATTATCGAGTCTGCCAGAGTGCAGCATCTCTTGCAAGAGTGATTCTCTGAAACTTCTCCTGCTTCAATCCCTCTACCCATTGTTTCCCAAATAGAGAATATGCCCACCTCTGAGAAAGACATGTGCTGGCAGGCATCACAGGCCCAAGAGGAGGCACTTGTTTACTCGACAACAGACAAGGTGACTGTCTGCTGCATTGGCACCAGGACTAGCATTCTTTGGGCATCCCCAACTACCTTTTCAGGCCCCCGTGTCTTCAGGCTGTCTAGGTCCTGGACTGGTGGTCGTCAAGTCTGCCCACCCTCACTATCCAGCAGCACCAGTGGAGCATGCTTCATAACTACCCTTTCCTCTCTCCGAATTGAGTTTGATGTCATCACCCTGCAAACGATGAAACAAATCCCCATTTTATTGATGACTGATAACTTCAAATGTGACAAGAGGATTCATTTCCTTATTCAATCATTCCACAAATATTCACTGAGCATCTCCTACGTGCCAGGCACCAGGCTGGACTTTAGGATCAATCATAATAATTTTCAGGTTATGGATAATGCCAATGGGCACTTAGGATGATCAGGGAGGGCAGTTCTGAGAAGGGGCATATGAGCTGTGTTCCAGTTGTCTATTGCTGTGTGACAAACTGCCCCAAAACTTAATGGCTTAAAACAATGACAGAAATTACATTACTCATGAATCTGCAGTTTAGGCAGGTGGGGACAGCATGTCTCTGCTCCACCTAACATCAGCTGAAGGTGGGAACTGGAATCATCTGGAGGCTTCCTCACTTACATGTCTAGTGGTTGATGCTGACTGATGTTGGCTGTTGGCAAGGACCTCTGACAGGTCTGTTCCCCGAAACACCTGCATGTGGTACATGGCTTTGTCACAGCATGATGGCTGGGTTCCAAGGGTGAGCCTCACAAGACAGAGAACCAGGTGGAGGCTGTGCCATCTTTGGTCACCTAGTCTAAGAAGTTACAGTCACTTCTATACCATTTAATTCATTAGTAGCAAGCCACTGAGGCTAGTCCATGTTCAAGAGGAGGGGAATTGGATTCCCCCTTTTTTTAGGATAGAAAAGAATTTGTGGACATGTTTTCAAATGACCACAAACTATGACCTAAAGAAATTAGTGGAAGAGCATTCCAGGAAGAATTGTAAAGTCTCTGATGCTGGAAAGGCTTGGTGTGTTTAAGGAAATGAAAGGCCAGAAAGGCTTGAGCACAGCAAGGGCAGAAGGTAAGATTTGAGGTTAGATGTGGACAGAAGCCATATTAGGCAGTTATAGGTGCTTGGATTTTATTCTGGATGCAGTGAGGGCTGTTGAAAGATTTAAGGTTTGTATTCACTTCTTGAAAGGATCACTCCAGCTAATATGCAGAGAATGGATTGAGGTGAGATAAGGGTAGGGAAAACCAGTTAGGATGCTATTGGAGTGGTTTGGGGAGAGAGAGTGATGGCTTGGACAAGAATGTTGGCACTGGAGATGAAAAGAAGTAGATAGAAATGGTGGAAGTAAATGAACAAGTCTACCAGGAGACTGAATGTGAGAGAAGGAAAGGAAGGCAGGAAACAAGAATTCTTGGGTTTTAGGCTCATGTCCATCTTGATGGTGGAGCCCTTTCTGTGATTGGAAGACTAAGAGAGGAACTTGTTGATACGGGCAAAAGGTAAAATCCAGAGTCCAGTTCTAGGCACGTCAAACTTGAGAGGTTTGTAAGGTATACTGAAGGCAAGAAGTAGACATTTGGATATATGAGCCTGAAACTCAGTGGAGAGCTTGGGACTGGAAATATAAATTTGGGAATTATCAGCATATGGATGGTATTTAAAGCTGTAGGCCTCGGTGAGGTCACCAGGGGAAAATCTAGAACAAAAGAGTGTGGAGACTGAGCCCTGTAAAGGGTAGCCTGCAAAGGAGATTGAAAAGGAGTGGCCAAAAAAGACAGCAGGGAAACTAGGGCATTGGATGTTATAGATACCCGAGAAAGCGTTGGTCTGAATGACCGTTAAGACTCCTCCAGATATGAATTTCTGTAACTTTATGGATGTTTCAAATCCCTTCAAGCTGGGAAATTCTGTCTCTGTTGCATCTTTGGGATAACAAACTTCCTGAAGAATCACTGTGTCTTTTCAAAGACTGAAAATGGATTCCCAGCAATGTGAAATCTTGTGCCTGAGTCCTAAAGTGATCAAAGGTAAGGTTGAGCCTAGGACAAAATGAGGATCCCCTGGAGGGAAGCTAGGGCAACACAGTAAGTGGCAAAAGAATACGAGTGAGGTTATTTGACTATCCTCTTCCAGTAGGGCTGGCTCAGCTATGGCAGACCCCAGGGTGGTTAGGACAAATGGCAGCCCCATACAGGGACATACATGGACACTGATCCTTGTTTTTTTCCTTTTTGGGGCCTTTCTGAATCTCCACTCCATGTGCAGGGTTGACCTGTTTCCTTGAGGAACTCTGAGATTTGCATCAATGGAGTTATCTGAGGGCTCTGTGGCTTGGGCTCTGTGCAGGAGGGCAGCCTGGCAATTGGATTGTTCCTGCTGGCTGGTGCCATTGTGTGATATTGAGTCACCAGAATGGTGCCGATGCACTGCTTTTGGGTGATAATCAGGCGCAGGATGAATTCGGGGCACTGGGCTACTGATGGTCAACTGTTAGCACCTGGGCTTGGGCTGTGTGTGGGCACCCATGCCTCAGCTCTCACCTGTTCATGTTCCTCCATGGTACCATCTCTGATTTGTGGCGTTCAAAGGCGTAGGATGGCAGCAAGCCTCCTTTACCCTGTATATCCATCCCCTTGCTGTTGGCACCTAAGGTTGTCACCCCATGCCCTCATCAGTCTCTGTACCACATATCAGGAAGTCCTCCAGTGGTGGCTATGCCTGCCTTCTCTGAGGACTTTAAAGACCTTGGCTTTGCCACGCCAACAGGCTCTTCCAACCAGTGCCTTTCCTCCAAATGATATGGCGATGTTTTGCTTTCCCAGGTCGATCTTAAGCCATTCCCAACAAGGAGTGGACATCCTTGTGTGAAAAACACTGTTTTTCTTGCTCCAGTCACGTCTCCTTGCCTTTCTTGTCTTTTGGTGGTAGTGTGCAGAAGCAGAGGTGCAGGAAATGTTGAAAGGGATCACATTCTAAGAATGTAGTTATAATGGCCTGAAGAATTCAAGAGAATACATGGTTGGAAGATGTGTCACTTTATGGTTACACTATAAAACTCCAAATGAAAAATAAATTATCATTCATACTTTCCTGAATATTCTGGGTAAGGCTTGCATTTTGGTCATTATTAATGAAGTACAGAAACAACCTCTGAGAGAGTGGTTGGATGCCAGTATTTGCAGGTGCCACGATGAATGATGCAGCACTATCAGTCAAGATGCAACCAACATTAGACAAATGGTATCAGAGAACCACAGAGGCGAAAAAACAAAACCAAAACCCAAAACTATATTGTTTCAATACAAACAGGTTCCAAAAGCTATGACATCGTGAGTGACAACAATGTTGCCGCCTCTTTCTCACAATAGGAAATAAAACTTTAACCAAAAGAGCATGGGCAGATATTTCCCGGATCTGAACAGGAATAGCTGGTGTCTGGACTCTATGAAGAATCTTCATGTGCAGTGATAGAAGAATAAACACATTTGTAAGTACCTCTTCTCTATGGATTATTCTAAATCTTCATTGACAAATGTCAGCACCTCACATAGGCCCATACATTTTGAAATACCTTTTAAAATTAAATTGTTTAGATAGGCAAGGGTCTTATAAAATATTTTTTTAGGGCTTTGTATACTAGGGGTGGCCCTGGTTACTGGTGATCTTGAAGATATTGTCTCAGTGGCCTGGTGGTGATAAATACCTCACTGGAGTAAGTGCAAGCGGAGTTAGAAGAGAAAAATTGGAGACAATGAATATAGACAAGTTAATAAAAAGGACTTTTTCTATAAATAAGAGCAAAGAAGTGAGGCAGAAGTTGGAGGGGTGTGGGGTAAAGAGTGTGTATTTTTTAGATGCATTCATGTATTCTGTTAGGAATGGTCAAGTGGAGGGGAGAAATTGATGATGTAGGGAAAGGAGAGAGAGAGAGAGAAAGAGAGAGAAGCAGAGTGAGTTTCTTGAGTAGGCAAGAGGGGATGGGAGTCTGATGGAGAAGTAGAGAGGATGTCCTTAGAGAGGAGCCCTGACATCTCAGTCACTTAGCTGGTGGGAAGGCAAAGGATGTGGGTGCAGATACTGGTAGGTGTGCAGGTGTGGTGGTGCGAGCTTGCAAAAGTTCCCAATGCTTCTATTTTCTTTGTGAAATAGGAACCAAGTTCACCATGGAGAGAGTGAGTGGGTTGGGGAAAAGGTGTTGTATGTTTGAGGAGCGAGGAGAAGGTGTCAAATAATCATCCAGGTGAGCAGATTAGTGAGCAGCATGAAAATGTGATAGGATTTCTGGCCACACTAATGACCGTTTGAGACCTAATGACAAGACCAGTTGGACCAATCAGTTGGGTTGTTGTTGTTGATATTGTTGTTGCTTTCTCTAGCCGCATATAGCTGCATAGGGGCTGGTGTGGAATAGGCATAGAATTTGATTTCACCAGGGTTGGGGTGCTGGTTATCACCTCTTGCCTCTCAGCTCCAAACCCACCTTCATTGCTTGCTTGTGATATTGGAACCTTTCCCCTTGCTTAGCTAGTATGATGTTATATGCTTCATCAGTAGGGGACACTGGAGGATGAACAGTATTTCCTAGTTTAATGTTTTTTTTTTTTTTTCTAGGCAGACTTTTGTAGTGCACAGTGACCGGTGACCAGCAGCATGTGTTTCCATAGGCATCTTCTCTCAGTACCCCAGAAGGTGAATTGCCAGTGAGTCCTGCCAGGATGCCCCTCGGTGACTGCACCACCCAGTAAGTCATGGCTGTGTACTTCCCATCAAGGTCTGGATCTCAGCTCAGGTAGTGGGGGCTGCTCTTCCATAGTCATTCCATCCTTGTGTGCTCTGCCTCAGCCCTGGGGATAGTGGCCGCTTTCTGTACATGTCAGTCCTCTATTCTTTAGACTTCTTGTTACCCCATTAGCAGCCAATTCTCTTTTGTTACTGCTTAGCAGCCAACTTTTTTTATATTAAACTTTCCCCAACCAAATTATAGTGTGGTTTCTGTGTCTTAATTGGACCCCGGGTGATACAGTTTGCGTTTTGAAAGTGAAGAATTGTCGAAGTGATGTTCATCACTTCTTTCTTTTCATTTCTGTATTTTTATTGCTCCTTTCTGTCTCCTTCCCCAGTAATATATAAACTTACTCAAATGTCTCCTACCTGAAAAATAAAACAAAATGGAAGCCATAGTTGGCTTCTTATCTTCCTTTAGTTACTGCTCTGTTTACTTTTACCATCAAGTTCCTCAAAAGAGTACACTCTAAATCTGTGGTAGAAAGAACTGTTGTTCCCAACTCCTAGTTTCCCCCTGTAATAGGGTGACACAGCCCTGCCCATGGTGTGACTTGCCCATTCTCCCTGAAGGGACACGTGCACCCCTGCTCCACTGATGTGGGGCTTGGCCTTAATTGTTGCTTTGATCCGTGGAACATGGGTGGAAGCGACAAAGTGCCAGTTCTAAGCACAAGGTTATGAGACAAGGCATATTTTGGTTCGTCCCTCTTGATCTTCTGCTGTCTGCCATGAGAAGAGAATGTCCCACAGTATGGTTGCTCTTTAGGCCTGGGACCTGGAATGAAAAGACAGGCAAAGGCCAGCTGAGGGTCTGCTCTGTGGCTAGGGCTGTGGCCACTCTCCCATTCTTTTCCCTGGCACCATCTCAGGTCCAGGAATAAAGAAGAGCAACAAAAGTTTTCATTAGACTTTAAAAACTTTGAGTCTTACTCATATTTAATCCTTAGTTGCTGAAGAAGTGACTTTCATATATAGGAGACCCTAAGGGGGTACATTCTCAGTGAAGTGACAGCCATGGGGGAGGGAAAGATTGATCCATATGAGGACTTCAAGGTCCTGGCATATCAGGACAGGTCTTTAGGAGTCCTGTTGACATAAATAAAATAGGTAGATTATTGAGACTGAGGCCAGGCCCTAAACACTAGTGTATTAATTTGCTAGAACTGCCATAACAAAATACCACAACTGGGTAGATTAAACAATGACATTTGTTATCTCACAGCTCTGGAAGCTAGACTTCTGAAATCAAGTTGTTGGCAGGATTGGTTCCTTCTGAGGGCAGTGAGGGAAGGATCCATTCCAGGCTTCTCTCCTTGGCTTATTGGTGGGTGTCTCCTTGTTTATATCATATTCCTGCTGTATGTATGTCTGTCTGCCTATTTCTCCTTTCTATAAGGACACCGGTCACGCTGGATTAAGGCTCACTCCTTAATGACTTCATTTTAACTTAATGATCTCTCTAAAGACCCTCTATCTAAATAAGTTCACATTCTGAGGTACTGATAGAAATACAACATGAATTTTTGCGGAGACAACATTCAACCCATAAAAACTAGAATTAATATTCCTGAGAACAAGGGGTGGCAAAGCCTCCTCCTTCATCTGGGGTGAGGGGAGTCTTCTGAGTAGATAAAGAACTCCTTTTAGGGTAGAAAGGAGCTGAAGTTCATCCAGTGCAAGTACTGAGTGAATTTATTCTAAGGTCCCAAGACAAGAGAAAGATAAAAACAAAAACGGATGTATCACTGAAGGAGATGTGCTCGGCCAGCTTCCGGCAGCAGCAAGAACAGTGGGTATATAAGCTCCAGTAGCCAAGGTTGCCCAGGTTACCCTTTTCAGGGGCAGCAGTAGAGGCATAGTTGGTTCCGGAGTCAGAAAGACCCAGCATCTTCTGCTGATGCTCAAGCTGCATGTTTTTTTTCAATCTTCGCAGCTACAAATTTTTATCCCAATGGGGAGCACTGTTTATAGGTTGGAGGATTAGGTTCCATAGGAAAGAAAGAAAATGAGGAGAGACACATTGGACAAGTTGGTGGGAGACTGTGCCACTCGCCCTCTAGCCTTTGACCATAGACAAAGATTAAATAAGGTTATATAGATAGGAAGAAAGAAGTAGAGGGGGCAAAGAACCAGGTAGCTGACTCATTTAATCCTCCCAAAAGGGTTTTTCTTATTGCAGTTTCTTTGCAACTCTGACCATATTGTAATATTAATCAATCAATCTATCACTTGCCTTTGTTGATATTTCTGTACCCTCCCCCTGCCCTAAATTTATATGTGGATGCCTTAACCCCCAATATGACTGTATTTGGAGATAGGGTCATTACAGAAGTAATTAAGGTTAAATGAGGGCATACAAGTAGGGCATTAATCCCACAGGATTAGTGTTCTTATAAGAAAAGACAACAGAGAGCTCCTGCTTTCTCTCTCTCTCTCTCTCTCTCTCTTTCTCTGTCTCTCCTCTCTTCCTTTTTGCACATGCACAAAGAAGAGGTCATGTGAGCATGGAGCCCGAAGGTGGCCATCTACAAGCCAGGAAAACAACCCTCATCAAATTGGCTGACACCTCGACCTTGGACTTCCCCCTCCAGAACTGCGAGAAATTAATTTCTGTTTAAGCCACCCAGTCTCTGGTATTTTGTTATAGCAGCCCAACTGGACTAATGAAATTTATTTAAATTATATTTCCCCCATTAGAATGCAGAAACCAAGCATCTCCATTTCCCAAATACCACCAGTACCTGGCATGGTAGCTTTCACATGGCAGACACTCAATAAATATTTGTTGAATGAATGATTAGTAAATCAATAACATAATAGGTAGTATTATCCTCATTTTAAAGTGGAGAAAATTGACAGATATGAAAGGATGCTTAATACTCACAACCTAGGGACACAAATGGCATTTCCTTAACCAAAGTTAGTTGAAAGTGGGCCAGGATAAAATAACATCTTCAGACACAAACTACATTAAAGATTGCTTTAGCTGATCCAAGAGAAGGGTCATATTTGTTCCAATTTCAGTCTAGTGTCCTCTCTGTAAAAGGGATTAGAGATTTGCCAATCCACATCTGGTTCACTCCCTGTAAATCAATGCCCTCAGAGTCAGTAGACAGACACAAAGCTTAGAGGAATTTAATTGCCAAAGGCAATGTGGGGATATGAGAGGATGAGCATTTGCTGTCTCCTGAGAGACCTCACAGGGTGGCACTGCCTCGGTCCAGGGTCTGGTCTATGCCCTGCAGGTTTAGAAACTGGATCTGTCAGCACACTGAGAGTGGATCCATCCCTCAGCTTCAACTCTAATTAATTAAGCTCAGAGAGCTGATGCATGAAACCAGCATGTCAATGTATTGATTCACAAGAGGGATAAAACTGCCACTGTGTCTGGAACACTTGTCTCTACATGACTTGCACATTCTTTTAATGAAGTCAGACCTCCAAGGAGGGCAAGTTATCAGAATGTTGCTTAGTGAGCGTGGAATCCAAAAGAGCTAGCTAGTTAGATGATTCAAACATTTAATGACATTAAGCTAGGAGAGCCGATACTGCCACGTTTACTGTAGGAACGGCCTTTCTAAAGGTGTTAGATTATTCAAAGCCATTGGCTGAGGCACCATCTCCAGTGGGCACTTCTTACACGGGCTCTGCTGATGTTCACCATTCTCATGCTCCTGTTTTTATGCTTTTTATGGCTGACTAACCCTGCTTTGACTGGCTCTTTTAGTCTTTGTACTTGCTAAGCTTTCAGACATATTCTGTCTGTTTCAGATGACTTTATCCATTGGTTTTGATCTGTTTTGTGTAGAACTTAATTCTCAGACAATAATCTTATTTCTTTAATTTACTCATATTTGTGAAAGTTCTCACGAAACTCTTCAATAGCCAAATAGATAGATGGCTTCTTGTAGTTCTATCTTACTTTATTTGAAAGATATATTTGAGAACACTTATCAGAGACTCTATGTCTCATCTTTGTACTGTGCCCAAATCACTTACTTTCTCCATTTGTAGATAATCTCCAACTTAATTACTACTTGTTGATTTTTGAAATTTGCTCATTGAGTACCACAGACCTTGGAACAATGCAGGAGTTAGAAGTGCCATTCCCCTCCATGCAGTTGAAAACCCATGTATAACTTTTGACTCCTCCAAAACTTAACTACCAGTAGTCTACTGTTGACCAGAAGCCTGGCTCATAACAGAGTTGGTTAACACGTAATTTTGTATGCTCTATGTACTATATACTGTATTCTTACAGTGAAATAAGCTAGAGAAAAGAAACTGTTTTTAAGAAAATCATAAGGAAGATAAAATATGTTTACTATTCATTAAGTGGAAGTAGATAATCACAAAGATCTTCATCCTCATTGTCTTCACATTGAGTAGGCTGAGGAAGAGGAGGAAGAGGAGAGGTTGTTCTTGCTGTCTCAGGGGCAGCAGAGGAAGAAGAAAGTCTGTGTATACGTGAACCCACGCAGTTGAAGCCCATGTTGTTCAAGAGTAAATGGCAATGTGATCCATAACCTGGGACACTCTAAAAGATAACTCAGTTGGATATTTCAAAATGTTAATATCAAGAAAGAATGGGGGGACTGTTCTGTTAAAAGAGTCATCATAATGAAATATAATGCATGAAACGTGATTGGGTTCAGGTTAAAAATATAAATGCAACTATAAGAGATATTGTTGGGAAAAGTGGAAATTCAAATATGAACTTGTTATTCAGTGGTATTATGAACAATTGCTAATTTCATTTGGTGTAATAATGGTAATGTAGGGGACTGTCTATGCTCCAGAGATGTAGGCAGGGTGTTTCGGGTTGAAGAGTTACAATGTCTGAAACTCGGTGTTAGATGATTCAGCCAAAAACAAACAAACGATGTCTATCTATCTACACAGAGAGAAGCAAACATGGCTAAATATTAGCAATGTCAAATCTAGGTGGAGAGTAAATGAATATTTATTTTACTATTTTTTAAAAAATTTTACTTTAAGTTCTGGGATACATGTGTAGACCATGCAGGTTTGTTACATAGGTATACATGTGCCATGGTGATTTGCTGCACCTATTAACCTATCATCTAGGTTTTAAGCCTTGCATGCGTTTAGGTGTTTGTCCTAATGCTCTTTCTCCCCTCATTTTACTATTCTTTCAACTTTTGTCTATGTTTGAAATTTTTCATACTAAAAAGTTAAAAAAATTATGTATTATAATAAGTGGTTTGTAAATGTAGTGGTAAGAATAAAAATTGAGCAATATTTACTAAAAAGTAAAATTTGAGAACCTAGGAGATAATTGTCTCTTGGGAAATTGGGTCATTCCTTCACCTCCCTAGGCTTCTACTTTCTCACTTCAAATCAGGGAGGTAGAGTTGGATTAGGAAAATCTTTAGTGTCTATTGAGGTGTAATATCCTAGAGTTTGATGTAAAGTATAAATGTACTCAATTTTGTTTGCTCTCTCTTCTTAGGTAAAAAGACATCCCTTAACTATGGCAAAACAACAACAACAACGACGACAAAAAACAAAACAAAACAAAACAAAACCCTGCATCAATTTGATAAATAATCCTCCCCGTTGATGTCACTGGTTTTTTTCTGCACATCTTCTCACTGATATTTAAATGCTGAGCTTACACTTTCCATGGACATGCTTAATGACTAAACAATAGTTGAATTCTAAATTAATCAACTGACCAACCAGTAAGAATTTATTGAGCAACTCCTTTGAAGCCGTCTATCTGTTAGGTGCTGTGGGAGCACAAAAGAAATAGGACATCATCTCTGCCTCAGGGAATTTAGTGTTTTGGGGAAAACCTGAGTGGTATACACAAAGCAATTGAGGAACAACCTAGGACCTTGTAGTCCATTAGGATTTCCAAAAATAGAAAGAGAATGGAAAGTCACCTGGCTAGGAGAAGCCAGTGGAAACTTGACACGAAGAAAAAAGAGCAGCTAATTTCATTCCTGTCCACCAGTTATTTATGTGTTTATCTTTAATTACATTTGTTTGATTTCCCTTATTAAAGTCTGATGTCTTAAAAAAGCAGAAAAGTGAGGCAGGTCAGCAGGGGATGTAAGTTGGGAAGAAAGACAGGTGAGGGCAAGAATTTAGGCAGGAGCCACAGTGTTGGTTGTGCAGGTGAAGGTCAGGTGACGGAGGGTAACCAGTCATGGATGACCCAGGCAGGAGCCATAACCAAAATGTTAGAAAAAGTTGGTAAGAAATTGTTCCAGGCCAGGCGCAGTGGCTCATGCTTGTAATTCCAGCACTTTGGGAGGCCAAGGTAGGCGGATCACTTGAGGTCAGGAGTTTGAAACCAGCCTGGCCAACATGGAGATACCCTGTCTCTACTAAAAATACAAAAACTATCTGGGCATGGTGGCACGTGCCTGTAATCCCAGCTACTCAGGAGGCTGAGGCAGGAGAATCACTTCAACCCAGGAGACAGAGATTGCAGTGAGCCGAGATTGCGCCACTGCACTCCAGCCTGGGTGACAGAGTGAGACACCATCTCAAAAAAAAAAAAAAAAAAAAGTTTTCCAGGAACAAGGGCAGAACTTAGCTACTGAGTTCTACCGAAGGCCAGGATCTGAGTCAAGCACCAAGGTTAACTCCCAGGGAAGCCAAATGTTCATAAAAGGAAATCTTTCCAAATCACAAATATCAGGGCCTGCTAGGTAAATTCTAGCTTCTCTGTGCCAAGGGCTGTGTTCCTACTCTCAAGCGCCACTCACTGACTGTCTGGGTGGTGCTGTGGGCTTCTGTACTTTTAGCTTCATCAGCTGCACCTGTCCTCTTTTCCCATAAGACGCCAGGACCCTCAGAATCTTCCCTCTTACCAGAAATTTGGGTTTTGGGCTGGGTCCCTGGACCGAATTCTGACACTCTAAGTGTTTGCAGACTATTTTGATAGAGGTAGTGATTATGATGCCAGAAAAGTGAAGCCAGTTTTTATTAGAATGTTGGCCATCTTGAATAATCCATTCCCCCACTTCCATGGGACATCTTCAAAGAGATTTTTAAAAGACAAATATGATCTCTACTAATGAGATATCTTCAGAAGGTAGAATTAAAGCAAAATTAATGTACACAGAATTCCTATTTCAATATATTTATTATTCACAACATTTCTACACACACACACACACACACACACACGCATACACACACACACACACACATTCCTGCACAGGTAATTTATAGTGGCTAATCCACTCAGTACTGTGGACTTTGGTTTTAGAGAGCATTGTTTTCAAGGGTAGTACAGATAATCTGCCTCCAACATATTCTATTCTTAGGGCTCTAAAGTCAAAGGAGTTTGTACAGACCCCTCCCTGCTAAGGTAATTATGTCCTCTTCATATCTTGCATGAATGTTTGCTCTTAGAGTGATGATCTGAAATATCAACATCCTGCAGGACCTAGTCTGGTCTGGAAGAAGAAGAGATATGTCATCTCTATGGGCTTTGATCTTGGTAGGCATATTTATTCACCAGGTACACAAATGCAACTTTAAACCCTCAGCCACATTTAGTAAACTATTTCTTCATCTGTTGCAGTCTTATTCTGATGGGAAAAATTTCCTCTGTTTTTCAAGTTTAATTTATTATTTTTTCAAATTACAAGAGCAATGCATATTATTGTAACCAGAGAGATAATGCCAAGATCGGTAGAGAAAAACTTAATAATCTCGACCTCCTATAACCATCTCTCTTCCCATCCCCCTGAGGTAATAGCAAATGTTAACAGCCTGCTACCTCTGCACATCTTCCTTCCTTCATGATTTCCCTACACACACACCCATACACACACGTGCGCATGCACACACACACCCACTCAAACACACGGTGTACGTCCAGGAGTCAGAAGTGGCTACAGAGATGGAGTCTTCATTATTAAGGTGAGAAAATGATAAGACAAATCACCCTTCTATTTCTACCTCCATGGAAAGCTAAATCTTCCATTTATATTTTTATAGTCTTTTCAGCACTGTCTTAATGGTCTTGAGAACATATTACCCTGAAAATGTAAAAATAGAGCCAAAGAGGTGAAAGCTCCTTGCGTGGCTTCTGACCAGGGATGGCTGCTTCCATGGGCTTTAGCTCTGCCAGTTCTCCCTAGACTGGGGCAGGTAGGCAGTGAGGATTTCAGCATATATTAAGTGCCAAATAGAAACAAATATTTGTTTCTATTATTAGAGTAAAACAACAGAAGCCTGTATTTTGACCAGAGGCCTGGAATCTACTACTTTGTGAATTAGCTAAGCAGCCCCAGTTGAACGTGAACCAGCCTGGAACAGAGTGGACTGCAGAGGCAATAAACAAGGATGTCGTGAAGACCCTGTTTCTTTCTAGCGTGGCATCCCAGGATAAAATATACAATTAATAGATACTGGAAGGCACACTTTCTGATTATGGAGAAACCATCAAATTTGGCCATGGTTTTGCATAGGGGCTAGGTTGGAAATTCAACTAGAACAATTTAATGTCTACTGGCAAAGCTTCTTAATTATGGAATGAAAGCTACCTCAAAGTGCCTGGAGGCTTGAGCTGAATGGTGAGATCTTCATTGACCTGACCTCCTCTGTGCTGAAGTTTGCTGACTTGAGGAGACCTCCCCTAAGAACAGACCCTCCCCTCAGGGCTGCCTTCAGCGATGATGATTGACGCTGGCAAGTCAGTCAAGTGGGAAGTTTGCAGCACACACGGCTCAAAGGACTCACCCAGTTTGCCCTGTTGGAGGATGTTAACCTTTGCACACTATTTTTGACATTTAATTTTTCCTTCCATTTAGTGCATGACTCTTTTTTTGTCTTTCTAGTAAATTCATTTAGTTAGTATTATTCTTTGCCTATTTTGTCTTTTAAACTTCTGGTTTTTAATCTTTCGTATTTTATATTATTTATTCTTGGTGTTCATGCTTCTTATTCTCTTTTCTGCTATTTTATCTTATTGTTGTGATAATAGTATATTTGCAGTAAGCTCCTTTTACTAACTTCATTTATTTCTACATAATGTTTTATCTGGCTTTGACCACAACTATATAAGGGGACAGCAAAGTGGAGCCACAAATGGGAAGATTGTGAAGAGGGCCCTTGACCAAATAAAGAGGAAACCTTTTCCCTGAAGAGGACTTTTCAGCAACCCAACTAATTCACTCATTTTTCTCAAAGTTGAATTTTCTTCCACAAAAACCCCTTGACTTTGTTATTGAGTAGATCCTCAGGCCTAGGAAAATAATGTCTACATCGACCAAGGAGATATCTGAACTACCAGTACTTCCTGCAGCATCTTTGTTTTGGTTGGCCTGGGCAGGTGGTGGGGCACGGGGGTGAAGGGAGGGGTCTGAGGTGGGTAGAAAACAAGGGTATCCCCAGGGCTATGGGAGGAAGGTCTAGTGGACTGGAACCATTGTATCTGTCGATTAGTGGAGGCAATCATATTTGTGATCCTTGAGCTAATGGTCTAGTAAGACTATAAACTTGTTCATAATTAAAGCTGGCAAGAGGGTTCTTACCCCAGGTAATGAGACAAGAGTGAACCACAGGAGGAAGCCAGCACAGAGACCGTATGTAATGAGTCCCTTCATGGGAAAGGGATGGAAAACAGTCCTCAGGCTAGCAGCAGAGGGAGTGCTGTCTGTTGTGGGTCTTGACCTGCTTAAGAGGTCTGACTTGAGGTGAGGCTGAAAGACAGCCCCGCTGGGGGCTTCAAGATAACGATGGACGGATAGAGTTCTCTCACCGCTGAATATCTCCTAAGGCATTAGTAAAACACTATTTAAATATTTCCTCTGTAACTCAGTTGTGCTATTAAAGCTCTGTTTCTCAAAGTAGGTCTGTAGATGTTCTTGAGAGAGTGAGTGTTTCATGAGAATTTTCAAATTTTCTGCTTTCGTTTTGAAGATAATCTTAAAGAAATAAAATCAAAATGTTCTACTACATTATTTTTAGTGCTGAAGGCTGAGTTTGGTGCCAAATGAAGAACAAATAACATCACGGCATGCTATGGAAATGTCGATTTTGCATTAAGTTTGAATAGAGAAAGATGTGGGAAAATTGATCAATTTTGTGGCCCAAAGGTAGTACAGACATCATTAGTTCAAAATGTCTTCTGTCATAGCAGTGGCATATCATGTTGAGAAGTTATTGTGAGACATACCAACTTGAACTGTCATTCAATAGCAGGAAAGAATACTGTTATTTTTATTCAATAGTATTTTTAATGTTAATCTTCAGTATTTTTATTATTATGTACTTATTGTGGTGCACTATTAAATTTATCAGCCCCTCAAACTAATGGATTAGTAGTTAAACAAGCTTATTTACCAAAAACGATTAATCCTACGATAACTTGAAGAAAGACTTAAGATATGCTTCCAGTATTGTTCAAAGTCAAAAGAATCAAGAGGACAGAAAGTGAAGCATAAAACATACAAATAGTAGGTGTATTAAACCCAACGCCAGCAATTTAGTTCCAGCAAAATATCATTTATCACACTGATGTTTTCTATATGAACTCTAGTGGCTTTTGTATGTTTGCTTGTTTTTAATTTGCAGCTTTGCTTGAGTTTTGAAGTAATTTAAGAGCTATATGTATGGGAAATTTATATCTGTTCATTTTGAAGTAACACAATAAAAATAATGTAGAGCAACAGTAGGATTTTATGGGAGTTTTTTTTTATCTTTTAAACATTATTCAAGCTTAAAAAATCTATGACAGAGAATTAATGGGAGGCTTTTATGTCTACTCTTTCAGTCTCAGGCTAACTGGGCCATAACACCTCTTCAGGCTGGGGTTGGGGTAATGGAAGCAATTAATGAAAGACAAGGAAAGAAATCGGGGATGAGTTAGATATTTGTGGACCAGTTCATCCTCTGAATGTGGATAACTACTACTTAGTCACAATCTTGGTGAATTTTGTTTTATTTTGAAAATCTAATATTAGGATATCTGAGTTCTAAGAAAACCAGGAGAGACTTGTAAGTGTTGACAAAACTTAATAGAGTAAAAGTAGATATTGGGGTAGGCGCAGAAAACTGGAAATTTAGGTTCATAGAACTGAGGTGAAATGTGTGTGTGACTGGAACAAACCTGTGTGTGTGTGTGTGTGTGTGAGCTTGTGTATTCATGGTGAAGTTCTCAATAAATTTGCCTACAATTGTGTGTGGCTGGTGGATGGGCTGTCTGGATGAATGGCATCACCCATGCACCAGACTTCTTTCCCTAAAAGTGTTTGTTCTGGGGGCTTTCCTGGTTGTCTCAGGTGTAAGTTCAGATGTACTCTAGGATTTTCTTGAGGTAGAAAACAAGATTCCATGACTGCTTTTCAGGACTGTTACTTTCCATTGCAACCAAATGTTGGAGTGACCATCGTGCTAGCGGGAGGCCAGCACTCTTTCTACTACCTCTCTCACTGTTTATTTCAGTTCTTTCTTGATTGCTGTAAACACATGTATGGCATGGACAGCCAGGTCTTGGTCAGGGTTAATCTAGGAAGGGTGAAAGGCAAAGTGAATCCAGATAGATAGATGTCATTAGAGTGAGAATGCCAGGGATTAATGGCATTTGTGACTTCATGGGGCCTCAGATAGCCACTTTCCAATTTTATGAATGGATACTACATTTACATAGAAAAACAGCATCTGCTCTCCCCAGTGCTTAGCGGTGATCAGTGTAAGTCTTGGAATGCCAGAGGGTGATCAACTGATGCTTTTAGCTGCTTGTAGTTCCTCCGTGTACTGGTCAGCTACAGGGTGGGAGTTCTCTGATATACAGAAACATGCCACGGATGCTGTGGAATGGACTCCTCCGGATGCAGTAACAGGGTGATAGTGCAAGTGCATTATCTGTTCAATGAGCAGCAGCAGTACTACAGGCTTAGGACCCGTTCAATACATTCTCCCTGACTCTATCAGCGAGTGATGGGTGGAACAAAGGTGAACTGGAAAATGGAGAGGCTTTGAGTAATACCTTCCAAAATAAGAATACAAATTGAGATCTGAGGTTTTCCTACTCTACGTTCTTACGATAACCCATAGTTTTCTTTTGTTACCTATAATAGTTTATAATGACATATTTATGCATTTATTTGGTTAATGTCTATCATATATCCTATATTTTAAGCTATATAAGGCCAGGAATTGTAGGTACTTTTATTTACCAGGGATCCCAGTGGCTAATACAGTGCCTGAATGTGTGGGTTTTTTACAAATTCTTTAAGAGTGACCCACTACTATTTCTGATTATAAGTATTAGTCATCTTGTTGCTGCATAACAGATTACCCCAAAATTTAGCAGCTTAAAACAACATATATTTATTATCTTACAGTTTCTGTGGGTCAGGAATTTGGGAGTGACTTAGCTAAGTGGTTCTGATATTAGTTAGGCTGCAGCCATTGAAGGCTTGACTGGGGTTGGAGGATACACTTCTTAGAAGGCTCATTCACATGAATGCTAGTAGAAAGTTTCAGTTCCTTTGCTGCTTATTGGTGGGAGGCCTCAATTTTTAACCACATGCATGACTTCATAGGGCTGCTTGAGTGTCCTTATGACATGACAGGTAGCTTTTTCTGGAGTAAGTAGTATGGGGATGCAAGGAGAGAGGGAGAGACAGGAGGAAGAAGCAATACTTCTATTAAAAATAGGCTTTTTCATACCGTAAAACTTACCCCCACCCTTTTTTTTTTTTTTTTTTGGACATAGGGTCTCATTCTGTTGTCCAGGCTGGACTGCAGTGGTATGATAATGACTCACTGCAGCTCTGACCTCCCGGGCTCAATTGATCCTCTTACCTCAGCTTCCCAAGTAGCTGGGACTACAGGCATGTGCCACCACACCAGCTAATTTAAAAAAAATTTTTTTTTTAGAGATGAGGTTTTGCCATCTTTCCCAGGCTGCTCTTGAACTCCTGGGCTCAAGCGATCTACCCGCATTGGCCTCCCAAAGTGTTGGGATTACAGGCTTGAGCCACTGTGCTGGCAAATTTACCCTTTTAAATTGTACAATTCTCCCTGGTCATCTAGTGTTTATGAAAAATCACCAAAATAAATGAAGTGTACAATTCAGTGGTTTTAATACATTCACAAGGTTGTGCAACCATCACCACTATCTAATTCTAGCATATTTCCATTACTCCAAAAAGAAATTCCATTATTTGTCGGCAGTCACTTCCTATTTCTCCCTCTCCCCAGGCCCTGGCAACCACTAATCTTTCTGTCTCAATGGGTTTGTCTAATCTAGACACTTCATATAAATGGAATCATACCATATGTAGCCTTTTTTGTCTCACTTCTTTCACTTAGTATACATGCCACATGGCAGCATGTATCAGCATTTCATTCTTTTTTATGGGCAAATAATATTGTACTGTATGAATAGACCACATTTTGTTTATCCATTCATTAGTCAATGGATATTTTGGTTGTCTTGGCTTTTTGGATACCATGAACTTTGCTACTATGAACATTTGTGTACAGGTTTTTATGTGGACATATATTTTCAATTCTTTTGGATATGTACCTATGCGTAGAATTTCTGGGTCATATGGTAATTATATGTATAAATTTTTTTGAGGAACTGCCAAACTGTTTTCCAAAGTGGCTGCATCATTTACATTCTGACCAGCAGTATATGAAGTTTCCAGTTTCTCCACAACTTGCCCACATTTGTTTTGCTGTTTTGATATTTGCCATCCTAGTGGGAAGTGGTATTTCATTGTGATTTTGTTTTGTATTTCTATTTTCCTAACAAATATTGATGTGCAACTTTTCATATGATTATTTGCCATTTGCATATCTTCTTTGGAGAAATGTATATTCAAATTCTTTGCTCATTATTAAATTGGGTCATTTGTCTTTCTATTATTGAGTTGTAAAAGTTCTTTATATATTCTAGGTACAGTTCTGGCTATCAGGTGTATGATTTGCAAATACTTTGTCTTTCCACTTTCTTGATAGTGTGTCCTTTGACACAATTAATTTAAATATTTTGATGAAGTTTGGCTGAGTGTGGTGTCTCACACCTGTAATCCCAGCACTTTGGGAGGCCAAGGTAGAAGGATTGTTTGAGGCCAGGAGTTAAAGACCAGCTTGTGCAACATAATGAGACCTTATCTCTATTAACAAAATTTTTTTTTATGAAGTTCAACTTATCTGTTTTTTTTTCTTTTGTTGCTCATGTTTTTGATCTCATATCTAAAAATTCTTTGCCAATCCAAAGTCATGAAGATTTAACTCCGTGTTTTCTTCTGAGTTTTATAATTGTTGCCCTTATTTGTAGGTTTTTGATCCATTTTGAGTTAATTTTTATGTATGGTGTGAGATAGTGAATTCAACCTTATTCTTTCGCATGTGGCTATTAAGTTGCCCTAGCACAATTTGTTGAAAGGACTCTTCTTTTCCCATTGAATTGTTTTGGTGCCCTTGTTGAAAGTCAACTGACCATAAGTGTATTTCAATTTTTGGATGTGATTATAAGTGGAATTATTTTATTAATGTGATTTTTGGCTCGTTCATTGCCATTGTATAGAAATAAAATTGATTTTTGCATATTGATTTTTGTTATAGTTCAGATATTTGCCCTACCCAAATCTCATGTTGAAATGTAATCCCCCTGGGGGGTGGGGACAAGATGGCCAACTAGAAACAGCAGTGTTCGAGGCTCCCATTGAAAAAAACCATAATAAGCATGTGAATGTTTCCCTGGCAACCAAGGTATCCAGGTTCTCTCATCAAAATTGACTAGAAGGCTGGCATGACCCACAGAGAGAGGGAAGAACAGTGCAGTGTGGTGGCCCACCTGAGAACCACATGGGGTAGGGGTGGCGGTGAGTGAGAGTGCTACACAGCCGGGGAAACTGCTTTTTCCATGGAACTGTGCAACCTATGGATCGGAAGATCCCACTCGTGAACCCATGCCACTGGGGCCTAGTGTTCCAACCCCAGAACGTGCAGATTCTTACAGCCTCTCAGCTGGAATCAGCTTAAGCCTACCAAACTCCCAGGAGGAGGGGTGACCAGCACCATGGCTGTGGCTGCCTGCTGTCTAAACTGTTTGAGCACCTTGGGGGAGGGGCAGCAGCCAGCATTGGGACTGGCAACTACCTAATATGGTAAGCTTCCTGGGTGGGGGAAGGGTGGAACCCATTTCTATAGCTCCAGTCTGCGCCTTTCCCCTGCTGGAGCCAGGGAGGCTGGATGGCTTGATCCCAAGACTTGTCCCCACAGCCCAACACACTGGATGTGGTAGTTTGCAGCCAGAGTATGTCTTCAGGCCTGACCCTGCCTGACCCATCCTTCCCCATTAGGTGGGGGTTTCCTGCAGGAATGCCAATAACTCCAGCCAGAGGCTCAGGGACAGAATCCGAATCTCCCTGGGCCTGAACCCCTAGGGGAAGGGGTGGCTGCAGTCTCTGTGGACCCGCAGACTTATCCTCTCCTCCTGGTAGTTCTGAGGAATCCGGGCAGCCTAGATGAGTGGGTTTCCCGCGAGTGAAGCACACTCCCTCCACCAATGGACAAAGTGCCTCTTTAAATGGGTTCTGTTTCCCGTGCCACCCAACTGGGGGAGCCCCTCCAACAGGGGTTGTCAGACACCCTATACAGGAGCGATCCTACTGGCATCAGGTTGGTGCCCCTCGAGGTCAGAGGTCTCAGAAGAAGGAGGAGGCACCCATCTTTGCTGTTCTCCAGCCTCCTTAAATGACATCTCCAAACACGGGAGTGAATTAGATGAATAGGGCCTGAAGTGAACCCTCGGCAAACTGCAGCAGCCCTACAGAAGAGAGACCTGACTATTGAAAGAAAAACAAACAAGCAGAAAGCAACAACAAGATCATCAACAACAGCAACAAAAAGCCCCCACAAAAACCCCATCCAAGGGTCAGTGGGCTCAAAGACTGAAACTAGACAAATTCACGAAGATGAGAAAGAATCAACAAAAATGCTGAAAACCCAAAAAGCCAGAGTGTCTCTTCTCCTCCAAATGATCGCAATGTCTCTCCATCAAGGGTGCAGAACTGGACGGAGCATCAGATGGATGACTTGACAGAAGTAGGCTTCAGAAGATGGGTAATAAAAAACTACACTGAGCTCAAGGGGCATGTTCTAACTCAATGTAAAGAAGCTAAGAGCCTTGCTGAAAGGTCAGAGGAATTGCTAACTAGAATAACCAGTTTAGAGAGGAACATAAATGACCTGACGGAGCTGAAAAAAACAGCACAAGAACCTCATGAAGCATATACAAGTATCTACAGCTAAACTGACCAAGCAGAAGAAAGGATTTCAGAGTTTGAAGACCGCCTTGCAGAAATAAGGCATGCAGACAAGAATAGAGAAAAAAGAATGAAAGGGACTTCCTAAAAAGACTGAACCTGCAATTGATTGATTGGAGTACCAGAAGGAGATGAGGAGAATGGAAATGAGCTGGAAAACACACCTCAAGATATTATCCAAGAGAACTTCCCTAACCTAGCAAGATAGGCCAACGTGCAAATTCAGGAAATACAGAGAACACCATTAAGATACTCCATGAGAAGATCAGCCCCAAGACACATGATCGTCAGATTCTCCAAGGTCAAAAAGAAGGAAAAACTGTTAAGGGCAGCCAGAGACAAAGGCCAGGTCACCTACAAAGGGAAGCCCATCAGACTAACAGCGGACCTGTCAGCAGAAACTCTATCAGCCAGAAGAGACTGGGGGCCAATATTCAACATTCTTAAAGAAAAGAATTTTCTACCCAGAATTTCATATCCAGCCAAACTAAGCTTCATAAGTGAAGGAGAAATAAAATCCTTTACAGACAAGCAAATGCTGAGGGATTTTGTTACCACCAGGCCTGCCCTGCAAGAGCTCCTGAAAGAAGTACTAAATATGTTAAGGAAAAACCAGTACTAGCCACTGCAAAAACACACCAAAATATAAAGAGCAATGACACTATGAAGAAACTGCATCGACTAGTGTGTAAAATAACCAAATAGCATCATGATGACAGGATCAGATTCACACACAACAATACCAACCTTAAATGTAAATGGGGCAAATGCCCAAATTAAAAGACATAGACTGGCAAATTGGATAAAGAGTAAAGACCCATTGGTGTGCTGTATTCAGGAGACCCATCTTATGTGCAAAGACACACATAGGCTCAAAATAAAAAGATGGAGGAAAATTTACCAAGCAAATGGAAAGCAAACAAAACAAAACAAACAAACAAAAAACAAAAAAGCAGGGTTGCAATCCTAGTCTCAGACAAAACAGACTTTAAACCAACAAAGATTAAAAAAGACAAAAAAGGGCATTACATAACGGTAAAGGGAACAATTCAACAAGAAGAGCTAACTATTCTAAATATATATACACCGGATACAGGAGCTCCCAGATTCATAAAACGAGTTCTTAGAGACCTTCAAGGAGACTTAGACTCCCACACAATAATAGTGGGAGACTTTAACACCCCACTGTCAGTATTAGACAGATCAGTGAGACAGAAAATTAGGAAGGATATTCAGGACTTGAACTCAGCTCGGAACCAAGTGGACCTAGTAGACGTCTACAGAACTCTCCGCCCCAAATCAACAGAATATACATTCTTTCAGTGCCACATGACACTTACTCCAAAATCGACCACATAATTGGAAGTGAAACACTCCTCAGCAAATGCAAAAGAACTGAAATCATAACAAACAGTCTCTCAGACCATAAAGCAATAAAATTAGAACTCAGGATTAAGGAAATGCACTCAAAACCACACAATTACATGGAAATTGAACAACCTGCTCCTGAAGGACTTTGGGTAAATAAGGAAATTAAGGCAGAAATCAAGAAGTTCTTTGAAACCAATGAGAAAGAGACAATGTACCAGAATCATATACAAAAATCAACTCAAGATTGATTAAAGACTAAAATGTAAAATCTAAATCTATAAAAACTCTGGGAGACAACCTAGGGAATATCATTCTGGACATAGGACCAGGTAAAGATTTCATGACGAAGATGCCAAAAGCAGTTGCAACAAAACCAAAAATTGACCAATGGTCAATTAAACGAAAGAACTTCTGCACAGCAAAATAAACTCCCAGCCAGGCATGGTGGCTCATGGTTGTAATCCCAGCACTTTGGGAGGCCGAGGCAGGTGGATCACTTGAGGCCAGGAGTTCAAGACCAGTCTGAACCCCATCTCCACTTAAAAAAAAAAAAAAATTAACCGGTGTGTGGTGGCGTGCACCTGTAATCCCAGCTACTCAGGTGGCTGGGGCATGAGAATTACTTGAACCCAGGAGGTAGAGGTTGCAGTGAGTCAAGATCATGTCATTGCTCATAGCACTCCAGCCTGGGTGACAGAGCAAGTCTCTTATCTCAAAAAAACAAAAAAACAAAAAAACAAAAAAAAAAAGAAGAGAGAGAAAAAGAAAGAAACTATCAACAAACCAAACAGACAACCTAAAGAATGGGAGAAAATATTTGCAAACTATGCATCTGACAAAGGTCTAATATCCAGAATCTATAAGGAACTTAAACCAAAAACTACCCAACCTTATTAAAAAGTGGGCAAAGAACATGAACAGACACTTTTCAAAAGAAACATACACACAGCCAACAAGCATGTGAAAAAATGTCCAACATCACTAATCATTAATGAAATGCAAATCAAACTACAAGGAGATACGATCTCATACCACTCATAAAGGCTATTATTAAAAAGTTAAAAAATAACAGATGTTCATAGGGTTGCAGAGAAAAAGGAACATTGATATACTGCTGGTGGGAATGCAAATTAGTTCAGCCATGTGGAAAGCAGTGTAGTGATTTCTCAAAGGACTTTAAACAGAATTACAATTCTACCCAGCCATCCCATTATTGGATATACACCCAAAGGAATCCAAATTGTTCCATCATAAAGACACATGCATGCACTATTCACACAATAGCAAAGACGTGGAATCAACCCAGATGTCCATCAAAGGTGGACTGGGTTAAAAAAAATGTGATACATATGCACCACGGAATACTAACACAGCCATAAAAAGACCAAGATCATATCTTTTGTAATAACGTGGATGGAGCTGGAGGCCATTATCCTAAATGAACTAACATAGGAACAGAAAACCAAATACTGCATATTCTCACTTATAAGTGGGAGCTAAACATTGAATATATGTGGACACAAAGAAGGGAACAATAGATACTTGGGCCTGCTTGAGGGTGGAGGGTGGGAGGAGCATGAGGATCAAAAAACTACCTATTGGGTACTATGCTTATTACCTGGGTGATGAAATAATCTGTACACCAAATCCCCATGACATGCAATTTACCTATATAATAAACCTGAAAAAAAAAGTTGAGAAAGTTTGAGAACTGCTGCCTAAACAATTCATTTAAACACTGAATTGATTAAGAGTAACATTTTCCTTTGTATCTTTTGTTTTTCTCTTTTCTTTTTCTAAACATGCTTTCCCCTTGTAATTAGTTTTTAAGTGCTTAAGTAATTCCTGCATCCCAGGATTTCCATGGACAAACTTATGATACTTTATTTTTGTCTCTTTATTTTTTCCTTTTAAAGAGTCTGGTGATTTTTTTTTTCTTTTTTGTTACCCTAGTATGCCCTCTATTTTCCCTATGATGTATTTAATCATTAACCTTCCAAATATGTGTCTGTATATGTATACATTTATGTACACATATATATTCATGCACAAATATAGATAAAATGATGCCCTGTTAAAATAAATAATTGGGAGGCCATTAGGCTGAGATGGCTCCACTGTCTCGGGTTTCTATACGGCCAAACTGAAACCTAACTCAGTGTGAACAGCCATATTGCAGGAAAACAAAGCTTAAGCTTAACCAGTCAGAAACTGTTGAGCTGGAATTTTTTCCTTGACCTTGTGGGAGGGAACTGGAGTAGCACATTTCATTCAGCCTGCCACTGGCCACTCCTCATGAGAGGGAGCATGTGAGCAAGAAGAGTGCAGGAACCAAAGTGAACTAATGCTGGAACTGGCCGGTTGCTCCTCTCTGGCGGGAGCCGGCTCTGTGCAGGGCCCTGTAGGAGTGTCCCAGCCCTTGTCCTCTTGGCATTTGGGTTCTTGTCCAGTGTCTAGGAAGAATCGTCACACGAATGAATTGAAGGTTGGCGTATGCAGAGGATTTTATTGTGTGATGGAAGTGGAAGTGGCTGTCAGCAGAATGGGGAGTTGGAAAGGGGATGGTGCGAGAAGAAGATCTTTGCCTGAAGCTGCACTGTCTGAAGTTAGCCACATCTGTCTGTAGTCTTAGATGCTCAGTTGCTTCTCTGCTCAGCCATTTGTATCCCTGATGCTCAGCTGCTTGTATCCTCAATGCCCAGCTTCTTGTGTCCCTGACGCTCAGCTGCTTGTATCTCTGACGCTCAGCTGCTTGTATTGCTCTGCCAGTTAAAGTTTTTTTATGGGCACAGGATAGGGGTGTGGCAGGCCAAAAAGGCAACATTCAGGTAGAAAAATGGGTCAGCTGTTTTCACTTAGGGCTGTAGTTCCAGGCTTAATGGTGGGGTTTAACTGAGAGCCCAGCCATTCTGTTATCACTGCCAACTCACCTCTAACTAGGAACTTTATGGCTACTGCTCTACTTTAACCAATCAAATATTTTCTTTGTCTTGTTCCTCAAATACTTTATAAAGCATCTCCCCTCCCCCTGCCTCAGTGGAGCCCAGACCCAGCTGTGGTTTGGCACTACCCGATTCATGAATCACTATCTGCTCAAATCAACTCTTTAAAATTTTAATGTGCCTAGGTTTATCTTTTAACAATACACACGTGTACATACAACACATATATGATTTTTTTTTAAAAAAATTCAGAAATGAAGTGATACTGGTTCCTCCACTAACTTATCTCCTGGATAGGACACTTACTCCAGTATGGTAGATGGCAAGCTGTCTTTAATCTTTAGCTTATTAGATAAAATACTTCACAAGTTAAAAGAAAACTTTAGACAAGTTAAATTTTACAGAGTTTAACTGAGCAAAAAATGATTCTCGAATCAGGCAGCCCCCAGAACCAGAATAGATTCAGTGTGATTTTAGGCCTGCCGCATGGTAGGATAACAAGGAAAATGATGTCCAGAAAATGGAAGTGAGGTACAGAAATAGCTGGAACGGTTACAGCTTGATGTTTGCCTTATTTGAACCTGGTTTGAACCTGGTTTGAGCAGCTGGCTGCCTGTAATTGGCTGAAACTTGGCTATTTCTTACAAGAGTAAGTGACCGTTTTCACATCAAGTTACCTTGCATTTCTCTACATATGAAGAAACCTTTAGGCCAAACTTAAACTATGTAAAGAGACAGCTTTAGGCCAAACTTCACTTAACACACATCATGTTTTTTTTGCATTAATTTTCATCACGTAGCCTTTTAAAGATATTTTTAGCCTTCATTCTATTTGGACTGGAATGCGAACCGTGTGTGCGTGTGTGGCTTTTTGAGCTTTTCAACCTTCGTCTTCCTGTTTCTTCTGCCTTTTTTCCACTGAAACTCAAAAACTGTGAAACGTGATTTCCCTTTCTAACACACCTTAGTGCTGTTCAATACTTATAGTCAGGAAGTCCTGTCTGGTCTCCATAAACTCTTGGTTAGTCATAGTCAAACCAGGGAGAGAAGGACTGCACCAAGTGGTGAGACATTCAAGTGATGAGGAAAAGAAAAGAAAAGAAAAAAAAAAGAACACGAAGGGGAACAAAAAAGGAGAAAAGGAGGAAAGGCAGGGAACATATGAATGAGACAAAATTGGGAAGAAAAGGGGGTTGAAATGAGAATCCTCTGAAAGCCAAGTTGACTCAGCCCTTTCAAGAACTCTTAACTCCTCCTGCCCGTTAAAGGTGTGTGAACCAGAGCAACTCCATCTTGAATAGGAGCTGGGCAAAATGAGGCTGAGACCTACTGGGCTGCATTCCAAGATGGTTAGGGCATTCTAAGTCAGCGGATGAGATAGGAGGTTGGCACGAAATACAGGTCATAAAGACCTTGCTGATAAAACAGTTTGCAGTAAAGAAGCCAGCTAAAACTTACCACCAAAACCAAGATGGCCAGGAGAGTGACCTCTGGTCGTCCTCACTGCTACACTCCCACAAGCACCATGACAGTTTACAAATGCCAGGGCAACATCAGGAAGTTATCCTATATGGTCTTAAAAGGGGAGACATGAATAATCCACCCCTTGTTTAGCAGATAATCAAGAAATAACCACAAAAATGGGCAACCAGCAGCCCTCAGGGCTGCCCAGCCAATGGAGCAACCATTCTTTTATTCCTTTACTTTCCTAATAAACTTGCTTTCACTTTACTTTATGGACTTGCCCTGAATTCTTTCTTGTGTGAGATTCAAGAACTCTCGCTTGGGGTCTGGATCAGAACCCCTTTCCTGTAACATTTTTCTGGTGACCACGAAAGGACTCTAGCAAGGAAACCCCTGACCCAAAGGCTAACTTTGGGTAAGTGGTGGGGTCCAGTAACACCCCCACCATTGTCAACTGTCTTATGTTAATTCAGAATTTAGGTCAATTTAGTACTTAGCTACTTTGCGATTGCTGGAGTATAGCTCTTGTGAGGTGTTCTTGTGCACTGTGACACAAGAATCTGGTCATGCTTTTATGAATTTTGTGTGGAGCTTTCCATGAGTGAGAGTGTCCATAAATGTAATCTGAAAAGAACCCAGGACTGAGGCCCTAATGGCTGCTCTGGTTCAATTTTCAGCAACTCATATCCTCTTCTGCAGATTTTAATTCTGGGCCAAGACTCTTATTCTGCTATAGTGGAGTGTCTCTGTGCTAATTCAGGGTTGGGGCTCATTACATGATACCCCAAAGTATGGTACTTTGGAATGCTGAGTACTTTGAACTGAAGAAAATTGGAAAGGCCTCAGAAGCAAGGTCTTTCTGAACTTCTCCTGTCCTGTTTTCCACTGTAAGCAGTAGAAGTTATTACAGTTACTGGCAGCAAATTGCAGCAACCTCGATTCTTGTCTCCTCAGAAGATGTCGACTGAGGGGCATAAGGCAAAAGAAGAGACTGAGGCAAGTTTTAAAGCAGGAGTGAAAATTTCTTAAAAAGCTTTAGAGCAAGAACGAAAGGAAGGAAAGTACACTGAGAAGAGGCCCAAGTGGGTGACTTGAAGGACAAGTGCAAGGTTTGACCTTTTGACTTGGGTTTTTATGTGTTGGCATACTTCTGGGGTCTTGCATCCCTTCTACCCTGATTCTTCCCTTGGGGTGGGTTGTCGAAATGCACAGTAGCCTGCTAGCGCTGGGGAGGGGAGCAAGTGCAGTGTATTTATTGAAGTTGTAAGCATGCTCACCTGAGGCGTTCTTCCCTTTTTCAGTAGAATGCCCCCAGAAGGTCATATATCAGTTAAATTCCACCATTTTGCCTCTTAGTGTGCATGCGTGAGCCCGCTCGCCCAACTCCTGAGATCTCATCAGGAAGCTCCTGATCATCAGTTTCAGGGTTTTTCTATCTATAGGGAAACTGCCTTTCCCTGGCGCTGGCTATGAGCAATTATTATTTTAGAGAGGCGGTGTGACCACTGTCTGACCATCACCTGATGATCTTCTGACATTCCTGGTGGAGCGTGGGGGCCCTATCCTGCCCTGTTCGTGTCTGACTAGCTACCCACTGTAACATCACCACTCTTCGCAGTGAGTCATGGAAACCAGAATTCCTCTTTCCCAACGCAGGTCATAGAAACTAGAATTCTCCTTCCTCCAAGCAAGTCGTAAAACCTAGAAAGGTTATTTTCTGCCTTCTCCCTTGAAGACCCTCATTCCAGAAGGGTCCTGCCCTAATACCAGAAGGAATGCTACACAGGGAGGCCAAGAAGAATATGAACAGACAGGCCTTGCTGGGTTTCCCCATTCAGTCTATTACCATTAGACTATTATCATTCCCTTTTTGTCCAATCCCATTTCTTTTTCTTTTTAAGACACAGGGTCTCTCTCTGTCGCCCAGGCTGGAGTGCAGTGGTGCAATCATTGCTCACTGTAACCTTGAACTCCTGGGCTCAAGCAACTCTCCCACCTCAGCCTCCCAAGTAGCTAGGACTATAGGATCACAATACCCAGCTAATTTGTGTGTGTGTGTGTGTGTGTGTGTGTGTGTGTGTGTGTGTGTGTAGAAATGGGGTCTCCATCTGTTGCCCAGGCTGGTCTCAAACTCCTGGGCTCAGGCGGTCCTCCTGCCTTGGCTTCCCAAAGTGTTGGGATTACAAGTGTGACCCACCGTACCAGGCCTCTAATCACATTTCTACACAGCGATCCCTTCTTCATATAACCTAAGCATAAAAATAGTTTCCTCTAGGTCTCATGGTCTGCATTTTTGGACTCTCATGTCATGTAAAACTTTGATTAGACTTGTTAGGCTTTTTGTGTGTGTTATAGGAGTGTCAGCTGTGACCCTTAAAATGGGTAAAGAAAGGTTTCACACCTTTCCACTCCTACACCAGTCAGAGTTTACTACATAATTTTGGAACTGAGTGATTTCAGATGTGTTTAATTCAGCTTCATCTTGGCTTCACCACATTCTGCCCTGTGTATGCGACTCAGTAACCACTCTGCACCTCAATTTTTTCAAATAAGGTTTGAAAAAGAAGGTTATAATATTTACCTCAATAGGGTATTGTGAAAATTACAGAAGTTATGATTTACATAAATCTAAAACACTTTGAATCATGCACATAGTAAATGTTTAAAGGTGTTCACTATTATTATGATTGACTTAGATTAAACCTATTTTAAATATTAACTGTTCCTCTACGCTATCAGACCTCCAAGTGTGGTGTGGGGATTCATGGGGGTGGGAATTTTCTGGAGACCCTTTTCAGGAGTCCATGAGGCCAAAATTATTTTCTTAATACTACTATGAGGTTGCCTTTTTCATTCACATTCTCTCAAGATGTAGTAGTTTTTTAAGAGCTACCTGAGAAGTGCTAACGTTAGCAACAGAAGCAGCTAGAGAATCCAGTTCTCACATGAAATCAGACATTAGAGACTTTTCTTACTAGATTTAAAAAAAATTACTTGTCATAAAAATGTTGTTTGTTAGCTGGTAACGCATTAGTAATTTTAAATCAATATTTTAAAACTTTAATTCTAATATAGTAAGTATTGATATAACTGACAGAAACAAAAGCTCCCTGGGCTCTTTAACAATCTTTAAGACCGTAAAGGGATCTTGAGGTCAAATTTGAGAACCAAAGCTGTGATGCAACCTCTTTTTGAACAAACGTGGATGCCTCACCACCACAATTTCATCTTTTCTAGCCTCCATGACTTTTTCTTGTTTCCTCTGGCTGGGCTGAATTTCTTCATTTCTGCCTGCCAAAAGCCCTACCCCTCCTTCAAGAGCATCTATAACTGGTTATCCTTGAATTTGGTCCAGATTTCGCTGCCTCCTTGGCACCCTCTTCCACGATGCTGGGCCCTCCAGGGCCGGGCCTCCCTCGGACACGTGCCCTCGTTAGCCTTGGAATATGCACACTCTGTTTTGACGGAGACTCTCTTGCGAGCCTGGTCTAGATTTCTCCCCTCACCAGCCAGGCACAGGCACCAATGGGAGGTGCCTGGGCTCCACAGGCCCGTCGGGGCCAGAGGGTCGCCGGTAGCGTCAACCAAGTGCACGACAGCCCACGGGTGGCTAGGCGCGTGGGAAGAGCCGGAGCCCGACCCCCGCCCACCCGGTTTCCTGGCAGCGCACTGCCGCGTAGGGGCGGAGCCGCGCGCCTACACAGGGTGTGGCCTCCAGCCCGCGCGGGAAAGGGCCTGCGCCGCATGCGCGCGCACAGTCGGCGGCCGCGCGCAGCACGCTCAAGGCCGGGATGGCGGCGGCGGCGGCGGCAGGAAGCGGGACGCCCCGAGAGGAGGAGGGACCTGCTGGGGAGGCAGCGGCCTCGCAGCCCCAGGCCCCAACGAGTGTGCCTGGGGCTCGTCTCTCGAGGTTGCCTCTGGCGCGAGTGAAGGCCTTGGTGAAGGCAGATCCCGACGTGACGCTAGCGGGACAGGAAGCCATCTTCATTCTGGCACGAGCCGCGGTGCGCCTGCAGCGCGAGGGCATGCGGGAGTGGGGGAGGTGGAGTGTGGGGCGGGGCCTCGGGGCCTCCCGCGGGCGGGGCTTAGGGCGGCGTGGCCCGGGTTTTGAGATGTGGGCGTGGACCCGGAAGGCGGAGGAAAGGGGCCGGGGACCTGTGCGAGTTTTGTTAACACTCCTCCCTCTTGTTGAGGACCTGGATAGTGAGTGACTTTAATTTGTATCTCCAGGGCCTCGTACAGAACTTGTAGGAGTCTTTAGTGAATGAGGGAGAATACTGGGAAGAGGGTAGCGGAATGGATCTTCATGAAGTCCAGGACAATCTTAGCTTCCAGAACATTTTCTTGCCCCGAGCCTTTCTTCTCCCTTTCTGCCCCCACCCACAAACCGGAGCCCTCACCTCCTCAGTGTGTTAGAACCCATTACTAAAACTTTGCTTTTTTACTTCACAGGAACTGTTTGTGGAGACCATTGCAAAAGATGCCTACTGTTGCGCTCAGCAGGGAAAAAGGAAAACCCTTCAGAGGAGAGACTTGGGTAGAGTGGCACTGCAGTGTCTGGGGACAGACAAGGGAGGGCTGGGCTGGTTTCCCCTTGTGCAGGTTGAGAAGACGTCACTCTGATCTGAGAGGTGCCACAGCGTCTCTCCCCAGGATGGTTTCTGTTGGCCACAGTGCCAGGAAGCCCTACCTGTAGAGGCTGTCTGCTTGGGGTGGCGGGGCAGTGTGTGAAGGTGTCTGGGGTTGCCGTAGCGGACTGGATCCCTTCATACCTTCTGCCAAATTGCACCAGAAAAAGATATTTCTTTTTCACCTAGCAACTGGGGATTTGATTTCTGACTCTTGTCTGGCTGGGAACCCTCACCTGGGTAAGATTTCGTATACCGTATTCTCATGCGCCCTGCGTCTATTGCCACGTTCTTCTCTGACAACTTTAAGAGCAAAGCGAATAAATAATTTAGGGGTAATTTAGGAGGCCCCCAACCCCCGCGTTGAATGGTATTTGCCTATGCTTTTCTTAACTCTTCTAGGGAGACAGCTAATATATATAAGAGTTGCTGGTAGAGTAGATATGGATCTCAAGGCAGCAAGGGACGCATCTTATAAATGCCCTCATTTGCCCAAAGCCTCATGCCCTTCACTGCAGATTGTGCTGTTTTCTGACTGAGGTCAGCATGGCTGAAGTTAGTCAGGTGTCTCTTTTCCTTGTGTTTCAGATAATGCAATAGAAGCTGTGGATGAATTTGCTTTTCTGGAAGGTGAGTTCCCTCTCAGTGGGCAATCATTTCCGCCTGTCTTTTGCATGTTGATGTGAAATTCAAAATCTCATAAAACGGATGCCTGCTTCTTGTTTGTGTAGGGATAATTCTCCGCACTTGCTATTAGGATAGAAAAAAGTAACTTGCTAAACCTAGTGAGGTTCAGTTTTCTCCCTTGGGGAATTAAAATTTCTACCTGAAAATTGCTAACCATAAAGAAATAGGAGGGAATATAAAGATCCCAGTGGAGTTAGATGAATTCGAAAGTTCGATTCCTACTTTGATCGCCATCCCTAAATGTCAGGCTTGCCCCCCCTCATCATGTTACAGATCAGAAACAATTGTTAACATTTAAAGGGTCACCGCTTGTTCTTTTTTCTTCAACAATCTGTGTGAAGTGATTATTTTGCTGCAATAAGACTTGTACTTGTCTGTATTTTTAGGAGTCATGGATTAACTTGTGTACTAACTAAATTTTGTCATTAAAAAAGAAAATATTTGAAATACCTAATTTTAGCTACCTAGCCTCAGAGCGATTTCTGCTACTTAATTCTTCAGTCTGATCAGCTTACTCTTCACTACACGTATGTAGTCATGTGCTGCGTAATAACTTTTTGGTCAGCCATGGACTGCTCACATGAGGGTGGTCCCATCAGATTATAATGGAGCTGAAAAATTCCTTTTGCCCAGTGAGGTAGTGGTCATAACATCCTAATGAAATACATTACCTTTTCTATGTTTAGATTTGTTTAAATACACTTATCCTCATGTTACAGTTGCCTACAGTATTCAGTACAGTAACATGCTGTTCAGGTTTGTAACCTGACAACAATAGGTATACCCTGTAGACTAAGTGTGTAGTAGGCTATACCATCTAGCTTTGTGTAAGTACCCTCTATGGTGTTCACACAGTGGTGAAATCGCCTGAAGATGTGATGCATTTCTCAGGATGTATCCTTGTTGTTGAGCGACACATGTATTTTGATTGAATAGCTTAGCAAAAGCCATGTATCCTTATTCTCCCAGGGTGTTCTCATTACCTCCTTCAAGCCTTATTACCTTTAGAAATATCTTGATTTATTCCACTCTTTTTTACTCCTTTGTTCTGCATCTCCCTGTCAACCTAGGCCCCTGGTCCTTTTGATAGATATTTTTTAAATGTCTTATTAGATAGATAGACTACCATGGCCAACTCTATGTCTAGACTATTGAGCATTCTTTTAATTTGCAGATTTTTCTTCAGCCTCTCTTTCCACCTACTCATTTTTCTTAAAATTAACTTTTGTTAGTCCTACCTAAGGCAGGCACTCCTTGTGACAGACTTTCTGTAAGTTCTGCAGTCAAAAATGTTTGGAGCCTACTTTACCTCTTCATTTTTAATTACCAGCTTTTCAAAGACATGAGTGATATGATCAGATTTGTATTTTAAGTGCACAACATTGCTGCCCTGGGGAAAATAAACTGGAGGGTACTAGGAATAGAAGTGGGGTGGTCTTATGTAGTTTTCCACTCTAGCCTCTATCACAGCATAGTGCTTAGCTTGGATTTTTAATAAATGGCCATTTATTGAATGATTGGTGTGTTTATTTTCATCCTCTGCCTTCATCCTCATTTATCTCTGTAATTGAATCCCTTTGCTCTGTCCTACATTGGTAGATCTGAATGTTAGCCATCATAGCCCCTGTGGATTCAGTCTGCATTATATTATTTTTTACTGGGTAAAATAAATGTTCTTATGTCCTTAGGTGTGTATGGTCTAAGTAAATACATTTTTTTCGTTTTTATAATACATATCCATACTTGAAAATCAAATCGTTACCTAATGGCTTATAATGAAGTACAGCTGCCGTCCACCCACTGTTTTGTTTGTGTTTTGAGCTTTTCTGGTGGTTACGTTTATTTCTAACTAATATGCTTACCCATTGGTTTGTCAGCTGTAGACGGTATGTATTGACTTCCTGCTGTGATAAATGAAGATTTGGCTAACCTGTAGAACCCCATAAATCCCCTGCTGTCTTTCTGATTTTTGGTAGTTGTATCACTAGTTTTAGTTTCTTTACCTTTACAGTTTATATAACATACTAGGATGTCTTTGGTTGTTGTGTCCAATTTTTAATGTATTCCTTGACTCCCCAGTTTGTAAAGTATGACTATTAGTGCATGTATCCCTTTTCCCTTTCTAGTTCACATCTAGCTATCAATTTGTGTTATCTAGTAATTTGACATTGTCAAAGCTAATAACATTTGTATCTTATCACAATTAAATCTTCCATGCTTTATCTCTGGTTGATTGTAGAAGTTGAAAACTAGGACTGTAAACAGTCTTTCTCTACCTTCTCTCTGTCCCTTAATTCCTCATTCAGGTCCCCTCCCTGCAAACAACTGTTACTAGTTTTCTTCTGTAATCTGGATATTTTATGCAAATATGTTTGTATGTGTATATGTATATTCTTTTTCTAAGTCATATGAAATACAACGTATGTAAAGTGTGTGCTGTAAATGTAAAGTCAATAAATGATAAAATGAACACTCTCGTAACCACCATCTTGGCCAAGAGATAGGGTATTGTCAGCCCCCAGAGTCCCACGTATATTCATTCTTCATCATACCTATTCTCATCCCCTTTCCCGACATTACTGTTTCCTAACTTTTTTGGTAATTACTTCCTTTTCTTTATAGCTTACTATATAAGCATGCATCCCTGAACACTAAGGTTTAGTTTTGTTTTGTTGAACTCTCTGCAAATGGAACCAAACCGTATGCATTCGTTGGCCAACATCTGTCACACAACTGTTTTAAGTTAACACATTTATGAGATTCATCTGTGTGATTGCACATAACTCATTTGTTCGTGTTCCTTGCTATATGACAGTACCACAATTGAACTATTTTAATGTTGATATTTGGGAAACCTTATTTCTCCTATTATAAACAATTTGCTGTGAACAATCTTGTACATATTTCTCTAGGGTGGATGTATATGTGTGTATAAAATATATAATACTGCTGGGACCTAGGCTATATAGAGTATTCGTATCTCCATCTTTGGCAGGTACTGCTGAACTTCCTGTATTCCAATTCACGTTCCTACCAGCAGTGCATGATAATTCCCATTGCTTCTCATTCTTACCCACACTTGGTATTACCAGAGTTTTTTATTTTTGACAAGCTGTTATTGAATGTAAGTGATAGTTGCATGTGGTGTTAATTCGTATTGCCCTGATTGTGGGTGACATTGGGCGTCTTTTCATATACATGCCCATTTTTTTTTGAGGGGTGTCTTCTATTTTTCTGTTAGCTATTTTTGTCCTTTTTCTTATTGACTTATAAAAATGCTTGCTGTATTTTATTTCATTTTTATTTATTTATTTTTTTGACGTGGAGTCTTGCTTTGTCATCCAGGCTGGAATGCAGTGGCATGATCTCTGCTCAATGCAGCCCCCCCTCCCACGTTCAAGAGATTCTCACGTAACTGGGACTACAGGCGTGTACCACCACGCCTGGCTAATTTTGGCATTTTTTTGGTAGAGATGGGGTTTCACTGTGTTGGCCAGGCTGGTCTCGAACTCCTGACCTCAAGTGATCTGCCTGCCTCCGCCTTCCAAGGTGCTGGGATTACAGGTGTGAGCCACTGCGCCCAGCCGTGCTTGTTATATTTTAGATATGAATCTTTTTTAGTATATGAGACGTATCTTTTCCTGCCTTTTCACTCCTTAAAAGGTTGTCTTTTGATACGCATTAAAATATAAAGGTAATCAAATGTATCAATTTTTTTCCTTATAACTAATGCTATTTGTGTTCATTTTAGAAAATATTCCCTACTGTATTGTCATGAAGACATTCTGTATATGCTAAAATCTTTATAGTTTTGTCTTTCATAACAGTGGAGTTGAATTTTTGTGTATTGGGTTGGGGGTCCAGTCTCATTTGTGTCTTCATATTTAGATATCCGCTTGTCCATATCGTCATCTCACTGCTTTGCAGTGCTACCTTTCTTATCAATCAAGGCTGTTTCTGGCCTTTCTGTTCTCTTCCATTGATCTATTTGTATCTCTTTTCCATTGATGGGTATTCTCACATCAGTACTATACTGTCTCAGTTATGGTAGCTTTATCTGAGAGAGCAGATCTTCCCACCTTGTTTTTTTCTAAGTATCTTTGCTATTTTTGAATCTTTGCATTTTCATGTACATTTTAGAATCTGTCAAATTCCACAAAAAGAGATATTAATTGGGATTGTATTGAATTTATAAATTACTGTGGGGAAGAAACGATATCTTTACAATAGTGAACCTTTCATTTTATAAATATGGTCTACTTTAACATTTATTAATATTTAGTTTTTAATAAATTATTTTACCTGAAGAAATCTTGATGTATTTTGTTAAATGTTGTTCTGTAAGTACTTAATATTTTTGATGATATTGTTAATGGTATCTTTCTAAAGAAAATTTTATTTTCTAAATATTGCTGTTTTTAGAAATATAATTGATTTTATGTTAATTTTGCAACTAGCATCTTTCTTAGCTGTTATTCTTAGTTTTTTTACTTAAAAATTTTGTTTTGATGTAGTTCTTAATAATTTGAATGACATATCTGTTGATTTTTGAATTTCTTTAATTACATAGTAGTATATCATCTGCCAATAATAATAATTTTGTGAAGTTCTTTCCAATCCTTATCTTTATATATTTTTTTCTTGCCCTACTGAACTGGCTAGAATCTCTAGTACAGTGTTGCATGGAAGTGGTAAGAGCAGGCATTTTTGACTTCCAAGGGAAAGCTTTCAGTATTTACCTAGTAATTATGCTTACTGTAGATTTTATGTAGATTTTTTAACAGATTATGAATGTTGCATCCCTGTTTATAAAAGAGATTAGTCTTTTTTTTTCATACTGTGTGTGAGCTTCATACAATTCATTGGCAATTATACACTTTTTATCTATTTTTTTTTTTTTTTTGGTGGGGGATGGAGTCTCACTCTGTTGCCCAGGGTGGAGTACAGTGGTACGATCTCAGCTCATTGCAACCTCTGCCTCCTGGGTTCAAGTGATTCTCCTGCCTCAGCCTCTCGAGTAGCTGGGATTACAGGCTCGCACCACCACACCCCAATAATTTTTGTATTTTAGTAGAGATGGGGTTTTGCCATGTTGGTCAGGCTGGTCTTGAACTCCTGACCTCAGGTGTTCAAGGTCCACCCGCCTCAGCCTCCCAAAGTGTTGGGATTACAGGCGTGAGCCACCGCGCCTGGCCCACTTTTTATCTTATCTATTCTCTGGAAAACTTATTGAAAGATTGGAATTATTTTGTTTTTGAATATTTGATGGAATTCAGTGATGCTGTTAGAGGGGTTGCAATGCCAAATTTGGTTATTGTATAATTTAGATTTTCTGTGTTCTTACTGAATTTCTTCTGTCTGCTTATTTTACCTGTTTCAAAGAGTTATGTGTTAAAACTCTACTGCTATGATTATGGACTATTTCTACTTATATTTCTGGGTCTATTCTTTCATTATATATTATGAAACCATGTGATTAGATATATACAAATTTAATGTTGTTATATATTGTTGGTGATTGAGCCTTTTATATTTGTAAATTGGCTATTGTTATTTCTAACTGCTTTGAGCCCTAAAGTCTATTTTGTTTAATATTATTAAAGCTTATCAGCTTTCTTTAGTTAGTATTTATTTGCACGGTACGGATTTTTGTAAATCTTTTAATTTTTATCTTTCCATATATTTGTGAACAGAATTTAACTGGATTATTTTCCTAAATTCAGACAGTCTGTGTCTATAACTGGAGCACGTCATTTATTTATGTTTAATGTAATTGGTCATATCTATGAGTTTGAATTCTATTGTCTTATTTTGTCCTGCTTTTTATTTGCTTGTTTTATGTTTTGTTTTTTTTTTCTCTCAATTTTTGGCCTTCTTTTGGATTATTATTTGATTTTTTTCCCTCTATCAGCTTGGAAGTTATATGCTCTATTTCTATTCTTTTAGTGATTATCAGTTACTATGTAAGTCCTTAATTTATCAAAGCCTATTTAGTACCTTTCCCCTCATTCTCAACAAATTGAGATCTCAGGATCCATTAACTCAATTTTCAAATTCCTCGTCTCCTAATTTATGTGCTGTTATTGTCATGTATTTTTGTTTTGTCTTTGTCAATCTACATAAGGCATTTTTATTCCTGAATTATGCAGTCAATGATATATGGATTTAGTCACATACTACCTTTGCTTTTCTTTCCTTTCTGGATTATTATTATTTTTGAGACAGTTTCATTTCGTCACCCAGGCTGGAGTGCAGTGGTGCGATCTCAGCTCACTGCAACCTCTGCCTCCTGGGTTCAAGTGATTCTCATGTCTCAGCCTCCCAAGTAGCTGGAATTACAGGCATGCACCACCAAGCCTGGCTAGTTTTTTTTGTATTTTTAGTAGAGATGGGGTTTCACCATGTTGACCAGGCTAGTCTCAAACTCCTGACCTCAAGTCATCTGCCTGCCTTGGCCTCCCAAGTGCTGGGATTACAGGCGTGAGCTGCTGTGCTTGGCCTCCTTTCTGTATTTCCGATCCTCCATTTGTGATCATTTTCTTCTTCCTGAAATAAATCATTTAGAACTTCATTTAGTATGGTCTGGTAACTGACTCTCTCATTTTTTTCTTATGAAAATGCCTTGAATTTCATTGTTGGAGGATAATTTGTTGAATATAAATTCTAGGTGGAAAATTATTTTCTTTTAGCACATTGAAGCTATCATTTTACTGCTTTTTTTTTTGGCTTCTATGTTTTCTATAGAGAAATTACCTGTTTGTAATTCTTTTGAAGCTAGTTTATCCTTTTTGTTTTTTGTCTGCTTTTAAGATTTTCACTTTGATTTTCTGTGGTTTCACTCTGATGTACAGAGGTGTGGATTTCTTTTTATGTAGTTTGTTTGAGCTTCTTGAATCTATAGATTAATGTCTTTCATCTGTCCTGGAAAATTCTCAGCGAGTGTCTCTTCAGCTATTGGCTCTGCCTTGTTCTTTCCTGTGTCTCTCTCTGGGATTCCCATTAAATATATGTAAAAACTCAATCATAATTTTGCCTCTCTAGTATGCATTCTGTGTAATTTTTTCTGATCTTCCAGTTTATTCTCTCCATTTGTCTCATTTCCTTTAAACTATTTTTTTTGTTTTTTTTTTTTAGTTTCAGTTTTTGTATTTTTCAGTACTGTGAGTTCTGTTTGGTTCCTTTCCAAATCTGTTGTCTTTTTTTTTAGCTTAATAAAGTATCAAGCAATTTTTGTGAGTACTTTTTGTTGTTCTTATTTTCTGCAGGTATTTTGAAGTTTGTCTTTTAGTTCTGTAAACATAGTAAACACAGTTGTTTTATAGTGAATGTTCCATCCAATATATGACCTAATATTCAAAGCCTTTTGAGTTTTTTGTTTGCTAGTCTGTGCCGAATCTAACATCCATAGTCTCTTGAGACTGTCTTTTTGTCTGTTGTTTCTTTTGGTACTGTCACATGGCCTTTTATCCCCCTATATGCCTATCTTTGGATAATGGTTATTTTCTTTAAAAAGTATTTGTTAGATAAGTTGAGGCCATATGGTGATACTTTCTCCAAAGAAAATTTCCATTTGCTCCTGAAGCCACCTACAGCCATTATCAGTGCAGGACTTCTGAATCCAGATCTAAGACTTGAAGGTTTCTGGACTATCATACTGATATGAACTCAGGCTGCAGGCCTGTGAAGGGGCACTGATTAAATTCCAGTTCGTCCTTACTCTGAGGGGGCAGCCTTTTGGGCTCTAGCTTAAGAAAGATGGGTGTCAGACTTCCTTACTTGGGTAGACTCAGGGATTTGACTCTTGGTTCCTTCAGCCTACACAAATAACCGCCCAGTTTCTCAGCTTTTTCAGATTGGCAGATGTCATGAGAGCAGAAGTAACATTAGAGGCTGGGTTTGTTTTGTGTTCTTACTGTCTCTAGATTTCACATTTGCTTTTTCTTGATGTCTCTTCAATTCCTGAAGATTTCCTTTTCTTATATATTTTATTTAGCTTTCTCAGTTGATCTCAACAGGAACTTGCCATTATGAAAAGCACCTCTATTTTTTTTTAAATTAGAAGTGTTTTTGCTTTATTTTTCTTATGTTTTTATTTTCCCTATATTATCTAGGTCATTAAAAAAAGTTTTGGTATCCTTTCAACTGTGTAGCTTTCTTCAGATACCTGGTGATTTTCATTCTATTTAAGAATAAGGGAATAAGGCTGTTTGGTAACTGTGTGTGTGTGTATGGGATGAGGGGGTGGTTGTTGCCTGGCAGCTTTGCTTTAGGGTGAACAGGGGTGGGACCAGATGTTGTCCTGGGTGACCCCGAGGGTATGAATGCAGAATGCTTTGCTGTGGGAAGCTGGCAGTTTTAGAGGCTGTTCTAGTTTTCTCCATATAGTTCATTTGGTTCTTTAGAAGAGAGCCCTGTGATCTTTGTTTTTTTTTTTTTTCCAAGTTAGGTTTAAATGCCTGTCTTCTGGTTGTCCTGCCTGTGGGGAGGGTTGTGGGGAGATAGGGGCAACTGTTTGTCATACAGACCCTCTGGTCATTAACCCATTTTCATCTCACATCACCATTCCTGGTGACTTGAGCCTGGAGCTTCCTCATGGTTCTTTTAGGCATATGGGCCTCCTTTTCTGCTGCAGCCCCCTCTGTTCATTCTAGGCTCCTTTTTCCTCTGCTCTATTTATAAGCATACTTTGATCAGGTTTCTGTTACTCAGTTTTTTGTTGAAATCCATTAACTGCCAGTGGGCCCCTATTTGTTGTAGATTTATACTTTTTAAACTTTTTTACCTTTTGAATGGAATCTTGGATGGGAGGGCATACGTACTTGTGGGCCCAGTCCCCCATCTGGAACTGAAACTTTCTAAAAAGATTATAAACTCTTTAATTAGAGAGTTTACCTCATTTATTTTATATTCTTTTCTTATATGGTCTTCATCAATGTTCATTAACTAACACAACGACTTCTTAGCCCTTTTCCCACTTCTAATTCTAGCTCTTCCGACTAGTATGCTTAATTCCTAACTGCCCACCATCTGTAATGACATGTTTTCCCTGGGGATATTTTGGATGGATCATCCTCAAAATTAGTATTTTGGTCTTAGAGAACTGCTGCCAATACCGGAGCCTCTTCTGCATTAAGTTTGCCCAGCTTGTTACACTAATCCAGCTTCTGAGGTCCCCTGATATACTCATTGCTCTTTGTATGTTTAGGTACTTTAGATTGATTGCCGAGCGGGGCAGTTTTGTGAGCCTTCATCTGAAGCCTTCAGTTCACCCCTCTGCACAGGCCTCAGCTTTGAAGAACGGAGTCTTTGCACTTACACACACTCTTCCTGTTCTGCCTTCACCTATGCCGGGATAAGCAGAGATCTCATCAATTAGCTCTTCTCTGCAAGGTCTTCCACTATTTCTGTCTGTCTTCCATATCAAGCCTGGATGCAGCTGCTGCTGCTTAGAGCAGAGATGAAGAAAGTGTTCTGCATAAGTGGCTTCCTGAATGATGAGGACCAGAATAAAGGTTTTTGATCAACCTCAGTCCAGTGTGTTTTATAATCTCGCCTTTGTTCCTACCCTGTGACTGGAGAGTCACCATACCTGGTCACAGACCTTCCTGATCTTCCCTGCCAGCCATTCTAACATACAGTCCTTTCATTAATTTTGTTCTTTTATTTTTCCAGCACATCACCAGAAAGTGGTTCCAGAATTTATGGAACACCACTTGCCCTCAGGAGTTCAAATAAATATGGTCCTAGATTGAAAGCCAGTTAAATTTTTTTTAAGTTTTATTTATTGACATATCCACATACTCTATATTTCACCAATTTAAAGTGTACAATTCAGTGGTATTTAGTATATTCACAAATATGTACACCAGTCATCACAGTCGATTTTAGAACATTTTATTTATTTATTTATTATTATTATACTTTAAGTTTTAGGGTACATGTGCACAATGTGCAGGTTAGTTACATATGTATACATGTGCCATGCTGGTGCGCTGCACCCACTAACTCGTCATCTAGCATTAGGTATATCTCCCAGTGCTGTCCCTCCCCCCTCCCCCCACCCGACAACAGTCCCCAGAGTGTGATGTTCCCCTTCCTGTGTCCATGTGTTGTCATTGTTCAGTTCCCACCTATGAGTGAGAATATGTGGTGTTTGGTTTTTTGTTCTTGCGATAGTTTACTGAGAATGATGATTTCCAATTTCATCCATGTCCCTACAAAGGACATGAACTCATCATTTTTTATGGCTGCATAGTATTCCATGGTGCATATGTGCCACATTTTCTTAATCCAGTCTATCGTTGTTGGACATTTGGGTTGGTTCCAAGTCTTTGCTATTGTGAATAATGCCGCAATAAACATACGTGTGCATGTGTCTTTATAGCAGCATGATTTATAGTCCTTTGGGTATATGCGCAGTAATGGGATGGCTGGGTCAAATGGTATTTCCAGTTCTAGATCCCTGAGGAATCGCCACACTGACTTCCACAATGGTTGAACTAGTTTACAGTCCCACCAACAGTGTAAAAGTGTTCCTATTTCTCCACATCCTCTCCAGCACCTGTTGTTTCCTGACTTTTGAATGATTGCCATTCTAACTGGTGTGAAATGGTATCTCATTGTGGTTTTGATTTGCATTTCTCTGATGGCCAGTGATGGTGAGCATTTTTTCATGTGTTTTTTGGCTGCATAAATGTCTTCTTTTGAGAAGTGTCTGTTCATGTCCTTCGCCCACTTTTTGATGGGGTTGTTTGTTTTTTTCTTGTAAATTTGTTTGAGTTCATTGTAGATTCTGGATATTAGCCCTTTGTCAGATGAGTAGGTTGCAAAAATTTTCTCCCATTTTGTAGGTTGCCTGTTCACTCTGATGGTACTTTCTTTTGCTGTGCAGAACTCTTTAGTTTAATTAGATCCTATTTGTCAATTTTGGCTTTTGTTGCCATTGCTTTTGGTGTTTTAGACATGAAGTCCTTGCCCATGCAGAATGGTAATGCCTAGGTTTTCTTCTAGGGTTTTTGTGGTTTTAGGTCTAATGTTTAAGTCTTTAATCCATCTTGAATTGATTTTTGTATAAGGTGTAAGGAAGGGATCCAGTTTCAGCTTTCTACATATGGCTAGCCAGTTTTCCCAGCACCATTTATTAAATAGGGAATCCTTTCCCCATTGCTTGTTTTTCTCAGGTTTGTCAAAGATCAGATAGTTGTAGATATGCGGCGTTATTTCTGAGGGCTCTGTTCTGTTCCATTGATCTATATCTCTGTTTTGGTACCAGTACCATGCTGTTTTGGTTACTGTAGCCTTATAGTATAGTTTGAAGTCAGGTAGCGTGATGCCTCCAGCTTTGTTCTTTTGGCTTAGGATTGACTTGGCGATGCGGGCTCTTTTTTGGTTCCATATGAACTTTAAAGTAGTTTTTTCCAATTCTGTAAAGAAAGTCATTGGTAGCTTGATGGGGATGGCATTGAATCTGTAAATTACCTTGGGCGGTATGGCCATTTTCACAATACTGATTCTTCCTACCCATGAGCATGGAATGTTCTTCCATTTGTTTGTATCCTCTTTTATTTCCTTGACCAGTGGTTTGTAGTTCTCCTTGAAGAGGTCTTTCACATCCCTTGTAAGTTGGATTCTTAGGTATTTTATTCTCTTTGAAGCAATTGTGAATGGGAGTTCACTCATGATTTGGCTCTCTGTTTGTCTGTTGTTGGTGTATAAGAATGCTTGTGATTTTTGTACATTGATTTTGTATCCTGAGACTTTGCTGAAGTTGCTTATCAGCTTAAGGAGATTTTGGGCTGAGACAATGGGGTTTTCTAGATATACAATCATGTCATCTGCAAACAGGGACAATTTGACTTCCTCTTTTCCTAGCTGAATACCCTTTATTTCCTTCTCCTGCCTCATTGCCCTGGCCAGAACTTCCAACACTATGTTGAATAGGAGTGGTGAGAGAGGGCATCCCTGTCTTGTGCCAGTTTTCAAAGGGAATGCTTCCAGTTTTTGCCCATTCAGTATGCTATTGGCTGTGGGTTTGTCATAGATAGCTCTTATGATTTTGAGATACGTCCCATCAATACCTAATTTATTGAGAGTTTTTAGCATGAAGGGTTGTTGAATTTTGTCAAAGGCCTTTTCTGCATCTATTGAGATAATCATGTGGTTTTTGTCTTTGGTTCTGGTTATATGCTGGATTACATTTATTGATTTGCGTATATTGAACCAGCCTTGCATCCCAGGGATGAAGCCCACTTGATCATGGTGGATAAGCTTTTTGATGTGCTGCTGGATTCGGTTTGCCAGTATTTTATTGAGGATTTTTGCATCAATGTTCATCAGGGATATTGGTCTAAAATTCTCTTTTTTGGTTGTGTCTCTGCCTGGCTTTGGTATCAGGATGATGCTGGCCTCATCAAGTGAGTTAGGGAGGATTCCCTCTTTTTCTATTGATTGGAATAGTTTCAGAAGGAATGGTACCAGTTCCTCCTTGTACCTCTGGTTGAATTCAGCTGTGAATCCATCTGGTCCTGGACTCTTTTTGGTTGGTAAGCTATTGATTATTGCCACAATTTCAGCTCCTGTTATTGGTCTATTCAGAGATTCAACTTCTTCCTGGTTTAGTCTTGGGAGAGTGTATGTGTTGAGGAATTTATCCATTTCTTCTAGATCTTCTAGTTTATTTGCGTAGAGGTGTTTGTAGTATTCTCTGATGGTAGTTTGTATTTCTGTGGGATCGGTGGTGATATCCCCTTTATCATTTTTTATTGCGTCTATTTGATTCTTCTCTCTCTTTTTCTTTATTAGTCTTGCTAGCGGTCTATCAATTTTGTTGATCCTTTCAAAAAACCAGCTCCTGGATTCGTTAATTTTTTGAAGGGTTTTTTGTGTCTCTATTTCCTTCAGTTCTGCTCTGATCTTAGTTATTTCTTGCCTTCTGCTAGCTTTTGAATGTGTTTGCTCTTGCTTTTCTAGTTCTTTTAATTGTGATGTTAGGGTGTCAGTTTTGGATCTTTCCTGCTTTCTCTTGTGGGCATTTAGTGCTATAAATTTCCCTCTACACACTGCTTTGAATATGTCCCAGAGATTCTGGTATGTTGTGTCTTTGTTCTCGTTGGTTTCAAAGAACATCTTTATTTCTGCCTTCATTTCGTTATGTACCCAGTAGTCATTCAGGAGCAGGTTGTTCAGTTTCCATGTAGTTGAGCGGTTTTGAGTGAGATTCTTAATCCTGAGTTCTCGTTTCATTGCACTGTGATCTGAGAGATAGTTTGTTATAATTTCTGTTCTTTTACATTTGCTGAGGAGAGCTTTACTTCCAAGTATGTGGTCAATTTTGGAATAGGTGTGGTGTGGTGCTGAAAAAAATGTATATTCTGTTGATTTGGGGTGGAGGGTTCTGTAGATGTCTATTAGGTCTGCTTGGTGCAGAGCTGAGATCAATTCCTGGGTATCCTTGTTGACTTTCTGTCTCGTTGATCTGTCTAATGTTGACCATTTTCATATGAATGGAATCATGTAACAATGTGGTCTATTGTGTCTGGGTTTTTTCACTTTGATAATGTTTTTAAGGATTATCCATGCTATATAGCATCTACTAGTACCTCATTTTAAAAAATTGTGGTAAATTGTACATAAAGTAAAATTTACTTTTATAACAATTCTTAAGCATATAGTGGCATTAAGTACATTCACATTGTTGTGCAACTAACCCCATCATCTATCTCCAGAACTTTAAAAATCTTCCCAAGCTGAAACTTCATACTCATTAAATAATCATTCCTCATTCCCTACATCCTGCAGTCCCTGGCTAAATTTTGGTTTGGAGGAAAGGTGTGGGTGACATAACAGGAAGGAGGCAGAGTACCTAGAAAGTAGCAGTTAAGGAAAGCAGCAGGAAGCCTTGGACAGTGGTTCTCAAGTATTACTGGGTCATGGACCATTTTTAAAATAGTCCATGGGATTTGCTCCCTGGAATGATGCACAGATGTTCAGTACTGTCACATTTAAAAAATAAGCTTTATTTTGGAGTAATACTAGATTTGCAGAAGAGTTGCAAAGGTAGTAGAGAGAAGTCTTATATGCCCCTTACCTAGTTTCCCCATTGTTAACGACATTACCAAGTACATTTGTCACAACTGAGAAACTGACATTTATAGGTTACTGTTAACTACAGTCTATTTGGATTTCATCATTTTCTTCATTAATACTCCTTTTCTATTCCCAGATCCATGTTACTATATCACATTTACTTGTCATGTTGTCCCAGTCTTCACTGGTCTATGGCAGTTTCTTAGTCTTTCCTCATTTTTCATGACCTTGACAGCCTGAGTAGTGCTGGCTGGGTATTCTGTAGGATCTCCCTAACTGGGGATTGTCTTGTTTTTCTTGTAATTAGTTCTATAACGTTGCATATGATTTTGAGCATGAAACAGACCCCAGAGGCCCTTCTGTAGGCCTCCTATTATCATTGCCAATGGGAATTTAAAAGGACATCGTGGTCCGTTTTCAAGATAAACTCAGATTACAGTTTGCAGCTCAGTGGGGTATGAAATCAAAGTGTGTTGCCACTAGCATTTTGAAGTAGTAACAGTGTTGAATTTAGTAAAGGTAAGTGTTGTAATTGTTTCATTTACACGTGTGTACATTAGGTTATTGTGTAAAAAGTATATGGTGGGCAGAAGGGAGGCCCCCATCACCTTCACCTGCTGGTGTTATGCCCCTGAATGTGTTACATTACATGACAGATTTTGCAGGTATAAGTCATGTTACTAATCTGTTGACCTTCAAGTAGATTATCCTGGATTGTTTGTGCAGGCCCAGAGTAATTACGTGAGCTCTTAAAAACAGCTTTCCGCCAGCTGAGGGCGGAAGGGGCTGTCAGATTTAAGGCATGAAAAGGACAAGGCCTGTTGCTGGCTTTGAAGATGGAGGGGGGCATAAGGCAGGAAATGTGGGCAGATTTAGACACTGAGAGTGATGATCAGCAGTGAGGAAACAGCCTCAGTCTTACAACCACATGGAACGGAATTCTGCCGGTAGTCTGTCCAGTTGAATGTGGATTTTCCCCTCAAGCCTCCTCAGAACAGCCGGGCCAGCTGACACATTCTGACACATTTGCTTTGGCCTTGTGAAACCCCGAGCAGAGAATCTAGTTATGCCATACTGGACCTCTGGCCTGCAGAACTCTGAGGAAAATAAGTGTCTAAGGTGCTGAATTTGTGGTAAGTTATTATAGCAGCAATAGAAAACTAATATACTTCTCACTGAAAGTCAAGGTAAAAAAAAAATCAGGAATACTACTGTAGTGGAAAGGATCCTGGATGGGGTCCGGGAGACACTGGTTTTCATCCTGCTACTCATTATCTCCCATGATGTGTTAATCACTTACCCTTCCTGAGCTTTCTCTTACCAATTAAGTGGGTTATTTTAAAGTTTTTTCCACAGGACATATTTTTCTTTTGTGAACTTTATTTTTTTCAGCAAAATTTACCTATTTTAGTGTGCAGCTCTGAACATTAAATACCTAAAATCACCATCACAAGGTATAGAACAGTTACATCACCACAAAATTCCCTCATGCCACGCCTTTGTAGTCAACCCATCCCACCAATAATGTCTGTGGAAACCAGTAATCTATTGTCCCTGTGATTTTGCCACCTCCAGAATGTCATATAAATCAAATCACACAGTATGTAGCTTTTTGAGTCTGGCTTCAATTTAGCATAAGGCATTTAAGGTTCATCCATGTTGCATGCTATCAGTAGTATGTTCCTTTTTATTGTTGAATAGTGTTTTGTTGTATGGGATGTAAGTACCACAATCTGTTTATCTGCCAATTGAAGGGCATTTGAGACTTCCAGTTTTTAGTGATTATGAATAATGCTACTGTAACATTTGCATATAGGTTTTTGTGTGAACATCACTTTTTGTTGTCTCTTAGGTATATAGGAGTAGGATTGCTGGATCTTATTTAAGTGTATGTTTAATTATTAAAGAAAATGCCAACTATTTTCCAAAGCGGCTGTACCATTTTGTACTTATACCAGCAGTGTTTAAGAATTTCAGTTGTTTTGCATCCATGTCAGCAGTTGGTATTAAAAATTTTTGCCATTATAATAGGTGTGTAGGGGTATTTCAATGTGGTTTTAATTTGCATTTACCAGATATGTATTATGTAAATATTTTCTCCCAGTTCCACAAGACATTAAATTTTGAAAAAAATGCTATAAATGGTTCTTAGCTGCACTCAGCTCTGTTGGTGAGATGACTCAAATGAGGCACCTGTGCCTTCCAGGGGACTCCTCACTTTTCCACCTTTTGGTATAAGCCCCTGTGGAGAAGCAGGGCTTCCTTTGTGGTCACCAACTCCTGTGCCCTCCTCCTGCCTCAGTGTCTATCAGTCACGGGCTAATGGATCAGAAAGAGACCAGGCATTCCCAGTATATCTGACTGGGAGCACTAAAGCAGAATTTCCTGGTGGTAAAGATCATGCTTGGAGACGGGGAAAAGCAAGCTATTGAAATCTGATATTAACAGTGTGAAGGACTAATATTCAAAAAGAATCAGAGAACATTATGCTAAAAAGTAGAAAACTGTCCTATTTATTTATTTATTTATTTATTTTGAGATGGAGTCTTGCTCTGTCGCCCAGGCTGGAGTGCAGTGGGATGATCTCGGCTCACTGCAACCTCCGCCTCCTGGGTTCAAGTGATTCTCCTGCCTCAGCCTCCCAAGTACCTGGGATTACAGGCACGTGCCACCACACCCGGCTAATTTTTTATATTTTTGGTAGAGACAGGGTTTCACCATGTTGGCCAGGCTGGTCTCAAACTCCTGACCTCAAGTGATCCACCTGCCTTGGCCTCCCAAAGTGTTGGGATTACAGACATGAGCCACTGCGCTCGACCTAGGAAATTTAAAATGTGTTCCTGATTTCTTCATTGTATCTGAATCAGGGATCTGACATTCCTCATTCAAGGCTTCATATCTCTGGACATCTTAACACTTAAAGCATTTTTCTTTTTTTCCCCTAATTAGCTCAGAATGTTCTCTGTACCATCTTGTATTTTTTATACTGTTTAAAGTTTTGTGTTTCTTCTTCCTTCGTTTCCTGTAGGAAGCTAGTTTCCCTGATCAGATCTACAATATCTAGCTAACTTGGAATCTTCAAGAAAAATGGATGGTATGCTGTATGCATATCTGGATCAGGATGGTGAGGTAGATATGTCTCACAGTCTCTCTAATGCCTAATTTAATAAATGAGCAATCCCTGCCCCCCCCCCACCAAGTTCATACAAATTAGCAAAATATTTTGCCCCAGCAGTCAAGGAATGGGGCACGTTGCAGTGCCACAAACTTTAACAAGCAAATAAGGAATGACATGGAAGATTCTAGAATTGAGAGGAAGTGCATGACACAGAAAGGTTTCTAAACCCGTCTGCCAGAAGTCATAACTATAAGTCACCCAAATCTTGGAGAGTTTTTATACTCTCAGTCAGGAGGAAATTAAACCAAAGGGTTGGTAGCTTTTCCCTTTTCTGACTGTGGAGAAGTGGAAAGGGTTCCTGGGGAGAAATGGGTGAAGCAGATGGAGATGAACTCTTCAGTGGATGTGAGGGCTATAGGCTAAGCTAGAGGATGCATCTAGAGCTAAGGGGATGGAATGTAGCTCCAAGTAGGCGGAGTAAATCCTAGTACTGTGTGTTAAACCTCCAAGATGGCACACCTTCTAAGCTGAATCGTCCCTCTCCACTCACCATACCTTCAGGTCAGGTATATAGAAATACATAGAAGCGCCCTCAAACTGCAGCTCAGTTGAGAGCACAAATTGACCTCAGGTGTAGTGGAAAGTAAAGTGGCCAAGAAAATGGATGCCGGAGCCAGAATCCCTAGTTTCTTATCTGCTACTTAGGAGGCATTCGAGAAAGGAGACTCTGTGAGTCATATCCACTTCACCATTAAGAGATTAAGTTACGGCCGGGCGCGGTGGCTCACACCTGTAATCCCAGCACTTTGGGAGGCCGAGGCGGGCTGATCACGAGGTCGGGATATTGAGACCAGCCTGGCCAATATGGTGAAACCCCGTCTCTACTAAAAATACAAAAAATTAGCCGGGCGTGGTTGCGGGCGCCTGTAGTCCCAGCCACTCAGGAGGCTGAGGCAGGAGAATGGCGTGCACCCAGGAGGCGGAGCTTGCAGTGAGCCGAGATAGCGCCACTGCACTCCAGCCTGGGCGACAGAGCGAGACTCTGTGTCAAAAAAAAAAAAAAAAAAAAAAAAAAAAAAAAGATTAAGTTATTTAAACAAGTCACTTAATTTCTTTGTGCTGAAACTTTCTAATCTGTAAAATGGGAATAGTGATAATACCTCAGGATTCTTGTGAGGATTAAATGAGTTAATATATGGAAAGCTCTTAGAACAGCACCTGGCACATATTAAGTGCCATATAGTTGTGTCAGGTAATATTGTTATTATTATATCACAGCAAAATGGAAAGACTGCCCAAACATGAGCAGAGTGAAAAGAAATAGCACAACTATATAATAAGCAAGAGCAAAACCAAAAAGTGTCCAAAGGCAAGGAGCCCAGTCTAGAAGAAAGCATAGTCCAAGGTACAGAAGAAAATTCCTCCTGAGTGTTTGAATTACAGAATAGTAACATCATAAACTCAATGAAACGAGCCCAAAAGCTAACTAATACGTAAAGAAATGAAGGGGAGGTTGCAGACCTCACTTTTCATTGCCAGTCAATTTATATTCTCTAAAACGGAAACATGGTTTAAAAAAAAGCTTGAATTTCTTTTTTTTCTTTTTCTTTTTCTTTGTTTTTTTGAGACGGAGTCTCGCTCTGTCACCAGGCTGTAGTGCAGTGGCGCAATCTCAGCTCACTGCAACCTCTGCCTCCCGGGTTTAAGCGATTCTCCTGCCTCAGCCTCCCGAGTAGCTGGGATTACGGGCACACACCACTATGCCCAGCTAATTTTTGTATTTTTATTAGAGACGGCGTTTCACCATGTTGGCCAGAATGGTCTCAATCTCTTGAACTTGTGATCCACCCGCCTCGGCCTCCCGAAGTGCTGGGATTACAGGCATGAGCCACCATGCCTGACCTTAAAAATAGCTTGAATTTCTTAAATTTTTATAGTCTCTTAACCTTCAAGGAGTGTGTTCAGAAATCATTTTTCTTATGCCAAAGAAACATTCGAAGTCCAGCATAAAGTTCATTTTCACTTGGAGCTTTTCCTTCTGTTAAATTTTCTTCTAAAGGCAACTTTAGTATTTTGTAATTAAAATAGCAGGTGTTGTATTATTTTATGTAAGTATTTCTGTTTACCTGTCTGCTCATTCTACCCATCTTTCTCTCATGGAAGTATGTGTAAAGTGATTTTTACTTAATGATGGTTATTTCTAGGTGGTGCAATTTTTTTTAATCCTTTGTCTGTATTTTTTTCTGCATTGCTTAGTATATGATGCACATTGTTGTGTTGTGAGGAGGGACCAGAAGAACTAGGAGGAGATTGGAAAAACTTTGTGATACTAGGCTGGGACTAAACAGTAAATCTCTGAGCTGGCCCTGAGATTGCTTGTCCCAGTGTTGCCTATTGGTTTCCCAAGAGCGATAAAATCTCCCAATTTTCTGGAAGCCAGGTTACACTTTTTTTTCTCTGTGTTCTCTGGGACCTGGGAGGTGATAGCTCCTCTTGGACAATGATCTCTGTTCCAGTACAGGAGTTAGAGCCCCAAAGGCAACAAGGATCTCACTTGTAGAGTGCTACAATATGCCAGGCATTCTCATGATGCATTATTATTCCCACATCACAGAAGAGGAAGTAGGCTCAGAGATATTAAAAGAGTGAGCTTGAATGCTCACAAGTGCAACTTCCTCTTAAATGGTTCAGAATAAAAATTTCAGTGATAATATAGTATAGGTAATAAAGAGAGTGAGAAATTAAGTGGTGGAGCCTAGCCTGAACTGTAATTCCATGATTCCACCCCCCTCATTCTCTAGGAATGACCTGCATTCAGCCACAAATGTCTTCTAGGTTTTCTGCACAGACTGCATTGGGCCCAGATAGGTTGGAGAAAGTTGTCTTTTTGAGCCCCTAGCCTCATTGAAGAAGGCAGCATGCTGAGGCAGAAGGGGCATGGATTTGGAGTCAACAGACCTAAGTTAACTCTCACTCTGCTCTTTCCTAGCTGTTTAGCACTGGCAGGACACTCTGCTTTCTTGGTCCACTGTTTCTCTAAAACGAGGATGTAGACATGATAACGATAGAGGGTGTACTTGGAGCATCCATTGTTTTGGGCCCTGTGTTAAGCACTCGAGGTGCAAGATCTCATTTAAGTTTCCTGACAGCTCTGTGCAGAAGGTACTATTATCTCCATTGTACAAATGAGAAAACTGAGGCTTAGACCTAAGGTCACATAGGAATTAGGGTTAAAGCTGGGATTTGGATCCAGCCAATGTGATTCCAGGGCTTATTTTCAGCAAGCTACACTGCGATGGTCTCTAAGATCCCTGAAAGCTGTCAAAATGAGGTTTCCAGACACGAGTAGAACTGACTGTGTGGGTGGTGCTGTGAGGGCTTACCACAAGGCAATATTGGACCACCTCTTCAATCCTTCATTGGTGGCAGCCTGCTGGCCATACCTACTCCTTGATTTCTCTCCCCGGTTAGCAAATCACTTGAGGCCTTCAATTTAATTCCCTCTGAAGTCAGACTTCCTAAAAACAAAATCCACCCATTGTCCCAGATCTCCATTTCTCCATGGAGAGTTACAAACATACAGAACTGGATAGTGGCCAATAATTAATCATGCTAATGACATGTCCTCTTTAGAGAGTGTGTGCATGTAAGTGTAAATACCTTTGTGTGTCTTGTCCATCCTCACCTAAGCTTGTCCAAGGATGTGATGTACATGTTTTCATGTGTTAAAGACAACATTTGAAATGTTACTGCAATAAAACTAAACATCACCTATCCTATAAACTAGCAATTGCCTTAGGCACTTACTTAAGGAACATGAAAACATATATCCACTAAAAGAGTTATACATGGGCTGGGCACAGTGGCATGAACCTATAATCCCAGCACTTTGGGAGGCTGAGGCAGGAGGATCACTTGAGGCCAGGAGTTCGAGACCAGCCTGGGCAACATGGTGAAACCCCATTTCTACTAAAAATACAAAAATTAGCCAGGCATGGTGGCACTCACCTGTAATCCCAGCTACTTGGGAGAGAGCCTGTGAGGCTACAGGCAAGATGGAGTCAACCATGCCATATTTGTCTCACTGTTACAATCTTTGCAAGGGCGATTTCAAAATCAGGGTTAGGCTGTGATGATTTTAGAAATTTCCCTTGAGTTTTCTGAGAAATGACAATTACACTTTTCAACGGATTCTGGCCCAGAAGCCTCCCAGACTTTTTTCAAGCCACATACGGAGTTTAATACACAGAGTTCTCATGTATCATTCACTACAAGTTATCTGAACCTCAGAAATGTATTGTCCCTGCTTGAAAAATTTCTTGTAGTGCAAAGGAAATGTGTGAGCATCTGCTCAGAATACCATAATCAAGAGCCTTGTGCTCCGAATAATATGCTCTAGTATGCAAGCTGTGGTGGGCTCTCCCCAAGAATTTGGAACAAGAGGTAGGAAGATTGTCCCTTGAGAGTAGAACCTTAAAATAAAGCGATTCAGCCTCAGACTCAACTTGACCTGATCAAATATATCTAAAAGAAGGCATCAGTAGTAGGGGACACTGGTCAGTGATGAAAGTGAGGAAGGAGTCCCAGAGACAAATGTTGCTAGGGCCTGTTCTACACTACATGGGGTCACTAGAGCCTTAGTCAGTGCCTCTGTGTATAGTGCTATGGTCCCATTGGCAAGACAGACCTGTCAGCCTGTCCCATTCAGGTACCTTTAAACACTGCAATCATATATCCAACTTCCTTTGTTCTGAGCCCACCTTTTCCAAGCAACAGTTTGATGCTGACTTGGCTTCCCACGTAACTCTGTCTGTAGGGAGAGAAGGTGCTTGTTATGGGAAGTTGGACTATTTGCATTCACTGTGACATTGATTTTTCTTTGTGAATGAATGGGGCCATTTCTGGCTATGATTTTTCAATCCTTGTTGCTTCACTGTGGGGAGATGAGAGGATGTGGTGGCCATATTTACTTGGAATATTTCAGTCCTCGTGAGTGATTCCACTTGTAGATTGCTGACTCGCCAAGCCACGGACAAGCAAGGGATACGGGCAAGGAATATGTTCTTAGAAAATTCTATACTACCAGAAAACATATATGTTAAAAGAAAATTTCCCACAGGAAGTGATATAGGAAGGAATTGAGGCATTTTGGTCACTCATACTTGGGAGACTGCAGACTGCATTATGCCCATATTTATAAAATTCTATAAATATTTCGATGTTTCAGATGAGTTGGGGGAGGAAGAAAGAGAAAGGAAAAGCTGTAGAATCAGGAGGAGATGATCTGGCCTCATTGAGGGTGTGGGGCATCGTGGACCAGTTCCAAAATAATTGAAACACAAATGTCCAGTCTCAACACAAGACAGAGAGCACTGCCACTCACTGGCTGTTGTGCTGAATTACCTGGCAATGACAGGCACGGTTTTCTGTATTAGTGTAAAGATTAATTTGTTGTAACAAATATGCCTAGAACATACTGGCTTAAATAAAGTAGAAGTTTATTTCTCTTCCTTGTAACACTTCAACTGATCTAGACTAGCAGGGCAGCTCAGTTCCATGGGGTTATTCTGGGACCCAGGCTCTTTTCATCTTACTGCTTTGTCTTTCCTTACTATAGCACTGTCCAATAGAATTTTCTGTGATGATGGAAATGTTCTACATCCATGGTGTATAATATGACAGTCAGCAGCTACATCTGGCTATTGAGCAGTTGAAATGTGGCTAGTGTGACTGAACCAATGTGATTAGTTCAAAATAAAAATTGAACTAAAATTTTAATATTGATTTTAATTAATTTAAATGTAAATAGCTGCAGGTGGCTAGTGGTTACTGTACTTAAAAGAGCAACTCTAGATCAAAGGTGGGAGGTCTCCAAGTCTAGTTCTAGTTCATACGAAGAGGGAGGAGAGTGTTAGTAGGACAAGGTGCTTGTTTTTAAGTTGGCAATGACCCAGAAGTTGCACACATTATTTTAGTTCAAATCCCATTGACCACACTTAGTTAACTGGCCAATCCCTACTTCAAAAACAGCTAAGAAATACAGTATCTGGCCAGGAGGCCGTGTGCCCAGGTACAACTTTATTATTATGGTCAAGTGACAGATTTTAGTGGACATCCAGAAGCCTAAGCCACAGCATCTCATCTTTGCAACCCTTAACTGTATGACTGTGTAGAATGCTCATATGAGCATTTCTAAGCCTGCTTAATAATACCCATCACAATTTCATGAGGTTATTGTGGGGGTCCCATGAGATAACACTACTAAAACTCTCAGCACAGTGCTTGGCACATCATGTTCAGTCAACATTAGACATTGCTATCGTAGCTTTTCTTACCTATAATCTTGGCCTTCAGTAATGCATACTGAGCCTTCCAGACTTTCCTGTTCTGAGTGTGGGTTGCCTATGGTAACAAAAGCTCTAAATAAGTAATGAGGGCTATTTCAAAGACACATAAGGGAAACACCAGACATGTACATCAGACACTGAGCTTGGCTAATGAGAGTATGTTTCTGAGAAAAAGGTTCATTTTATGTGCTGACAATCCCAGGTTTCTCGGCCTGAGAAATACTCACTGAGATTATTAATGTTACCATGAAGGGGCTCTTTGGAGACAGCTGGAGAGCTGGACAGCCAAAGACAGACAACATGTCCCTTGCCCTCCCCACTCCCTAATAGAGTGCAGGATAGCAAAAGGAGAAAGACATGCTTTTAAAAAGATGTCTGTGCTGGTCAGCTTGTGATGTTTCTTGATGAGCCGATAATGAGCGCATCTCTACCTTATTAGAAAAGATAAATAGAGACTGACTAGGGCGCTGCAGGGCAGTGACAGCTGTAGAAATTATCTGCTCTCATCTCAGGGATGTCACACCAGTGTCACAAAACAGAGATCAACATTTAGCTTTTAAAATTACCTGAGTAAAGATAGTGAATTCACTAGAGACTGTCAATGCATTTTAAAGAAATGTGTCATTTCAGAATAAGCATCTGTGAAACTGTATTTCAAAACATTGTGTGACAGTATTTCTTATTTGTCTTACCTGCTAAAAAGAAACTTTGTGCCTTCTGTGTTTAGAAATAATAAAATACTAATCTGGTGAATGCTGGATGAAAATTTTAGGGATAATTTCTAGATTCCTCCTCTTTAAATTGTTACTATATGGCGCATGTTAAAAACGAAAGCTAAATTGGGTTTTTGTTTTCTCTTAATGTCCCTCATAATCATGAGTGACATGAAATACAGTGATTTCATGACATAGTTTGTAAAAGTGAGAAGGTCTGTAATTCAGAACAAGTATCCTAGTAGAGAAAAATGTCAGACATAACCGAAATGGGGAGAGAAGATTCCCAGGAGAGCTTGTGATCTACCGCTGAATAGACCTGTGGAGGATTTGACAAGGGAATTCCACTGCACTCAACTTTTGTAAAGGGCAAGATTTCTCCCAGGGTCTGATTCTCACAATTTTATATAGCTAGTGGTTTAGGAATGATGGTATAGTCAGTCCTGAAGGAAAGTATCTATTTAAGTTAGCCTTGAGAGCCAGGATTCAAAAGCTGGGGACAGATGGATGGAGGGTCCCCCTTCAGTTGAAGCTAGGAAAACACTACCCAGTATTTTAAAAGAGAATTTTGCATTTGTGAGACACTGAGAATAAACATGCTTGCTTCACAGCTGATGAAATCTCGTGGAGAAAAGACAGCTAAGGGATCATTCTAAAGGGAATGCAGTCCTCCTGTGACTGCCCTCAGGCCCTCGGATAAGGTCCAGACTGCTTAGTAAGACTTCAAAAAGTCTTTGTGATGGGACATTGCCCACCTTTCTATGCTGATTTTCCCCTCTCCCCTCCCTGTGCTTCAGCTGCTTTGGAGTTCCTGAGGAAGCCCTGGTCTGAGGCTTCACTGATGCTGTTCACCCTGCCTGGTGTACTTTCTGCCTCTTCTCCTCTCCCCTGTTTGCCTGCCTAACTCCTACTCACTGTTTAAGTCTGAGGCCAGGAAGGTTTTCCTGTCCACCCTCTAGAGGCAGGTAAATGCCCTTACTCTGGGATCCCATATCCCTCTCTCTTCCCATCACAGGGCTCGCCACACTGTTGAGTAATTGCCTGTTTCCCAGTCTGAGCCTCCCATTGGATGGCCAGCTCCATTAGGGAATGATGGGGTCTGTCTGTTTTGTCATTACAGCCTCAGTGTCCCCACTCAGGGTCTGCTGTAAGACAAATAGAAGATTGATCTCAAAAATCTCATTAAGATGTTTTTGGTTTAAAAGAGTAGTAGGTAAATCTATGATTACTATGGAAAATTAAAACCACAGAAGATAAATTTAAAAATGTAAGTTCTTTTTACTCCCACTCCACAGTCAATCTCACCATCCCCATAGGTAACAACTGTTACCAGTTTGCTGTGTTAACCTTCCAACCTTTTTGTATGCAAATTTCATATTCATAGATATATAATTTTAAGGCAAAAAGCAAGCCATATAAGGGTACATATGTGAAACACACATGTTGACACACCCAATTTATGTTAAAAATATATGTGTGTAGTTAACATTCTAAGTTGTCAGCAGCAAATGAACCGTTGATTTTAAACAAAAATAATTTAATGTAAAGTAGCTCATAAAATAAGCAGGAAGGCTAAATAAGCAGATTTGAAAAATGGGCAGGAAGAACAGGAAGCTGGACAGCCGGCAGCACAGCTACACTTCCCCACAGAGCAGGTCCCATGAGGACCCTGCAGCTGTCCTGCAAGCCCTGAGCTCGTCGGGGGTACCCGACTGTCTCCAGCAGGGCAGCTTACTGCTGACCAGCAAATGCTGATTGATGCTGTTGCTAGTGTTATGATGAAGTCCAGTCCACCCCGACCCCCAGTGATCTTTGCACTGTTAATTTTTGACTTGAAGGACCAGTCAGAGGACTGGTCAGGGCTAGGCAGGAGACTGCAACCAGCTGCAGTGGGACTGAACACACAGGTGTCTGGAGACAGGCGGCCTCTCCCTCCTACTAGTTCTCCTTCCTCCCAAGCTTTTCTTTTTCAATATTCTTTTGTTTTCTTTTAATGTTTAAATTTTGGATCCATCTGGGATTAATTTTGGCCCACAGAGTGACATAGGAATCCAACTTTACTGATTTTCTGAGTACTCAGTTTTCCATATGTCATTTTATTTTTTATTCTTTTTTTTGAGGCAGATTCTTACTCCATTGCACAGGCTGGAGTGCAGTGGCATGATCTCAGCTTACTGTGACCTCCACCTGCCGGGTTCAAGTGATCCTCCTGCCTCAGCCTCCCGAGTAGCTGTGATTATAGGTGCCTGCCACTACACCCAGCTAAGTTTTGTACTTTTTTAGTAGAGACGGTCAGGCTGGTCTCGAACTCCTGACCTCAAGTGATCTGCCTGCCTCAGCCTCACAAAGTGCTGGGATTACAGGTGTGAGCCACAGGGCCTGGCTTCAATATACCATTTAAAAAGTAACCCATTCCCTAAATTCCTTGACACATACACCCTCCCAAGACTAAACCAGGAAGACCAATAACAGGCTCTGAAATTGAGGCAATAATTAATAGCCTACCAACCAAAAGAAGTCCAGGACCAGATGGATTCACAGCCGAATTCTACCAGAGGTACAAAGAGGAGCTGGTACCATTCCTTTTGAAACGATTCCAATCAATAGAAAAAGAGAATCCTCCCTAACTCATTTTATGAGGCCAGCATCATCCTGATACCAAAGCCTGGCAGAGACACAACAAAAAAAGAGAATTTTAGACCAATATCCCTGATGAACATCGATGCGAAAATCCTTAATAAAATACTGGCAAACCGAATCCAGCAACACACCAAAAAGCTTATCCACCACGATCAAGTTGGCTTCATCCCTGGGATGCAAGGCTGATTCAACATACGCAAATCAATAAACAATCCATCACATAAACAGAACCAATGACAAAAACCACATTATTATCTCAATGGATACAGAAAAGGCCTTCGAAAAAATTCAACAGCACTTCATGCTAAAAACTAGGTATTGATGGAGCGTATCTCAAAATAATAAGAGCTATTTATGACAAACCCACAGCCAATATCATACTGAATGGGCAAAAACTGGAAGCATTCTCTTTGAAAACCGGCACAAGACAAGGATGGCCCCTCTCACCACTCGTTTTCTAAATGGTGTTGGAAGTTCTGGCCAGGGCAATCAGGCAAGAGAAAGAAATAAAGATATTCAATTAGGAAAAGAGGAAGTCAAATTGTCCCTGTTTGCAGATGACATGATTGTATATTTAGAAAACCCCATCGTCTCAGCCCAAAATCTCCTTAAACTGATAAGCAACTTCAGCAAAGTCTCAGGACACAAAATCAATGTGCAAAAATCACAAGCATTCCTATACACCAATAACAGACAAACAGAGAGCCAAATCATGAGCGAACTCCCATTCACAATTGCTTCAAAGAGAATAAAATACCTAGGAATCCAACTTACAAGGGATGTGAAGGACCTCTTCAAGAAGACCACTGCTCAACGAAATAAAAGAGGACACAAACAAATGGAAGAAAATTCCATGCTCTTGGATAGGAAAAATTAATATCATGAAAATGGCCATACTGCCCAAGGTAATTTATAGATTCAATGCCATCCCCATCAAGCTACCAATGACTTTCTTCACAGAATCGGAAAAAACTACTTTAAAGTTCATATGGAACTAAAAAAGAGCCCGCTTTGCCAAGACAATCCTAAGACAAAAGAACAAAGCTGGAGACATCATGCTACCTGACTTCAAACTGCACTACAAGCCTACAGTAACCAAGACAGCATGGTGCTGGTACCAAAACAGCGATATAGACCAATGGAATGGAACAGAGGCCTCAGAAATAACACCACACCTACAACCATCTGGTCTTTGACAAACCTGACAAAAACAAGAAATGGGAAAAGGATTCCCTATTTAATAAATGGTGCTGGGAAAACTGGCTAGCCATATGTAGAAAGCTGAAACTGGATCCCTTCCTTATACCTTATATAAATATTAATTCACGATGGATTAAAGACTTAAATGTTAGACCTAAAACCATAAAAAACCCTAGAAGAAAACCCAGGCAATACCATTCAGGACATAGGAATGGGCAAGGACTTCATGACTAAAACACCAAAAGCAATGGCAACGAAAGCCAAAATAGACAAATGGGATCTAATTAAACTAAAGAGCTTCTGCATGGCAAAAGAAACTACTATCAGAGTGAACAGGCAACCTACAGAATGGGAGAAAATTTTTGCAATCTACCCATCTGACAAAGGGCTAATATCCAGAATCTACAAAGAACTCAAACAAATTTACAAGAAAAAAACAAACAACCCCATCAAAAAGTGGGCAAAGGATATGAACAGACACTTCTCAAAAGAAGACATTTGTGCAGTCAACAGACACATGAAAAAGTGCTCATCTTCACTGGTCATCAGAGAAATGCAAATCAAAACCACAATGAGATACCATCTCATGCCAGTTAGAATGGTGATCATTAAAAAGTCAGGAAACAACAGGTGCTGGAGAGGATGTGGAGAAATAGTAACGCTTTTACATTGTTATTGGGAGTGTAAATTAGTTCAACCGTTGTGGAAGCCCGTGTGGCGATTCCTCAAGGATCTAGAACTAGCAATACCATTTGACCTAGCGATCCCATTACTTGGTATATACCCAAAGGATTATAAATCATGCTACTATAAAGACACATGCACACATATGTTTATTGCAGCACTATTCACAACAGCAAAGACTTGGAACTAACCCAAATGTTCATCAATGATAGACTGGATTAAGAAAATGTGGCATGTATACACCATGTAATACTATGCAGCCATAAAAAAGGATGAGTTCATGTCCTTTGCAGGGACATGGATGAAGTTGGAAACCATTAGTTTCAGCAAACTATCACAACACAGAAAACCAGGCACCACATGTTCTCACTCATAGGTGGGAATTGAACAATAAGAACACCTGGACACAGGGCGGGGAACATCACACACCGGGCCTGTCGGGGGGTGGGGGGCTGGGAGAGGGATAGCATTAGGAGAAATACCTAATGTAAATGATGAGTTGATGGGTGCAGCAAACCAACATGACACATGTATACCTATGTATCAAACTTGCACATTGTGCACATGTGCACTAGAATTTAAAGTATAATTAAAAAAACATAAAAAATAAATAAAAGTAATCCTTTCTCACCCTGCCCTTGGTACACGATGTTTTGCAATGCCACCCTTTTACTGTATTAAATCTCTGTGTGCTTGAATATATGTATTCATGGATCCTCTATTCTCTTACACTGATCTGTCTATTCATGGACTAGTACCAAACTGTTTACTTTTAATTTCAAAATAATCAATATATATTTTTTGAAACTTTATACTTTGAAATAATTCCAAACTCGAGTTGCAAAATTAGTGCAAAGAATTTCTATCATCTAGCTTAGTTTCTCACTCTCTTTATTACCTATACTATATTATCACTGAAATTTTCATTCTGAACCATTTAAGAGGAAGTTGCAGACATGATGTCCTTTTATGCCTACTTTAGTAACTATTTCCTCAGAACAAGGACTTTCACTTAGATCACCACAGTACCATGCTCAAAATCGGGAGATTTATCATTGTTACAATGCTATTATTTAATCTAAGGAATTTATTCACATTCTCTCAGTTGTCTGAATAATGTCCTTTACAGTAATTTTCAGTCATTTTTTTTCTGGTTCAATTGCAATCCAGGATCACTCCATTTATTTATTTTTATGTCTTTTTCTTTTTGTCTTCTTTAAAGTAGATGAGATCTTCAGACTTTGTTTCCCATGATTTTGACATTTTTTTAAGAAAACAGGCTATTAATATTTTTTAGACTATAATTTGAGTTTGTACAATATTTTAAAAAGTCACACAATGTTATTTGTATCTGCCAGCGTCCTGGCAGAAAACACAGGCACTCAGGCTATTCAAGAGACTTTAGTAAAGGGACAATTTTCAGAGATGTGGGCAGAATTAAGGAATGCAATAGGGATGGTGAGGTGCTCAGGGGAGGGCAACAGCAGAAGCCAATCTCATTTCTAGGTCTGAAGGGGTAAGGGGAGTGGACACAGGACAAAAGCCAGGAGAGATCCGGAGCTTGGAGAAGAAATGAAGCCACCGCGTGGGAGCTCTGCCCAGTGCAGGATGTCGCAGGAGCCCCTCTCCCTCCTTCTGCCCCTTTATCTCTGCCGTGCCTTCCATTGGGTGAATTCAACCAGGCCCCAGGGGCAACGGAGCAGCAAGGTCAGCTTCCTGGGGCCCAGGGCAGGGCAGAGGAGGGCAGAGTAGATGGGGAAACTGACAGTGGGAAAGCAGGGCAAAGCCACAACACTGGGCACCATGCTAACAGCATCAAATGAGGAACACACTGTCCACCGCTACCCAGTCCTGCTCCTCAGAGACAACCACCTCCAGCTGTTCTAGTTCATTTCCATAGTGTTCTACTGAGCCCTTGCATATTTCTAAACAATATACTGCTAGTTTTCAGTTTATCAATTGACTTCCTTCTCCTATTTTCCCTTCCTCTACTCCCATCACAGTTACATATTTTGTTGTTGTTAAATCAATAGTCAGTGTTTACATTATTATGACTGCAAAGATTGTTTAAGCCAAGGGCTTCATGATGGTTGAGCTTCCTTTCTTTTTAAATTCCTTTTTTCTGGAGCAATAAGCACATTGTTTTTTAATTTGTCTAGCTTTTAACAAACTTCTTGCTAAGCTCATCTAAACTCTCTAGAAATATTTTCATATGCTCTAACATATCTGCTTCTTTTATTTTATATTCCTGTCAGCCCGCTCCAATCGGGATTGGTCAGGCCCTAGACCTTCTACCTGCTGTTATCTGGAAGTTTCCCTATGCTGTTGTGGCAGGCGGAATTCTAAAGCTGTTCTTTAAGATTCCATCTACTGGTTCTTCAGTCAGACACTGGTCTAGTTTCTACTGTGGGACACTTTGTAGATGTTAGGAAGGTTACTAATCAGCTGACCTTAAAATAGGAATTTTATCCTGGTGAGCCCAGTGTAATCACATGAGCCCTTAGAAGCAGAAGAGGAAGGCAGAAAAGTCAGTCAGGGAGATGTAGCTGGAAAGATGAGGCGGAGGGAGAGGTGAGAGAGATTTGAAGCATGAGAAAGCCTGACTTGCTGTTGCTAGCTTTGATGATGGAGGAAGGGAATCATGAGCTAGGACTGGAGTGGCCTCTAGAAGCTGCTGAGACTGACCCCATGGAAACAGGGACCTCCATCCTACTGACACGGGCCAACCCCAAAAGTGGGGCTCAGCCAGGGAAGATTCTTGGCTTCACTCAGGAAAGAATTCAAGAGGGAGCTGACAGTGAAAGAAAACAAATTTATTAGAGCAATAGTGTACAGCAAAATGGCTGCTCCATAGAGGGCACAGGGCTATCTCATAGGGCGGCACAGAGGGGCACTCGTGGATTGCTTGGTAGCTATATTTATACCCACTCTTACTTGCATGCTACATAAGGGGCAGATTATTCACAACCTTTTTGGAAAAGAGGCAGGGAGTTCCTAGAACCATATAAAGTAACTTCCCGGTCATTGCCATGGCATTTGTAAACTGCTGTGCTGCTGGTGGGAGTGTCTTATGCAAATGTGTTATGATTCCTAGCCCTAGCTGGTCTTGGCTGGTTTAAATCAGCTCCTGTTTTGTTCAGTGGGGTCTTGTGATCAGTGCTCGGAAGACGAGTCTTGCTGATCTCCTACCTTACCACAACTATATGGAACTGAATTCTACCAACAACCTGAATGAGCTTGGAAGCAGACTTAACCGCAAAGCCTCCAGAAAGGAATGTGCCCTATCAACATCTTGATATAGTGTGAGGCTATAAGCAGGGAATCAGCTAAGCCACTCTGTGCCTGGGTTTCTGGCCTGCAGAAACTGTGAGGTAATAAACTTGAGTTGTTTTAAGCCATTACGTGGTAATTTGCTACATCAGCCGGAGAAAGCCAATACAGCTGTTGTCATGGCTTCTCTCTTCCGTTTTCTGTATTGGAGTCCCTATTTTCTAGGTCCTTTATCTTCCTCCTGGAGCATATTCTCTAGTACAGCTGTTCTTAAACATCATGGTCTCAGGATCCTTTTACATTCTTAAAAATTATTTAGGACCCCAAAGAATTTTTGTCGATGTGGTTATCTTTACCAACATTTATTTGCCATCCTAGAAATTAAAACTGAGAGATCATTAAAATATTTATTAATTTCAAAATAATAAAACATATTACATATTAACATAAGTAACATTGTTTATGAAAAACAACTATATTTTTAAAGACAAAAACATTACTGAGAAGAGAGGCATTGCTTTACATGTTTGCAAATCTCTTTAATGTCTGGCTTATTAGAAGACAGCTGTAGGGGTTCAGCCTACATCACATTCCAAAAAAAAAAAAAAAAGAGAAGACATCTAGATGCTCAGATCTGGTTTGATGTATTGTTTTGATCGAGGTATGTGAAGAAAATCTGTTATCACACAGATATGTAGTTGGAAAAGTGACGACCTCGCTGATTCCTGAAAATGTCTCTGAGCCTCCACTGGTCTCTGGACCACACTTTGAAAACTGCTGCTGTAGTATCTTGCTGCTCAAAGTGTAGCTCAGGGACTAGCAGCAACAATATCATCTGAGATCTGTAGAAATGTGGAATCTCAGACCTTCAGAATCAGAATGCACAGTTTATAAGATCCTCAGGTGACTCCTGTGCTCATGGAAGTTTGGGAGGCACTTCTTCAGTAGCTTCTAGCCAGGACAGTATTCTGGGGACCTTATATGTCTGAAAATTCCTTTCTTCTAGCCTCATGCTGGCTTGGTAGTTTGGCTGGGTATAAGCTAGATGCTAGGTGGATAATCATTATAGTTTTCCGTTTTTGTTTCCCCAGAGAATAAATCAATGGTATCGAGTGGGAGAGTTGGGGACATTATTTACTTGGCAGAGTTGGGGAAAGGACAAGGGGTTTCTCAGTGCCCTGTAAATAGACTTCCCACCTGTCTCCCTTTTTTCAGTTCCTTGCCTCATTCCTGCCTCCCTCAGAACATTGTCCTCATACTTTCTGGGTGTCTGAAGGGGCATTGTGATCTTGTCCTCATTGTTATATCATCTTCTACTCTGAATAAAGTCCTTTACAGTAATTTCATAGTGATCTTTTCTTTCTGGTTCAATTGCAATCCAGGATCACACCATTTATTTAGGTTTTATGTCTTTTTAAATTTACATTAGATCTTCAGACTTTTGTTTCCCATGATTTTGACATTTTGAAAAGAAAACAGGTCATTAATATTTTTTAAGACTATAACTTGGGTTTGTACAAGGTTTTAAAAAGTCACACAATGTTATTTGTATCAACAAGGGTCCTGGCAGGAAACACAGGCACTCAGACCATTCAGGAGACTTTAGTAAAGAGTCAATTTTTGGAGGTGTGGGCAGAATTAAGGAAGGCAATAGGGATGGTGAGGTGCATCATCCTTACTGCCTTCCTTCATTAGGAATAAAGGCTATAAAGGCGCCTCATTTATAGCTTCCTCTGCCCCTCCCCTTCTCTTTGGATTTTTGTTTTCCCTTTTATTATTTCACTGTCCTTTTAATGATGTTTCAATGGTTGTGTTTGCCCAGGAGTGTCCCAAATAGTTTTAATTACCAGAACACTACAAAATGTTCTGCTCTCTGCTGGAGCTAAAAGAGTTTTTCTGGCCCATCTTTTATTTTTATTTTTTCATAGAAACGTATAGGTTCCCCCCCCCCCCCCGCCTCAATCTATTGGCATTTTTATTGAGATCATATTAAATTTATAGTTTAATTTAGGGGAGAATTGACATCTTTAAATTACTGAGTCTTTCAAAGACAGGGTATGGTTTTTCATTTATTCAATTATCTTTTATGTCCCTCAGTAGAATTTTAAAATTTACTTCTTGTAGATTTTGCCCATGTTTTGAATTTTATCTCTTTGGTTGTTGTTGTAAATGAGATCATTTTTTCCCATATACTTTGTAACTGTTTGGTGTTTCACTTACCATCCTATCAATGAGGATTTTTGATCTGTAAATCTCCTTTTGATATATAAATCTCCTTCATAACTTAAAATGTATTCACTAGATGTTGGTTTAGTTTTAAAAGTAATACATGATATTATAAGCAATATTAACAAATGAAAAGTAAAATTTCCTCTCTCTTGGTCCCCATTTCACCCCTAGAGTTTATCACTGTGGGTTATTTCTTGTATAATTTTTCCAGAGCTTTTTTTTTTTTTTTTTTTTTTTTACTTATACATGGGTATATATGTATGTAACAAGATATTCTTTCTTGTTGAAATGATATTCTTTCTCCCTTTTGGGTGAGGCCCAATAGCCTGGACACACAATAAAGGCCTTATACTTCCATGGGTTCAACCACCTTTGTAGGCTGTGCTAAGAGATTTTAAGTGAGGGTTGTCTGCATTAGACAGCTTCCCTCTGGCCAATGAGAGTAGGGGGTGTAGAGGCCGAGAGGTTTCTTTGGAGTTTTCTTCTCTCTCTTTTCTTCTAAGAGTTCTTTAGATGCAAAGTCAGGGCCTCTCTTCTTTCTTCTGGGCCAGGTAAAGTGCTGCTGATTAAAGCCTGCCTTGGATTGAATGAGCTTCCTTCTCATGGCTTCTCTGTTGTCGCTGGCTTTTGTCTGAGTCACCTTCACAAACAATCAGCTCTCTAGCTGGTTTGAAGAAACCACCTTGGCCAGGCACGGTGGCTCACACCTGTAATCCCAGCACTTTGTGGGGCTGAGGTTGGTGGATCACTTGAGGTCAGGAGTTCGAGACCAGCCTGGTCAACATGGTGAAACCCTGTCTCTACTAAATTACAAAAATTCGCTGGGTGTGGTGGTGCTTGAACCTGGGAGGTGGAGGTTGAAGTGAGCTGAGATTGTGCCACTGCACTCCAGCCTGGACGACAGAGCAAGACTCTGTCTCAAAAAAAAAAAAAAAAAAAAAAAAGAAACCACTTCAAAATTACTTGATAGAATAGAAAAATCCAGGCTCTGTAAACACATGAAGCTTTGTGCATCCTGTTGGCCATTCCCTTAAATAATAGATGAGAGAGTTATGAATCCGATGACAAGAATGGTCACAGTGCCTGCCTCCACCAAAGTTGGATAAGTGATAAAGGACCAGGGGTGATGGAGGGTGATTTTAAGTGTCACTCAGGGCTTCAGTCAAAAATTTGGGGGGTTACTCTTCTAGGGATTTTCATACTGAACATCACCAGAAATTCCCTTTAAAAGATAACCAGAAATTTATCCTTCTTCCTGTTTTACAAGCGTAGAGCAAGAATTCTTTTAGGTGAGCACACACTAAGGGTGCAGAACATAACCAAAGAAAATTCTCCATAACCCATTTATCTTGCTGGACTTAGAAAGGTTGAGTGACAGTTACAAATGAAAGGCCTCCTAGGTATTTTATTTCCAGTGGTAGTTTAAGGAGGAAATGTGTTTCTGGGAATATTTGCATAACAATAATAAAGCTGTGCCCAACTTCGGATGACAAAAACTTGAGTTGATTAAAATATTTTTAAAAATGTGAATTGGATTGGAAAGTGTTATTTAAATATTTTCTGTTCTGTACTGACATTCAAGAGGACAGAAGTTGAGGAGAGAGGACGGAATGTAGGTGCTCAGGTTAGAGCCCCAGAGGTGCATCAGTTCCACGGTTGGGTCTTTGCTTTGTGTGCCAGAAATTCAGAGACAGTCTCATAAAAACCACATTCATAGGAGACTTATGCATATGGATATTCCATACCCTGCAGGTGAGGCACCACGGAGATCACCCCTGTGTGGGGCTGTGGGTGAGAAGAATGAGCAGCAGATGCAGTCTGTTTCCCATTGCTGTGGCCTTTGGTGCACCCCTCCTTGGACCATCTGTGGCTTCCTCTGGCCAGGGGTCTGTCACTGAGCCATCTGAAGTACCTGCCTCTCCCACTTCATCTCAAACTTCTGTAGCCAGCATTGCCTAAGTTCCCCATCAGAATCTACCCTCTGTACCCCATGCCAAAGATTGCAGATAAACATGCTGCCTAGGGGAAGATGTTTCCAGATACATGTATATGCAGAAGTGCCCCCCATTATGTTAGGACTTTACAGTTCATCTGGTACTAGGCTTGAGTTCCAGCTGAGAGGGTGCTCCCTTCTGAGCTTGAGGCCAAGACCCTTGGTAAGTCACCTACACTTACTCCTGGCAGCTGCTAGCCAAGATATGGCAAGGTGTGGGAGCTTCCTGGTTAGTCAAAGGTATTTCAGTGATTCCCAGATGGGCTTCATGAAAATTACTGGTGTTCGCTTCTCTTCACATTCCACCCTCTCTTCTCTTTAACCAGCATCTGTAAGAAAGAAATAGGAGGGGAGGAGGGGTGGGATTAGGGTTGGGTTTTGCAGTTGCAGAATTTTAGTGGTCAAGGCAACTAAAAGCATTGTATAGATCCTCACTAATCCTGGTGTCCCTGACTCCACTTAGGCTTACAAGGTCCAGGCCAATGCCCACCGCACAGCACTGGGAGTCATATTATAAGATGACCTCAGCTCTGGCAAATCTCTGTACTGTCTTGGGAGCCGGTTCTGGTAGAGGCCAACCATCTAGTTTGGGAATGGGAGTTGCTCACTACCAAGCCTGCTTCCAGCTTTCAAAGAGTCTGTGTTGAGGTTACCTGAACCATGGCAACTGGGAGAGCCATGCTGGCTCCAGAAGCTCAGGTCAGGCCAGTCATGCAGAACAAAATGTTTAGTTTCTTGAGTTCACTCTTTGTTAAGTGTGTGTGTTATGTGTGTGTCTATGTGTGTGTATATATGTGTGTGTGTATAAATATGTGTATATGTGTGTATATATCTACAAATATATATTAGATTTAACATATAGCATATAGTGTATATATCTACAAATATATATTAGATTTAACATATAGCATATATATTATATACATATTTTGTGGATGGTGAGGTTGTATGGGAGAATGCAGTAGACACTGTTTATATGCTATCATCTTACCTGGAAGTCAAGGATATGTAATCTGAATTTGCTTAATCAATTAGTTCATTAATTCACAGCTTACTGACTAGCCTCAGTGACCTTCAATGGTTATCCGAAGCCTAAAAATTATATAACACTATGCCAAGAATGAAGAAAGATTAAAAAAAAAGTTGTGTGCCCTGTCTTCAAGAAGCTCAGGATCTTTGGGGGAGACAGGCGTGTAATTCATTACATTTTACATCTGACAGAAATGAAGTGTTAAAAGAGAAGTATACAACAAGTAACGTGGAAGCTCTGATGAGAAAAGAATCAATTCTGTCTGTGAGGATTATGGACCAGACCCTGAGAAGATAATCTTTGAAGTACCCTTGGGGCATAAATGGAATTTCACTTCAACGGTTATAAAATAATTAGTCTTGGCTGCAACACCTTTTTTTTTTTTTTGAGATGGAGTTTCGTGCTTGTTGCCCAGGCTGGAGTGTAATGGCGTGATCTTGGCTCACTGCAACTTCCACCTCCCAGGTTCAAGCGATTCTCCTGCCTCAGCCTCCTGAGTAGCTGGGATTACAGGCGCCTGCCACCACGCCCAGCTAATTTTTTGTATTTTTAGTAGAGACAGGGTTTCACCATGTTGGCCAGGCTGGTTTCAAACTCCTGACCTCAGGAGATCCACCCACCTCAGCCTCCCAAAGTGCTGGGATTACAGGTGTAAGCCACTGTTCCCGGCCTGCTGCGACACTTTTAACTTATGTTTGTATGGCAGTCCCATTGACTGAGTAGTCTCTCACGCTTTGTCTTGTTTAATTGGAATAATAATTTTGCAAGGTTAGGTAAGAGGGTATTTTTTTTTTCAGGTAAGATTGAAATTTAGAGAGCCTTAATGACTCGCCCTAAGGTGATCCAGTTATTTGGGTGAGGGAGGGCTGTAGATGTGGAGCTAGTATTGTCTATCTGTCTCCAAGTACTGCGAGAGTCCTTTCTCAGCCCTTGCTTTTAACAGGCAAACCAGAGGTGCATTTCAGGAGTTTGCAAATTTTGATCATTCATAGCTTAATGATACAGGAATTTTTGCTCCTTAGTTCAGCTAAAATCCGGGTTCTTGTCTCACAACCAAGAAAAATTAGGCACATGGACACATTGAAAGGTGAGGAGGATGGATTCATTAGGCAAAAAGAAAGCTCTCAGCAAAGAAAGAGGAGGTCTTCTCAACAAACTCCCACTTTACAGATTGAATACCAGGCCACCGCACACGAGCTGAAGAGGACCTACTCCTCCTCCTGCGTAAGGCGTGAATTCCTGGTGGTTCCATCCCATTTCCCCAGTGCATGTGGGCCTGCTGCAGTCATGCCCAGGCAAGACCTTGTGCAGGTTCCCTCATCTGTACAAAAACATCTGGCACAAACACTTGTGGGGCAGGTCGGAGATTTTCCAGGGACCCTGCCTTATCTGCCTCCTGCATCTATCATTACTAACTAGCCTCAGTGACCATTAGTAGTTCTCCAAGTGTGGTCCCCAGAGCAGCAGCCTCAACATCACCTGGAAACTTGTTAGAAATATAAGTGCTCAGACCCCAGTCTGCAACTGCTGAATCAGAAGTGGTGGGGTGGGGTCCCGCAGGCTGTGTTTGAACAAGCCCTTCAGGGGATTCTGATGCAGGCTTAAGTGTGCGAATCTCTGGTGTAGATGATCTGAGGATTCTCTTAAATTAAAATAGATGATATGAAAACATGAGAACTGACTCTAAAAAAGCCTCTGACAACCCAAGTAATCCTTTTAGTATCAGCACTTAGGTTAAATCATGCTTTCCTTTCCTTGTCTGAGGACACTTATCGAGCAGGATGATGTGCCATAGGGCTGGAATAAATTTGGTATTTAAAGTGCATGTACTTATTTCGCTTTGAGAAAACACAAATATATTCATAGTCACAGAAAACAGGGACCTAGAATGCAAAGTCAAGTTCTCCCATAACTAAAATGCAAGGTTATATGTTGCTTCAGAACACAAAGAGATGGATTTCTGACAAGGGTTACCCACCAAAGAGACCCCAATCCTGAAAACTTCCAGATCGCACCCAGGAACGTGCAGTTCCCAAAGAAATTCAATAGAAAGATGGGAGAGATCCTAGTGTCATGGCATTTCATTCTCTTGAATAGTTGGTGAGAAAAAAACAAGAGGGATGAGGGGATTCTGTTACCATGACAACGTGGAGAGGCCTGGCTGGTACCCTGGAGCTGACAAAGCTGGGCATCCCGATTCTACAATAGAGAAACGGGGCTGTTGAGGCCTGGGGATTGGGTAGAAATGAATATTCTTCTATTCCTGTACACTTCTGCCACACTGCCTGATTTTTAAAAAATTGATGCAATTAAACAGCATGCACAGAGACTGTGGCTGATGAACATCTTTTCATGCATTTCCCCTACCTGGAAGGCACTCCCTTCCTTTTCTGTCTACTTTCTATTCATCTCTCACTCAATAGCTCCAAACCTGCTTCCTCAGGAACGATTCCTCATTCACTGGTACTCAGCAAACCACAGCATTCAAAGGCTCTTCCACTGAGTCCTGCTTTACAATAGTTTTTTGTTTTTTTTTTTTATACACATAAACTATGTCCTTCAGTGGGGAAAAACAGTAACTTTTACTTCCTTGTGCCTTCAGGATGGAAACAACAAAGCTGTCCATAATCTTTTTTCCTCCTTTCTTTTAAAATAAAAAAAGCTAACAATGATGTGTGCTCCACCTGACCTATTAGACTGGTAGAAGAGCAGTGTCACCTGAGGGCTTGTTAAAAATGCAATTTGGGGCTTTGCCCCAGATCTGCTCAATTAAAAACTTTTTAGAGGGTGGGGCCAAGGAATCTCTTTTTAATAAGCCCTTCAGATGATTCTGATACACATTGAGTTTGTGGATCACTGTGCTAGACACATCTGAGTGTTTCATAATTTTTTCTATTTAATTTTCACAACCACTCTTAATTTAAGAACTATTATTATCCTCCAAACAGATGGTGGAACTGAGGAGCAGAGAGTATGAGTAAATTGTTTAAGGTCCCTGTGGTGTATTGCTTCCAAAGATGTGGGCAGCAATCCCTCCTCCTTTTTCAATGTGACTTTGCCAATTTTCTCCATCAAAAAGTGCAGTCTATTTCCATCCTCTTTGAACTGTACTGGTCTATGACTTTCTTTGACCAGTAGAACACAAGTAAAGTGACATGGTGCAACTTCCAATGCTAGGCCTAAGAGGCCCTGCAGATTCTGTTTTCACTCTCTTAGTCCTCTCACTCTCCACGAAAAGTCTAGGCTATCCTGTTGGAGATGAGCCACATGGTAATAGGTATCCTGGAGAACGAGCAACTGGACCATGTGGAGAGAGGGGCAATGTGGAGAAGAATCAATGTGTGCCAGCTGACAGCCAGCACCAAGGCCTAGTCATGTGACAAGGCCATCTTGAACCTTCAGCCCAGCCTCTTCAGCAGCTGACTCCAGCCTCATGAGCCTTGCTAAAGCCACATGGAGAAGAGGGTTGCTAAGCCCTGCCTAAACTCCCAACCCACAAAATTCTGTGCGATAAAATGACATTGTTTTAAGCAACTGAGCGTTGGAATAGTTTGTTACACAGAAGAGGAGAACTGAAACAGTCATATATTTGTCAAAAATAAATCAATAAAATAAAATGGGAATTGTTATTTTTTTAACATATTGGCTTTAAGCCCAAATTCCAGTGCAAGGAATTTGGTAAGTTGTGGTACTGCGTACTATATATAGTACTTATTTTTTTCCACCTAAGCTAGGTAGTAAGAATGATAGCTAATGCTTATGTGGTACTTATAATGTACCAGGCAGTAAGTGCTTTGAATATATTTTAATTTGTTGATTTTTAAATAATTTTTGAAATATATACTAAGATAATTTATTTTCAGCCTTTTTTCTAATGCAAGTTCTTAAAGCTCTACATTTTCCTCTAAATACTACATTAGCTGCATCCTAAACATTTTGATATGTCATATTCTAATTAAGTTCAGAATAATTATGATTTCTTCTTGGACCCAAGAGTTTTTTTCCCAGAAGTATATTGCTTAATTTTAAGATTTTTCTAATTATCTTTTTATTTTTTTCTAAAATAATTCCACCGTAGTTAGAAAATAATATTCTGCATGTTTCAAACATTTGAAATTGATTGGGACTCATTTTGTGGCCTAGCATATTTTTAATTTTGGCAAATGTTTCACATGTACTTGAAAAAAAAAGCATATACTATAGTTGATGACTGGCTTCTATAAACTTTTGATGTTGTTAATTAAGGGATAATTGTTCCTTTAAGGTAAAGGACCTCTCCAGACAGAAAAAGATTGTGCACCCTTAAGAGGCCTGGAGGCCCACGATTGGAATTACAGGAACTTAACCATTTTTGAATGCTTTTTTAAATTTTAATATTAATAGTTTACATCAATTATGCTTTTGACTCAGTAATATATCTGTGTTTACTTTGAGATAAAATAATTTTTCCAACAACACACGCCAGGAAAACACCAGCTCCTAGACTGATATCTGACACATAGGAGACACACAATAAATATTTGTAGGACCAGTGAATAAATGAATTGGTTGGCTTTGCCTGCTGTCTTAGGCACAGGATCCTCTTCAAGGATGCTGTAGGCTCACTAGTCAGTTGAGGTCAGCACTTCTTCCTCAGGAGACTTCCCTGATATCTGCTGGAAAACTTGTAACAAATATGCAAACTATGATATCTTGAATGCAAACGGGGCCCCCAGAATTGTGTAATATCCAGCATGCTCAAACATGCTTGTAGTTTCAGCTGGGGCCCACGTAGAGTAATTTCATCCTCCTGGCTCATCATTCCCCCACATAAAGCGAACTGCTAGGGAAGCTATATTCAGGCCCAACTTGACAGTGGTCTCTCTTTACCTCAGCTGGAATCTAAGCTGAGGTCCTGGGTCCCAGTGGGTGTTGCAACTTGCATTGTGCTTCCACGGGGCAAGCCTTGGCCAACAAGTTGTATGTAATTGTGTTTCATGCAAGGAACAGTAAAGGAGGTACTGTGACATATCTTCATAGATGCAGAGATCATTTTTTCCAATGGAATAAAATCACTAGCTGTGCATTTGTGAATAAATTGAATATATAATTATAAACATTCCCACAAAGAAAACTCCATGCCCACATTTTTTCGCTGATGATTTCTAGCAAACATTTAAGGAAGAAAGAATATCAATTGTATATATAAACTCTCTCAGAAATTAGATGAGAGAATATTTTCTAACTTATTTTATAAGGCCAGCATTACTCTGATATCAAAATCAGACTGACATTACAAGAAAAAAAGATAGCTACAGATCAATATCCTTCTGAACATAGCCACAAAAATTCTTGACAATTAGCAAATCAAATCCAACAACATAAAAAAAGATATAAAACAACATGACCAAAATGGGGTTTAATTCCAGATATGTGAATTTTGTTTAACATTTAAAAAATCAATGCAACAATCACATTAACAGATTAAGAGAGAAAAATCAAATTATCATCTCAGTAGTTGCAGAAAAAGCATTTGACAAAATTCAACACCGATATGTGATAAAAGTTCTCAGTTAACACCAAATAGAAGGGAATTTCTTTAACCCAGTAAAAGGCATCTTCAACAAACCAAATGAATACAATCTCCTCACTCTTTGCTCACAGATCTAGGGTATCAGATCTGCATCTGTTAGGTACAGACATCAGTACCAAATATCTTTTGAATGCTTACTCTGTGCCAGACTATAACCCAAATTCTATACTGGTATTATTCTTTGATTATCTTAATAACCCTATGAGATATAGACTATTATTCTCATTTTGAAGATAATAAAATGATTCACAGAGACATCAACTACCTTAAGATTACACACACTGCTAGTAAGGGGAGGAGCTGAAACAGTCTGATTCTAGGGCCCATGCCCTTAGCCACTGCATGATAGGCCCATCTTCTTATCTGAGGTTTGACTTTGAGGCTTAAACCAAAGGGCAAGCATCCAAGGCCGAGGGTGAACCCTGGTCATGCAGTAAAAAAAACCTGTACAGTTTTCAAAAGCCACACGTGTCTGCCAGACCATGCCCTATGGTTGCATCAGTTATACACAGTGGTGGTAGACCTACATTTTAGATTCCCAACCTCTGAGATTTTGATTCTGTGTCATGAGGGTGGGCCAGGGCATCTGAATTTTTTAAAAAAGCTCCACAACTGGAAGGAGAACCACTATAGAAAGTGTTCTCTGTGCTTGACCCTGGACTGGGCACCTTGGTCCTCAGAAGCTTTACCTCTGAGTATAGCTTTTACCAAGGTGTTACTGTCTTAATCGCACCTTGTTAAGTCTCAATTTCTCATGCATGCTCCCATTTACACGTTCTGTGCTCAGTGCCTATGCAATGTTTATTATCTAATTCTTTCTAAGAAAATGCTGATTTTGTTCAGAATGGCAATATGCCCAGCTAGTAAACTACATTTCCCAGTTGTCCTTGCAGCTAAGGGTGGCAGTGTGACACAGTTCTGGCCAATGAGATATAAGTAGAAGTTGGCAAGGATATTTTAGAAAGTTTTGCCTTCATGATACAGACAGAGCTCCTTTAATCCTTGCCACATTCTTCTTTTTCCTCCTTTCTGGAATGGAGAGCAGACACCAGGCAACTTGAGATGACCAAGCTCAAAGAAGAGAAGCAGAAACATAGACAGTACCTGGGGCATTGATGTCACCATAGCACTGATGCAGCAGCCTTGGACCTCCAACCTCCAGTCTTAGTATGTGAGGAAAAATAATTCCCACAAGTTTATGTTTGTGCCACTGTTACAGGCAGCCAAATACAACCTCTAATTCATATGCTTTCAATACACATTTATTGAGTGCATGACTTTGTTAGCTGCCAGGGATATAAGGCTGACTAAGCCAGGCTCTTTTTTTCAGGAAGCCCACCGTCTGGGTAAGAGGGCACATATATAAAAACAAGAGTAATACAGTGTGATAATAGCTACTGGAGAGATGAGCGCTGATGGCCAGTGAAGATCAACTCTGAATGGGCTGAGAAGACTACTAAGAAAGTGATGTTTGCTTTTAGTCTTAGCAAATGAGTTGAAATTTTCTAGGTGGATTTAGGATGGGGTGGGTGAACGGGCATTGCTGATGGGTAGAAGGGCATGCGTGAATATATGGAGTCCTAAAACAGCACAGCATGCTCAGTCAGCTCAGTGTTGTTGACCTGTATGTAGGCTGAGGGTAAGAGGTAGTGTGCAGTGGGAGGTAGACCAGCTCATACATGTATAAAAAATATACATGTGCCATGTGGAAAAAATACTTTTTCTATCAGGTGCCTGTCCTTGGGAGTCAGCAAATTATTTTTAGCAGGGAAGTGATTTGATGAGATTCATGTTTTTAAAATCCACTCTGGCAGGAGTGTGGAGAATGGACTGGCAAGTGCTGCAGGAGAAAGACTTGTGAGAAAGCTAAAACCAGCAAGAGATGTTGAGAGCTTATGCCAAGGCAGTGGCAATGGGGCTGGGCAGGAAGGGGTGGAGAGGATTTTGATGGCCATTTCAATTTCATAAAATGACTTTTTGGCCCTTTATAGGACCAAAAAATCATTGGGATTTTATATTTCTTCATATTATCAAATTTTTATTTTATTATTTTATTTTATTCTATTTTGAGACAGAGTCTTGCTTTGTCATCCAGGCTGGAGTGCAGTGGTGCGATCTTGGCTCACTGCAACCTCAGCCTCCCGGTTTCAAGTGATTCTCGTGCCTCAGCCTCCCGAGTACCTGGGATTACAGGTGCCTGCCACTATCCCCAGCTAATTTTTTGTATTGTTAGTAGAGACAGGGTTTCACCGTGTTGGCCATGCTGGTCTCGAACTCCTGACTTCAGGTGATCCACCCGCCTCGCCCTCCCAAAGTGCTGAGATTACAGGTGTGAGCCACTGTGCCTGGCCATATTATCATATTTTTTATTTTCATTGGAACATTCCCTTTGATCTTATTTTACTTTCTTTTAGGCATGTGCTATAATAATAGTTTCTCTGTCCACACGATGATGGTTGAATGCCTTTGTCTCATTAAGTTTTCTTCCTGAGTCCTACAAAAGACTTTCTCAGCACCTCTTGATCTTCATGTCTGCTCTCAAGGGAAGGCTCAAGATTGACTTGCATTAGTAGATCACAGGTGAGATGTACAGCAGAATCCTCCTCCCGATACAGATTATTCCAGCACCAGCACCAGCTCTCAAGAATTGCTGAAAAATATTAGCTGTTTCTATGTTTCTCTGAGAGGAAGCCTACAATCTTAAGGCATGCTCTCTATTATGTACAGCAGATGATGGGCATTTGGGAAGTTCAGCTTAGAGAGAACCCCAATATAATGAACTCAGATTATATTTTAGAGAGTACTCAGAAAACACTAAGCCTCCCAATATGTCCCTTAAGAGGGAGGAAGAGGACGGATTCATGAAAATATTGCAGCAACTCATTTTATGTCACCTACCCTTAGATTAAAGTTGTTCAAAATGATTGACGTTGCTCCTCCCCCAGGTTCCCTGTGGTTTTCATCTACAGGTATGCATAGGTGCCTGCAGATGTTATGAGTTTGAACTTGGACTCACTGGATGTAACCCTGTTTTTGGTTGCTGCTGTAACAAATTACCACAAACTTAATGGCTTGATACCATACCAATTTATTATCTCACAGTTTTGGGGCTCAGATGTCTAAAATGTATCTTATGGGGCTAAAATTAAGGTGTCAGCAGAAATGTGTTCCTTGTGGAAGTTACAGGAGAGAATCTGTTCCTGGCCTTTTCCAGCTTCTAGATGCTGCCCACAGTCCTTGGCTTGAGGCTGCATCACTCTGACCTCTGCTTCTACCATAACATCTCTCCCTTTGACCCTCCTGCCTCTCTCATAAGGACTCATGTGTGATTACATTGGGCCCACCCAGATAATCCAGGATCACCTCCCCATCTCAAGATCCTTAACTTCATCACATATGCAAAGTCCCTTTTGCAATGTAAGGTAATGTTTCACAGGTTCTAGGAACTAGGGAATGCACGTCTTAGGCGGGGGACATTATTCTGCCTGCTACCCCAGATTCAAACTAGAGAACCTGGTCTGAAACAGGTGGCTTAGGAAACTACCCTGCGGCCACAATGAAAGATGAATGTAATGAGTGATGGAGGCTACCTTACCTTCTAATCTCAATGAGATTTTGTTTCATAAGCCCCAGCTTTTCATTCATAGTGATCAGAGCAATTTTAGATCATATATTTAGGGGTTGTTTCTTGTCTATCTTATTCACTGAACTGTAAGCTCCATGAGGGCAGAGACTATGCCTATCTTATTCATCACTATCTCCCTCATGCCTGGCTGTGGCAAACACTAGAGGTAGCCTCCCACCAGCTATTTCTACCTCCTCTTTTTTTTTTTTTGAAATGGAGTCTCACTCTGTTGCCCATGCTAGAGTACAATGGTGCCGTCTTGGCTCACTGCAACTTCTGCCTTCTGGGTTCAAGTGATTCTCCTGCCTCAGCCACCCAGGTAGCTAGGATTACAGGCGTGTACCACGGTGCCCAGCTAATTTTTGGATTTAGTGGAGAGGGTGTTTCACCATGTTGGCCAGGGTGGTCTGAAACTCCTGACCTCAGGTGATCCTCCCTCCTCGGCCTCCCAAAGTGCTGAGATTACAGGCATGAGTCACCAAGCCAGGCCTCTGCCTCCTCTTTAATGATTGAATCTCAGTTCTGTTCTCAGGATATTGCGCTCATCTTCAAGGAATGAACCACAGTGGTCTAAGCCAATGAAGTAAATCTATCCTCCTTTGCCAGTGATTGATGTACCGATGGCCATGTGATCCAGCCCTAGTCTTTTGAGGGCTTCCGGAAAGATCTAATCCCTTGGTGAAAAGAGAAGTCCATGTGAGTGGAAACTCTTGTCTCTGATCCTTTTCTCCCTCTTTAGGAGGTTGTATAAGGTTGTGATGCTTGGGGCTGTGGAAGGCACTGGAATACATGGCTTACTCACTGAGAGGAGCAGAGGGGAGAGATGGGAAGATCTTGGGCTCCTGCTGCCATAGTTGAGCTGCTGTAACAATTCTGGCACTATGTCCAGACTTTGGGTTCTGTGAGATAATTAAATATCTTCATCATTTAAGCCTTGTTAGCCAGAGATTTTGTCACTCGTAACCAAATGCACTTAAACTGATAAACTGTCGCAGTTTCTGGGGTATGGCAGAGATGTCTAATGAGTAAATACTTCACTTGACAGATATGCCCTCACCACAACCTCAAAATTTCCTAAAAGAAAAGAAATCCACCTTACAAGCTAAGCTCTTGCATATGAAGAAGAAGTCCCTGAGGACTGGGAATAGCTAAGAAAATCTCTGCTCTTTTGACTTTCACCATGAGGAGGGGAATGATTGCATTATGGGTGACTTGGGTGCTTCAAAGCAAATTATCCTATTTAACGCCAACCACTTCTTCCCGGCTGATTAGCTTTCTCTGTCCAATTCCCACTGGAGTGCTCACCAGCTGGGAACTGTGCGCCATCTGCTGAGTTTCAGGCAGGCTGAACCAATAGGCAGATGCTCCATCCTAGAAAGAGAGAGCAAGGCAACTTGTTTCTGGGAAATTCCTCACAAACCTCCTGCCTACAACTACAGAACTGGGACACGTAAGCACCCCAGAATCAATCAAGGAGGTTCCAGGCCTCCTGGGGTACCTTAGGAGATGCCTGTCTAAGGCCAGAGTGGGTGGCTCTGTGTGTTGGTGTGCAAGGCTCACACCTATATGCGTTACCTGGGTCCAACCAAAGTGTGGCCCCTCAGGTCACTGAGGGGTCCTGGCTGGGTTCAGGCTGGGGCTCCTGGTCTGAATCCCAGTGGGACCTCAGCCCAAACCCTGCACATCTGCATTCACCTCTGATGACCTGCAGACTGAAGCCAGAGGTAGCATACTGCCTGGGCACTGGAGGGAAGCTGCTGCTGCTACAAATCCCCACTCCATCTTCACCCTGAATGTCCTTCTCACTGAACCTTCTTATCCCATCGTGTCCTTGCACCCTTAGCACAGGGTTCAATACGACCATGGCACTCTACTCCCCATTATGCAAGCTCCTCCCTTTTCCATCCACTCATGTTTCTACTCCTCAGTCTTTAGCTGCCTGGCTCTCCATCTTACCAGGTTACCAAATCAAGAACTCCTGTTTCTCTCCATCTCTTCAGATTGATTGACTCAGTTATGAACTGTTTCCCTTGCTCAGGTTCTTTTTGGAACACAATGTCTCAAATTTATACATTATCCCCATGCTCTAATCATTAATAAAAAAAAATCACCACTTTGCCTGGATTTGGTTTGGGCAAATCCACCTTTTTTTTTGTGGCTTTCCTGTAGTGCTGGAGATCAGGCAAAATTGACTTTTGGGACTTGCAAGGGTAAGCGTCTGTTCCTGGATCCTGGGGATCCCACTAAGGTGTTACTGGGTGAGGAGGCCTTGTTCACCTGCTCCCTTGTTCATTTCTCTCTTCCTCTGGAATTTAGTCCAGCAAAAATAAAACTGTGTTATGAGCAGCAAGAGCATCCATGAGATTGAAATACTGTCCACAGCTGTCCTGTTTACATGATTAATGAGAGAGCCTGTGCCTGGCTGGATATGATGAGAATTCAGGATTGGCATGGAAAAGGAAGCTGTAACAACAAAGAGAGGCAAGGGATAATCTATCTCTGGAGAGCAATTATTTTAGAAAAAATAGTACATGAAAATAAAGCTATATGCTCACTGCCTTCCACTTCGGGTCAAGTAGCCTGAGGGAGTTGACCATTCTTGGTTTTAAATTCTTTAGATAACTAGGCACATACACCTGGAGAATAACAAATGTCCTTTTTAAAATGCCACTGCTGGCCAGGCACAGTGACTCACGCCTGTAATCCCAGCACTCTGGGAGGCCAAGGCGGTCGGATCACGAGGCCAGGAGATCGAGACCATCCTGGCTAACATGGTGAAACCCCGTCTCTACTAAAAAAAAAAAAAAAAAAAAAAAAAAAAAAAAAATTAGCTGGGCGTGGTGGCACATGCCTGTAGTCCCAGCTACTTGGGAGGCTGAGGCAGGAGAATTGCTTGAACCCGGGAGGCAGAGGTTGCAGTGATCTGAGATTGCACCACTGCACTCCCGCCTGGGCGACAGAGCAAGACGCTGTCTCAAAAAAAAAAAAAAAGCCACTACTCCCTCTTGGTCACTACTGGTGGCAGTGGACACTGCTGGAAATGCTTTGGGAGGCAACTAGGCCAAATGCACCAGCAGCTCAAAAAATATTTACAGTTTGTGACACAGAGATTTCACTTCCAGGAGTAAGTCAGAAGGAAAAATCCCAAATAAGGGGAAAAAAGTAATAAACACAAAATTGTTTACTGCAAGCCCATTCTATCATAGGAAAACATTGGAACCAACTTAACTACTCAATGATAGAAGGATGATTAACTCATATTGCATTCCCCTGATCAAATATTATGAAGTCAGGAAAATTTTAATTACAGAGATGACAGCAACATAGGAAAGTAATGATATAAAATTTTATGCACACTTAACTGTAGTGCCCTAAAAATATATGCTCATATAATCAAAGATACATAAAATGGGAAATAGCTGTGTTAAGGTGGTAGAATTATTGTTAGTTTTTTCTTTTTATATCCACCCAATGTAAAGTTATTATATGTCCCTTATAATACATAATAAATACATAAAATGCAAATGGTTAACAAATGGGGCAAGAACTAGCATTAAGGGGCTATTAAGTTTCAGGTATTATTTATATATGTGTTATCTAATATAATTTTTATTTCTGTCCTAAGCGATGTCTCTTTTTGAATTTTTACATATGGGGAAACTGAGGTTGAGAGAAGCTGATTGAGGGTGAATAGGAGGTGGAAAGAAAACAGATAAACATTTAGCATGATTTGGAACTTGTCCAGCAGCAGGACAATTAAGAAGTAGCAGGGATTAGAGAGCCCATTCTACTCACTGGCAACATGGGATGGTGAGGGCAAGTTCTCTCCTCAGCTGTTTTTCTCGTGCTGCTGTCCCGGCAGGGAATTGAGGGATGAACTATTGTAGTATCCAATGGATCCAGGATTGCTGCCCATCTCTGCATATTCTAGAGGTCCTCCTTCCCAAATGGGTGACATCCTGTTGGGCATCATTTCAACACTCGGGGAATAGGATGTGGTTGTGAAGCCCACCTGAAGATTCTCAAACACACATTTCTTGGGGATGCCCAGAAGAGGTGATGCAATAGGTATCCTAAAATGTCTAACCAGGGGTTCATGGAGTGTCAATTATGGGTCCAGTGTAAGAGGGGAAAAGAGTGAGCAGAGGAGGGAACTGGGGAGGTGATGACAGAGAGAAATGGAAGGACCCAGGGAAGTCAGAGAGCAGATGCAGTGAGAATAAGGGCACTGGAGAGCTTGAAGGACAGGAAATCATGGCTGGTGTTAACGTTTCCAGAAAAATGACATGTTCCAGGGTACAATTTGGAAGTGTGTGCCTGTTATGGACTGAATAGCAACCCCTGCCAAATTCATATGTCAAAGCCCTATACCATCCAACGTGAGCATATTTGGATATTGGGCCATTAAGGAGGTAGTTAAGGTTAAATGAGGTCAGTTAACCCCAATAAGGGTCCCTCATTATTGTGTCTTTAAGGAGGTACTTAAGGTTAATTTAAAGGGTGAGACCCTAATTAAATAAGGCTCTAATGGGAAAACATAAAGTTTTTTTTTTTTTTTTTTTTTTGAGACGGAGTCTAGCTCTGTTGCCCAGGCTGGAGTGCAGTGGTGCAATCTCGGCTCACTACAAGCTCTGCCTCCCGGGTTCACGCCATTCTCCTGCCTCAGCCTCCCGAGTAGCTGGGACTACAGGTGCCTGCCCCCATGCCCGGCTAATTTATTTGTATTTCTAGTAAAGATGGGTTTCACCGTGTTAGCCAGTATGGTCTCGATCTCCTGACCTCGTGATCCGCCTGCCTTGGCCTCCCAAAATGCTGGGATTACAGGCGTGAGCCACTGCTCCCAGCCTGGAAACATAAAGTTCTTATAGAGAAAGAGACACTCAAGAGCTCTCTCTCTCTCCCCACATGCACAGAGGAAAGGCCATACAAGGGCAGAGAGAGAAGATGGCCAGCTATAAGCCAGGAAGAGAGCCTTCACCAGAAACCAAATTGGTTCGCATCTTGATCATGGACTTCTAGCCTCCAGAGCTGTGGGCAAATAAGTGTCTGTTGTTTAAGCCACTCAATCTGTGGTATTTTGTTATGGCAGCCTAATCAGAGTGGGGTGGGGGAATCTATAGAGCTAAGATAGTCAAACTGTAAGGCTGATGTGTGGAATGGTTCACCTATATGAATGATAAAAATGCCCATGAAGGCCGGGCATGGTGGCTCACATCTGTAATCCTAGCACTTTGGGAGGCCAAGGAGGGTGGATCACCTGAGATCAGGAGTTCAGGACCAACCTGGCCAACATGGTGAAACCCTGTCTCCACTAAAAATACAAAAAATTAGCCGGGTGTGGTGGTGCATGCCTGTAATCCCAGCTACTCTGGAGGCTGAGGCAGGAGAATTGCTTGAACCCAGGAGGTGAAGGTTGCAGTGAGCCGAGATCGTGCTACTGCACTCGAGCCTGGGTGACAGAGCCAGACTCCATCTCAAACAAAACAAAACAAAACAAACAAAACGAAACTACCCATGAAGATGATTATAAAATGAATCACAATGTTAGCTAAACTTACTGGGCACTTGTGGGCCAGGAAATCAAAGTACTTTAAATGCATTAACTCCTCTACCAGTCCCATGATATAGGTGCTACTATTTCTTACCCACTACACGTGTGAAAGCACTGAGGCAGAGAGAAGTGAAGTAGCGTATCTAAAGTCACAGAGCTAGTCCGAGGTGGGGCTCGAACCACACACATAGGCTGGAGAGCCCACACCCTTAACCACTTTTCTGTATTGGGATGTGGGAAATGTTACAAATCAAGGGCCAAAGAAAGGATGTACTCAGAGAGGTGAAAGAAGAAAGGTTTCCCAAAGTAATCGGTCAGATCAGCTGACAACTCTGGATGCTCAGTGGGTGAGAGATGTCAGAAGATGATCTCCTTTCCTCACATCCAGAGGGAGATGAAAACCTGTGGTGTGAGTTTTAAGGGATATAGGATTTTTGTATGGGAGTGGAAGAGAAATAGTGTGGCAGTAAGAATGGGGTACTGAGCTCTGTGGCTATGTTCATACCTAGCAAGCTGCATCCACCTGAAAAGGTTGTGATGTGGCAGAAGGTCCGTGTTAAAAGTAGGTGCTGGCTAGAGAGGGTGCCTTCAGGATCTGCTGCTGCCTGCAGAACTGGAATTTCCTCCTGACCCACCTCTCAGGGATGGCCTGAGTCTCCAGCCCTCACCAATTCTTAGGAAAAGATGAAGTTGTTCTTAGTTGTAGCAGTCTAGATCAAATCAAGTGATGTAAAACACAGTAGCTTAAGCAGAAGCTTAATATGAGAATTATTAAATATGATAAAAAGAGGCTGGGCACGGTGGCTTGCACCTGTAATCCCAGCACTTTGGCAGGCCGAGGTGGGTGGATCACTTGAGGTCAGGAGTTCGAGACCAGCCTGGCCAACATGGTGAAACTCCGTCCCTACAAAAACTACAAAAATTAGCTGGGAGGCGCATGCCTCTTGTCCCAGTTACTGGGGATGCTGAGAGAGGAGAATCGCTTGAACGCAGGAGGCGATGAGCTGAGATTGTGTCACTGCACTCCAGCCTGGGCGACAGAGTGAAAAAAAAAAAAAAAAGAATCACTATAAGATATAAGGAAACTATATAGTACCCTAGGGCTGAGAGAGAGTACCCAAGAAAAAATTAAATTGGAAAGGTTTCAGATGTGATTGAAGAACATGTGATTTAGTCCACCTGACAGGAGAAATGTATACTGGCTTTCCCAGTCTGAAGCTGGTCTGGAGTTGCTGAGTGAGCAACAGGCCACCTTCTGAAATGCAAGTACAGGAGCAGGCAATTAGCAACTGGTGGCAAAGGCATGCAGTGGGAGTCTGGGCACTGACAGGCAGGAGGGCTTCAGAGAATGTGGCATTCTCTGAAATTTACAAAATTTGCTCCTCATCTCATCATCTTCTGAGGGCCAGGATTGGGGAATTCATGTGGACATCCTAGAGATATTTTGTGATAAAAATGTGAGAGTGTGGAATCTTGCACTGCTCACGAATGGGTTGCACCTTACAAGGGGTCAACAAGATTTCCAATGGAGATGATTTGATCATGAGAGGAAAATCCAAGGACCAACATTTCCAAATGGGAGGGGACACAGTCTTAATTTTGGCATTCCTCCTTTATGGCTCTCTGATAGTCCCCTGCCACCCTCCCTGTTTGTTATGGGGTTAAGTGATGGAAGCAGGGACAGACCAGGAGGGGGCTGTGCTCTGTGAACAAAGGCACAACCTTGTAAATTTAAATAAAATAAAACCAACTCTGAGTCCCCATCCTGTTGGATGAGAGGGGAATTGTACTGTAGGGCTTTCTCCTTCAACCCTTCTTTGCCTCAGAATGGTATAAAGGTTCCAGGGGCTTTATGAAGAATAAAATATTTGAGGAGGATTATGAGGGTTTTGGCTACTGTTGAGTGCTGTGGGGTTTTTTTTCTCTCTCTTTTCCTTTTTAATAAGTAGATAAATGGGGGAAGAAAAGGCTAAACTAATAAGAAAGAATAAAGTGTTTCACAATTGTTTTGAGGGTATTTCTCATAGTCTATTTGCCTAGAAAGCAGAACCCAAGGTAAAAGTTTATGGTGTAACTAATAAACTGAATTCAACAACACCTTAAAAGGATCTTACACCATGAACAAGTGGGATTTATTCCAAGCATGTAAGAATGGTTTAACATATGCAAATTGATAAATGTGATACACCATATTAACAAAATGAAGGATAAAAATCATATGATCATCTAAATAGAGACAGCAAAAACATTTGACAAAATTCAGCATCCTTTTATGATAAAAACGTTCAATAAAGGAGATATAGAAGAAATATGCCTCAACATAATAAAGGCCATATATGACAACCCCACAGCTAACACCATACACAACAGTAAAAAGCTGAAAGCCTTTCCTCTAAGATCAGGAAAAAGATAATGATGCCCACTTTGGTCACATCTTCTTTAATGTAGTATTGAAGGCCTAACCAGAGCAATTAGGCAAGAAAAAGAAATAAAAGGCATCCAAATTGGAAAAGAAAAACTAAAATTTTCTCTGCTTGCAGATGGCATGATCTTATATATAGAAAACCCAGAAAAGCTCTACCCCCAAGCTACTAGAACTAATAAACAAATTAAGTAAAGTGGCAGAATACAAAATTAACATACAAAAAATTAGTAGCTATACATGAACTATACATTAGTTTCTATACACTAACAAGGAACTAGCCCTTGAAAGAAATTAAAAAAATGATTCCATTTATAAGAGCATAAAAAAACTTTGGAATAAATTTAACCAAGCAGGTGAAAGCTCTATACATTGAAAACTATAAAGAACTGATGACAGAAATCCAAGAAGTCACAAATAAATGGAAAAATATCCTATGTTCATGAATTGGAAGAATTAATATTGTTCAGGTGTCTATATTACCCAAAGCAATCTACAGATTTAATGCAATCCCTATCAAAGTTCTAATGACATTTTTTCACAGAAATAGAAAAAACAATACTAAAGTTTATACGGAGCCACGAAAAGCCAAGAGTAGCCAAAGCAATCTTGAACATAAAGAACAAAAGTGGAAGCATCACACTACTTGATTTCAAAATATACAACAAAGCTATAGTAATCAAAAAAGCATGTTACTGGCATAAAAACAGATGCATAAGTCAGTGGAATAGAACAGAAAGCCAAGCACAGAAATAAACTCACATGATTATGATTCATTAATCTTTGACAAAGGTGTCAGGAACACACATGGGGAAAGGATAGTTTCTTCAATAAATGGTTTTGGGAAAACTGGATCTCCCCATGCAGAAGAATGAAACTGGACCCTTATCTCATACCATTTACAAAATTCAATTCGAAGTGGATTAAGACTTAAACATAAGACCCCAAACTGTAAAACTAGTAGAAAAAAAATAGGACTTCTTGATATTGGTCTTAGAAATGATTTTTTGGATGTGATTACATCCAAATGGGATTACTTCAAACTAAAAAGCTGCTTCTGTGCAGGAAATGAAACAATCAACTAAGTGAAGAGACAACCTATGAATGGGAGAAGATATTTGTAAGCCATGCATCTGATAAGGGGTTAATATCGAAAATACTTAAGGAACTTACACAATTCAATAGCAAAGAAACAAATAACCTGATTAAAAATGGGCAAAGGACCCAAATAAACATTTTTCCAAAGAAAACATAAAAATGGCCAACAGTTATATGAGAAGGTGCTCAATGTCACTAAGCATCAGAGAAACGCAAATCAAAATGACAATGGGATATCACCTCAAACATGTTAGAATGGCTGTTATCAAAAAGACAAAAGATAGCAAGTCTTGATGAGAATGTGGAGAAAAGGGAACCCGTGTACACAGTTGGTTGCAAAGCAAATTAGTACAGCTATTATGAAAAACAGTATGGAAGTGCCTCAAAATTTAAACATATAATACCATATGGTCCAGCAATCCCACTTCTATGGTATTTCAAAGGAAATGAAATCAGTATCTCAGTGAGATATCTGTGCTTCCATATTTATTGCAGCATTACTCACAATAACCAAGATGTGGAATCAGCCTAAGTGTCCATCAATGGATGAATGGATTAAGAAACTGTGTACATGTATACCTACAGCGGAATATTCTTCAGCCTTAAAAAAGACGACAATTCTGCTATTGTGACAATATGAATGAACCTGGAGGACATTAAGCTAAGTTAAATAAGCCAGGCACAGAAAGACAAATGCTGCATGATCTCATGGTTAGGTAGAATCTAAAAAAGTCAAACTTATAGAAGCAAAGAGTAGAATGGTGGTTTCCAGGGGCTGGGAGTTGGGAGAAATGCAGAGATGTTGGTCAAGGGTACAAAGTTTTAGTTAGGCAGGATGAATAGTTCTGGAGGTCTAATGCATAGTACAGTGACTCTAGTAACCAATGCTGGATTGTATACTTGAAATTTGCTGAAAGAGTAATCTTAAATGTTGCTACACACAATAATAACTAAGATAACGTATATGTTAATTAGCGTGATAGTGGTGGTAATCATTCCACAATGTATATACATATCAAAGCATCACATTTTATCCCTTAAATATATATAGTTTTATTTATTTATTTATTTTTTGAGACAGGGTCTTGCTCTATTGCCAGCTATGCTGGAGAGCAGTGGTATGATCATGACTCATTGCAGCCTCGACCTTCTGGACTCAAGTGATCCTCCTGCCTCAGCCTTCTGAGTAGCTGGGACTACAGGCACCCATCACGAACTGGCTCATTTTTAAATTTTTTGTAGAGATGAAGTCGTCTATATTGCACAGTCTGGTCTCAAATTCCGGGCCTCAAGTGATCCTCCCACCTTGGCCTCCCAATGTATTGGGATTACAGGCATGAGCCCCTGCACCTAGCCTACACATAATTTTTATTTGTTAATTTTACCTAAATAAAGCTGGAGAAGAAAAGCTTATGGCTTTATATTTTGTTTAGGAATGCAGACCAGTGGTGTCCTAGAGCTAGCTTGAACTGCCTCACAAAAGCTGATCATTTAATTTTCAGAGACTGTTGTTAAACACAGCCATTTAATTTTTAATAATTAAATTACATAAACGTACAATTAGAAGAAATTATATTAAAAACAAAAGCAATAAATACCCAAAACTCATGACTCCCTAATTATTTGACTATATTTTTCTATTATCTATGCTTTTGAGGTTATTTACATTTATTATGGATATACCAAAAAAATGTAGTATCAGAGCAACTCCACTTCCAGTAACATTATGTTGTTAGGTTGAAATCAGACATTTTGGGAGTACTGTACATCACAGATAGAGGCAAAGGCTACAAATCAGGGCTTGATTTGTCTTGTTGATTGTATAGAGTTAAGAAAGTAAAGAAGAAAATGTTAATATTACAAATTAAACTTAAAAGCATGTCATGTTTGGAGCCGTTATGTTAGGAATACTACGTAAAATGGAAATGTTCTTCCGGAATGTGAAAACTGTTGTCCAATACAACAAAGAAATTGTTCATGCCATGACGATTACAGTTCAGTCACATGTCTTTGTACTTTCCCTTTCATCTTACTTATTAATTTAAACGAAAATATCAGCCAACATTTACATTGGAACTACACTTGAGAGCCAGATATTAAATATTCACCAGCACATTACTGGCACAGGCCCCAGGGGCCAGGAGTGAGGGAAAAAGGAAGTGAGGTAGGGAAAGAAACAGTGCAAATATAAGGAGGTGTGGGTTCACATCCAAAGGAATTGAAAACAGGATCACAAAGAGTTATTTGCACACCCGTGTTCATTGCAGCATTATTCACAACAGCCAAGAGATGGAAGCAACCTACAGGTCCATTGATGGAAAAATGAATAAAGAAAATGTGCTATATATACAGGATGGAATACTATTCAGCCTTAAAAAAGAAGAAAATTATGTGATAGGCAAAAACACAGATGAACCCTTGAGAACGTTAAGGACACTGGCTAAGTGAAATAAGCCAATCACAAAGACAGATACATACAGCATGATTCCACTTACTTGAGGTATCTAAAGTAGTCAAACAGAAGTGGAAACAGAAAGCAGAATGGTGGTTGCCAGGAACTGTAGGGAGGGGGATAGAGGAGTTGCTGTTCAGTGGGAACAGAGTTTCAGTTCTGCAAGATGCAAAAGTCCTAGAGATCTGTTGCACAATGATGTGCGCATAGATGACACTGATGTATTGTAAACATTTACAAATAAGATGGCAAATTTTATGCCACTTAACTATATGTATTATATATATTTTTATACATGTATTATATGCATTTTACTACATAACATACAGAAAAGAGGAAAAAAGAAAAGAAATATAAGGAGGCATATTATTGATCTGGTCTCAGAGTCTTAAGGGCAGCTAATTGTGTGGTTTTGTAGTATACCTTCCGAGTTTCCAAATAGTCCACCTGGAGAAGAAAGGGAAAAGAAGTTATCTCCCAGCTCCAACCCCACTTTGTCTACCAGTGATCAAAGTCACTCTAGGGGGTGTAACCTCACCGTACCCCTGGCTACGTCACCAGAAGTTGGCAGGTTTGCAGGTGCAGCAATCTTTCTTAGTCTGCTCTGTGCATGGGGCTTCTCAACCTGTGGCTGTGGTGGCAGCAGCAGTGACCTGGCTCCATGATCATAAGCTACTTCTAGGGCCAGAAAGCAAGGCATGTGCATAGACCTGAGTGGCATAGATACTGAGCCTAGTACAGTGATTCCCTGGGTTCTACATTTAAGCTGAAATCAGGAAAGGAGTTTTATGAGGACACTGTTGTTTGTCACCAGAAATAGGGAGGAAAACAGAATTGCAAATTGGCATGTAAGAGTTTTATTTATTTATTTATTTATTTATTTTGAGGCAAAGTCTCGCTCTTGCCTCCCAGGCTGGATTACAATGGCGTGATCTCAGCTCACTGCAACCTCCGCCTCCTGGGTTCAAGCAATTCTCCTGCCTCAGTCTCCCTAGTAGCTGGGATTACAGGCGCCTGCCATGAAGCCCAGCTAATTTTTGTATTTTTAGTAGAGACGGAGTTTCACCATGTTGGCCAGGCTGGTCTCGAACTCCTGACCTCAGGTGATCTGCCCGCCTTGGCCTCCCAAAGTGCTGGGATTACAGGTGTGAGCCACCGTGCCTGGCAGCATATAAGGGTTTTAGTTGAGGAAGCCATTTGTCAAAAATGCAGACAGGTGACAATGACCTAGGTAATATATTTTCTGCAGAGGAAAAGCATTTTCATAGTATCTACTCAGAGTTCCATACAGCAAAATAAAGGCCAGTACTATTGGTGACTGTTGTACTGTGGCTGTAGTAAGTAGTTTATAAAACTCAGCTAACGAATGGGAGAAAGCTACATTTATTAAAAGATCATGATATTGATAAGAATGCATTTTAATTTTCAAGGTATCATTTCAGAGAGTGAATTTATCTGCATAAAGAGCTGACTGGAACGTAGATTTTATTATTCTCCACTATTGGGAAATTGGCAATGACAAGTAGGGTCAAATCCCCTTTATTTATATTGCATTTATGTTGTGCTTTGGAGAACAGATTGTCACATTAATTAAGCTGAACAAATTCTTGTGAAGAGGACTTACTTTTATTAGCGAGCACTTATTAATCACAAGGCTTTCCTTTCATCTAATCAGTTGTTACAACTACTCTCCTGGTGAAGCAGTTTTTATTTCCCTTCCTATTCAGCAGTGAAGAAATTGACTCAAGGTCATCCAGATAGAACTACACAGAGGAGACATGACATTTTTCTTAACAACGGTTTAGGATCTTGTAGCAAGGGTACTCCCTAGAAGAGGAAAGCAATTATTAAGACAATAAAATTGTCATGAAGGTGCAATTTGTCTCCTCTGTGCTTTCTGTTCCCCAGTCCATCTCAACTCCCTAAAGTTTGAATCCCTTTAGCAACACCCTCAGGGACCTCTGACGTCTCCTCACTTTACCATCCTCAGCCCTTGCTCCCACGCACGTAGCTTGACTATCTCTGGACAGCGTCCACGGTCAGACACAACCTGTGCTCCTTCTTTGTTGCACATCTCTGATGATGACAGTATAGTAGGTCATGGGTTAACCCTAGAAAAAAGTCCCTTTTATATCTCTCAGAAAGCAAATTAGTCCATAAGTAACTCCAGGCACGTTCTCAAGCCTGGGTGAGATATTTATGGCTGGTTGAAGAGAAGAACATCCAATGCCCCTATAATGGCTGCCAGGGCACTCCCCATCCCATCGCTCTCCGCTGCTGTCTTATCCCCTCGCCTTTACCACTTTACTGCACCCTGGTCTGACATCTGACTGCCAGCGCCTGCATTTCCGAAATTGTGGGTTTTTCCCGTGGGAGCTGCAGGCCAGCAGCGCCCCTACCCTCAGCAGCCTTCCACTGATTGACAGAAGTCGGTGTATGTGAATACCCCAACCGCTCACCCTGGGGGTGGGACAACCCTGAGGCCCACGCTCTACACTGGTCTCAGAGTTCCACAGCAGAATCAAGCTCCAGTTGCTTATGTATTAGCTTGCTTGATAATAATCCTTTCACTGACTTCCTTCCTTGCTCATCTCACTTCCCTACTCGCCTAATGGTGCTATCTGGGATTGCCTCCCCAATAAAATACTTTGCTTGGGGATTCTTGCCTCAAGATTGGCCTCTGGAAGGAACCCAAATAAGCAGACTCCAAAATTGTAGGACAAATTTGAACTGAATATAAGACCAACCTTTACTTTCAAAAGAGCCCTGGAAGATGGGGTATGAAGTTTGGCTGAGCTCTTTCTATGCTTGTTGCATGACTTTGATTTGCCTGGAGCTGAAGGGACTCTGGATGTTCCAGTTCTCCACACCTCATTAGTTTTTCAAAGTTGTTTCACAAAGCCAGTAGTTCTCTATTTTTATCTATGTTAGCTCTTTTTGAGATAAAGTTTAATTAATGTATTAGATTCTGTGAGAGAAGCAATGAGCCTGAAATTTAATGAGTTAATCTTTTTTCTCCCTTTCTTTTCTCTAATAATGGGAGCATGTTGGCATTTGGCTAAGTTCCATACAGTTTGATATGTAGTTGTAAATACAAAAATAGATGAACTAAGTACCTAGCTCCCCAAGTTAGAAGAGATGATGGCAAAATACATTTAAGGAAAGTAGGAGGAAAACACAATAAATATAAAAACAGTGATTATTGAATTAACACCCACAAAAAGTATAGCATTGATAAATCAAAGAGTAGGCTCTTAAAAAAAGCAATAAGTTATATAAACTTCTGGCAAGTCTGTTCAGGAGAAAAAAGAGAACACAAGCAGATTTACCTATATACTGTACATCACATTAATGAATCAAAGGATGCCTTTTTATCACAGCTGTTTTTCAGCATTGTTTAGGAAATTATGCAGAATTACCCTAACTTCAATCCAGTAGCACAGGTTTTCCAAGCAGTGGTGGCTGTGGAAGGTCTGGGTAGGAAAGGATAAGAGAACACAGGCTGTGGCATGGGGGTGTTGGAGACAGGACTGCCATTGTCCTGAGGCATATTAGTGGATGTTTTGCATATTAGTGGATGTATAATAGTGATGAAAGGTTGAATAAGTTTAGCTAGGATTCTTTATCACATGACTTTTCAAAGCCCTCAACACTCCAATGTAAGCAGAGAACCTACGAGAGGGAGATAAAGGATCCAGCATTTTTCAAATTCATGGAATGCTAGGGCCCTGTGGACTGTGGATTACACAACACTGTGCTAGGGGCTGTGGTGAAGCAAGAACTGAAAAGCAGCACAAAAAGAACTATAAATTTATTTACAAAAATAGATCATTAATTTTGTTTGCTAGAGAATATGATCGTTTCTCTAGGAAGTGTAAGAAAATTAATTGAAAACCTATATGACCAGCTACAACATAACTATGTACAAAGTAATAGCTTTTCAACATGCCAACAAACACCAGGTACAAATAAAATAGAAAAAAAATTATATTTAAATACCATGAAACTATAAAATACTTAGGAATAAAATTGACAAGAAATACACTGGATCTATATGAAGAAAGTCAAAAAGTGTTCCTGAAAACCATAAAACAACAAATGGGGAGCTTTTTCTATGTTTTGAAGATGTTGGTTTCCCAAATTAATCTGTGGATATCATATAGACACAATTAGAATAGTGATAGAAATTTAAAAGGAATTTAAACAATTATCTAAAGTTAACTAAAAGCTTTCTACTTTCGTGTTGCATTTTTGAAATAAAAATTCGTATTTATTATTTTTGCAATGAGATAAAAATTATTAAAACATGAGAAATACTCTTAAAATATTTAAGCAAGAAGTAATATAGGAAGGACTTACCTTACTAGATGTGAATATAATATATGAAAAGACTATAAAAATGTAACAAAGTTTCATGGTACTGAATTAAGACCATGTGATAAAGAATAGACGCACACTCTAGAAGACTAAATAGCTTAAAATGTAGCAAATGAGTCATCACAAATCTATTCCAAAGACATGAATTGTTTAATAACTGGTGTTGAGAAAATTGGCTATTTTCAAAAGCAGTTAACTTAGAACCTCACTTAGAAGTGTATGCAAAGCTTTAAAAAAAACTTGAAAAAAACCAGCAAGGAAGAGATTATGTATTTAATCTCTAAATAGGTAAAAAAAAATCCCCCAGTAGAAAACAGAAGGAATTACAAAGAAAAAACACGTAGAATTGATTACATAAAGTTTTAAATTTTCCACTCTTCAAAAACGATGTAAAAATGAGAAGGAAAACAACAAATGGGGATTATAAGTTTTAATCATTTAAGCCCTCATAAAAATGATTTAAAAAATTCTGAGATCTCAATGAACAAAGAACAAGAAGATGGAAAATTCAGAAAGGAGAAATTATAAATGACTAATACATATATTGTAAAGCTTTATTCACTTTTTATTAGAGACAGGGGGAGTAGAGGGAGCAAGGATTTGCTATATTGCCCGGGATGGTTTCGAACTCCTGGCTGCAAGTGATCCTCCTGCCTCTGCCTCCCAAAGTGCTGGGATTACAGGTGTGAATGACTGGGGCTGGCCCTAAAACATTTTATATATCGCCTGTATTCCCAGCACTTTGGGAGGCCAAGGTGGGGGGATCACCTGAGGTCAGGAGTTTGAGACCAGCCTGGCCAACATGGTGAAACACCATCTCTACTAAAAATACAAAAATTAGTTGGGTGTGGTGGTAGATGCCTGTAAATCCAGCTACACAGGAGGCTGAGGCAGGAGAATCGCTTGAACCCAGGAGGCAAAGGTTGCAGTGAGCCGAGATCACGCCATTGCACTCCAGACTGGGCGCCAAGAGTGAAACTCAGACTCAAAAACAAAAGAAAAGAAAAGAAAAACAAAACGAAACACATTTTATATATCAACTTTAGTGTTAATCAAAGAAATGCACAATAAAGCACAGTGGATTGCCAAGTCTGGTTGAAAATTGGAAGCTGTATCCTCTCTCAGACAGAGATGGCCTGCTTGCTCCAAGCATCATGCTGGGAAGTGCTGAGCAGCCATGGACCACATTTCCCACACAGTCAGGTGCCACCCTGTGCCTGCGTTCCAGCCAATGGAGAGTTGGTGGAACTGATGTAAGCCTTTTGTGGACTGGGCCCCTAAAAGCCTCCCGCATAGAAATACATCATGTTTTTTGTTCCTTCTGGCTGGCCAGAATAGAAGGCAACCCCAGGATAACCTTGAAGCCAAGTGTTGAAGAAAGCAAAGCCTTGTCAATTCTGGGTCCCTGAAAGACCCAGATAGATTGGAGCCTGCTTATTATTCCCATATCCACTACTGTAATGAGAACAAGAATAAATTCCTGTTGTGTATGAGCTACCATCCGCTTTGGGGTCTATTTGTTACAGCAGTTAGTCTACCATACCACTACTGCATCCCAGGATGCTTTGGCCCAGTCTTACTCTAACAAACTGGGTGCTGCCAACACATGGGGCTTTGTGGGCCATATGGTCTCTATGGCAACCACTCAACTTTACCATTGCAGAGGAAAGCAGTCTCAGACAATACTTAAATGAATGGCTGTGGCAGTGCTTCAATAAAGCTTTACTTACAGAAACAGGCAGCTGGTAAGATTTGTTCCAGGTGGCTGCCAGGTCTCTGCTGTATCCCTTTACCCTGTTTTATTTTCTTTCACAGAACTTACTGCTACATGATGTATTCTATATTGAAGCTCCCTGAGAAAAGAGATGTTTTGTGTCTCATTTATCAACATATCCCCCGCATGCAGAATAATGACTAGCTCATAACAGACCTTTGATAAACATTTGTTGAATAAATGATCATAAGGTTTTGGTGAAATCGGTTCATTCATCCACTGCTGCTATAATTGTTAATTTTAGTATTTTATTTCTGCAAAACAATGTGGCAGAACTTATTGAAAATGGTATTCATTAATTTTAACTTTTTCACTTCTAGGAAATAACCAGGAATGCAAAGAGCTTATCACCTCATTATTTACAACAGTGAAAATGGAAAAAGTAAGCCTAAATCGGGTGATAGTTAATCAAATTATAGTAGACACCTCTAGACATATTTTGAAAATATAAAAATTATTATACAGAATTTTTAATGACAACAGAAAAATGTTAATTTTAACGAAAAAAACAAAACTATAGTGTGTTTCTGAAATGTATATATAAAAAGTGTTGCATCAAACGAGAAGAGAACATGATGATCCTGTTCCTTTGTCTGTGTTTGACTGAGTCTTCATGAGTCTTACACCACTCAAGCAGTGGACACAAAATTAGCAATAAGTTTTATCTGGTTTGTGAGTGTTAAATGGGGCATTCCTCCCTCTTCTGAGCTAAATCTTGGGGAGGTAAAATGAGAATACATCTCTTAATTTTTACTCTTTCTCTTTCTTCCCCTCCCCACAATGCCTAGGGCCCTGTGAGAGGCAGGTGCCTCCCTCCTTCCTATGCAGATCTTTACTTTGTGGCCCAGTTAGTCAAGTCTTGCTCTTGATCTGAACTTTAGGATAATGATGCCTAATCAGCTTTAAGTGGCTACTAGTTCTGTGCTGTGAGGTTGTCCCCACCATTATTCCTTTTAGTAAAAGTCTGAGGATGCTGCAGTAGTGTGTGAGTGTTTTGGGGGTGGGCATGTGCATGGGGGATATACATAAGATGGGAAGGTGATGAGCCTTGGGTTCTGAGCTTTGATCAGGAGCAAAGTGTGCTGATCAGAAATCCAGAGTTGGAGGCCCAGGTTCAGAGTCAGGGAACAGCAGAACCAGATCTATCTTGGGCTGTCTCAGCAGTGGACATGAGCTAAACCTCTACTTCTCCCAAAGACATAGTTCTAGGAAAAAGTGAACCCCTAAGGATATTGAGGAAGGTGAGCAAGATCCTGTGTTTATGTGAGATAGAGGGCTGGTCATTTTATTTTGATATTTCATGGGGATATCTGGGTTATACTTGCATTTCCATACACTTGTACATCTTGTTAGCCTGCCTGGAATGTCCATGGTCAGGTAGTATAGAATAGTATTTAGGCATGAGGACTTCAGAACCAGACTGTCTGGATTCCAAGCCCAGATTTATCACTTCCAGAACTTGAACAAATTTGACTCTTTCAAGTCTCAGTGTTCTCATCTGTAATATGGGGATGGTAAATAGCTCTTGCTTTATGTAGTTGCTGTGGGGGCTAAATGCGATAATGGGATGATGGTGTGAGTGCTTAGTGTAGAGCCTGATGCAGAGTAGGAATTCAGTAAATGCCAACTACTGCTATTATCATTCATTTGTCTTTTCCTTCTTTTTCACTTATGGGATCCTGCTCATTCTTTAGGCTCAGCTCAGATGCCAGACTTGCAGTTGTCCTTTCTTTCTATTATTATGTGCCTTGTGATCTCACAAGTTCTGTGGCTTTAAATACCATCTATAGACTGATGCTGAGTCATCTTCATGCTGACCTCTGTCTGGACCATAGGTTCCTACAACTAACTGCCTATGTGATGCTTCCACTTGGATGACTCTAGGCATCTCTAACTTGAAAGGCCTCAAACAGAATTTTTGATCCCCTGACCCCAATATGCCCGTTCTGCAGCCTTCTCTATCTCAGAGGATGGTAGCTCCATTCCCCAGTTACTCAGTTCCCAAATCCTGCAGTCATTATTGACTCCTCCCTCTCTCTCACACCAAACTGCAGTCCACCAGCAAATCCTCTTGTTTCTGCCTTCAAAATACAGCTGGAAACAGACCACTTCTCTCCACCTCTGTACGTCCCCCTGGTCCAAGCCCCATCACTCTCACTGGGTTATTGCAGGAGCCTCCTGACTGGTCTCCCTGCTTCTGCCGTTGTGGGTCTACCAGCTATTCTCACATTTCGGTCAGAACCGTCATTTAGAAGTATAAATTGTAGGGCATCATGCCATTGCTCAAAAAACACCCTGGCTTTCCATCTTGCTTGAAGTAAAGACTCAAGTCCTTAGATTGGCCTCCAAGGCCATATATATATAGTTTTGTTGTTGTTGTTTGTTTGTTTGTTTTTGTTTTGAGACACAGTTTCACTCTGTTACCAAGGCTGGAGTGCTGTGGCGCAAACTCAGCTCACTGCTATCTCCACCTCCTGTTCCAGCGATTCTAATGCCTCAGCCTCCCTAGTAGCTGGGATTACAGATGCCCGCCACCAAGCCCAGCGAATTTTTGTATTATTAGTAGAGTTGGGGTTTTACCATGTTGGCCAGGCTGGTCTCAAACTCCTGACCTCAGGTGATTTGCCCGCCTTGGCCTCCCACAGTGCTGGGATTATAGGCGTGAGCCATTGCACCTGGCCCAAGGCCTTATATATTCTAACAGTAGTACCTCCCCCCAGCAACATGGATGACTCTCACAAATATAATGACTGAAAAAAGCCAAACACAAACAAGTGCATACTGTCTGCTTTTATTTATACAAAGTTGAAATTAGGCAGAACTTATTTATGGTGTTTGAAGTCAGGATAGTAGTTCCCCTTGGGAGGAGAGATGTTGAAGTGATTGGCAGGGGCTGAGGGGAGGTCCTAGGTGTTGGTAATACTCTATTTCTTGATTTGAGTGGCTGTGTGGTCATTTTGTGATAATTCACAAGCTGTGGCCTTACAATCTGTATACCTTCCTGTAGGTTTGTTATAGTTCAAGAAAGAAGCTTAAAGCTGCAAAATTGGGTTTGCAGATCTATAGGTAGAAAGACTCCTCTTTTTGTAAATTCCCAGTGAGGCACTTGAAACTCTGCCCTGGTGACTTCTGGGCATCAGCCTGTAGGTTAGGATTGGCAAGTACGTGTTGCATGCCAACTCCGATCAGTTAGTGGTGACTGCCTGGAATGCTGCATTGTGAGGGGTTTTGGGTCAGTTTCTGGGCTCAACAACAGCAGAGTGCTATGACTGAGAAGAGACCTCTGTCATGGTGGAAGGAGAGAGAACTGGCTGCACTGTGCCTAGTACTAGCCAGTCCTGTTGATGGTGTCGTCACGTACCAGCTACTTTCTTGCTTATAAAACACCCTATTTTGTACCAACACAGGATGGACCTGAGGTTTCAGAAGCACCACCATGTGCCATAGACACTCCTTTGCACCTCTCTGCCTATGGTTTCTTCGGTGATCCATCATGTTCTAAACCCCATCTGCCTCACTCATCTCAAGCAGCACCTTCCATCCTCTAAGAACTGTGAGGTTCTGGTAGCACCACCCTGATTGGCAGGCATTTACCATCTCATTGTCCCTGCATCCAGCCAGCCTCCAGCTGCCATACCTGCTGCCCACAGTCAGGCCCCTGACCTCACACCGGCTGCCGTCACAACCTGGGGCAGCCAGGGGGCTCTGGCACTGCCACCAGAGACTGGTAGATGACCACCTGTGGACCCAGAGGACAGCAGTGGGTAGAACTCTGCAGGTGGTCTGAGCTCCAGTGGCCTGTTATACCATAGTTGTCCTTAAGCCTCTTTTCACCTCAAGTCAGGGTGAAATGGATGCTGACATTGTCTTTCTGTCCTGCAAACACAAGAACCACATTTCCATCGCTGTGTTTTTACACTTGCTGCTCCCTTTGCACAGATCATTCTACACGTGGCCATCTCCTTCTCCTCATTAGGTTTCAGCCTTAAAGTTGCTTTCTCAGACAGACCTTCTCTGACCACTCTCAGTCATTCACTTTCACATTTATTCACTCAACAAATATTTGTTGAGTGTCTACTCAGCGCCATGTGCTGTTCTCAGTGCAATGGTGCAGCCGTGAACAAAGATGAAACCCCTCTTCTCTATGGACTGTCCCCATAAGGTCGGGCGGAGTCAGATAGTTCAAAAGTAAAAAAATAAGTATACAGTGCATCAAGTAGTGACAAATACTATGAATTAAATGAAAGCAGAATCAGGGGAGAAGAAATAAGAACAGGAATTGGAGCCAGGGCCATTTTAATAGGGTTGTTAGAGGAAGCTACCTTGATAAGATGACAGTTGAGTAGGAAATGGGTAAGCTGAGAGAGTGAGCAAAGGGAATGTCTGGGAAATGGTGTTCCCAGAGAGGGAACAGCTGGTACCAAGGCCCTGAACTGGGAGTACTCCTCTCCTGAGATACCCTCTGTCATATCATCCTGTTTATTTTCTTCCTAGTACCTTTTACTGTTTGAAATTATTTATTTATTCATTGACTTACTGTTTTTGTGTTACATTAGGGAGGCTCTATGAAAGCAGGGATCTTGCTGAGTGTTCACTGCTTCATCCCCTAAGTCTAGTATAAAAATACGCCCAATAAATGGGAATCACTTGTTGACTTCCCATGTCAATTAGTGCAAGCCACAGGAACTTGCAAAGAAAAACAAAAGAAAACCGAAAGAAAGTTTTGGAATGAGGTGAGCGCTCACAGAATTATAGGCAAAGCCGGAGAATAGACAACCAAGCCTTGGAAAGGAAAGGGCAGAGGCCAGGTGGTCCTGGGGATCTGGTTGCAGGAATGAGTGGATGTCTCTGCAGAGCTGTGTGCAGGAGGTGACTTAGCTCCCCTGCTTTCCCCACTGTGGCTCTCCTCTCAAGAATCCAACAGGCTAACCAGGGCTGGCTTCAGGGGTGTGTACCTGTCTTCAAAAGGCCCCTGCTTAGTTTAATGCACAGCATTAAACTTGAAACTCTTAATAACTGTTGAGCAAGTGCCCTTAATTTTTTTTTTTTTTTTGCACTGCAAATTGTGTCTTGGGGCCAGCTGGGCTCATGTACCCTCTCCCTTCCCCTCAAAATCTCCCCAAAGGAAAATGGAGAAGAGCTAGCTGGATTGGGGTGGGGAAATGGCAAATATAGCAGCCATCCCAGAATTCTGTTAAGCATTGGGTTTGTTGGGAGATGGGGGAAGTGGAATTGGCCATCCATTTCTAACTCAGGAGGCAAATCTCATGCCTGTTTCCATTCTCACCCACAAATGCTGTTTACACCATGAAGAGATAATTGTACTTGTGCGCAAGGAGCAAATAACCTACATATTTACCCAGAGGGGGGTGATTAAATAATTTGTGAAGTCTTGATGTTACGTGGCAATTAAACAGTGATAAATCTGTTTGTACTGATATAAAAATATATTTTAGACATATTGTTTAGTGAAAGGGCCACAGGATAAAATTCAAATAGGATGTTTCTGTTTACACAAAAAAGCCAAGCTATTTATATATTTAAATGTAGAAGTAGAGAAGTATATATATGCTTGTATTTAAATATACATGTATCCATAGACATGTGTATACATTTAAAGTATATATCTGTATTTTAAAAGCAGAAGTAGATAAGTATATATATAAATACTTTATATATACATAGCTTATATATATATGTATAATATATACCATGTGTATGTGTGTATATGTATATTGTGTATGTATTTAAGTGTAGAGTAGGGAGGACTGCACAGGGACCTGTTACTAGTGTTACCTCTGAGGTGGGGGTATTGGTAATGTGCATGAAGGGTAGTATTTAATTTAACATATTCTCCTTTCTTTAAATTTCCACAGGTATATGTTCATGTATATGAAAACCTCACGTGCAGATCATGCACTAGATCATGCATACATGGCCCTGGGTCTTCATGGAGGCCTAGGCCCTGCACCCAGCTCAGGTCCTAGCTGTACAGCTCTCAGAGTCAGAGTAGGAAACCCACTTGCTTCCTCTGAGATGAGCCATTTGTGAGACTGGCATTTTGTACTCATTCATACTTGTGGTCAATGTACCGTGTATTTTTTGAGTGCTAGCTATGGGCCAGGCCCTTTTCTAGCTGGAGGATAACAGCAATTATAAGACTGGCAAGATACCTAGGTATATACTGGAGCTTTTTTTCCTACTGGAAGAAGAGAGTAAAAAGTAAGACAATTTCATGTCATAATAAGTGCTAGGGAAGCTGGGATGGGGGAGCTCCTACTTTGGTAGGGTCTGGGAGTACTCCCCAGAGAGCTAATGGGGAGCTGAGAGGGAACCCACTGCCCACGTATGGGGATCTGGGAGAAGTACACCCCATAGTGAGTGGGGGTTGGAGAGAAGACAGTATGGGGTGAGTGGGTGAAAGATTGGTCAAAGGCAGGGCAGAGCCCAGATCTACAGCACCTTGTGGGTTGTGGCTGAGAGTTTGGATTTTATTCTGAGAGCAGTGGGAAACCACTGAAGGCCTTTAAGCAAGGCAATCAAAACATGACCTGATTGATATTTGCAGAGGTGTGTTGAGAATGGATTGTAGAGCTGGAAAGCAATCAGGGAGACCATAAGGAGCTGTTACAAGTTCATGGTGAGTCTCCCTTCTTTTTTGGGGGTCTTAACAGAAAGAGTTGAGGATTGGGGGTTGCAAGATCACATCAACTAGAAAGAGATTCCAGGGATGAGTGTGAGTCTGAGACACACGATAACCCTCTTCCTTCCACACCAGCATCCTGCTGTCCTCTATCTCAACAAATGGCTCCACACAGCCACCTCGGCCAGAAAACTGGCTTGCCAGATATCTTCCGTTACCTCTCCAGAGCCTCTCTGTCTTTATCCTCTTCTGCATCCAGGTGGGTGCTATATGGACCACACCAAAGGACTCCCTTGCTTTCTGGCTTCTGGGAGGGGTCAGCCAATGGGGAGTCCTATAAAGAAATAAGAAGAAGGGAGGAGAGTGAGAACTGGATATTTTTCCCGCAGGCTCATGCTGCTGGTTTGCCTCTCTTTGGCTGTGTTGTTCAACCAGAGGTCACTGTTTCTCTCATGGCAGCCCTTGTTACACAACGCCGTCTTTCTAGGTCAAGTAACTGCTGCTTTCGCTTGTGCCTTCAGGCCTATGGGTGGTATAAGCTCCACCTCTGGGGACTGCTTGATCTCTGTGGCTCCCCTACACCCTGTCCACACCTCTCTCAACAATGCCTTTATTAATCCTCTTGATGTTCTAATTTGATTTTCTGTTTTAGGTCCTGTCTGATATATGTGAGCATCATCCCTGATTCTTCTCTCATCATTTTTCTTTCGCTAATCTATCACCAAAGTATAAATAAAATTTTTTTGTCTTTTTATTCCAATCTCAGAACTAGTGTCCTAACTCAGGCCATTATCATCTTTTACTGGGATTTCTGAAAAAGTTTTCTAACTAGTCTCCTTGCCTTCAATCTTGTCTTCGTTCAGAAATTGTTTCCATTGTTGCTAACAGATCTTTCTAAGATGAAAACCTGGACTGGGCACGGTGGCTTAGGTCTGTAATCCCAGTGCTTTGGGAGGCCGAGGCAGGAGGATCACTTGAGCCCAGGAGTTTGAGGTTGCGGTGAGTTATGATCACTTTGCTGCACTGCAGCCTAGGCAAAAGACTGGGGCCCTATCTCAAATAAATAAATAAATAAATAAATAAATAAATAAATAAATAAGTCAAATGAAAGCCTGATCATATTTCTCTGTTTAAAACCTTTGAATGGTTCCTCATTGCTCTTAAATAAAATTCAAACCCCTAAGTGAGGATTTCTAGGACTTGTACTACCTGGTCTCTGCTTGTATCCTGGCTTATTACTTCCCATCTCATACATTTTGACCTAGCCCCTTAAACTGCTTACAGGCCTCAAAACTTCTGTGCCTTCTCTTACCCCTGGGCCTTGTTTAACTTGCAACCAGGAAGTGCCAAGGCAAAGAAGACAGTGCTAAGTCTGTGGCCAATGCACAAGAGGCTTTTGCCACCCAGGGAGGCTGTATTGCTTTTGAATAAACTCATCTTTCAAATTAGAACTGCCATTTTCAGCTTAGGTGCAGCCCTCACTCTAAAGATAGTCATCTTGGGTGATCTCACATCCTGACATTCACAGACTTCTGTAACACTCAAAAGTTATTGGACAGAATTTCTTCAAGGAAACAGTGAGACCCTCTAGACCTACACTGTTCGATACAGCAGCCACTAGCCACATGTGAGCACTGAGCACTTGAAATGTGGTTAGTGTAGTTTAAGATGTGCTGTAAATGTAAAATACCATTATGATTTGAACATGTTCACAAAGTTCGTGTGGTAGCAATTTAATCCCCAGTGCAACAGTGTTGGGAGATGGGGCTAATAAGAAATGATTGTCGTGACAACTCTGCCCTCATGAATGGAGCAATGTCATTATCACAGGAGTGAGTTTGTTATGAAAGTTTGGCCCTCTCCTGTCTCTCACCCTCTCTCATCTTTCCACCTTTTGTCGTGGGATGACACAGCATGAAGGCCCTTGCCAGATGCTGGTGCCATCCTTTTGGATTTCCCAGACTCTAAAACTGTGAGCCAAATAAATTTCTGTTTATTATAAATTATCTAGTCTGTCATATTCTGTTACAGAAATATAAAATGGACTAAGACAAATCCACACTGGATTTTGAAGATTTAGAATGAAAAAAATGTAAATATCTCATTAATAATGTTTAAATTGATCACATGTTGAAATAATATTTTGATAGGTTAAATAAACATATTGTTAAATTATTTCTGCCTACTTCTTCTTAATTTTTTATTGTGGCTACTCGTAAATTTACAGTTGCATGTGTTGTGCAGTGCTCCAGATCCTACAGCTCCTCACTTTTCTAAGTGTGGTCTGTGAGGCAGCTCCAGCAGCATCACCTGGGAGCTGTTAGAAAATCACATCTCAGGTCCTATCATGAATCTACTGCATCAGATGTTGCAGTTTAACCAGATGTTCACGTTATTTACACACACACTGGAGTTGAGAAATGCTGGTCTATAGAGAAGGGGTGGGATGAACAGAGCCTTACTCATTCTTTCTGGATGCAGATACTTCTTACACCTCCTAAACCAAAGGCTACAGGTGTGCCTTTTGCTTTAAGGAGAGGAATTAAAAAGAAAAGAAAAAGAATGAAAATCTGGAGTATTTTGTTAGATTAAAAAATTCTTTAAACCAGATACAAATTCCTAGATCCTAATCAAGCATTCTGAGCACAGAGGTTTAAGAGGAAGTAAATTTAACAAACTGACAGTTTTTTTTCTTAAATTACAAGTTCATAATAAATCATCCTCATCAGTTGAAGCATAAACTTTTAAGGAAGTAATTAAAACTCTTTTGGAACTCTAATAAAGTCCGAGATTCTGAGCAATCAAAATTTAGATTGCAAGCACCATTGCTGAGGATGGCTAGAACCATTAGAGTGATAAAGGGGTTCACGTCATTCTGAGTTCTAGGTCTGCATGGAACTACAGCAGGAATTGGCTAAGAAAAGTCTGATGAGAGACACAGAAAGAAGTGCAATTACTTTGTGTTTAAAGTTTCTTTTTTGATGAAATTCAAATAGTAAATGCCATTTGTTATTAAGCTTTAAACCACATGTCTCAAGAAATTTTAAGTGTCATATGACCACATTTCTGTGGTCACCATAGCTGCTAAAATGCAATACTTGGCCAGGCACAGTGGCTCACACCTGTAATCCCAGCACTTTGGGAGGCAAAGGTGGGTGGATCACCTGAGATCGGGAGTTCAAGACCAGCCTCGCCAACGTGGTGAAACCCCGTCTCTACTAAAAATACAAAAAATCAGCTGGGTGTTGTGGTTCACACCTGTAATCCTAGCTACTTGGGAGGCTGAGGCAGGAGACTCGCTTGAGCCTGGAAGGTGGAGGCTCTAGTGAGCTGAGATCATGCCACTGCACTCTAGCCTGGGCAACAGAGTGAGACTTTATCTCAAAAAATAAATAAAATAAAATATTTGGCATTTCTAGACCCATTGCTTGACGCCCACTGACAATATCATATCCCATTAGATAAGAGAGTTGTAATAAACCTTTTTATTCTGAATACATTATTATTATTATTATTTTCTTATATGTTGACTCTTATGAGCAGCTGTACTCATTTGCCAGAGGAAACAGAGTGTGATAGTTGCATAATTCTTTGTTCCTCTGACCCCTAGCAACACATGCATGCTTAAGGTTAAAATATTTTATAAATAAAATATTTCCCTTAAATAATGTATTCATATTACAGCAAAGGGCACTGAATAGGTGCATATGTACTAAGATAGCTGCTTCTGGGATGAATTCTTTTTTTTTTTCCTTTTTTTTTTGAGACAGAGTTTCACTCTGTCACCCAGGCTAGAGTGCAATGGCATGGTCTCAGCTCACTGCAACCTCTGCCTCCTGGGTTCAAGCAGTTCTCCCACCTCAGCCTCCCGAGTAGCTGGGACTACAGGCGTGTGCCACCACACCCGGCCAATTTTTGTATTTTTAGTAGAGACGGGGTTTCACTATGTTGGCCGCGCTGGTCTTGAACTCCTGACCTCGTGATCCACCTGCCTCGGCCTCCCAAAGTGCTGGGATTACAAGCGTGAGCCACCGCGCCTGGCCGATGATTTCTATAATAGGAGAAATTCCACCTCCTTTAAAGACCTCTGATATTCTGGCCAAGAGCTTTACTGTAGATCTCAGGGCTCTCCCCAGATGAGAGTTAACAACTCTATTCTCATTAAAACATACGAATAGCCATCATATCCTGGAAGCTCCAGGAAAAGATATTTTACTTCCCATGTTTCAAGCTTGTCCCAAGTGATGGGGCTGTCGTTCTCAATCTCCATTTACTGATTCCTCAGGTGTAATGCTCTTAGGATAAAGTCAAAGTGTGTATTTTTTGTGTGTTTAATTAAATTTTTTTCTGCTTTTCCTCTTTCCAAAAAGTTCTGAGGCAATTATTAGCAAGAATATATGCAACAAAGCAAATAAAATGAAAATGGAGTCAGACAAAGATAAATACATGGAAACAAGTATACTAATGATAAGATAACACCAGCCTGTGTGAGACTCAAAATTCTATTGTGAAGTTTCTGGAATCCAGGGATAAAAGACATGCAATGAATATTACACAACTCAAGATCAGGAAGGAGGAAGTACAGCGGTTTCCCAGTAGAGTCAAAATTTTCTTGGCAGTAAACTTCAAAAAAAAATTCTCATGCAGAGATTATTTAAGGACTGTGGTGTGACATTGTGGCTAAATGGACTTATAATAGCCCCTTCTTCCTTAGGGATATATGAAGATTAAACAAAGCAGAACATGCTGAACCCTTAGACTTGTGATTGACACATAGTAACCTCAAATAAACATTCACTATTGTCATCAGCATGATCTAAAATTACATATATATTACATCGTTAAGTTAATATTGTTTTTAATAATTTAATGGTTAAGGTCCTCAATAATTTAATAATTATTAATGTAATTAATTACATTATTTAAAAACAATTTAATAATTATTAATGTAATTAGTAAATACATTGATGCATTAATAAACACTAATAATATTCACAATAACTGTTTTATAGCAAATGCAGAAGCAGTTTGTATTAGTTGTTTTTAGCCAAGAGCACAGTGAAGGTGTCCAACAGGAGCCACAGCTAATGTGGTCCAAGCATGGGGCTGCCTCATAGGATCAAGTAACAGAGCAGAGGGGACCTAGAGGAATAGCTGGATTGCACAACTCCTAGACAACACATCTCAGATATGGTTCTTGGCCATGCAGTAAGCCATGAGGATCCATCGGGTGAGGAGGGAACTAATTTAAAAAATACAAATTAATTAAGGGCAAAGATGTGCAATTCTAGAGACTTTCAGTAAGTTGCTTACCAGTAACTACTAAGTGAAATATTAAGGGTTACTAAAATTTGGTGTTCAAAAAACTCACATTAACATTATACTAAAATTTGCTGAGGATCCTAATTCAGCATTCTACCAAGAAGTCTGGCTACTCCACAGTGCTTGATAACACTGCAAAGATCAGAGAATGGGAGGGCTTCTTATCAGTTCATCATTAGCAGTACCCTGAGTTTATTGGACTTTTCCTTGGAAACTGTACTTGATTTTTAATGTATTAATTTATTTTTCTGAAGTTCGTTTGGCTAGCCCCACAATGGGCTATGATGTATATTTGCATTAACAGTATTGCTGAAGTTACTGTTTGTATGATCTTCTCAAAATGTCTTTGTTCCAGGGTGTTGTCCTCATGGAATTTTGTCTACTGGAATAGCTTTCTCTGACTAAGTGACCAGTCAAAAAAATTTGAGAGCCACTGCCTTAGATTTTCTTTTCTGGGTATCACATCTCTCAGTTAGACTGACTAGCACTTGGAGGGCTATCACTACATGTTGCTCTGGAAACCAGCAAGGATGGCGTAGGGTTGACTTCCTAATGTATGTGTGGACCCTGTGATGTTCCAAATGACCGGATGTAGTTTATACAGATTTATTAAAGTTGAAAGCCTCTCTCCAGTATCATTCCCAGATGGAAGTGGGGAAGTCAGCCTGCTTCTATACAGAAATGAGCCATGGTGATAATTTCAAAAAATGCCAGATTTGTTTTCTTTCTTAGAAAGAAGTTTGACCTATTGATCTACTCTAACATTGTTTGTTTGTTTGTTTGTTTTTAAGACGGAGTCTCACTCTGTCACCCAGGCTGGAGTTCAGTGGTCTGATCTCAGTTCAGTGGTCTGAGCCTCCGCCTCCTGGGTTCAAGCAATTCTCCTGCCTTAGCCTCCTGAGTAGCTGGAATTACAGGTATGTGCCACCATGCCTGGCTAATTTTTGTATTTTTAGTAGAGACAGGGTTTCTCCATGTTGGCCAGGCTGGTCTCAAACTCCTGATCTCAAGTGATACACCCACCTCGGCCTCCCAAAATGTTAGGATTATAGGCACGAGCCACCATGCCTGGCCTGATCTACTTTAACTCTTGAATGAAGTCCTTGATTCAGTTACCAAGGGTTATATTATCAAACATGGCAGAGAAGATGGTGACTTAGAAAATTTTCAGCACTTCAGTACCATGTCTGTAATAGTGTACTACAACTGGTCTGTACCACCTTGTGAGAGTCAATTGTCCATTTTTTTAGAAATTTATTGAGATGGTTATTAAATCATTGGTAGTTTGAAATTGGCCACAGTGGTAATATTTACACTGGGAAAACCAGCAACTGTTACAAAAATATTTTTTTCCAGAGAGCCAGTTATTAAATATTTACCAGCATATCACTATCTGGGAACCATCTAATATTAAGCAATATAGTCTCCTTGTGTACCTCGGAAACTCAAAATGGGGCTTACCCATCTTCAAATAAGGATAACTAATTATTTTTTCCTAATCATAGAGCTATTTCTCTATAAGTAATATTTAAACCTTCTGCTAGCTTCACTCTAGAGACATATTTCAGATTTGGATCTCTTAATTGAATATTTGGTATGAAGAGAAAATAGATTTCAAACACAGCTATAATATTATCAGCCCCTATTAAACTTCATTCTATCTCAATTATTTACTCACTCATTTACTGTATTTACTCAAAAGATATTTATTAAGCTAATCTAATCTAAAATCAGCACTTTGTGCCTGATACATGCTAAGAAATGGGTGTACATTGTAAAGCAAAACTAAATTCCTTGCCATAGGATTTACAGTCTAATAGAGATTACATACTTTAAAAAAGTCATACAAATAATTTATATTAGAAATTGTGATAATGCCATGAAGGAAGAGAACAGGATGATATAAGAGAGAATAAATATGGGGATCTATTTGGAATGGGACTGAGGGTGATGGGAAACATTTCCAAGAAAGTAACATTTGATCTAGGATTTGAAGGATAAATGGCAGTTAACCAAGCAAAGATGAGGGGAAGTTCATTAAGAAGATGACAAAAAACCAAGTAAGACCCTTTGTAGAGTTCATCAATCTATCCTCAGGCTTCAAATTCATGGACAGAAACTATTTTTGTGTCAAGATGTATAATCTTGGCATAGTTACAATGCTTTTGTAAAACTTGTACAGTTATTCTTTCAAAATTAAGCTGGGTGAAGTTGGTGTTGATCTATCTTTTTGTGCATACTCATGTATCGTTACCTTGAAATTCTCATAGATAAATTAGATAAGGATTAGTGTTGTAACTCGTGGTAATTCTGGGGATGGAAGGGTTGAGTGGAACATGGTTGAGTGGAACATGGACAAAATATAATCCTGGTCTCTAAGTCTGATCCAGCTAGTAAGAAAAATACCACAGACTTGAATAACAGACATTTTTTTTCTCACAGTTCAGGAGGGTGGGAAGTCCAAGATCAAGGCAACAGCAGATTCAGTGTTTGGTGAGGACTCTCTTCCCTGTTCATAGACAGTTGTCTTCTTGCTGTGTCCTCACATGACAAACAGGAACAAAGACCTCTCTGGAGTCTCTTTTATACGGATCTAGGCTCATTCATGAGAGCTTCATCCTCATGATCTAATTTCCCAAAGGACCCTCTTCCAAGTACCATAACATTGGTGATTAGGTTTCAGCCCATGAATTTCGGAGGTGGGGGCAAAAACCTTCAGTTCATTGCACCTTGTTATTAGAGCAAGGACCTAAATTCAGAATAAAAGACTAGTTTGAGTTAATATTGAGTGCCTTGGAACTGAATTAAGATCTATTAAATTTCCCATAAGGTCAAGAATGGCTCCAGAGCCGCTTTGGTCAAACAACTCCCTGGAATTGTGTACTCCAGTATGATCTTTTTGGAAATATCTATTTCTTCTGCTCTTGATGGTGGGTTTCACATGAGGTCACAAAAAGGAACATGTCTTGAAACTCTTGGCCAGTGTTTCTCAAAGCCTGATCCCTGTATCAGAATCAGCTGTGTGATTTGTTTAAAATGTTGATTTGGAGGCACTGCCCCAGAACTACTAAATCACAGTTTCTAGGGAATCTGCAATGATTATTTGAAATCTTCTGTATACTTATAGCCCTGTTCCACAACTTCCTGCCTCCTTCCTAGTAGAAGACCTTGCTTTCTGCATCTCAGAAAAAATTGAAACCATCAGCCAGAAGAATTTCTCTGATATCCAACCATTGAGTCTGCTAGACTGCCTTCCCCCTTTGTCTGCCATCTTCCTGCTGTACTCTGCTTTCCACTGTCCTGCTTTCTCAGAAATTGTCCACTAATAATTCTCTGTTTTCTCTCCTGTGTATTCAGCTGTGCCGTCTCAAAAGGATTATCCTTCGAGGCAGGAAATTATGTTCAAGTCTATTTTATTGAACAACAAATACAAATTTAAAATATCTCCCTTGGTCCCATACTACCTCTAGCTACCATCTTCTCTGCCCTCTACTTCTAAACTAGCCTTTTAGAAGGAGTTCTGTAGGTTTGCATTTCTATTTCTTTCTTCATCATGTGTTCATTCTTCAGCTCACTGTGATCTGCTTTTAACTCATGACTCCTTTCAAACAGCTCTTGGTAAGGCCACCACTGATCTTTTTATCATTAAACTTACCAGGCATTTTCTATTTCCCCTCTTTCTCTATTAATTCTCAGTATTCAACATCACAGAAATCTTTTCTTGGAATATTCTCTTTCATTGGCCTCCAAGGCATCACATTCCCTGTTTTCCTTTCTTCTCTCTGGGCACAATCTGACTCCTCTTCTACTTAGCTATTAAAAGTTGCAGTTGATTACCCAGTGCTATCACACTTGGCAAGTTTATTCATGCCCATAGCATCGACTGCCATCTGTAATTGAACTGCAAATTTATATTCTCAGCCCAACTGCTTAGTTGATGCCTTCTTTGACGTCTAAAAGTTATCTCACATAGCATGTTTAAATCAAACCCATAATATTTCTGCTTCTCTCCTCTCCCAAGCTTGGTATCCCAAGTGTTCTTTGTTTCAATAAATGGTGGCATCATTCAACTAGTTACATAAGAAAAGCCAAATTCACCCTTGAAGCCTCCCCTTTCCTTACAGCCAGTGCCATCACCAAACAAAAGTTTCTCATATAGTTTCTAAAGACTTCTAAAATCCATCCATTTCCTACCCATCCACACCCACCAATTTAGTCCAAGACCCCATCTCTTCTTCCTTGAATGATAACAATTGTCTTCTAATTTAGCTTCCCTTCAGCTGGAGTGATCTTTTCCAAAAGCAGATTGATCCTACCACTTCCTAAATCTTTTGGTGACTTCCTTTGCTAATTCTTATCATGGCCTACAAGGTTCTCCAACACTCTCTGCCTCCCTCTTTTCCAGCCTCACCTACTACGCTCTCCTCCCTCTTCCAAGCAGGCACATTGTTCTTGTTTTTTCAGTACCTCAAAATGCTATATTCTCGTTAGTCACAGGACTTTCTCCACACCAAGTCTTTCCCTTCTCTGTCTAATGAACTCTTGCTCTTCTTCAGGGTCTCACTTTCTCAGGGAAGATTTTCCTGACCTCAAGTTGTGGATCCAGTTTTTTTGTTATTGTTACCGGCTCTCATAAAAGAGCCTTTCTTCCATTAATCATCCTTATCTCAGCTGTTAATTATACTCTCATTAGTGGGGTGATTTGATTAGCATACATTTCCATAAGCCTGAAAGCTGTTTTCTAGTGGGAACCATGTCTGTTTTTACTCCTGTTGCATCCTGATGCCAGCACTGGGCCTGGTGTGTTGCAGGAGATCAAAGAGTGAAGGAATGAAGAGCTAGGTGCCCTGGCTCGAAGGATGCTTTATATTTCTTGTCACAGGGGTCATCAAAGATTATTTCTGGTGTATCAAAGCACCAACATTGCCCTCCGTCCATGGGAATGAGTTATATTCTGTGAAGAAATATTTCTAGGGTTTTGATAAATACTTGTTGAAAGAATGGATTTTGGGAAATCTCACAGTTAGCCTTTCTCTTATTATGTAGCCAAAAAGGAATATGCAGATACTGTGTACCCAGCTCCTAACCACATGCTGGAGGCTGTTCCTGTCATCATGATATATCATGGAACCCAGTACTGTTATCTAAAGATGGTTAAAACTGGGAAGAGTTGTGGGTTATAGTTTTTTTTATTATTATTTTTTACTTGTTAGAAGAGAAAAATCTATCTGACTTCTGCTGTTTTTGTCTCAGTTGCTTTTTAATTTCCTTCTCGCTCTTTCCCACTGCCCACATAAAAAATATTGCTCTATTATATAGACTTCTTTTCTTGCTTGGATATGAATCTGAGTTGAGCATAAAAGGGAAGCTGTAAGTAATCAACAAAGCCATAAAACTGGGTTGAATGTTAGGATTGTATAAAAATATTTTCCTATAAAATGCTCTGGGAATTGTTTTAGAATTTAGGAAACACAAACAATTCCACTCTGAGTTGGACACCACTCAAGATTAGGGCCTCCCAGAAGTCAGCCGCTATGGCATATGTCTGAAAATCTAGAAAGTGAAAGTGTTAGATTTTAGTTTTGATTTGGCAAATTTCCATAAAGGAAGACTAAAACAGGAAGTAGTAGGTGGGGGATAGTGAGCTTCCTTCCTTCAGAGGAATAGAATTAAAATGTTGGAAAAAATAACATTGGGAATATCCAGATAGGGCAAAGTTGAGAAGTGGATTGGGTGGTAACCCCATCTCCCTACAGCTCCTCCCACTGTCTCTCTTCCCTCTGGTGGTGCTGACCCTGCATCCATGCACTCAGTCAGCTTCTCATGCCCAGTCCTTTGAGAGGCTACCTTGACCACGTGAGGCAAGCCTGCGTGTTAGGAATCCCCTCCGTTCACCTGCTCATACTTCATTCTTTCCTGTCAAAGCCCCTCCTCATCGACTTTCCAGCCCATTTTCTGTTTCTATTTTGCCTACTCTGGTGGTGCCATGCGCCGTCTGCACTATAATCACTGACATGCTTGTTAAAATGCAGATTCCTTGGCCTAGCCAGCACTCAGGATCTCTGGGAATGAGGCCAGGAATCCAGATTTTGGCCAACTTACTAAGTAAATTATGCACATTAGGGTTTGAAAACCATTCACTTGGTCCCTTTAGTTTTTAAATTCCTGGTTCCTTTGCTTGGGTACTGAGCTTACCTTTCTTTCCTGAATCAGCAGTCCTGTGGGCAGCCTTTTAGGTAATTTTCTGGCTCATCTTAGCCTCAGGACACCCTCATTTTCTCAGGCAATCAAGCAGTCCCACTCCACACTCCTGACCCCAATATCTAGGTGAGTTTGGCCTTATGGGCAGGACAGGGATATCTAACTTGTTAGTTGTAAACATGAGATATTATCCTGCCCAATGACATTTGTCTTTCTAAAAGAAGACTTTATTCTCCAAACAAATAGATATCTGGGGAATTTTGTGCACTCAAGACTAAATGTACCAAGGTTAATTTCAGTGGGAAATCTTGACAAGCACTCTTCAAATCATAGTTAGAGTCTGGCTGCACATCTTACCTAATCGTAGGGATCACTATAGTGACTGTGAAGACAATTTACCCTTTGAAATATTTGTCCAATGATCTAATGGGTTTATGGAAGCTTGCTGCTTCTTGAAATACTACCATATCAACTAGCTTCCTGGCAATGTGTGTAGGGAGGTCATGCCAGCCTGTGTTGGGTCATCTTTAAGAAAAGGATAGAGGTCCAGGAATATGATAAATAAAAGAGACAGAAGAGGATCTTTCTTAAGACCTTGGGCTTTTGGAATTGGTCATCACTGAGATTCACTTCTGGCAAAGAAATTTCAGAGAAGTTACTTCAACTATGCCCCATTGTTCTCAAATTAAATTAAGGACAATGATACTGATTTCATGGAGTATGAGGATTAAATGTGATAATGCACATACAGTGCTTGGCACAAGATCTACAGAGTAATGCCTGTTGTTATCGTAGTCATTATTATAACATTTGAAATGGGGAGAGGGAAGGAAGCAGTTTTGTTCTTCCACTTTTCAGAGCTTCAAACTTTTGGGAGCATACATTTCTATTTTCACTCATGTGCCTTTTCCTCTATGAAGCAAGGACCTTGGGGGTATCTTGCACTGTGTGTCTTTTCCCACCCCATTTAGTATACAGATGAACACCCAGGCCAAAGAGCTCTGCAGCATGAGGGGAACACACAGGAAAGGCAAGGGCCGCCTGCCCTTGGTGATCACTGGGGATGAGCTCTGAGGTCCTGCATGCTGGTGTAGAACAGCTGTAGTGCCTTCTTCTGTTCAGCTGCTTCTTTTTAGTGTTGGGACCAACTTGGGCATCCTGCTGTGAAAGCCATCTCAGTTTGGGAAAGTGGGTGAGAGGGTTAGGGAATAAAGGGAGAGTGTGGGTGAGTGACTACATGTGATGGGTAAGGGGCTTTGGAGAGATGGATAACGGGAATTTGTGAGTAGGGATGGATAGATTCTCATTGTCTTAGGTAGCTGGGGCTGCTATAACAGAATGCCATAGACTGAGTAGCATAAACAATAGAAATTTATTTCCTACAGTTCTGGAAGCTAGAAGTCCAAGGTCGCTGTGTCAATATGGTCAGTTTCTGGTCAGGGCACTCTTCCTAGTTTGCTGATGGCCATGTTCTTACCTTGTCCTTCCTATGGCAGAGAGCAGAGAGAGAGACACAAGCTCTCTTGTGTCTCTTATAAAGGACTAATCCCATCACGAGGGCACCTCCTTCATGACCTAATTACTTCCCAAAGCCCTTGGCTCATCACATTGGGTGATGGTTTCAGCATTTGAATTTGGGGAAGGACACAAAGCTGCAGTCTATAACACATATCAAGTCTTCTATTAATTAGTGCATCAGTAAAGCATCTAGAGTAGTGAGATAAAACCTAGAGATTTCAGCATAGAGAGCGTTGGGAGGAGAGGGCTTCCAGGGTTGGGAGCAGTGTCAGATGAAAGAGTAGAAAACAAACAGAAACTGGAAGTAAAAAGAAGAAAGAAAGGAAGGAAAGAAGGTGGAAGAGAGAGCAAGAGAGAGAGAGAGATACACAAAATGTAGGGAACCTAATTTTGAATCTGTATGAAAATCTCTGCAGCTACTGGAATATGTACAGCTAACATGCCATCAGATAGTGACTGCGACAGGGCAGCTGGCCCTTAGGGTTCATGTCATTGCTGATGTTGTTTAGTCACTTGTTTCTAATTGTCAGTCTTTTCCCCTTGCAAGCTGCCCAGCTTGAGAGAGAAGCCAGGACCAAAGTATGCAACTCCTTGATGCTGAATTTGGTGCTTGTGAGATATGAGGCTCCATGGCCTCCGTCCTCTTCCTCTGTTTTCCTGAACTGGGTAGAAATAAATAACAGTGTCTCAGAGCATTGCCTGTGGGGTTCAGAGAAGCAATTTCTACAATCAGATGCTCCTTTCACCTTTGAAGATGAAGGAGAAGAACATACTTGGTGTGTCCCCACCATACCCACTGTGCTGGGAGCCATGACTGAAATACTGCTCTTGGATTCTGAGCTCAGGAGCTCCATTAGAGAGTATTACTAAAGCCAGTTGTGGTGCCCAGCGCTGAGCACTTTCATTGTGCAGGCAGGCCACACATGCCTAGGAATAAGTGAAAACGACTTTGCCTCTGCACGGGAATGTCTGCACTCCGCATCCTGTGTTATTTCTTGATTTATAATTTCTTCAATTCGTAGTCTTCCCTCAGCTAACAAGTGAAGAGTGAGCATACCCCTTCATCATGAATTTGGCGTTTTTACTGCCACAAATATTTTAAATGACATTCTACAGCTTTAACTCATCTGAGTATCTGAGGTGAGCTATGATTTTATTCCAAAGCTGTTTCTAGCTTCCCAGCAACCATTCTGGTTCTCTCGGGGCTCATCTGCCTCTCACCGCTCTGAAAGTCTCCAGTTCCTTGCCACTCTTTTATAAACAATTTAAATTGTCTCCTCCTCCTGGGGAGCAGAGGGTGAATGATTTCTTTTGAGAAGATTCAGCTTTAATTGCACCTCTTATTAAACACACACAATGTTTGACATATGATTTGTGGGGATCTTGGAGGGGACTTGTGGATTCCTTAAAGCTTATCCACATACCCCTATTGAAGATGCCTCAATTTAAATAAAACATCTTTATTACTTGTTTCTGATACTAACTGTGTTGGATAGTCTATCTTCTCAAAATTCCCTCTTTCAGTGCCTTTGCAGTTGTTGCCACTACAATTCTGTTACCAGCTGCTTATTGTTCTTTTGATGGAGCTGCTAGGGGTGAGGTGGCACAGAGGATAGGCAACCCAAGGTGTAGGAGGCAGACTGCCAGGGCTCACAGGGATTATCACTGATGTTTCAAAGCCTGCCACAGGTTTCCTGTCTTGTGTTTTCAAACACAGGGGGCTGGATCAAAGCTTGGGTGGTAGTTGTGGAGGTACATGGCTCAGATCCCTCTTTGAGGAAGAATGGCAGGGCACTTGGCTGACAGCCTCCAGCTGCAGGGCTTCAGCATCCACCATGGTGTTCAAACACAGAACACTTTCCCTAGAGAGCCCCAGCCAGCGGCTGAGCACGGCAGGGCATCAGGCCTGGCCATTCTGTTAACGTGCAATGTCTCTCTGGGCAATCTTTGCACGTGTTGGGCTGGGAGCTGCACCACAGTCTGAGGCTCTTCCTAACCACCCCTTTTTTCCCAGGTGTCAGATTGGCATGGTGGTTTGAAGGCTGTCCCTGAGTACTTCTGCTTTCTTTCCCCTTTGTCTTTCTCAGATGTTATTCCCCCCAACCTCCTGTCCTACGAAAACTCTTGTGCTTATAACTCTGTTGTGTCTGCATCCTGACACAGCTTTATTCATAGGCAACATCACTGTCATTTCGCATAATCCCACCTCCCTTCCCAGATCTCAACCTGGGAACTGTTCCCACATCTTCCCAACCCATTTCATCACAGAGTTAAGAGTTTACTGAACATTGATTCCATCCTTCTAGCTATGCAAGTTATTAGGGTTTCTAGTACCATCCCATTTAGCATCCTATAGGATGTTTAGGACCCCTAGAGAAGAGACAGAGGCACGAGAGAGTGAAACACATACTTTATTTCTGTATAAAGATTCTTTCCAGGAGACCAGGCTGGAAAACACGGAAACCTCAGGAATGGCCCCTCTCCACTTATACTCCTCTCCTCACAAATCAGGCCAATGAGGTCAGTTCCTGAGTCCCCTTTCTCCAGGATTCCACTCAGTCCTTGTCTCTTAGTGTCCTGTTGGGGGATAAGGAGGAGAAGGACTCTTGTTCTCTAGCTTCTCCGATAAAGGCCCCCCCACCGCCCCTCAATTACTGTGGTCTAGGAACTGTGAGTTCATGATATACATCAGGGCTCCTCCCTGAGAAAGCATGAGGAGGAAGAGGAGGAAGAGATTCACACAATACAAATATCACAGTGACAGCAATGAGATCTCACATTTTGGAAGTCACGTAACAAAGATGGTTCCTTGATATTTCATATTCTATTACTACTGGACATTACACCAAGTAAACACACTTGGATAAACACAGGGTGATGCATTTCTAGAATAAGAATGTGACCCATGCACAGTACAAATCATGGTGTTTCTTACATGTGGGAGTTGATGACATTTTTATAAGTTAGTGGACATTGGAGACTGGGTCAGAGGAAGGCTTGCTGGCACTGTCCAAGCAGATGCTTTGCCATATTGGAAACTGCCCGGACCACCCAACATTCCCTCTTACTATGCACAGAGATGATACTGTTCAACCAAATTCCTTTAGGTCCCCTGGACTGACTGCCAGCTCCCTTTGGAAGTACCCCAGAGAACTCTCATTCCAGAGGCTCTCCAAAGGTCCCAGTCTTTGGCTTGACTGCCCATGTTGAGTGTGGGTTTTTAGAATTCTGTGGAGAATCTGTCCTCTCAGATGCCTCCAAGACTGCTGGGCAGCTTAGACTCACTAGGACTGGTGAGTTAGTTAGTGATGGCCAATAAGGTAGGCTCTTCAAGAGCTGCAGGGGCTGTGTGTTCCCAGTTCAGGGCAAAGTCCAGAGGAGGCACTCAGTTAATCCTCGTTGAGCTCAACTCTAACCTTCTCTTCCATAGATGGGGTGTCCCCAACTTCTTGACACCATCTTCTCAGGTACTTCTCATAATCATGTTAGCTCTTTACATTCTTCCAAAGTGAGTAATCCATACACAGCAAGATTCTCTATTGGAAGTATGACTAATGCTTAGGGCACTAACTTTTGTTGCTTCTAAATTTTGTCTTCCATTTATATATCTGCAATGATCTGGCTTCACTTAGTTTATTTAAAACTTTCCATGCTGCTTTAGAGAATGTAGTTCTTGAGGTTTTCTGGCTTATACTGTTTCTTCTTCCCCCAGGCCTGTGGATGCCCTGGTAGAATTAGAGCCAGCAGGGCTGGCAAAGGCTGTAAACCATGCATTATTCTCCCCTTAATGTTATGGATGCGGCACATGTGCATCCATTATGCAAACTACCAGGAGGACATTCATGGATGTTACATGAAGCTTCTGCTTCCAGCCATATCTGGAAAAAACACAGATTTGGGAGACAGAAAAAAAAACAAAACAAAACTGCATGCTCACCTTCTGGAAACTCTAAATCTAAATTAGGATATAAAGCATTCAGTTCATGGCTCTTGGAAGACTGACTGTCCTTTAGGGTTGATGAGTCATTCTACCCCTTAGAGACAGGAAGCTGGCAAAGCCATGGAGCAGGGAGGAGACATTCAGAGAGTCTGAAGGGAAGATGCAAGATGCCCTCTTCCCAGAAGTGCAGCTGCAAAGTGCAGCCTTCTTGCTTGTCGCACATATGAGCACGATGCTAGTGTAAAACTAAGAATGAAGGTTAGGGCCCCCACCCTAAAATACCCAAAAGGTTAAAGCAGGGAGCCCACATTTGTCTTCTCTGACAGTGTTCTGCAGCTATGAAATTCTGCCTGCTAAAGCTGGATGGATGCAGGCCTTGGCATGAAGTCCTCTGCTCTGTCAAAAGCCAAAACCTTCCATGAGAAGGAATGTACTCAGGATTTTAAGATAAATCGGAGAATGTCTGAGATGGATAGTTACAGATGGCCTTAGCAGTTGCTACATCTCCAGGAACTGGGTATTAGTTACAAGACTCACTGCTCCTATTCTTTTCTATTCTTTTATTCTTCGTTTTGTTTTTTTTTGTAAAACAAACAAAAAACTCATACAATCCTTGAACCACGGGATGTTAAGATTCGAAGGAACACTTAGATTATCTAGTTCAGTCCCCTTGTTTACAAGTAGGAAAAGAGGGTCAACTACACATTAAATGTAGTGCAAGTCTCCCAATTCCTGGTCTGTAAGAGAACTAGCAGGTATCAGTGGACATATTCTGCTTGCGTCGGCTGCTCAGGACAGTCACCGGGGACATAATGTGGAAGCCCGAGGTTCTCAATCTCATGATGTATAAATGTACTGAAATACTGAGATGCCAAAAAGGGGAATACATATGTTTCTTTTCACAGATGCTTAGAAGACAGGGCTAAATTTTTCATTTAGATGTTATGTGGTGCCTTCTTTTGTTCACCCTGTCAAGCGTAGGCTGGGGTGATAGGAGCCTCCAGCTGCAGGAGGCTAATCTGAGATAACTTTATTGAAGTAACACGGGGCTCCAGGAAAATGAGTCTTCCGGGTCCGCAGCTGTGCTGCAGAATTCATCCTGAAATGAGCACTCGCATGCAGCCAAAGTCACTTCCAGAATGGAATGAATGGGCTTTTGGGAAAAGCTGGTCCGACCTTTTATTTTACAGGCTCAGCAAAGTTCAGTGATTTGGTTTGAGTCACACAGCATGAGGGTGGCAAAGATAGGGAAGAATTGAGATTTTTTGACTCAAGGATGGAATGTTTTCCCTAACCCATACTGACCCTTTTTGCAAGTCCCAGTGTGAGGGTGTTTCTGATGGTTCCAGATGAAGGGAATTTCCATGCATGAAGGGAGGCAGGTCAAAGGCAGTGGGGGCTGCACCTGCCAAAGGCCCTGTGGCCTAGGAGAGCACATTGGAGGAGAAGCTGAAGCTCTCTGTCATGGTCTTGGAGTCACTTCGTGAAGAGCAGTTGGAGGTCAGGTCCAGGGACGAGGGTGTGGCCTTGGGGCCGTCCTCTGGCTCCTCCTCGTGGGCCCCCACCACTGTGGAGATGGTGGTCTCCAGGCGGCTGACTTTGTACACACTGCCCTGGGTCTGGAGATACCGGGTGGATTTCATTTCCAGCCCCTCATAGTCGCCGGCGCTGATGAAGGGGCAGCACCGGAAGGCATGCTTGAAGCCCAGACGGAACCTGGAGAGCGAGCAGATGAAGAGGTGACCCTTTGGGACGGCCTGCTCAGAGGGCTGCCCACCACTGCATCAGCTTGTTAACACATGGACATACCCAAGCGTGATTCTGTTATTGTTTTTAAAATTCAATGACAGCTGGAGATGCTGAGGCCAAAAAGGCTTAAGGGTCAGTCAACAAGGTCAAATCCAAGACTAGAAAAAAAAAATCCAACACTGGAACAATCTTTATGTGAAATACGTCTTTACTGGGGGTGGCCCTGAACTATGCTGTCTCCCCTCACATGGGGTCAGCAGACTTTGAGTCAATTCTACCTCAACAAAACGCATTCACCAAGTGTTTACTATGTGCACAGCACTGTGCTAGTTACTGGGTGGTAAAAACACATATCAAGATTCAGTCCTTCCCCTCGAGTAGCCTGTTAACTGAAGGAGGACTCTCTGCCAATCATGTTTCTTCAGTGTGCCTCAGTTTCTCTGGTTGTTAAATAGGAAGAATTAACCTTTACTTAAAGGCGTGCTGCTAGACTTAACCTAAAAAAAGTGTAGGTGGGTCATGAAACTCTTAGAAATAAGGGTGAATGTGTCAGTTAGACTAACAGAGACCCTTTGGACAAGTTGAAGAGAATGTCTTTCCCCAAATTTCTAGTACCTGAGTGTCTAATTCACAGAAGGCACCTTACAGGCTGAGGACTGATGGATATAAAGATGGTAACAAGCATTTTATTCCTCTCCCGCCTCCTTCCCCATCCAGAGGCTGGTGGTGCTCTGGATGACAGACTGTGCTGCAGCCACTATGTGTCCCTGCCTGCTTTTGGGAGCCCTCTGCACCCCATGGTGAATTCCCTAATGCTGACCACCATTCTGGATGGGCTCTGCCTTCTCTTACTTCTCTGACATTGGCTTCTGCCATCTGCAGGATGGCTCTCCCCAACCCCTTTGACTAAGTGAGGGCAGGAATCAGGCCTCTGGGGTCACAATTCCTTTTTGCCTTACCTTGTCCTGCTGGAACTGCTGGAAGAAAATGGGTAAAGCTGCTCAGATCGTAAGATGGAATGGGAAAAAGACAGTGAGAGATCAGAGAGGGCGAATGTGCTCTGTGGGGGGATGAAATTCTCTTTCTGCATGCATAGCCCGCTGTGTACTGGATCCATAGAGCAGAGTGAATAAACTCACAGGCCATGGCCTGGAGCCTGGATCCAGCTTGCAGACCTGCCTTACATGCATTAACCACAGAAGTTTTTAATTCCCCCACTAGCTGCCAGTATTTATGAATCAGAAGACTTTGGACAATAATATGGATTTCTGGTTCCCTTTGGAAAAGAAAAAAAGAAAATCAGTCCACTCCGGGCTCCCATTCCTGGATGGTGATAATCAGCCAGGCTGAGTTGTGTGATGATAAGTTAGCTGCAGTCCCCACTTGTCCCTCTTGTCTCACAGCTGGGTTTACTCATTTAGGATGGCCGCTTGGCCACTGTGTATGTAGATGGTCTTGTGGCCCCTGGAGAGCTCATGGGGTTGGGATCCTCACCTGTCATTGAGGCAGCAGTAGATGATGGGGTTGTACATGGTGGAGCTCATGGCCAGCCACATGATGGCCAGGTAGACCTGCTGGATAAACTTCTTCAGGTAGAGATCTGGGTTGATGTAGGGCAGGAGGAAGAAGATGTGGAAGGGCAGCCAGCAGATGGCGAAGGTGCACACCACGACAATCATCATTTTGACCACCTGGCAAGAGGGTGAGACAGGTGAGACCACCAGCACATCCCCCTCTCTCACGGCTGCTTCCTCTCTCCTCCCACGCCCTCACTGTGCACAGTATGGGATGAAGCGAGAAGTATTTAAAAGACGCCCCTTCAAGGAGGAGAAAGGATCTTTACTATATGGTGCTACAAGACTTCGGTTATGTCAGCTGTTCTCAGAGTGTGGTCCCAAAACCAGCATCATCACCATCCCCTCAGAGCTTGTTAGAAATGCAAATTCTTGGACCCTATTTCAGACTTACTAAATCAGAAACTCTGGGGATAGGACCCCAAATTCTGAGTGTGACAAACCCTTCAGATGATTCTGATGCATACTCACATTTGGGGACTACTGTGTTACATTATTCTTCATGACTGGAGGAACACAGGGAGACAAATTAATGAGCAAAGGTGAAAGGGTGTTCAGGAGGAAAAGGCCTGGAACAGCAGGCTGGGTGGGCGGGCACAGCAGAAGGGGTGGGACAAGGGGAGATGCAGTGAGCTAGGGCAAGCTGCTTGGTTTTGAGACTGAAGGGGAGGGAAGGAGAAGGGAAAAGATTTGACTAGCTGCAGTCAGAGAGTGCCAGATGTTTAAAAGCGATTTAAAAGGTTTTGTGAATACTGGATACTATGATCTGAATGTTTGTGTCACTTCAAATTTATATGTTGAAATCCTAACCCCTAAGGTGATGGTATTAGGAGGTGGCCTTTGGGAACTAATTAGGTCTTCAGGTCACAGCCCTCATCAATTAAATTAGTGCCCTTATAAAATAGGCCTGAGAAAGACCCCTTGCCCCTTCCACCATCTGAGGACTTAGAAAGTGCCATCCATGAACCAGGAAGCAGGCCCTCCTGAAACACCAAATCCGTCTGTGCTTTGATCTTGGGCCTTTCAGCCACTAGAGCTGTGAGAAATCAATTTCTATTTTTTATAAGCTCCCAGTCAAAGGCATTTTGTTACATCAGCCCAAATGGACTAAGACACCATGCGATGTAACCCCTTCCCAAGGCATCTTTAGCAAAGAACTCTACAGCATTCATACAATGCTATGCAGAGAAGTACCAACAGAGAATACTAAGCAAAGAAGTACCAAAGAAAAAAAAAAGGAATGAGAAAGCTCTTTATATACTGATTTTCAAAAATCTTGTCAATTTTAAGTGAAATAAGTGAGAACAGTGTGTATTTACTATTTGTGTAAAAAAGAAGAGAAAATAATATATATTTACTTATTTATAAGTGCCAATAGCTAGAAGGGTTAAGAAACAGATAACAATGGTTACCATTGTATGCATATCTGTGTGTGTGTGTGCGTGTGTGTGTGCAAGCTTGGGACCTGGGTAGATGACAGATCTAGAAGGGAGAGAGGCTTTCCATGATAAGAATTAAATTTTTTTAAATGTTTCGTTTTGAACTAATTGAAGGCCCTCGAGAAGTTGCAAAGGTGGTGCAAAGCAGTTCCAGGTAGTCTTCACCTAGCCTCCTCCAATGATATCATCTTACATAACCATACCACATTATCAAAACCAGGACACTGACCATTCATCAAACTACTGACTATATTTGGGTTTTTGCCAGTTTTTACATGCACTGTTTTTTTTGGTGTATAGATTTATGAAATTTCATCACAGGTATAGATGAAAACACCACCACAGTCAGGATACAGAGCTGCTCCATCACTGCAAAGAAACTCACTCACGCTCTCGCTTTGTAGGCCACTCCTCCCAAGCCCCCTCAAACACTGACTCCTGGAAACCCCTGATCCGTTCTTCATCACTATAATTTTGTTCCTTTGAATGCCTTTTGATGTTTGAACCACGTGAATGTATTATCTTGTCAAACTTTAAGAAGAGGACCAAATCACTCTTCACTGATCTTTTATTTAAGTGTGCGTGTGTGTGTGTGTGTTTTAATGGATCAAGAGGTTGCAATTACTCTTTAAGAGCAAGCGAAGTGGCTCATGCCTGTCCAGCCAGATCTGGGTTCCAAAGACACTGAAGAAAGATTCCTCTCCTCCTCTCTGTTGCTCCCCATACCTGGGGATATTTTGTGCTAGCTGCCTCTGGGGCTCACAAGTGTGCCATCCCTTCTCGACAGCCTGTTGTCTGTGCCAGGGTGGGTTAGTTCTGCCTGTCCCCTGCTCACCTTGCGCTTGGCAGAGACTTGCTCGTGGTAGCGGTCAGAGGAGTCCCCGGGGATCTCACTGGCCCATAGTGTGATTCCCACTACGGTGTATGCATAGCCAATCACCAGCAGGGGGAGGAAGTAGATCAGCACAGTCACACAGATGTGGTACCTACAGCAAGGTAAACAGGAAAGGTCAGTATGATATACTTATTATTTTAGGTTTTTAATTTTTGTTATTGTTATTGCAGTCAAGGTTTGGCAGCTACCTTTCTCAGCATATGCCATTAATAAGCTTGGGCTGTAAAGCCCACTCCAGGGAGACTTGTCACCTGCATAGGGTGGATAGGTAATACTAATGAATACACTACAGAAAACAATTTATGTTTTTCTTGTGGACTTTTTCCATAATGAATACTCCTGTTCAGATTAAAAAAAAAGAAAACATTGATGACAGGGCACTGAATCTGTTGTATACCCATAGCGATTTCAGTTGATGATCAGTTCAATATCACTTGCCCCACACCACCCCCCAAAACAAGAATGCAAACTCAGGCTACATTAATAGAAGTATAGTCTCTGAATGAAGGAAGTAATTATACCACTCAATTCATACCCGCCAGACTACACTTATGCTCAACTTAGTGCAGGGTTGTAGACCAACTAGTACGTTCAGTTGAGAACTACCATGATGGTTGATAAGGCCCAGTTTATGCTATGTGATAAGTGAATTTATCGGTATCAGAATAATTAGCCTGAATGAGAGAGATAAGAGTAATCCTAGAACTAGAATTAGTGGGTGGGTGAAAGCCACATAGCATAAGCCATTTCTAAGACTGGGCTTTAAGAATATATCTTCAGATAGAAGCTGCCTGGGTCCCTGAATTACCCATTGGAGGACAGGTGCCAACTGACTCACGTTTGACTGGGACATGAGCAAGAAATAAACCTTTGTGGTGTTAAGCCACTGAGATATTGAGGTTTGTTACAGCAGCACAATTTATCCTTTTCTGTTAAAGGGAAGGCTCCTTTTCAGACTTAAATAAGGTTTTTGAATTTTGGGAAAATATATTTTTCTTGGGGGTTTGGGGGTCCTTGGTTTGTCTGGTTAGTTACAGCCCTTTTCTTAGATGTGAGTATAATGGAGATACTCAGAATTCCTAATAATAATAATAATAATACTAGGAAGAACAGCTAATGTTTGGGGGCACTTACTCTAGGTCACTGTGCTAATAATAATGCTAATGATAGTATTAATAGCAGAAATGGTAGTTAAATTTGAGTGTTGATGAAAAGCACAAAGCCAAGCATTTTACTAGCATTATCTTATTTAATCCTTAAGCAAATGATTGGGTAGGTACTATGAATCCCATTTTGTAGACGAGGAAACCACATTTAGAATTTAATTAATTTTCCCAAATTCACAGCTGGTAAAGGGAGGAGCTGAGATTAGAATCCAGGTCTGTGATGTCAGAAAACCAGCCTTTTGTCAATGGAGAAAAGCCACCCAATGATTTTTTTCTTCCCCTCTGTTTACCATTCATGATTATTTTATGCAATGATTTTCTTCCAATGAGGAAAACCCACTTATTCACTCAATTTCTCCTTTGTAGATACTGTTTGCTTTTAATCACTTCTTTGTAAAGCCCCACAGTTTTTGCTACTTATTCAGTCCCTCTGCATATCAAATTTGCATTTGAAGATACTCAAAGACTGCTTAAGTGACAAATCACAGATTGCACCAAGCAGGGTGTGAGTGCATGTGTTCTGTGCAGACAGGCTGCTCCAGTCTCACCTGGCTTTCAAAGCCCTCTGAATTGTCGCCTCCTTTGGGAGCCTCAGGGCTCTCCAACCACTATGGCAGGGACAGCATATTGTGTTTCCTAGCTGATCTCAGTCCCTCCTGGTTGCTGTAATGGCATTGCTTGTAAGCAAAATGTTTGGAGACTACAGGGGCAGGGAGAACTTGAAAACCTCCAAATTGCACTGACTTCTCCTACCTGAAAGAACAGCCCTGCCTCATGCAGACTAATAGTTTGTGACCAAAACATGTTAGCTGAGCTTTGCCGAGACATTGCTACAGGGCACTGAGCAAGATTGGGTCTGAGTGTGATGGGAGGGACACTATGGTCAACTCGCCGATACTCCTTACCCTGGACCAGTGGCCCTCAAACTCGAGTGGGCTTCAGTATCACCTGGAGGGCTTCGACAACCCCACAGGGCTGGGTCCCACCCAGAGTTTCAGACTCAGCAGGGCTGGGGTGGGCCTGAGAATTTGCATTTCTAACAAGTTCTCAAGAGATGCCGATGTTGCTGTTTGTGGTTCAGACTTTGAGAAACATTGTCTTAGGCCAACGGTTCTCAACCGCAAATGTAAAAGAGAATCACCAGGGAAACTTTTAAAATGATCAGTGCCCAAAGGTATTCATTCAATTGACTTGAGGTTGGGAGCAGGAAATTACATTTTAGAAACTTCCCCCAAGTTACTGTAATAGACATCTAGCACTGAGAACTGTTTCAGACCTTAGGTATGCAAGTCTATTGGGACTCCATTGTTGTCCGTGATTTAATGACTTTATTCAAGTGTGTATTAACTGTGTTTTCTGGTTCTGTATCTGATACTTTGGCATCTGGGTCCCTGCAGCTCAGGGAGGGACTGTTTCAGGCAGAGCTAATTCCTTTGGAAAACAAACAACTTTCCACTTGGATGCCTTTCATATGCAAACTAACCGAAACAAAGCCCATACTTCCACTTGCTTGCTTTCTTGGGCTCTTACAGGGTAGGACACTATTTTCCCGCCCTAATCACCCAACGGCAGGCATCAGACAACTAGGGGCAGCTCCTACACCCCGGAGCCTGCCGAAGTTATTCAAACCAGCCAATCTTAAACCTGTTTACCCGGCCTTGCCTGCTCCTTCCTGAGAAAACCCCAATAAAGGCTTTCCTGTGTGGCTTGGCTTGGTGTGGGGCCATGGCCCTTCAGCTTGGGAACTGTGAGTAATAAAGTGTCTTTCAGTGGTAACCATGTCCTGATCTGTTGGCCACACCATACCTGAATACAAAATACAATCTGCTCTTTCCCTTTGTGAAATCACAGATCAGATCATTATGAACATGCAAAGATAAATACGTAAACATAATTTATCAGCCTTTAAAAAATCCCTCCCTTTTTAAAGAAGCAAAAGTTATTGTTATTTATTTGAAAACAACAAAAAAAATGGGCTTAATTTCAGCTAAAATGTGTTACAGTCAGGAGCATTGGTTTTTCCATGTTCCTATAGAGATAATTAAATACAACATAGAAATAGGATCCAGCAATTCTATTTTTAGGTATAGACACCAAAAATTGAAAGCCAGGACTCAAACAGACATTATTTGAATCTGCACACAACATCATTCACGACAGCTAAAAGGTGGAAACAACCCAAATGCCCACCAATAGATGAATGGACAAACAAAATGTGGCTTATACTTGCAATGGAATATCATTCTGTCAGGCCTCTGAGCCCAAGCTAAGCCATCATATCCCCTGTGACCTGCACGTATACATCCAGATGGTCTGAAGTAACTGAAGAATCACAAAAGAAGTGAAAATGGTCTGTTCCTGCCTTAACTGATGACATTACCTTGTGAAATTCCTTCTCCTGGCTCATCCTGGCTCATCCTGGCTCAAAAGCTCCCCTACTGAGCACCTTGTGTCCCCCGCCCCTGCCCACCAGGGAACAACCCCCTTTGACTGTAATTTTCCACTACCTACCCAAATCCTATAAAATGACCCCACCCCTATCTCCCTTCACTGACTCTCTTTTTGGACTCAGCCCGCCTGCACCCAGGTGGAATAAACAGCCTTGTTGCTCACACAAAACCTGTTGGGTGGTCTCTTCACATGGACGCGAGTGAAACATTCAACCTTAAAAAAGAAGGATGTTATGACATGTGCGACAACATGGATGAAGCCTGCAAACATTCTGCTAACTGAATAAGTCAGACACAAAAGGAAAAGCATTGCAGGATTGCATTTATATGATCTATATAGAATAGGCAAATTCGTGGAGACAGAAAGTAGATGAGAGGTTTACCAGGAGTTGGAGGGAGGAGATGGGAGTTATTGTCTAATGGGTACAGAATCTGTTTGAGATAAAGATGTGGATAACTTTGTTTAAGGGTGGGTGGGTAGAAAATTTCAGCTGTTACAGAAAGGTCGAAATGAAGTATCTCTGGAAATGGAAGGTGGTGATGGTTGCACAACATTGTGAATTTACTTGGTGTCACTGAATTGTACACTATAAAATGGCAAATTTTGTTATACATATTTTATCACAATAAAATTTAGTAATAAATTATGTAAGAAAAATTCAGCTAAGCTGGCATTCTAGGTTTCCAGATTCGCAGTCTTTTGCTCCCCCAGGCACTTGACAACTACACCCTCCCCGTGCCACATCCCCACTGAAAAATAAAAGGCAGATTTGATCCTTGGATGAGATAAAAGGTTAAACACATCCTTCTAAATATTGCTTAGATAAACCCCATTTACATAGAAATTACAAATGCTCAATCCAAACAGTGTCCAACTTATCAAAAATTATAAGTGAATGTAGGTCAAATCAATGAAATTCCATTATTAGAAAACATAAAATTAAATACTTTTTTTGATCTTGATGTCTTTTTCAGAAAAGTATTTTTTAAAATCATATCTTGTAGTTAACTGGAGATATGTCTATTTATATGTATATATTTGTTAAAATCATTATTTTAGAGAGCTGGTCAATGAGCCAGCACAATCTTATTTTGTGTGGCTCTATGCTTGCTTTGGCTTTCATTCTGCTATTTCCTAGATTTCTGCCAGTTAGGATTTTATCAGCTCTCAGAATTAATATCTGCCTTGGGAGAAGAGATCTGGGGTTAAGGATGCACTATAAGTGAACATAACAGCAACAGCAAGAGACAGCAACAGAAGAGACTGGCTGACCCCCACCTGGTGAGATATGTGCTGGGTTGTCATAGACCTGAGAGAACCCAGCACCATGATTTTGATCATTAAATCCTGCTGATGAGCTTATCGGAACTTTCAGAAGGAAGGCTCAAGCAACAACTTCATGCCTTTGTTCATCCCTGTAAGCAGTGAATGAGGCTTGACACATTTTACAGGATAAGCTTGCTGAATGCAGACCATGTAGCCTCAAATCCTGCAGATTCCCTTGTCCTTAATGCCACAATATCTTGGTGCTCATTAATCTAGGTTTCCTTATATCTCACTAGTGGGATCATTGTTGAAAGCAAGAACAGTTTCAGTTTCTGAAATAATCCTCAGCATTTGAAATCAAGGTTGATAGGCTAATTAAATAATAACTAGGTGTCTTCATAATGTACTTGGAGGAGACTCTGGGTGCCTTAAGGTAGGGGAAGAAGGCAGCCAAGAGGGCACAGCTCTGGGTTCTCCATCTTTATTCTAATGAGATAGTTCTGCTTTGCTGGGTTTACATATTGGCTTTCTGTGGATGATATTGTTTCGGGGTGGGTGGGTAGAAAATTTCAGCTGTTACAGAAAGGTCGAAGAGCATTGATAGAATCCCAACCCCAATCCAGTGCATTACCATTCTTTGCAATATCCATACCACATAATCATCCAGAATCTTCTTGAATACCCCTGTGACAGGCTGCTCACTACTTCTAAAGCTGAGCTACATCAGCAACCCTTGGAAGCCTATTACAGATGCAGACTCTCAGGCTCCACCCCAGAGGGACAAAATCAGAATATGCATTTTAACAAGACTACCCAGTAATTCCTGTGTATGTTCAAGTTGGAAGCACATAGCTCTTGGTCTTGGTTGCACATTGGAATTGCCTAGGGAGCCTTGAAAAATTCCAATGTGTAGATCCCACTTTAGAGCTTCTGATTTAATTGGCCTGCAGTGCAGCTTTGGGCACCAGAGATCTAGAAGCTCTCCAGGTGATACTCCTGTGCAGCTGGGGCTGAGAATTACTGGCATTGAGACTTTTGATGCTGGTAGCTGCAACTGATGCAGTTCCTCCTTAAACCCAGTGAAAAAACCTGTGGTCACGTAGCTTTCACACTTTATCCTATGTCACAAACAAACCTGAATCTGCAAACCTCCTGGGATGGTCCTGCAAATGCAAGGTGACCATGAACCTGCTGTTCCCCAGAGCCCCCTTTGCATTGAGGGCTTTTGAGGCCATCTCTCATTTGATACAAGCTGAGCAGCCTCGTTCCTCCTGCTCTTCCTCAAATGTCCTTCAGGCTTTCTCTCCTTCTCACAGCATGGTGCTAGATGCTTGACTTTTTACTTCCTGGAAAAAAAATTTCAGGTCCATGTGGCTTCTTGATAGTAAAAGAAAGCAATACTCATGTATTTATTGGTTCACTCACATCTGGGTGTTAGAGCCAAATTCCAAAGACCTTTGAAAGTTCTCTTGCAGGCAGGCAAAAATTGCAACTGGTTAATCGATAAATTCAGCAAAGATTTATTCAGCACCTGTTCTATATCTGGTCTGGTGCTAGGGGCTGGGGACACTGAGGAGAGTTCTAGTCATTGTTTTCTTCTTCCGGAGCTCACAGTCTGCAGGGGAGTAGTGCCAAAGAGTGTGCCATGGGAAGTGGCTGACAGTGGTTACCTCTTCAAGGGGAGTGGAGACATTAAGGAGAGGCACGAGTGAGCCTTTTTCAAATATAGATACAATGTAAAAATTAAAAATAAGCCTAAATACATGGTCCAGTGTTTTGTGCATGTGCGTTAGTGCATAATGCATTGGTGAGATATTCAACCAAGCTGGTCAGGGAAGCTTCCTGGAGGAGGAATTGCATGGCTAAGCCCTGATATACAAGTTGGAGGTAGGCAGGTGAGTTGGGCACTATAGGGAGGGGAGGGAGCAAGTGCAAAGGCATGGGGGAGGAGCCTGGCATGAGGCAGGTACTAAGATGCCATTAGAACTGAAAAGGACATGGCTGTGTGAAGAAGTGCCACAAGACTTGGCTGGAAAGGAAGACAGAAGCAAATCACAAAGGGCCTTTTATGACAGACTGGAGAGTTGTGATTTATTTTGAAGTTGGTGGAAAACCATGAGGTGGTTTTAAACAGAGAATGAACATGGTCAGATACTTGTGCTCTGGCAATAGTGGAGCATGGATGGAGGTGGAAAAGTCCAGAGGCAGTGAGCCTTTGGGGTGCTCTGCGGGCCTGGCAGGAAGTGGCGCTGGCCTGAGTGAGGGCTGTGGCAGGATGGATGGATGATATGAGGGGAGAGATTCAGGAAGCACTGTGGCTTGGGGGAAGAGCTGGTGGACTTGGCTGTGGATGGCAGAATTTACCTGAATTTCTGGCCTGGGTGAATGGGGGAGTGAAGGTGACTGTCACTAGTGTGGGGACCCAGGGAAGAGGAACAGGCTTGTCGGGCAAAGTTGGTAGATTGCCTTTTGGATATGTTGACTTTGAGGGCCAGCAGTTAGATGTCTGTATCTGGATTTGGGCTGGTATTAGATTTGGGAGTCCTCATGTGTCCAAAAACCATAAGAAGACAAGCGGATGCAAGATGGCCATGAGAAGAGAGGAGGTCCACATCTTGCGGTTGGGGGCAATTCCAGGGGAGAGGCTGGAGGGGAGAGGGAGGGGCAGGAGGGAGAGAGACTCCAGGGGCGGGTACAGCCTGCCTCTGAGGGGAGGGAGGATGAGGGTAGGAACTTGCTCTCTGCTTTGGACATCAGAGACCCAGGGCAGATTCAATTTTAGTGGCATCGTCAGAGAAGGTGATGATGGACCAGGTGAGTCGAGTGGGAAGTGAGGAAGTGGAAGCAGTAGGTGTAGATTCCATTCTTAATATACTTGGCCACGAAAGGGAGAGGAGAGAGCAGTCGTTAAATGGGGCCAAGGGCCGAAGGAAGCTGTCTGTGTGTTTGGTTGAAAGGATAGGGGATATGAAGCCCTCTGTACCTCTCTGACACATCACCCAGTCTTCCCTGGGTTATAGCGACACGAGTACATGTCCCATCTTTCTGCAGAGACAGGCCAGGACCAAGCCTCCATCAACTGCATCCAGACATAGGCTCTGGGCAGGAATGTCCCAGAGTCGCCCTGTATCGTGATGGGGTGACCAATCAAGGTGGATGCTCAAGCGCATGCACTTAAATTCATGGAAGAACTGGCGTCACAGGATCCCCATGCTCAAATGCTGCTGCCTTCTGGTGGAGTCAATTCCCATGGGGCAGCTCCTCAGAGGGAAGGCCACACTGACACCTACCCATGAACAAGACAGGGAAGGAAGCAAATTCTTACTGCAGTCTCTGCTCAAATTGCACAAGTCAGAATTTCGTTGTGTTGTTCTCCAGGTTACTTTTTATATACGACTATTTCATCTGCTTGATTAGATTAAATGTTCCTTCTAGGCAGAGCCCATGTGGTGCTCCTCTGTTTTCATCACAAAATCAGCACCAAGGAAATACTTCATAGAAAAATATCATCTTGGGTTTCAAAAAACACTGGAATTCTCACCAGATTTGTCCCCCTCATCCAGCAAGAAGCCCTGTTGACAGCGTCCTCCTCAGAAATTGGCCCAGCATCTGCTTGAATGAGAGCCTTCAGGCAAAGAGCCCGAGTGCCTGAGCTTTTCTTACCTCTTTCTTCTTTAATAGATAGGTTTCTCACTACAAGTACTATATACTCATCGTCGATTTGAAAATACAGACAAGCATTGAAAAAAACTTCAAAGGTTTTTCTAATTATATCACCTAGAAATAAATTCTGAGAAAATGGATTGATATCTTCCTCTATCTTCCTGATATCTTCCTACACACACTCATATTTGTACACACATAAGAATACTGTTAGATTACTTTGAAAACAACACTATGTCACAATCATCTTTTTATGTCAATAAGTATTTCTATAACAAAATTTTTAATAGCTGCAATAATGTTCTATTGCATGGAGGTACCATAGTTATTTAGCTAGTCTTCTATTTCTTCTATTCGGGACATTTGAGTTATTTACAATGATCTAATATTTAAGCGATACTTTAATTAACATATTCAAATATGTGTTGTTGCTCCCATTTTTATTTCCCAAGGTTAAAGTCACCAGAACTAAGTTAAAGGGTTTTTAAAAGGTTTGATATATACTGTCATTTTCCAGAAAACACGTGCCAATCTGTACCAGTTTATGAGATTACCCTTTTGTTTGCACAGCTGCACTGGGCACTATCAGGTATCATAGTTTTTGCCAACATGATAGGTCATACATGGTTCTCTACTTTAATTATAATTCTTAACTCATTGTAACTTAAAATTTTATAATTGTATTAGTCTGTTTTCATGCTGATAAAGACATACCTGAGACTGGGCAATTTCCAAAATAAAGAGTTTTATTGGACTTATAGTTCCACATGGGTGGGGAGGCCTCATAATCATGGCGGAAGGTGAAAGGCACATCTCACATGGTGGCAGACAGGAGAAAAACTTGTGCAGGGAAACTCCTCTTTTTAAAACTATCAGATCTTGTGAGACTTACTCACTATCACGAGAACAGCATGGGAAAGACCTGCTCCCATGACTCAATTACCTCCCACTGGGTCCTTTTCACAACACGTGGGAATTCAAGATGAGATTTGAGTGGGGACACAGCCAAACCATATCAATAATTATGCTTTTTAATCATTTTCATTTCTTCTTTTGTGAACTGACTGCTTGTATAATTTACTCAGTTGTATATTGGGGTGGTCATATTGTCTTTCCTAATTTGGAAAGAACTCTTTATGGCTTCTATTGTGTTATACTTAGAAGGACCTTCTCCATTTCAAAATCACAAAAACATTTACTGATATTTATTTATTTGTTTATTTGCATTATAACTATTCAGCCCATTAAGGATTTATTTTGTTGAGTATTATGAGAAGAAACTCCAAATATTTTTTTCTCCAACATTGCTTACACTTTTCCCAGGACCACTTATTGGATACTCTATCCTTTTCCTGATGATTTAAATTTGCACTTGGACCACATACCACTCACTATATTGTTGGCTCTGTTTCTGGGTTTTTCTTCTGTTTCCTTCATCTATCCCTCCTTACTGGTGTCAGCTCTGCACCATCTCAACTTTTATGACTTTGTAACACATCCTTTATCTATGGCAGTACAAATCTCCTCTTATTTCTGGGATAGAAACCGACCTGGATTACTCTGGTCTTAACTCAGAACACGTAGGACTTTAATCGTTGAACAAATGAACCCTTAATAGTGGCTACACCATTAGAATGTCCTGAATTTTACTTAGTTTTTAAAATAAAATATCTTCAGACCTGCACATTTCTTACGAAGAAGGTTAGAGAATGGTCTCAGTTATTTAGAGCCAGGTTGGCAGCTTCTCAGAAGAGATCAGGTTGTAAATCCACTGGCCCTTCCCAGCATGACATGCATGATGAAGTGTAGTGGTGAATGTTGTTGGTCTGCCTTGGACCTCATGGCCCCCTTACAGATTCTTTCTTGGGCAGCAGTGTTAGGAAAAAAAAAAAAAGGTTCTGAAAAGGGTGCATTGCTAGGAATGGCTCAAGAGTCTGGGAATGCTCTAACGAGAGACATTGAAACACAGACTCATGCAGAAGAAGCTGAGCTCCCTCACCCACACTCCTCCTCCCTTCAGTCTGCTTAGGGAGAGGAGGCAGGGCAGTAATGGTGTTTGAGGAGGCAAGTGGCTGATAGTCCTGCCTGAAATTTCAACTGGGTAGATACGTTAAGAAAAACAAACAAAACTTGAATTCTAAAGCTTCTGCAGGCTTTGAATTGCTGAGAGAGGACAAGTTAGACGGTCTTTGGGTTGGCTGGGGAGCTTATTGTATTTTGGGATAGGAAAAAATAGGGCAGAAGCCTAATTTAGGTGGAGAGTGAAAATGCTAAATTGATCTGTGTGGGGAAAAAATATAAAGAGTACAGGTAACAAGAAAAAGGGAAAAAGATACCATATTAAGCATGACAGAAAGAGGGGCGAGAAAGAGTGCGAGTGCACCTGAGCCCCATGGTTGGAAGAGGGACTTGCAAAAGGACACAGCCAGCAAGACATTTCCTGCAGGGATGGCTGCTCAATGCATTGTAAAGAACAGTGGTATCTGAGTGCGAATTCAAGAAAACACAATTTTGTCCTAGGCTGTAATTCCCCGATTCAGCTCCTCAAATCTTTAGTAAAATATGCCTCATCCAAAAATTCCATGGTAGTGGGGCTTTGAGGAAATAAAGGAGAGTGACTCTTTCCCAGAGTGGAGACAAGTGGGCAGGCCAGGGCTGGTGGCGACCACAAAGCTCCTAGTGGTAAGTTAAGGTTCTTACTTAGGGTGGAGAAGAGGATGTGGTGGAGAGGGAGACCCTGCCTCAGGCAGCAGGGAGACAGAAAGGGACCTCCTGAATCTGCATTATGCTCCCTGGTCAGCCTTTCCAGCCTGGCAAGATGATATCAGTCATCTGAAGATTCCTGGAATCTCTGAGGATGTTCTCCAAGTCCTCCGGCCCCAGATACGGAAATGTGAGGCAGGTAACTGCCACCAGGTGGCGCCAATCTGCAGCCGGCACCTGGACCAACCAGTATTCATTAGGCATTTCAGTAACCTAGCAAGAAAGCAGCATGCATTTTATGAGGTCGAATTCATTACACACCACACAGTGCCCACCTCCCAACCCCTACATTCCTTACCATGTCATGGTGCAGTTTTCCAGTATGTGGGGTGTTTTGTTTTAAACCACTGTAGCATGAGTTTTGCAAATCCCCTTGGAATACTGCAACCCTATTGAGGACAAGGCTGCATTTTATATGTGACATTTGCTCTGAGTATCAGTGGGTACTGATACATGTTTTGCTGATATAATCCACCCACTCTCAAACCCTCTAGATGGGTCTTAATTCTATTGTGTTGTGCTCTGCTTGAGGTTGAGTTAGCTGAGTATCGCATCGCCGCAGTGGAAGGCTTTTTGCTGGGTGGGTAGGCAGGGACAGATCTGGGATGAGCTTCTCTCGATGCAGCAGCTGGAATGAACACTGGGCTGGGGTTGGGGGTTGTGGGAGACGGATTGGATACATGCAGAAGTGAAGCTTGTACTTTATCCTTCTGTCACGCACTCCAAATCAGCTTATTTTTGGTGGGACATTGTTTAGAAACTGCTTCAATTGGTGCCAACGGATATGAGTAAACATTTCTTGATATACGTAAGTTACACCATAAATGTGGGTGTTGGTTGGTATTTTACACTTCCTCTCATCTCTCTCTGGAGTTTGAAAAAGCACTTAAAATAATCAAAACAGTTTTAGTCCCAATAGCCTGTGACTAATAGCCATCCATGTCTCTAAGTCTGGACTAAGCATCCAGACTCACAGCCCTGATGCTAAGTGCCCATTCTCTTTGCTGTGCCCTGAAAATATGTACTCTCAACAAGACAAATCTTAATACAGCCACTACTAACAACTGGCCAGGAACCTTTTCTTCTGAGGAAATTTATTATCAAGTGTAATACAATGTAAATAGCTATCGGCTTAGAAGATGTAGAAATTTCATATTTTCTACCTGCAGTAGTTTCATTGTAAAGGTGTTTCTGGAGAGTGGATTCCACTTCATCTCATTACCTCTGGGACTTTGGGTAAAAGAGAGATATTGCTAACCTCCTTTCAACAGGAAAAATTAAGGTGTAAGGAAGGTAATTGCCTTGTTCAAGTCACTCAGGGTTGAAATGGGAATAGAAAACAGATCAGTCCTTGTCTCATTTCAGCCCTGTGCATTTCTTTCTCTTTCTGCTCAGATGAGCTAAGAAGAAGAATGGATAAATGTCACTCAGAGCGGGGAAACCACAGTTTTTCAAGAATGAACAAATACGTCAAGCACAAAAATTATCTGCAGCATTTTATAATGGCAGATAATTTATTGAAAAATTGTGTAGCTTAAAAAAGCAGGCCCAGGATTGAAATTCATCTAGACGAGTGACTGGAATGCGGCCAAGTCTTCGATTCCATTTCATGTTTGGATTCATTCTTGTATTTCCACAGCCTGTTCTTGTCTTGAACCCTGAGCCCAGAGAGACTCTCGGTTAACTGAAATATGTGGGAAAGACAAACACCCTACTTTCTTTTCTTAGCCAAAAGTTTCCCAGCATAGACAATAGACCATTATGCCATGAGGCACATAGACTGCCAGTCTACAGTTTCCATTAACAAATTGGGCAATGCAATTTATGTGTCTCACAAGAAATTGTCAAGGATACTACATTAATCAATTTGAAGTCTGTTGTGAATTGTGTGTGAGAGGACAAACATTTAATGTGGGAGTGATGACAGATTTTTCTACCTCCCCAAGGCATCCAAAGAGAATCTAATAATTTCTGGACTATCTTTTATGCAACCTCCTCGTCTTACAAAAAAAAGGTCTTTATTGCTGGAAGAAAAGCTAAGCTAATCTATGCAATTGAGACAGAAAGTCTATGCAGATTGGATGAGGGAGAGGAGGTTTTGAATGGAGAGGGTCCGAGGGGAGCAGTGGGAGATTATGAGAGCAGGAGGTTAGCTAAGACAGGGACTTTTTTTTGATAGGTATTGTGGTGGACAGTTGTTTGGGGCACTTTTTAATGGAATTTCTATTTTATCACTTTTGCTAATTAAGCCAGGCTTCCTCAACTTCACAGTTCTTAGATGCTGAATCATGCAGATTTAGGCTTTATAAAGGCTTCATATATATTGTTAGCAAAGTCACCTGTTCAGGTTTGGGGCCAGCCGTGTGTTGAGGTAGCATCTTCAGTTATGGGCGAGGAACATGGGAAGAGGAGGCTGCATAGTTGCTGCTAGGCCCCATGGGTTCAGCTACCCAATTTTTCATGAACCTTCTATTTTGTACTAGGTGCTGAGGATATAATGGTGAATAGAAACGACATGGTCCCTGCTTTTGAGATGCTTGAAGTATAGTGGGGAAGACAGATAATAAACAGATACATCAGCAAATAAATATAAAATCATAAATGTTGCTAAGTGAATAGAGGAGCCAAACAAGGGGAGTGGTAGAGAGTACCAGGGGTGTCCACACAAAGGACTCTGTTAAGGTAATGTTTAACAGAGACCTGAAGTTCAAAGCAGCGACGTGAAGGGTGCAGTGGTGGGTGCCCCATGCAGAGACAAAAGCAGGCACAGAGGCCCTAAGGTCCAAATGTGCTGGGCACATTGGAGAAGCTAACAGAATGCCTCTGTGGCTTGAGTGGAGGGGTTGAGGGGTGAGGGCCATGAGATGTGGTGGGGGCCACAGCCTCTAGGGTCCTTAGGCCATGCTGTCAGGAGCTGGGCCTGCAAAGTGCCAAGTAAAGTCACTGAAGGGGTTAGGCAGGGTGGGATATGATCTGGCTTTGATTTGGTTAGACATGCAAGCCTGGGCCCCGGTAAGAGGCTGCACTTTCATCTGGGCAAGATATAATGAAGACTGGGACTGGAAGGGTGTATCAGTCAGGGTTCTCTGCAGAAACAGAGCCAATAGGAGATATCTATGTCTATGTCTCTAAGTAGCTATTTATCTATCTATTGAGATTTATTTATTTTAAGAACTTGGCTTACACAACTGTGGGGGTTGGCAAGTTTAACATTTGCAAGGCAGGCTGGTAGGCTGGGAACTCAGGTAAGAGTTGATGTGGTCTTGAGGCAGAATTCCTTTCTTTCTAGAAAATCTCAGCATTTGCCCTTAAAGCCTTCAACTGATTGCATGAGGGTCCCTCACATCATGGAGGGTAAGCTGCCTTAGTTAAAGCCAACTCTTTGTAAATGTTAATCGCGTTTACAGATACCTTCACAGCAACATATGGACTAGGGTTTACCAAGTAGCCTTGCCCAGGTGACACGCAAAATTAACCATCATAAGGGCACAGCTGGATGGAAAGAGCTGGGAAAACCCAGGGCATGATTTGGAAGCATTCTAGTAACAATAATAATAACTACCACTACTACCACCATAAACATATTAATAGCTGACACTGATACAGTGTTTCCTATATGCCAGGCTCTCTTTTAAATTCTTTACATATATAACCTCATTCAGTTCTCCCAACAGCAATCTCTGTGTTACAGATAGTAAAACTTAGGTACAAACATTGCAGAGTGCTTACAGACTTCCCTTAGCATAACTCGGGACACCACTCACAGAGACTATTGGGTAAATAGCACCCCCTTGAGTTGTGCAATCCACTTGACCCTGAGAGACAGTTTAAGTAACTGGCCCAAGAATTCTCCATTGTAGAGATTAGTGTTGTCCAGGATGGAAAGAATTATAAAACTGTATGGGAAGGAATGCCATCAGTATGGCATACATACTTTTTAAAATTATATGTACATGATACTGTTTGGCTGTGTCCCCACCCAAATCTCATTTTGAATTGTAGCTCCCATAATTCCCACTTGTCATGGAGGGTACCTGGTGGAAGGTAATTGAATCATGGGGGTGAGTCTTTCCTGTGCTGTTCTCGTGAAAGTGAATAAGTCTCACGAGATGTGATGGTTTTATAAGAGGGGGTTCCCCTGCACCAGCTCTCTTGTCTGCCACCATGTAAGATGTGACTTTGCCACTCCTTTGCCTTCCGCCATGATTGTGAGGACTTCCCAGCCATGTGGAACTGTAAGTCCATTAAACATCTTTCATCTATAAATTACGCAGTCTTGGGTATGTCTTTATTAGCAGTGTGAGAACAGACTAATACAGTATATACATATATATGTATATGTATATCTATATCTATATATGTATATATTTATTTATTAATATAGTGAGTTTTAAAAAATGACAATTTTATTTTAGAATAATTTAGATTTACAGAAAAGTTGCAAAGATAAAACAGAGTTTCACAGTGGCTATTCCACAGCCAGTGCCCCCTTTTACTAACATGTTATTAGTGTAGTACATTTGTCACAATTTATGAACTAATATTGGCATAGTATTAACTGAAAGTCCACACTTTACTGAGATATCCTTAGTTTTTCTCTAATTGTTTTTCTGCTCCAAGATCTCACATTAAGTTTACTTGCCATGTCTCCTTAAACCCCTTTGGGCTGTGACAGTTTCTCAGACTTTCCTTGTTTTTGATAACATTGACTGTTTTGAGGAGTATTGGTCAGATATTTTGTGGACAGTCCCTTATCTGGAATTTGTCTGATGTTTTTCTCATGATTAGAATGGGGTTATGGCTTTTTGGGAGGAAGTGCCATTCTTATCACATCATATCAAGGGTACATGCTATTATTATTATTTATCACTGTTGCTTGATCTCCAGGCTGAGACAGCATTGTCAGGTTTCTCCACTGTGAAGACACTCTTTTTTCTTTCTTTCCATACTCTAATCTTTGGAAGCAAGACACCATGTGCTGCCCACATTCACAGGATGAGGAGTCATGCTCCTCCCTTGAAGACAGATATCTGTATGAAATTTTTGGAATTATCCTGTGTGGGAGGTTTGTCTATTCTATCTCATTTATTATTTATTCATTCATTCCTTTATATCAGTATGGACTCATGAAATTTATTATATATTTGGCATTATAATTCAATATTATGTCATTTATTTTGCTCTAATTGCTTCAACTTTGGACATTAGAAGCCCATTCAATTGACCTACCCCCAACATTGTATGTATGTGTGTGTGTGTATGTGTGTGTGTGTGTGTGTATGTGTGTGTGTGTGTGTTTTGAGCACTTCTTTTCTGGAAATACAAGGTACTTCAGGCTCATGTAAGTGCACTGCTTCTGTCATAGAATCAGCCATTACTCTAAGGAGCCCTGGTTCCTTTTATTGGAGAATAAAAACCACCATCTAGATGCTGGGTGGTACAGAGCCTTGTTAACTTTTCTAAATGAAATCATGTTGATTATGCCATTTCTTCCCACATGTATCCTTCAGAGTGAGTAAAATTATCCTATTTTACATAAGAAGAAACTAAGGAAATGGCCTCCAAAGGTCACACAGCAGACCTCGAACCAGACCCTAAGCCTCATGGCAACAAGCCTCAAGTTTCTTCTAGCCACGCTTTTATTTTCTGCATTGTTTCTCCTGTGTGTCTCTGGGTAAATTTCATGGGTTCAAGAATTTTTACTCATTTAATTCTCATAACAACCAGAGAAGACATGTACTGCTATATCCTTAGCTCTACTTTGCAGGTAAGGAAGCTGAGATACAGACAGGTAAGCAGGCTATGCATAGCCATGCATCTGGTGAGTGGCAGAGGTCAGACATGGACCCAGACCCTCCAATTCCATGGGCTCCATGTCCTAGTCCTCTATGGCAGGGGCCGCAAACTATGGCCCCAGTTCAAAGCAAGTCGCCATCTGTTTTTATATGGCTTGCAAATTAAGAATGGTTTTTATATTTTTAAATGACCAGGGAAAAAAAAACAAAGAAGAATATTGTTTTATGGCATGTAAAAATTACAAAATTCAAGTGTCAATATCTGTAAATAAAATGTCCTTGGAACACAGTCATGCCCGTTCACACTAAGTATTGTCTGTGGCTGTTTTCGTGCTCTGGTGGCTGAGTGGAGTAGCTGTGGAAGAGACTGTAGGACCTGCCAAGCATCAAATATCTACTACTTGGCCTCTTAGAAAAATGTGTTGATCCCTGCTGTAAGGGAAAAATCTAAAGTCATCCTCTTAAAACTGTAAAGGGAAGGGGCTGAATTACAATCATTATAGAGGAAAGCAGCCTAGGCTGGGCCCAACTCTTGCCAATGCTGTGCCTTCACTGGCCTTATTTAGGCTATTGGGATGCCCTCCCTTCTCTGGCACCAATCCAAATCTTATCCTTCTTCAAGGTCCATCTTGTGCTGCTGGGAGATTCTCTGAACCAGTATGGTCTTCCTAATCCCTTCCCGCTCTCATATCCCAGAGTATTCAACATCGACTTACATTTTCATTAACTGATGCCTTGTGCAGTTCTTCATTTCGTGCACATTAGCTTTACTTCCAAGTGCTCTGCAGGCTCCTATAAACCAGAGACCTCACATATCTTTCTTCTCCACTCCCTATGTTATCAACCACAGATTAAGTTTTCTAAAACCCTGCTCTGATCATTGATACAAATGACCTTCCTGTCCAGGCTTCCAATTGCCTATGAAATTAAGCACAAACTCCTTAGCACGACAGTTAAAACTCTCCATAATGTAATTCCCAACCTTAATTCTTACTACTTAGTGCCCAGATTAATGCTTGGCATAGAGTGCCTGCTCCATCAATGCTCCCTCCTGCTCTCCCTCTCTTTGCTATCTCTCATGCCCTTGCCAAACTGGAAGAGAGAACTGAGAACAAACCACTGGGTTTGACAATTATCAGGTCACTCATGAGCAATTTCAGTGTCGGGATGGAGACAAAAGCCAGATAGCAGGAACTGAAGGAGTACGTACGTCATGAAAAAAATAACTGCAGCAAGCGTAGCATAGATGTTTGTTTGTGCTAAGGAGGGACTGGAGGAGTGGCAGCCAGGAGGCCAGTGTTTAGTCTAGGGGGAGCACAGAGTGGATTTGTGGGTGAAAGACAAGGAGTCAATGGCACCGTGAAGTAGGAGTTAGTTAGGGTCAGCTCAGGAGGAGCAGGAACAGGGATCCAGGGCACAGAGGGAGAGAAGGGAAGGAAAGAAAGAAAGGATCCAGTTTCTGTCTTCTCAGTGAGTCTGATGTGAGTCGTCTGCCAGGTCAAGGATGCAGGACGGGATTAGCGATCTGAGACCAGCCACAAGAAGGCAGCTGATGGCATCAGTAAGAGAAGTGCTGAAAGATCGCCAAGTATCATAATCAATATGGCCACAACTAGCCTGGTTTCCCGTCTTTTGCTGGCATTCCTTGGAGACCCAGATGTGAGAGGGAAGAAAATATAAGGAAAATATAGGGCAGAAAAGTTGAGGTTGGGGATCGTCCATGAGAGCATGAAAAGCCCAACTCTAACCCTAACCCTAACCCTAAGCCTAACCCAAACTGGGCATTGGCATTGGCCAGATTAGTAGGGTCGCAGATCACAATCAGATATGGCACCTGGAGGGTTCTTTGGTTGATTCCAGGGCTTCCTGGCATCAGACTCTGATAGCCTGAAGGGCATGTGCACTCCACTCCACAGTGAGGATCTGAGTGTCAGGAGGATGGATATGCTTGCCCTGAGGGCACCCAGCTCTGCTGCCTTGCACAGCGCCTGGCACACATCTGGTGTCCTGGAGGTGACTTAGGAGGATGAGACCAACTTCAGGACTTTTTTCCTCAAATCTTCAAGGTCTATGGTTCCAAGTTTTCTGCGTTTTATGGAAAATGTTTAAACAAAATTTGAGGATTGATGTAGATTTTTTTCAGTCTCTTATTCTGCCAGATAAAAACATTAAAAAACTAAGCTGAGCTAAACTAAACTAAACTAGACTAAACAACTATTGTCATCATCACCACATTCATTAAATACTATCTCAACACCAGAAAACAAATAATCTCAGCAAAAAAGTCAGATTTTTAAATATAGAAACCTCTCTATATAAGAGGAAAACCTCACTACTCACAGGAATAGGGACCCGGTGTTTGGAAACCCCTGAGAATCTATAGTCACCTTCCAGAAGAGCTACAGCACAGCTGACTTCATTTCCACCTACTCACAATCACCCTGATTGGAGCTTTAGGTGTTCCTAAACCCAGCAGTCTAATTTTTACAGAGAAGCTCCATTTTAAAGACAGCTCCCACATCTTTTGTGTGTGGACACTCTCAGTGGAATTCTCACACAGTCACTTTATTTCTAAGAGGAGAAGAATGGAGTAGTAGGTGGTGACTACCTGGTGACCAGGGCTTAGAGCCAACTTCTTTGGACTGACATCCCCCTTCAAGGGAGTAAGTGTGTGTGGCAAGGGGACCATACATGAGGTTGGAATTGGCTGGTAAGGTAAGGAAAGGCAGCAACTGGTTTGAGCCCTGTAACTAAGTGGCACCAAGGCCAAAGAGGGAAAGAAAACAAGAGGGAATAAAGGAAGAGAAGGTGAAGGTCAGGATTTCCTTGGCTGGTGTCAGGTGTCGGGTGGGCACCCACTGAGGCTGGTCTGGCAGGAGGGGGCAGTGGGTCTGGGGGGAGGTGGGAGCTGACAGGAGGCTCCTCTGTCTGGAGACCAGGCACAGAGAAGAAAATCCTCCTGCCATTTGCCGGGAAACTCACTCACTCTTCTGGCCTGTGATGAGGCCCTGGGCAGATTCTCCTTCCTATAGCCTCACATAGGAATGCCACTTCTCACCAGAAGGGCTGTTTCTGCTGGATAGGGTGAGGCATTACTTTTAGACATTTACAGAATATGTTCTCCTCAGCACAGCTGTGAGGCCCTTTCCTACTCAAGGGCTGTGAACCTGAAGGCAACTCCTCAACCCCTGAAATAGAACTGTGGTGGTACCTACCCCTCTCATTCTGTGCATTGCCCAAATCAAAAATGTATCTTGATATTATATAGTATGGTTATGCCTGAGATAAAGCATACATACCAGAATTTATGTTTCTACTTATTTTTAAAAAATACTTGTTATGTAATACTATTTACGAAATGGAAATGAAAAATCAAAATATTTTCACAAGCGGGGCAAGCTGTAACCTGTGCTCCTGGATGCCAGCTCTACTCACCAGGAGCATCAAGCTCATTAGCAGGGTGAGAAACTGAGGCAAGTGGCAAGTGTTGGCTGTGTAGTTGTGACTTGTTGCAAAGGAGAGAAATTGACAACAGGGATTCCTGTCACTTTAATTCCCTGAAACTTCAGCCTCTAGCAAGAGCTCTGTTAAACCTGCTTTTAGACATAGGCATCTATCTGGAGCCCCTGGGTCTTGTAGGGAATGCAGAGCTCAGATTTCATGTCCGTATAACATGGCCCTACAGCATGTGGCTCATTCTCCCAGGAAGATTGGCCCTAGAGCTTGTTGTGTCAGCTTTGAAATGTCTTGTTAAGATGTCACATTTCCCCAGACTGGGGAAATAGAAACTTTAAGAAGAGCAGCTAGTGAGGAATACACTATAATAAAAAGTAATATGACCCAGATTTTTCTTTTAAAGTGAGAAAACTCTTTCACTCACCTTAGCCATTAAGGAATGGCCCCTGAAGGCAGGGATTTTTTTTTTCTTCCAGGCAAGAAGGTGGCTTCAGATCATAGTCTATAGGCTGCCTTCTGCCATGGAGAAGGCAGTTGTGTTTGGGTTGTGTGTGTGCATGAGGATTAGGCTCTGTGCATGGAATAAAGCATTTTAGTACTAACAGGGTCAGGGAACATCTATGTGTGTAGCGTGGGTTGGTAACCAGCTGGTCTTGATTTACCTGGGGTTTTCCCAGTTTCAAAACTAAAAGCCCCACATCTAGGGAAACCCCTCAGTTCCAGGAAAACCAGGATGGTTGGTCACTTTAGATGTGGAAGCACTGAGAACCTGCTGTCATTTTCCCTCACTGGCATGTGACAGGGCTTATCATCCACTATTTAAGATCTATTCTTTTGAGTCCAGGAATTGTCCCATGTTAAAATGCAGGCAGCTTTAAGAAGAGTGACCCATTAAACCATTAAAGCTGAGAAGCGGCATTCTACACAGCTGATTATTCCCTCCTGCTTAACTGTCTCTTTCCTCAGGGATATACAGATTAAGACCACAATAGGATAGCATTTTACATTTACTAGCTAGGGAAGAAATAAAAAGTCTGACAATACCAGGTGTTGGTATGGACATGCTACAACAGGAACTCTTATTTACTGCTGGTGGGTGTGTAAATTCGTGCACCTACTTTGGAAAACAATTATCTTACAAAGTTGAACATGTGCAAACCCAAATGAATTTCACTTTAAAACATATGTCGGAGAGAAGCTCTTGTACTTGGGCCTCAGGAATCATATGAAGAGAGGGATTCTATGACCTAATAATGCTTTAGTTCACAAGATGGGTGTTAGGATTACTTGTTTCAAATTATTATTATGTCCCATACTTACATATATGCTATATACATTCATTTGTAAAAATAAAAATATATGATAACTATTTTAGGAAAATAAGGCAGAATAAATCAAAATATGTCAATGTTCACAATAAATGTAAAAACTAAATTCATCAGTTAAAGGACAGGGATGATAAGAATGTGTTTAAACAGCAACAATAACAACAAGAACAAATTCAGCTAATTGCTGTTTGTTAGAGACATATGTGAAATGTAAAGACTCAGATTAAAAGTAAAAGGACAGAAGAAGATATTTTAAGCTAGAAGTAAATATGTTAACATCAGACAAATGACGTTAAAGCAAAAATAGGAATATATAATCTTAATGTCCAACATTAGGAATTCATAGTTTTTACAAAATCACCATAAAGCTATAACTTGTTTGAATCTACATAACATGTCTTCAGTGTGTATAAAGCAAATCCCAACAGAATTAATAGAAGAATTGGACAAATTCACAACCATAGTGGGAGATTTAAACACAGCATATGAATGGCAGGTTTGTGCTTTGATCTGCCTTTGCTGCTTATTCTGTCCTTTCTTATTTTCTACTGGACTTTAAGCAAGTCTCTTCCTTCTGTTAGACCTTAGTTTCTTGCACCTGAAAAGAGGGAATTGGACCAGATGGGTGAGGACTCCATGAAATAACCATACTCCCATGCCAGTCAGTGCCTGGAAAAAGCCTTGTCACATGATGGATGCTTCTGAGACCAGTGGCAGCTGGCGCTGTTTACTCAGCATGTCCCAGGAGAATCCATCACCTGTTGTCTTTCCTGAAAACGCCACTCTCAAATCCCCCTTACTGATTGCAGGCAGCTTTGCACACACAGAAGCTTATAAACCTTTTTGTCAGCTCAAGGGCCAACAGAGTGAAAACTCATAGACCCAGCTTCTTGGAGCTACATGTTTGGTTTGTCTCTCAGAGTCAATTAGGAGGTGAGAGAGGAAGTCAGTATAGACTGATTCCACTGGCGGGCTGACACTAACAGGACATGCATGCTTGGAAACATGGAAGGGGCCATCTGTGAAAGCTTGGAGTACAGCTTCCCTAAATGGTAATTTCAAACGCAGCATAAAAAGATGAACTGGGAAATGCTAGTTTGGTAACATGGAGCCCGAGACCAGGAGTCAGGAGCCTGGTGCTGGTTTTCTGGACCTGACAATCACTGGGGCAACGTTAGCCAAGGTGCTGCTTGTCTCTACATCTCTTCCTCATTTCTGAAGTGATGGGATTGTGTTCTAACTTCTGAGGCCTTCGCATCTTCGGTAAGGCCTGAGAACTCTAAGTTTTGGTAGGATATCTCTTTTGTTAATTGACTTTTTTATTCAGTAGGAAGGGGGAAGTGAGCTAAAATTTACCAGGTGCCTACTAGCTTCCGCTTTACACAGGTAATTTCATGTAATTTTCACCACACATCTATTATTATTATTATCATTTGAGACAGAGTTTCGCTCTTGTTGCCCAGGCTGGAGTGCAATGGCTCGATCTTGGCTCACCGTAACTTCTGCCTTCTGGGTTCAAGCGAATCTCCTGCTTCAGCCTCCTGAGTAGCTTGGATTACAGGCATGTGCCACCATGCCTGGCTAATTTTGTATTTTTAGTAGAGATGGGGTTTCTCCATGTTGGTCAGGCTGGTCTCGAATTCCTGACCTCAGGTGACCCACCCACCTTGGCCTCCCAAAGTGCTGGGATTACAGGCGTGAGCCACCGCACCCGGCCTATTATTTTAATTTTACTGATGAGAACAGAGGTTCAGAGAGAGAATACTTTGGACAGTGGTGATTTGAACTCAGGTCTTTTAAAACTAAGGACTGCACTGTTTGTACTATAACCACCTTCTCCAGTGGGTAGGACACCTCCAGTAAGAAGTTAGATGGACCTACTGTGAATTTTCATTCCTGTAAGGTAGACTCTTCCAGAAGAAGCTGAGAGGAGAGGTTGTTGGTAAAATCCACAAGTATCTGATAATTGATGTGGGAACAACACAATACACAAACATCCTGGTAAATGATGCTTAGCAGGCTATCCTGAGGCAGAAGCCTGCAGGTAACAGGTCAGTGTCTGCATTCATTAATTCCTGTGTCCATTTATTGAATTTTTTTGGTGTTTACTGTGGATCAGGCCTGAGATGCTGGGGTAACAGTGATGAACAACACAGACCAGCCCTCCTGTCTTGTACTTCAAATCTACTGAGAATTTAGGGGCATCCTTGGGAGTATGGAGCTGTACCCATCCCCAGATAAGAGGTATAAGGGAAGGCCCCCAGGAACATAACCCATTAATGATCTTTTCCTCTTTCCTTTCTCCTCCAATTTCCCAATTTTAGTCAGTCCAAGCTCTGTGTTCATCTCATTTTCTTCCCATAATCAAACTTAAATCAGTGAGCTCAAGTTGGAAAGCTCATTCATATCTATTGCATTACCTCTTCTGGAGAATCTGCATTTTAACCTAGGACTCCTGAGATTGAATTAACCACTTCTCTACTGGCGTAACTGCTATTACTGCAGCAGGACGGTGTTTCAAATCAAGAGTGAGGGGGTGTTCCCCAGATCACCGAGGTAGGTCTCTACTACCATCATGGAGGTCTAGAACAGTGGCACAGAGCTTACCTGAAAGAGCTGTGAAGTGTGACGATTTTGACTACAATACTTAGCTGAATTATGAGCCTAGTTCAGTGCCCCCATTCAGATTCTATTTGGGCTCTTGTCTCTTTTGAACTTGGAGTTTTGCATGTTTTTTTTTTTTAAGTTGCATGACCTTGAGTGATTTCTAAACTCTCTGAATCTCAACTTATGTATCTGTAGAGAAGAGATTATAGCCCTCCTCACAGGAGGTTGTGAGGATCAAATGAGATGATTCATTTAAAGAGCCTAGCACAGTACCTGCCTCATGGTAGGAGCTAGATAAAAACTTAAAATTATTTAAAATAATAAGAGTTTAATTTCTATTAGTCTCTACCTTGTCTCTATTTTATTATTTTTTTCTTTGTATTAAGATACTCTTCTTCTAGCCAATATATCCAATGGCATCTTTGTTTGCTCTCCCATGTTCCACCTGAACCTACTCCAGTCACATCATTTGTGCCATTTCCAACATCATGGGGGTAGAACAAACACGAAACTGTGCCCTTGTAGGAGTGTATTCAGGGAAACCAAGAATTTTCTTTGCATCAGAAGAGCAAATAGTAATTCTAAGTGGTTTTCAAACGATGGATATTCCAGGTTTATTTATTCCTTTTCTGATAATCATTCTGTATGCAAAATGCTGAGCACCATGATCCATCTTTTGTAGGTTCTGGGTGAAGAGAGCTTTCGTTGCTTTAGACCCCCTTTTCCTACTCACTCTCCATCTAGTCACAAATCCTGAAGAGTCTCAGTATTTTAAGGGAAAAATATGACAAAATATTCTCAAGTTCAGGTAAAGTAAACATACACTCTGGCAAACACATCGAAACATCAAAATCCTGTCTGTGCTTGAGGTCCTACCAGTGCTGGGGAGCTCACCACCTCACCAGGCAGCCTATACCATTAATTTCCAGGAGTAATTATTCCTGAAGTTGCCTTTATATAGAAGCCACATGATATACCTTCACATCCCTTCCATTCATTTGTCCTAATTTTGCTCTCTGGAGCAACCCAAAGTAAGTCCCATGCCTCTTCCATGTGACAGCTTTTCACTCTCTCTTTCATATACTTCCCTTCCTGTCCAACACATGGCCGCTGCTGTAGGGTTGCTATCATTTTGAATGAGCTACTATAATAAGTTTCCTGAGCATGTCTCTCTGTGTGTAGTCTTTCTCCCTTCCAACCCATCTTCCCCATTCGTGCCAGATTTCTATTCCCCAAACCCAGTTACTTTCTACTGGTTAAAGTGTTAAATTTGGCACTTGGGCCAGTGCTGCTGCCTGTGGTGTCCTCCCTGCTGTCCACTGGTAGCCCCACCATGCCCAGTCTGTCTTTCTTGATTTCCCTCCTAATGTAACCCTACACCAGTGGTACCCAGTGCTATCTCCAGGCACCATGGACAATTTGTTGCCAAAAATACCTTGTGATTTTCTGCCTCCTTGATTTCACTTGTTCCATATTTATTCTTTCTCTTGAAGGTTCCCCCACTTCACCCTCTGTGTTCAAACTGGATTCATTTACATCTCAGGAAAAGTCCAAACTGTGCATCTAAACCTAATGCCTTTTTTTTTTTTTTTTTTTTTGGTCTCACTCTGGAATGAGTCATTTCCATTCATCCTCTGAGAGATTGCTCTGCAGGGGGTTAAACCAGTCGTAACAATGTTCTGGAGTATTGATCCCATGTTGGTCTTTGGAGTTATCTGGGGAAGAAAGAAAGACTGCAGGTGGAGAAACCACCATACTGCCTCAGCAGCTGTGTCACTCTGGGCAGGTTGCTGCATCACAAGGTACAGAGAAGTTTGGCAGAAACTAATTTTGAAATAATTAAGTTGTTCTGTCCACAGATCATAGCACTAGAAGCAGTTACCCTCCAATCTTGCAAAAGGTTATTATATATCTATTACTTATACTTCGAGATAGTAAGATTGAGATAAGGTTAATTGTTACTGAAATTAGAAATCTAAATGCAACTAGAACTTTCTAATTAAGTTGGTGTAAATATTTAAAAGAGTATAATGCACATTTCAAAGGGGTGAATGCTAAACGTCCCTTTGAAATGTGCTGAGGAAGAGAAATGCAGTGCTCAGTCACTCCGTCCTGGAAAAAGGTTGGCTCTTCAAGAGGCAGAACTCACACAAAGCACATGCATGACAACACACATGCACACACACATGCAGGCATACACACACAACCATCATCTCTTCACTTGAGCATCTATCGCCATTGGTATGCTCAAAAATAGCTATTTATCTGGATTTTTTATTCCCACAATCACTGTCCCATTGGGTCAGTTATAGTTAGATTTTATAGTCTTCCTAGATCAGAACTTTGGAAACATATTGAATTGCCCATTATATAAGAGCATTATTAACTGGCTTAGGAACCTGATGTCTAGAGCCATCACTTGGTTTAGGGGGAAATCACCTAACTACAGAGGACAGAAGATCAGAGCCTTCATTCAAGCTCTTCTATTCACCAATCTCATGAGCTTAAATAAGTCTTTTATCCTTTCCTATTTCCAGGCAGGGTTAGCAGATCCATTGCCTACTTCCCAGGCCTGTTGTGAGGATATATAGAAATAACTGGTGTGAAAATACTTAGGAAAGTTAAAAAATGCACCCAAATATTATTGTTGTTGATGTAATTATTACTCAGTTATTACCCTATTAGCTGATAGATTAGCACATACAAAAGAAATACTTCTTAAACCATCTCCACCTGGGATGGGGATAATTGGAAGGAAGGAAGCCGTGGGTAGAAATTAGATAAGGAAATAGAAAAGACAGAATGAGAATGGATGAATGAGTCAGGAAGAGTGAGGGAAGGATTATTTTTACAAAACCAACTGGGAAATTGCTATAATTCCAGGCCCTATGGCAGACTGCTCGAGAGAAAAATGGGCATGCCAATCAATGCATCAGCCTCTCAATTCACCACACCAGAGGTGCTAGGAGGAATACAAAAGAAGAGCCAGGCCTGCCCTGGGGGAAATCACTTTGAATATAGAAACACGATGTAAATTAGTAAACAAAACAAGACTGTATAATAATTAACAAAAAATTGTATAACGGGCGTGTATTAGTGCTGCCAGGCCTACCTTTATATGAAGGCAAGAGGGGTTCCTGTCCTTGGTCCTGTGATACAGGGGTCCCACGAAGGCTCTTCCATGACCAGCCCACCACCATATGGTGAAAAATCTGCAGGACCAAGAACCCTCTACCCTCATTATGCTGTTAGACAGGGGATGCTGAAATTCCCTGGAGCCTCTTCTAGGGCCTGTGTGAGCCTCTTCCATTGGATTAGTCTCTCCAAGGGTGGACCATCCTGCTCTTTTTGCCTTAGGGGTAGCCAAAGGGTGAAAATAACCTGGATGTAGAGATTGGGGTGTCACATGTATAAGACCCCTCTAGGTTGGGGGCAGAGTCAGGGAGGGGTGGAAAAGAAAGTGGGCCAGGATGAGAGCTATGGGCTGCATTGTCCTGCAAGGGCAAGTTTCCACAAATAATTCCAAGGAGTCCAGGGGTTCAAATCTGGCCTCCAGGTCCACATTAATGCATGTTTTTCAAGGTAAGGGATAGAGATTTTAATTCATCATTTATTAGCATGACCTATAACTTAAATATTTAGAGATGATATGCAGACTCTGCTCTTGTTTCTGACTTGCAAATGTTAGTTATAGGTCTGAGTGCTACAGTAGCTTGTAGAAGGGAGAAACCAACATTTCTTTTTTTTTTTTTTAAATATATATATGTATTTTTTATTATACTTTAAATTCTAGGGTACATGTGCACAACATGCAGGTTTGTTACATATGTATACATGTGCTATGTTGGTGTGCTGCACCCATTAACTCGTCATTTACATTAGGTATATCTCCTAATGTTATCCCTCCCCACTCCCCGCACCCCACAACAGGCTCTGGGGTATGATGTTTCCCTTCCTGTGTCCAAGTGTTCTCATTGTTCAATTCCCATCTATGAGTGAGAACATGCAGTGTTTGGTTTTTTGTCCTTGTGATAGTTTGCTGAGAGTGATGGTTTCCAGCTTCCTCCATGTCCCTACAAAGGACATGAACTCATCCTTTTTTATGGCTGCATAGTATTCCATGGTGTATATGTGCCACATTTTCTTAATCCAGTCTATCATTTATGGACATTTGGGTTGGTTGGTTCCAAGTCTTTGCTATTGTGAGTAGTGCCACAATAAACATACGTGTGCATGTGTCTTTATAGCAGCATGATTTATATTCCTTTGGGTATATACCCAGTAATGGGATGGCTGGGTCAAATGGTATTTCCAGTTCTAGATCCCTGAGGAATCGCCACACTGTCTTCCACAATGGTTGAACTAGTTTACAGTCCCACCAACAGTGTAAAAGTGTTCCTATTTCTCCACATCCTCTCCAGCACCTGTTGTCTCCTGACTTTTTAATGATTGCCATTCTAACTGGTGTGAGATGATATCTCATTGTGGTTTTGATTTGCATTTCTCTGATGGCCAGTGATGGTGAGCATTTTTTCATGTGTCTTTTGGCTGCATAAATGTCTTCTTTTGAGAAGTGTCTTTTCATATCCTTCATGCACTTTTTGATGGGGTTGTTTGTTTTTTTCTTGTAAATTTGTTTGAGTTCATTGTAGATTCTGGATATTAGCCCTTTGTCAGATGAGTAGATTGCAAAAATTTTCTCCCATTCTGTAGGTTGCCTATTCACTCTGATGGTAGTTTCTTTTGCTGTGCAGAAGCTCTTTAGTTTAATTAGATCCCATTTGTCAATTTTGGCTTTTGTTGCCATTGCTTTTGGTGTTTTAGTCATGAAGTCCTTGCCCATGCCTATGTCCTGAATGGTATTGCCTAGGTTTTCTTCTAGGGTTTTTATGGTTTTAGGTCTAACATTTAAGTCTTTAATCCATCGTGAATTAATTTTTGTATAAGGTGTAAGGAAGGGATCCGGTTTCAGTTTTCTACATATGGCTAGCTAGTTTTCCCAGCACCATTTGTTAAATAGGGAATCCTTTTCCCATTTCTTGTTTTTGTCAGGTTTGTCAAAGATCAGATGGTTGTAGATGTGTGGTATTATTTCTGAGGGCTGTGTTCTGTTCCATTGATCTATATCTCTGTTTTGGTACCAGTACCATGCTGTTTTGGTTACTGTAGCCTTGTAGTATAGTTTGAAGTCAGGTAGCGTGATGCCTCCAGCTTTGTTCTTTTGGCTTAGGATTGACTTGGCAATGTGGGCTCTTTTTTGGTTCCATATGAACTTTAGAGTAGTTTTTTCCAATTCTGTGAAGAAAGTCATTGGTAGCTTGATGGGAATGGCATTGAATCTATAAATTACCTTGGGCAGTATGGCCATTTTCGTGATATTGATTCTTCCTATCCATGAGCATGGAATGTTCTTCCATTTGTTTGTATCCTCTTTTATTTCCTTGAGCAGTGGTTTGTAGTTCTCCTTGAAGAGGTCCTTCACTTCCCTTGTAAGTTGGATTCCTAGGTATTTTATTCTCTTTGAAGCAATTGTGAATGGGAATTCACTCATGATTTGGCTCTCTGTTTGTCTGTTATTGGTGTATAAGAATGCTTGTGATTTTTGCACATTGATTTTGCATCCTGAGACTTTGCTGAAGTTGCTTATCAGCTTAAGGAGATTTTGGGCTGAGACCATGGGGTTTTCTAGATATACAATCATGTCATCTGCAAACAGGGACAATTTGACTTCCTCTTTTCCTAATTGAATACCCTTTATTTCTTTCTCCTGCCTGATTGCCCTGGCCAGAACTTCCAACACTATGTTGAATAGGAGTGGTGAGAGAGGGCATCCCTGTCTTGTGCCAGTTTTCAAAGGGAATGCTTCCAGTTTTTGCCCATTCAGTATGCTATTGGCTGTGGGTTTGTCATAAATAGCTCTTATTATTTTGAGATATGTCCCATCAATACCTAATTTATTGAGAGTTTTTAGCATGAAGGGCTGTTGAATTTTGTTGAAGGCCTTTTCTGCATCTATTGAGATAATCATGTGGTTTTTGTCATTGGTTCTGTTTATATGCTGGATTACATTTATTGATTTGCATCTATTGAACCAGCCTTGCATCCCAGGGATGAAGCCCACTTGATCGTGGTGGATAAGCTTTTTGATGTGCTGCTGGATTCGGTTTGCCAGTATTTTATTGAGGATTTTCGCATCAATGTTCATCAGGGATATTGGTCTAAAATTCTCTTTTTTGGTTGTGTCTCTTCCAGGCTTTGGTATCAGGATGATGTTGGCCTCATAAAATGAGTTAGGGAGGATTCCCTCTTTTTCTATTGTTTGGAATAGTTTCAGAAGGAATGGTACCAGCTCCTCCTTGTACCTCTGGTAGAATTCGGCTGTGAGTCCGTCTGGTCCTGGACTTTTTTTGGTTGGTAAGCTATTAATTATTGCCTTAATTTCAGAGCCTGTTATTGGTCTATTCAGAGATTCAACTTCTTCCTGGTTTAGTCTTGGGAGGGTGTATGTGTCGAGGAATTTATCCATTTCTTCTAGATTTTCTAGTTTATTTGTGTAGAGGTGTTTATAGTATTCTCTGATGGTAGTTTGTATTTCTGTGGGATTGGTGGTGATATCCCCTTTATCATTTTTTAATTAGTCTATTTGATTCTTCTCTCTTTTCTTTTTTATTAGTCTTGCTAGTGGTCTATCAGTTTTGTCAATCTTTTCAGAAAATTAGCTCCTGGATTCATTGATTATTTGAAGATTTTTTTATGTCTCTATCTCCTTCAGTTCCGCTCTGATCTTAGTTATTTCTTGCCTTCTGCTAGCTTTTGAATGTGTTTGCTCTTGCTTCTCTAGTTCTTTTAATTGTGATGTTATGGTGTCAATTTTAGATCTTTCCTGCTTTCTCTTGTGGGCATTTAGTGCTATAAATTTCCCTCTACACACTGCTTTAAATGTGTCCCAGAGATTCTGGTATGTTGTGTCTTTGTTCTCGTTGGGAGAAACCAACATTTCTTAAGCCGATGCATCACCTTGGGCAGTTGCTGCATCACAAGGTCCAAAGAAGTTTGCCTGTCAGAAGCTGATTTTATCCCCCTTACTCCAACCAATCAACACCCCCAATTTTCCAGCCCCTTACCCTCCATGATCTCCTAAAAAACCCAGCCCAGAACTCCTTGGGGAGATAAATTTGAGGATCTTCTCCCATCTCCTCACTTGGTGTCCTGCAATCATTTCTCTTTCTCTGCCACTTCTGTCTCAGTGGAATTGGTCTGTTACTGCGCAATGGGCATATAAACCCATTGGTCCTAGCGCAATCGCACTGGAGGAAGTAGTTACTCTCCAATCTTGCAAAAGATTGTTGCATGTTTATTACTTATACTTCAGAATATTAAGATTGGGAGAAAGTTAATTCTTACTGAAATTAACGGCAAATATCATGGAGGATTTGAGGAGGTGGGATCTGACTTTTGCCTTGAGCTAGCTGTTGGGTTGGGAAGGAATTCCAAGGCATGTGAATGACTGAGCAATGTCTGGGAGATAATGAGGGTAATAACGGTGACCTGGCTGGAGTCAGTCACTTTTGATTCCTTCCAGTCCCAACCACTCTCCCTACTCTTCCCTGGGGTTAAATTCCCACCCTTTTTTCATATCTTATTGAAGCTCTACTCACTTGTTAGAACATTTTCAGATTTCCTCATTCCATAAACTCATTCTCTTTCTCTGATCCCCTCTGGAATTCTTTATGTACACCACTAGTATGCACCAGTATTTTTAGAGAAGCTATTGTATGTGACACCGTAGATTAGTTGGCACTACCCAGTATAGAATTTAATTATGAAAGTAATAGTTTCTGGAGTATTAGTTTCATGTTCTTAGAAGTTCCCAGAGATCAAGAGCTCTTCAGTTAAACCCAAAGTGACTATGAAACTGGGCTGTAACAAGGTCATCTTAACAGTTCTGTGTTGTTTGGGTTGAGGAGAGAGAAAATGGAAGAGGAGGAACAATTATTGGTCTCCTCAAACTTTTCCAGGAAAGTTGCTTCTCACAGCAGAGGAACTGGGAATGTGTATCCTCTGGGGAGACTGAGAGCATAGCCCTAGGCTATGCATGTCAAGTCTAGACATTTATATAAAATCTCTTGTTTTATCTAAAAACTTCATGCAGATTTTATATTCTAGTCCATGATATGTTTTTGCATGTCTTAAAACAGAATTTTAAATTACTTATCACTGAGATAAGACAACTGTCTTGTAAGATTTATCATGCCTGTTTTATAAAGTGCAAATTATTCTCAGGTCCAAGTGCAGTACTTGGCACACAGTGGACACTCAATAAATATTTACTGACTGACTGACTGACTGAATGAATGAACCAGGTTGGGGAGTCTCATACACCCAGTCCATTGTACTATATCTCCAAGAGGAAGCAAGCCTGATTTTGTGAAATGGGGGATTATGATGCTATTTCAATGGTCCATATGTGAGGAAAAGGGCCTGGTCAAGGTTTTGGCAGTGTAGGGGAAGGATGGATATGAGAGACACTTCAAAGGAATAATAAAAGGGACTAAATTATTGCAAATGGAATCCAAAAATAAGGATGATAATCGGAAATGGGGAAGTTTCAAAAGAGAGAGAATGTTTAATTCAACTTTGGCCTCTGAGTTTGTGATGACAGTGTCAGATTCAGGTACTCTTAGGTCATATTTCCTAGCAGTGGGGATTTTGAGAGTCATTGTCAATGTGACAATGACTTTCACCTTTCAATAAAATGTGAAATCTTCAATCTGGTAAGAGAAATCATCACTGTTTAGACCCATCTTGCCCAATATGGTAGCCACATGTGGCCAATGAGCCTTGAAATGTGGCTGGTCCAATTGACCTGTGCTGTAAGTTTAAAATACACATTGAATTTTGAAGACAAGTACACACCCACACTCACACCTATACCCAAAGAATAGAAAATATGTCATTCATACTTTTTATATGGGTAACATGTTGAAATGATACTACTATGGATATATAGGTTCAACAATATATACTCTTAAAATTTGTTTCACTCATTTGTACGTTAAGAAATGTGGCTACTAGAAAATTAAAAATTCCACTTGCATCTTGCATTTGTAGTTTGCATGTTATTTATATTGACAGTGCTGGTCTAGAATGTTGAAGTAAGATGACCTGGTAACAGATCCAGTAGAAGATATCCCAGTAGTTCTTCCCCAAAGACTACCAGTGATAAACTTCTGCAAACCTCCCTTTGCAAAAAGTGCTTTTCTCTCTGGAGTGTTTGGAAGACACCATTAATAGATGGTTGCAAACAACAATCATCATTCACCATGCACATTTGACAGAACTTACTATTAAGAAAGGCTGTAGAAGTGTAAACTTGAAACTAATTAAAACCCTTGCCTAAGGAAGCCCCACCAACCCAAGCAACTTTAAGCAGAAATCTGTGATTAAACGCCGTGTTGTGCTAGTTAACATTTCCCCAGCTGTATCTCCACATTGTCAGTGACTCCCCTCACCTCTTGCCATTTGAAACAGTAAATAATTGGGTTTCTGTTCACTTCCTTGCCTTCTTAATCACTTTTCCCCTGCTGAAGTCCAGTCATTTAGACATAACTGGTCTATCCCCTTGGAAAATTTGAAATGTTTTTGATATTGAGACTTAAACATCTGTCACAGCTGTAGCAGGTTCAGGAGTCTCATTGCCTCTTTGCTGTTAGTGGTATTTGGCAAAGTGCTACATAGCATTACATAAAGAACTACTCACTGATGATGAACTCAGCCTCCAGTGGCAGGCATGAAGGGATTGTTTTTGGAATCCTTCTAAGGAAAGCTCTCCTTTGTGGTGGAATGAACTTCCCTCATCTGTAGTCCCCCCATGTCTCGGTCCTCATTTCTCTAGCTGACGTCTACCTTGCAGCTGGATCTTGTTAGCTGAAAACTACAACCTATTTCTTTTGAGTTAAAGACTCAAACCATCCATGTAGCCAGTGATGCTTTGCCTGACCTGCTCCTGCTCCTTCTGTGGCCGCACTCAGCCCACTCTCCTCTGCACCCTGCTCCAGCCACATTGGCTAGCCCTGGCTCTTGTCCTTGATCAGGTCCTGCTGTCCACCCTTATGTCCTGGCCCTGCAGTGCTCTTTGCCTGGAATACACCCTCCTTCCTTCCCTCTCCACGCAGCTAACTCCTCAAAGCTTAGCTCCTGAAATCTCCAGCCTTTTTATTTGCTGTCATGAGGGCCTGAACTTTTCTATCAAAGTGCTTATCACAGCTAATGATATATAGTCAACATGGTTATATAATTATATAAAGTATGTGCTTACTACTTGGTTTTAAGTAGCTAGAGGGATAATGTTTGTTTTGTTCACTGTTGTATCCCAGGGTTAGAGACTCAATAAATATTCACTGAATGAGTGTATAAATGTGTTTGTTATGTTCCTCCTGCAGACTGCTGGAGGCTTCCTGCAGGTGCTGTCTGCATGGCAGGGGGCATTTCTCTGTCCTCTCCTCCTTCTAGCAGGTGGAGGAGACCCCTGTGCTTTAGACCACAATCACCATGTGTGGGGTGATGGGGGTTTAGGCGGATCGGTGACAAGGAAGGGGGATGGTATCCCCTTCGCCCCTGAATCTTGAATCATTCTTCCCTTCTTTATTCCCGTGGCTTGGGTTGATTCTCCTCACTCCCTGCAATTTCCTTCTCTCTAATTTCACATCTTCTCCCTCTTCCCCACAGCTCATCTGCTTTAGCTGCGTGTGGTTGTCTTCCTTCCCTTTCCACATGCTGCCCCCACCCTCCTGTGAGTTTGACAGTTTCCCACAGAGAGCATCAAGCTCTCTTGGGATGCATGTAGGCACTTTTCCATCTGATTATAGTGGTTTCTAGTTTTAACGCACCCTAACTGAATCACACAGGTTCAATTAACTTCACCATATGTGCTGCCCTTTGGCCTAGAACACAGGGCTGCAAGGCAGGTACAGAGCTCTAAATTAGTCCACTGGTAGAGAATTCTTCATCTCCTGGAGATCATAGCTGTCATGACCTTATATAGTAGGTACAGAATGACTTGCCTTTTGCATAAATGAGAACTTTCTTTCATTGGTAAAATCTTCTAGCTCTCCCTTCAAAGATATACCAAGAAGAATAGCACTTCTCACCACCTCCACTGGCAGCCCCTGCCCTCACCTCCTCCAGGACTCTGCTCAAACTTGATCTGATAAATGTGTGGACCTAATGTCTTTCTCTTAACTTTTCATTGGACTCCTCCTGGGTTTTACTCTGAAAACAGAAAGACAAACCATTGAGATTACGTTAAACATGAGCGGGTTAAGAGCACCCTTTCGGGAGTCATCACTCTTGCTTGAAAGTATCTGATGACTTAAAAGAGACCTTAGAGACTAAGGCAATGGTTTCAAACTTTAAAAAAATAAGTGGAGCCCTTTCATTAAGTGAAATCATATGTAGAAGACTTTACTTCTGCATGTTTTAGAGAAATGAGATGTTTGGCCATGTGGACACATTGCTGAGTCACATGGTGCGCTGGTGGCAGAGGCTGTCAGTACCTTAGGTGAGAGGTGAGGAAAGTGAGGCTGAGAGAGTTTAAATTCTTAATGTAGACACTGGGAGCAGTGAAGGGGAATCTGGGCTTGAAGGTCTTGGCTTTGTCACCACTACCACCCCATGTCCTCTCAACCCAGCCAAACCATAGTACATTACAAAGGTTTTACAAATCTCAAACAAACAAATTTCTGGAAAGCACCACCTAGACTAAAATAAATGCACCAGCAGCTCATTACCATCTTAATCTTCATCAAAATCATCATCATCACCATTCAACTAATTGCCTGTATTTCATTGTTTTGCCAATAAGAAGAGTGTTAGGACTTACCACATACATTTGCTAAAACAAATATACTCCCCACCTCCTTCAAGTCTGCTCAAAGGTCACTTCTCAATGACATGACCATCTTGCTGGGGTGTGCAGTTCCCTGCTGTGCCCTCCCCTGAATGTCCATCCTCCTATCCTGTTCTGCTTTTTCTTTTCTTTCCATAGCACTTTTCACTTTCTAACATATGATATAATTTACTTTGTAAACCAAAAATAAAATTCTAAGGCCCCCCAACCATCTAAACAGACTTCCTCCTCAGCCAGGGCTCTTAAAATTTAATCTGAAAGACTGGTTCAGGCCATGAAGGGAAGTGGGGTCGAACAGGCCTCATCATACCTGTATGGGGCATTAACATCAACACGGACTTTAAACATTTCACAGCCTGTTCTCTCTGAAGCCTGCTAGCTAAAAGCTTCACCTGCATGACAAAACTTTGGTCTCCACAACCTCTTATTGCACCAAACATTCCTTTCTATTGATCCCAAGTCTTTAGACAAACTCAACCAATTGTCAAGCAAAAAATGTTTAAATTTACCTATAGCCTGGAAACTGTAGGTAAGAAACTAAGTGCAAGTTTCTCACATAATGAGCAACAAATGTCAGCTAGTAGTTGTTATCCCATCCCCAATCACCACTCTTTTAATCTGTATGCTCTCTTACACCTTTTGAGAATTAGGACAAAAATTTCTCAAGGAAGAGTGGTGACCGTTCCCCATCAGACCCATAGTGTCACCAAGAATGTATCCCTTATGATCCCAAAGTCATCCTCTCTGAAGAGTAGAGTGTGTGGTCCCAGTTCAGAAGTGTTCCTGAGTAACTTGTGCTTATAACTCAGGACACTTCTGAACTTGGACCATACAGGTCTCCCTGCTTCTGTTATCTCTCAGACTGGTCTGTTCTTAGTCACACTGTGGAAACGGGGCCACCTAGCTAAGCTTCCAGCACTTCTCACCTTATCTGAAAAGGCAGCCACTCTCTGTCCATTAGCATTCTACTCTTCCTTCAAGTTCTAATCAAGATATAACCTTCATTCTTGGCTCGGTTTGCATCAATTCTACCTCCTTCTGATTGCTCATGGAGTAAATTTTTTATCTCACACATTATAGTGCTTCACAGAACTCCTTCCTGCAGTCCTCAATTTCTTATGGGCTCGTAGGTGCAAAAAAAAAAAAAAAAAAAAAAAAATCTCCCCTGAATTTCCGCTCCTAACTCTACCATAACTCATGGTGAACTCGGGAAATTACTCAACCATTCTGGATCTCCTTTACTCCATTTTATAGATAAGGAGTTGAATTGGGTGATGTTCAAGACCTCCTCAGATTTCACATTCTAGGAGATTACAGGCAGTTTAACAGCATGGTTCATGACCAATAATAACATGACATTTCTCATTCACAAGGGCCTGGTAGACCCTTCAACTTTGTCAGTTCCAATCTTTTCCATAATCCTATAAGGGAGGTACTATAATACCCATTTTAAAGATGAGAAAAACTAACGTTCATAACTGTTATAAAACCCAACTTGCTTAAGTGAGTCTGTTATTGCAACAGGGCTGGGATTCTACCCTGAGTCACAGCCTGTGTTCCTTTCTCCTTTCTGATCTGTCCTGTGTCTTCTACTTTTTCATATCACTCTTAGCCATGACTGACAGACCTAGGCACAACAAATGACCTGACGTGAACTCTAGAAGTGGGTTCCAAAACTTAAGAAGAGGGATTCACTCACATTCTCTTGGTTGGCTCTGTGACTTATCTGCTGTATGGGCAGTGCCGTGCACTCTTGGGGCTCCTTGATGCTGGAAGTTGGGCAAAAGGAAGCCCACATGGGGAAGAAGCAGTTCTTCCCCTCACTAATGTACGGCTGTGGACAGGTTATGTAAGTTCTGTAAGCCTCAGTTTACAAACAGTCTTCATCTATTAAATAAGGACAACGATATCTATCTCCAAAGATTGTGAGGAGAACTTTATATGAGGAAATGGGCATAACATCAGTGTGAGGTGTTTGTTTTTGTTTCAAACAAATCTGAATGCAGAACTCAGCATGCTATTTAGTTCTCTCAAAAGCACATACACACACTAGTGAGCAGCAGAGGGTGATGATCTTGTAGGGTGACGTAAGAGAGGGTTTATATCACATACACTGTAGCAAACAACTTAATATTCACATTCTGAGTTGCCTTTCCTCACACGGTGCTAAGCCTCACTGGTTCCTACCTCCCATCCCTCCCCCAATTTTAAAAACCTCCCTGCTTGATTATGCAGAATGCAACACCACCAGCTTTAATTTCCAAACTCATGACCCTTAATGCATTGTGGTGCTCAGAAAACCAAGTCCCTGCCAGTTAATAGGACTTACTCTCTTTGGGCAGTCTTTGGGGTTAAAAAAAAAGATTTTATTTCCTTGTACATTATCATCATCATTTTCATCAACAAAAACTTTACCTGGTAACTTAGAAGAATGATTCAGAGAGATGCTAGAAAATGGGAAATGGGGACATTGTAGCACAATTTTCAAGAGATTCATAGATGGATCAGGAAAATCTAGCACTGGATAAAGTAGCTCTGGAATGAGCCTCCTATGGTCAGAATAACTGAACCGACTGTGTCCAGCCACCAAAGCTCACCTGTCACTCTACACTGGTTGAGTGTAGACTGGAGACTCAGAGCCCCACTGGATTCTCACAGCTACTCCATCTGTGAAAGCTCCTGGGAGAGGGGTAAGGCGGCCTCCAAAGACCACTTGGAATTGCCTCACCCAGAAGATCAGAACCCTACTTTCTGGGCAGATACATGGGATCCTCTATAATCTGGTTCACTAGACCAATCTCACTGATCACCATTCAGTGAGAGTTGCAAAGATACGGAGAAATGGAATTAAAGCTATCAAAATAAGAAAATTCCTGATCAAAAGTTTTCAACTACTTATCTACAGGAAAAGTTATTTTATGTGTAGTAAACTAAATTCATTTACAATGTCTTTGTGAGTTATTAATCATCCGCCAGTGGGAGGCAGGCAACAGGAGAAACAGGCTGTGTATCTGAGAGTGGGACCCCTTAAGAGTGCAAAGGAGAAGGGGAGAGGAGAGAAGGTGACAATATGTTGCAGTTTCATTATTACAATTTACAACAGCCTACACATGTTTAATCCTGATTTTCTTCTCTTCACAAATCAGTTCTCCTGTATGACTTTCCACAGAGCAGAAAATGACTATACCTGAACACTAAAAATTTAAATTTTCCATCTTTGCATAGCATCTATGCAGCAAAAGTTTCACAGATCTCAGGAATTAGAGGCTGGGCAATGAAAGGAAGCAGAAGGCTTGTCAGTGACAGCTGTAAGCCTTGCTCTCTTAGCTAGATTTTCTCCATCAGTCAACTTGGAGCAGAATGAGTGTGATCTACTGCTAATCTCCCCTGTGGAATTCTCAACAAACTCCAGGCTGCACAGGTTATAGACACTAATGAAACGTTATGGGTGAGCATTGAGGACAAAGGCTTTAACATCTGTGAAGTAGACAGGAGTCTGCAGCCCCTGAGCCCACCCATCTGCGTAGACTGCAGGAGCTCCCTGCCTTGTATTTGGTTGGGTGCTGTTTTAAGTCTTTGTGGGGTTACAACTAGCACATTCTGTTTGATTTGTAACACTTCAGCAACCAACCATATAGGCTGTTTGGCAGATAGTCATTTATAAATAAGAATAATATATATTATTCTTATTAAGCATAAGAATGCTGTTAGGCATTTTAAACGGAAAAGTTTCATGGCTATTCCATTGATAACTGGATTTACCTGTGGGGTAACAAGACAAAGCTGAGTGTTTTTGCCTTAGAATCCTGGGGTATTAGAATTGATCTCGTTTAAGAGGCTCTCTCTTTCTACATGTGAGGAAACAGGCCCACAGAGAAGCACAGATGTACTCAGGTCACACAGCATGTTAGAGGCAAAGCCAGGGCTAGAAGCTGAGTCTTTGAACTCTGAACAGTTTAGTGCTCTTACCTGACACCACGTTTTCGTAGTTTTGTTTAAGATACTCTGTCCCATGTGCAGATAGCACCACATGCAAATAGCTCTTGAAAACATATTTGTGAGTGGATGATGACAATGCTGTTGGTGCTGATTTAATTATAGGATGCCATGGGGAAAAAAGCTCTACAGTTTTCTAAATGGAAGGGATAAAGTTGAATAAACAAGAGAGTTAAAGCATTGTTCCAGGTCCAGATTAAATGTTCCATAAATACTCTTTGAATTAAAATAAAGAGAAGTAAGTAGGCTATGGAATTTCGTCGGGTAAAGTATTAAGAAAATAGAACCAAAGCTTCATTTCCTTGATTTTTCCAGGCGCCATGAAATTGTTTATCACTAGGAGGGGTATTCACTGTAGTCCAGGGACCACAGTGGTCTTTGAAGTCTCCCTGCATGGTAGCTGGCCTCTTAAGGCAAACAACATTTACAGAATGTCAAGTCTACATAGTTTGTGATTCTCAAACCCTTCTGTAGTGAGGGTTCTCCAAGACAGTGAGTTGTGGTGCTTGTGGTGATAATGGCAGTGGTTGCATTGGTGGTAGTGATGGTGGTAGTGGTGGAGATGGACATGATGGTGGTGGTGATGATGATGGTGGTGATAGAGGTGGAGGTGGTGGAGGTGAGGAAGTGGTGGAAATGGTGGTGGCAGCAGTGAAGGTGGTGGCAGTGGTAGTGATGAGAGATGTGCCATTTGCATTCAGCGTTCAAGGATGGGCAAGAATTTCAATATGCAGAGTTTGTGGGAATGGAAATTGCAAGCTGAGGAAGCAGAAACATATATATATATATATATATATTTTTTTTTTTTTTGCCCAAGATGGCAAAGAGAACAGCTAGAATATGACTGGAATCATTCAGATTAGCAATGATGAGGAATTCACTCACAGCAGTAGCCTTTAGGATAGAGAAGCTACAGTAAGTATGAGAGTCCTCTGAGGATCAACAGAACTTGACCACTGACTGGGAGTGAGGATGGAGTGAGAGTCATGCTCTGTGATCCTCTCCATGAGGGCAAGGGCGGGGAATTGTGTCCCTTGGTTCTTCCATAGGGTCTGTTCCTGTGTTTAGTACATGGTAAGCTTTCTGAAAATGTCTGGTATCTGTTTAACTGCTTTGAGTCACCCTGGCTGAGGAAGTGGACATGTGGCTGGATTTCACCCTTTTCTTGTTCCTTCACTCTCCCTGAGGGTGCACACTTGGGTGGTGGCACACCCGCACATGATTTTAATTTTCGTGGCTGTAACCCAGTTCATATTTTGGTCAGCCTTCAGGTAATCAGCCAGAGATGCTAGCATTGTATACTGCTCTCTTTCCACAGCCTCCATTAGAGGAGGGAATTCACTGGAGGGTAAGGAGTCTGGACAACCTCACAGAAGAGGTGATATTGATCTAAATCTTGGAGAAGGGTAGGGTTGGATCAGCATGGAGGGAGGGCGTTTCGAGAGGGAAGAAAGCAGGGGCTGAGGTTTAAGCACTGGCACGAATGGATCAGTTTTGCAAAAGTGGGCACTGTTGGATGGACTCATTCTGTCAAAGTAGGAAAGGCCTTAAATGCTTAGGTAAAGAAGCTGGGCTTACCCTCAGGACAGGGGCTTTTGGGTCAGGAGAATTAGCGCTCGCCTAATATCCAGGAGCTCTCCCTCATGACTGGTCTTCATTATAGTTAGTTGACTGACTCTGGCAAGTGGGTATGTGAGCAGAAGTGAGGCATCACTTCCAGTCAAGTCCCCTTAGGATGCTTCGTCCATCCCCCTGTCCCTTCTGTGTGCCCTTCTAGATGCTCCAGGTGGTACAGCTACAAGATGGCAGAGCCTCCATCACCTAAGTTCCTGACTAAGGAGAAAGATTCTCCTGGCCTGGGCGGGACTTACACTGTGAGTGAGAAATAAAGTTTTGTTGTGACAAGGATCTGGGGTTTTGGATTATTTTGTTAGAGCAACTATTTTGACAGCCTCTAAGGCTTAGGATCAAGGTGAGAAATAGTGGAGGCAGTGAGGGGCAACTTTGTACAAAAGGGGACATGTACAAAGTCAAGTCCTCTTCATCTGTGAAGCAATCAGATTCTGCAGTGCTCTTTTGGGCACTGGGGAGAGCAGTTGATTGTAAAACTCATGAAATCCCTCTCCTTTCCTCTGGATACCAGCCTTTGGCCTGTGCTGCTCTTTGAACATCTTGGAGTGGTTGGGTTAACAAGTTTGAAAAGAAGAGCTATACTGAAGTGGAAGCAGGGCCCCTCTGCTCTCCCTAAACATCAGCCAGTCCCAGTGGAGGCTCCTTAGAACTCCCCATGCAACTCAGAGTCCAGTTTGAAAATGCCCTGGTAGCATGAAAGGGTGCCAGATTTGGATTTGGAAGATCTGGATTTAAATCCTGGCATCACCAGTTGTGTGATGGATAAATTTAATTGTGTGTATTGGGGTAAATTTCTTGATCACTTTGTGTTGTATTCTTAATATAAGATTGGATATGATAATTGCACTTTGTATTGTACAGGGCTATTGTGCAAATAGAGAGCAGATGTGTAAACGACACTTTGGTACATATTTAGAGCTTTGCAAATATCTGGATTTTGTTTGTTATCATGAATGCATAGCTGTAAAACTGGTTCAGCTGGGGCCTTACTACACCCTCCCATGTTGTTTATGGTATACATTCCAGAACCTTCTCACTTCTTTCTGTCAGTGACCTTGCCTCCCACTTCACTGAGAATATTGAGAGCTTCCAACATAGGTATCTCAACTTCTCTCTTTACCTCTGCACATCCACTCATTCTTCTCTCTTGCTTCAGTGGAAGATGAGATCCTCCTCAGACCCAGGGCCAAACCCTCCATGTGGGCTCACACCCCATTCTATTACACCTCTTTCAGGACTTTGCTCCAACAGTCAACCCCTATCTCTCTTGTATCTTCCAGTACTTCCATCATTCAGTCAGATAATGTGTTCAAGTCTCTTGTATCCTGGAAAATGACATTACTATAGCATGTTGCCTCATAAAGTTAAGTATTATTTTTCTCTCCTCTTTACCACATGCACTTCTGAGAGACTAGCCCAAGTTCCCCATTTCCTTGTGCATTTGGTGGGAAGAATAGAAGTAGGTGCCTTCTGACCACAATTAAACAGTCAATTAATTTTTCATGGGAGTGATAAATGTGGTCAAATAAAGATAGCGAAGTGTTTTTTTTCAGTCTTTTGTTCTGAGTAGGTACACAGTACTTAAAAAATGTTCTACAATGAAGGAACTAGGTGAAATAACTTGCTAACATTTCTTTGATCCTTTCCCACTCTGGGTTTTCAGCAACACCATTTCTTCATTAGTTTTTTTTTTTTCCTACTGTAGGTGGTGAAACTATTTCTGTTCTGTAAAGTACATAAGTATTTGGAGACTTGACCTAAACTTTCTCTTACCTAATAAATGGCACATTCAGGATTAGAGACAACCTGGATCTTTTTAAATAGGTGGCAAAATCATGGGGCTCAACATGTTAAAAGTAATGACAGTGACAGATCATCACAGAAGAGTCATCACAGAAGACTGTGGGAGGCTAAGCCAGTCTCAGGCACCCTTCCTATTCTCAGTCTTGGGGTGAGCATCTGACCACTGTCCATGCCCAGGGTCACCCAAACTTGAGGCAACTATTATTTACTCTTTAAATCCAAGAGATATTTTGTTTTTTTCTCTTGCTCAGCTGAAATGTGAACAAGTGATTTCTCTCCTCCCTAGGGATCTGCATTAAGGTAAGGACAAATGGAGCATTTGGTCTCTCCAATCCTTACCTGTTCCTGGTGGTAGTACAAGGCCAGTGGTATGCTGGTAACACTTGGCTCTTTGAAAAGAAAAACATCCCCAGTTTGTAGCATTCTGTGGTGTCAATACTTGGGTTATAGCTAATTACAATTTCAAAATACAATGTGATGTCACTGAACATGGAGTTGGGAAGAGATGTGCACAGTTGGCTTTTGCCAGCTGGCTCTGGCACACTGCTGAATATGCCACACATTCTGTTAAAAAATAATACACATACCATAGAAAATCTGAAGATCGTAGAAATGCAGGGCAGATGCAGAGAGAAAAAAAGTACTAGGAGACAGATTCATTCTCCAAAAAGACTTAATAATTTGATATATTCCATTCTCAAGAAAGAAAGACAATTCTATGCATAGATTGCTTTTAGTGCTTAGTTTTTACATCATTGTCATTACCATACTGCAGTTCTGTTTCCTTTTTTTACCCAAACATAACATGAGCATTTTCTCATGTTATCACAAATTTGTCCTAGATGTTTTCATTTTAGAATATAGAATATTCTAATGCATAATCAAACCAGACCATATCATGGCACATTGGGTTTGTTTCTAGTTTTTCATAGAAAATTATCTTTTTTACCTTAAAATTCATCCTCAAATATCCCAGAAATATTTCTTGGAGATGCCTGAGGGAGCAGTTGTCTGATGAGAAAGATGAAGAGAGACCTCTGAGAATAGCTGCCTCAATATTGGCCAATCCTTGAGGACCACAAAGCCTTGAAGTGAGCGACTCTCATCTGTTAAGAGACTTCCAGGCTTCAGTCCCTGAAACCCACATCCCTACCAGCCTTGCTCACCACCACATCCAGCTTGCTCTAGGAGTGGATTCTCATCCCCCAACTTCTGGGTTGGTCCCATTAGCTAACCCAGTCTCTCCCACTTTCCTCTCAAACTCTCCTGCTCTGCCTTTGGGTTCCTGCTTTGTGGCAGGCAATCTCCTGTCAATACTTGAAATTTTAGGAATGTTCTTTTTAATTCCAGCCTTAATAGAACTCTGGCTGCTTCCTGAGAATATGTGTTCTTTGTAGTTCTTGCAAATTAAGGCTTTTTTTTTTTTTCTTTTCTTGCTCTCACATTTATTCCCCTCAGAACCAGCAGGTGGAGTGAGGGTTCTCCTGCTCCTCCGTGCCACTTCCAGACCACTTCCCCTTGTGTCCTGTCAGATGCCACCCCTCTGAGGAGCACATATCCTGCCACATCTTCTTTTTCACTTGCTGCTGTCACTCTCCAGCCTCCTGGTCACTCTTCCCTGATCACTGAGGACCTCAGCTCTGGCTCGGAGCCTCCCTCACTATCCCAGCCTCTGTCTCACCCCAGTGACTTCATCCTCCTTGAGGAGGACCACCCAGCACTCTGGCATCTCAGTGCTGAGACTCCTCATCTCCAGTGAGCTCCTTCTCTCTTTTGCATCAGTTATCTGCATCCTGGCCACACCTGGGATATGCATGACTTTTTAAAACATCCTGTCCATAAATACCATGTCCATCCTCCCAAGTCACTTGCCTGAGTACCTCTGCTGTTACAATTCTCTCTGTGGAAACTCACATTCACTGAACCTGACATTTTCTTCCTATTCCTCAGACTCTTCATGTTTTCTTTCCTTCCTTGTCCATCAATCTAATCACTCCTATACAAGTCACCTCCAATTCCCTTACTCTTTCCTCCTTCTATGATACTCATCTGATAAAAATCTCAGGCTGAGATGAATCCAGCCACCCACATTCTTGCCCACAGCTGCCCCAGAGGCTGAACCCAGGGAGAGGTTTGCGCGGCCAGGTTGACTGATGTCACTGTAGATTCTCAGGCCCCTTTCCTTGCATTCTCAGACACCACACCTCTAGTTTCTCTCCTACCCTGCTGGCCACTGGCTCACAGCCCCTTTTATCAAGTCCTCCTTTTCTATCGACTTCCTCAGGGCTTTTTCTAGACCTTCTTCAGCCAGATCTCCCCAGGTGATTAATCTGTCCCCAAGGTTGTAAATCCATCTATGAGCTTATGACTCACGTTTTTATATCCATACCTCAGACCTCACAGAACACATATGTCCACTGGGATGCATTTCACAGGCGTTTCATGACCACTGTCTTCTTCCAGCATTTATTCCCCATTATTGTTAGAATAAAGCATAAACTCAGTGATCCTACAATACTCTTTATGATTTCCAGCCTGGGATCTCTTCCCTTATTCCCATTCTTCCTCACCTACCATGCCACCCACACCCCCACACACATCACACACTCCACATAGCCATGCTGAGTTTTTTCAGAGAGGCAGGATGATGTAGTAGCTAATGAGTGAGCTCCAAAGACAGACTCCCTCAGTTCAGATTCTGGTTTTGCCACATACTTGCTGGAGCACTTGGACAATTTGCCTACCACTTTGAGCTGCTGAGGGGATGAAATGAGATGATGCATGCAAAGTTCTTGGCAGAGTGCCTGGAACATCATAGGTGCATAATGAATGCTAGCAATTATTATTTTTAAATTTAGTTTCTTTGGCATAAATTATAACCTCTCTTTCAAATCTTTGTGCATGTGGTTGTCTCGATTTGGAATTCTTTTTTCCAACAAACTCTGCCTACTGATTTGCTTCCCTCATCCTCCAAATGCCATATGACTAACTCATATCTAACCTCCAGGACTCAGCTGATTACTATCTTGGTCTGTTGAGCATTTCATGACTCTGTGGTAATGAATGGCACTGTGGATTTATTGCAGCACTAACTACTGTATCCACATGCTTGCTTCCCTGCCCAAGTGTGCAGTAGACTCTAAGAGCTTTAAGGTGACGAGTGTGATAGGTCATTGTTTTATCTATAGCATAGTACGTACTATAAAGTAAGGGTTCATAAATATTTGCTAAGTGAATGAATAAAATGATAAATCACATTGCAGAGCCATAGCTCTCTCATTGTGAGAATAAGTCAAAAAATAATGTTCTTGGTAACTATAAGGAAATTTTGTGGTTCAGAAGAATGCAACCTTCAATTCACTGAATATTTTTGGTAACATAAATGTGTCCCCTGAAATAGATTACTATAAGAAAAAAATACTGTTGAAATAGCTAATTTATGTACTTAATAACATCTGTCTTCAAGAAACAAAAGGAGACTTCCATGAAATGAGTTCCAATGTCTATACCCAGACAACCATGATGAAAAATGTGGTTGCTGTATTAAAAAAAAAAAGAATGATGAATAACATGTTGGACACGGCAGAAAACTGAATTAGTCAGGCAGAGGACAAGTTGATTATTCACTGAGAATATTTTAGAAAAAGGAAAACAAGGTGAAAATAAAGATAAGAATATAATAGAAATAGAAGTGAGATTCTCAGCAATCCTAGCTTCTAATAAGAAGATATTCCGAAAGAGATAAAAATAATAGAGATGAAGCAAAAAATAAAAATGATGTAAGCATCTTTTTAATAAGTCCTCTCATTAATGATACTTCAAGACTTTCCATATTAGTAATACTAATAAATAAAGCATCTTAAAGGTAGATGAATGATCACTGTGTACCAGACACTGTGCTAAGGGTTTTATATACAATATTTTATCTAATCCTCACAATAACTCATGATGTAGGTAATATTATTATTCCTAATTTTCATATTGAGGAAACTGAGGCTCAGAGGAGTAAAAAGTAACTTGCCAAAGTCACATAGCTCATGAGTGGTAGCTCCACTGTAGATTACTTTGGGAGTGAGCTCTTGACTCACATTGGGCAAATCGTCATCATGATTCTGGAACTGCACCTGATAAATAAATGCTAGGTTCTCTTTGGCAATTGAAAATAAAGGCCGGGCACGGTGGCTCACACCTGTAATCCCAGCACTTTGGGAGGCCAAGGCAGGCAGATCATTTGGGGTCAGGAGTTCAAGACCAGCCTGACCTATATGGTGAAACTTCATCTCTACTGAAAATACAAAAATTAGCTGGCCATGGTAGCACATGCCTGTAGTTCCAACTACTCAGGAGGCTGAGCCACATTGCTTGAACCCTGGAGGTGGAGGTTGCAGTGAACCGAGATCGTGCCACTGCACTCCAGGCTGAGTGATGGAGTGAGACTCTGTCTCTCCAAAAATAAAAAATAAAAAAATAAAAAAATAAAAATAAAGACATGCCATATGGGTTGCTTGACTAGTGGCATGCTGGCATATGTGAGATAAGCAGAGGCTCAAAAAGCATTAGTGCCATGGGGTTTGTCCTCTTTTCCTGCTTTTGAACTCAGGCCACCATAAAGAAGCTTAAACTCGCCTGTTGGGTAATGAGAAACACATGGTTCAGTTACCTCTGTCATCCTGGTTGACAATCTTCCAAGTACAAGATAAGTGAATAAGGCTTCCTAGGTTATCCAGCAGCCACATGACCCATAGGTGACTGCAGACATATGAGACACTCCCACAGAATTCAGTTGAGCTGGCACAAACCAGAGCAGCCAGCAATCCACAAAATCATGACCTAAATGGACAGTTGTTACTTTAAACCACTAAGTTTCGGAATGATTTGTTACGCAGCAGGAACTAACTGATACACGATCTTACTTCTATTATTTGAAGCCAAAGGTTCTAACTGTAATAGAGTAAATTTTTTTTTTCAGATCTAAAATATATCTTGGTCTGAACATTGACAGTAAGTGTTAGGTTATGGGAAGACTTACTATTTAAATCCTGTTTGGATTTTCTAGATTAACATATAATCATACAAGTATCTTGGGGGGTACATATTAGGTTATCCACAAAAGAAGATATCACTTTGCCTTCAAACAACAAAGGAGCAATCTATGCTGAGCTTAAAAGAAAAAAAATTATTTATATATTTATAAATCGTGATATTCCCACAATTTATACCCAATCAAGCAGCCATTGGTAAGTATATGCCAAATAAAGGTATTATCAAATATGTAAGAAAGTACTATTTTCTGCAGAGAAACTACCAAAAGACATGATTCAGAATGATGGATGATGGATCAAAACTGAAAATTCAAAATAATGAGGCCATAGAACTAATAAACTGGTGATTATCAGTAAAATAAAAATATATAGAGATGACAGTAAATCATTGTTTGTGGACCATAATTATGAAATGGAATAGAAAACATTTTTAAGAGAGCAGATCTCTATTACTTGTTCCCAACTTATTTGGTCTTGGTATTTCTTTACACTAATAAAAATAATTGAGGACTCCCAAAGAACTTTTGTTCATGTGGGTCGTATCTATCAATACTTACTATATTAGAAACAAAAGCAGAGAACCATTTGACAGTGTTTGTTAAGTTGTTTAAAAATAACAATAATATACCTAGAGCCCAGGTGTTGGTTTCTAATATCATTCCCTAATAGAAGAAACCAGGGCTTCTTAGAGAAGTGGTTGATTGTAGAACTGGGGCAGGAAATATACAAGATGAGCCTGGAGCATCCTGTAGTAGCACAAAGTAAGAAAGTCCTCAAAACACACGACACAACACAAAAAGCACAAAACTAGAAACTAAAAACAAAACAAAACCCTCGAATCCCTGTAAGTATGGAATATGTCATAATGGGGTATGTCAAAGAGATACAGAAGCAACCTGAAAGTGGCCCCAATGGCCAAAACTGGAACAATTTGAGCAATAAAATAAATTGAGTAACTCAAAGAAATTATACCCTGAGACCAAAATAAATACCCATGAGTCCATACTAACATAAATAAATGATTGAATAAATAAATAAATAAATAAATATGTAAATGATGGAGAAGAGACAAATCTTCAGTGCATAAAAATTGCAAAGAATTTATGTAGCTACTCTGCAGTAAAGGAGTAGGAACATTCCTCTCCACTCCTTAAGGATAGCCTTCACACAGTAACTTCCTTCCAAAGACTAGAGTATGGGAAAGAGGGGAAAAATAATAATTTTAGTATTTGTGGAGAAATCTGACAAAGATGGTGGAGTAGGGGATACAAGCCTAAGTTGTTATCAGTTTCAAATAGACTGTTATAACTGTCAGATATTTTACATAAGCCTCATGGTAACCACAAAGCAGAAACATAAAGTAGATACATAAAAGATAAAGAGAAAGGAATCAAAGCATACTATTATAGAAAATAGTCAAATCACAAAGGAGGAGAGCAAGAGAGGAAGAAAGCAACAAAGAATCTACAAAACAACCAGAAAACAATTGACCAAATGGCAGTAGTATGTACCTATCCATAATTACCTTGAAAACAGAAAATAAGTGAATTAAATTCTCCAATCAAAGGACACAGAGTGCTTAATGGATTGAAAAATTAAGACTAAAGTATATTCTGCCTGTAAGAGACTCATTTTGGCTTTAAGGACACACAAAGACTGAAAGTGAAGGGGTAGAAAAAGATACGCCATCCAAACAAAAAATGAGCAGGTGTAGATATACTTGTATCAGACTTTAAGTCAAAACTGCAAAAAGAGGAAAATAATATAATTATATAATGATAAAGGGGTCAATTCATCAAGAGAATATAACAATTGTAAATATATATGCACCCAACTATATAAAACAAATATTAATTTAATGGGTCTTAAGGGAGAGATAGACAGCAACATAATAATAGTAGGGGACTTTAATAAGCCACTTCAACAATGGATAAATCATCTAGACAGAAAATTAGTAAGGAAACATAGGACTTGAAACATGCTTTAGACCAAATGTACCTGACAGACATATATGGCACATTCCATCCAATAGCAGCAGAATACACATTCCTTTCAAGCACACACAGAATACTCTCCAAAACAGATAACATGTTAGGATGTAAAACAAGTCTTATTAAATTTAAGAAGACTGAAATCATATCAAGTATCTTTTTTGACCACAGTGATATGAAACTACAAATCAATAACAGGAGGAAAAATTCTCAAAATACGACATACAAATGGCTTTCAGGTATATGAGAAAAATGCTCAGCAGCACTAATCATCAGGGAAATACAAGTTAAAACCACAATGAGCTATCAGCTCAGAACTGTTATGATGGCTATTACTAAAAAGACAAGAGATAACAAGTGTTGGAGAGGGTGTAGAGAAAAGGGAATACTTGTGCATGGTTGATGGGAATGTAAAATATTACAGCCATTGTGGAAAACCATACGGAAGTTCCTAAAAAAATTAAAAATAGAAATATCATATGGTTCAGCAAACCTACTTGTGGGTATATATCTGAAAGAAATGAAATCAGTATGTTGACAAGATATTTGCACTTCCATGTTTGTTGCAGCATTATTCACAATAACCAAGATATAGAATCAACCTGTGTTCCTCAATGGATTAATAGATAAAGAAAATGTGATAAATATACACAATGGAATATGATTCAGCTTTAAAAAAGAAGATGCTTTCATGTGTGACAACATGGATGAACCCAGAGGACATTATGCTAAGTAAAATAAGCTAGGCAGAGAAAGACAAATACTGCACGATCTCATTGACATGTGGACTCTAAAACAGTTGAACTCATAAAAACAGGGAGTAGAATGGTAGTTTCTAGGGGCTGGAGGTGGAGGGGAATGGAGATGTTGGTCAAAGGGCACAAAGTGTCACTTAGGATGAATAAGTTGCAGCAATCTATTGTATAACATAATGACTATAGTTAATAATAATGCATCGTACACTTGAAAATTGCTAAGAGAGTAGATCTTAAATGTTCTCACCATGAAAGAAATGATAAGTATTGAAGTGATAAATATTTTAATCAGCTTGGTTTAATCATTTCCCAATGTATGAAAACATCATATTGTACGCCGTAAATGCACATACTTTTATGAGTTAAATATACTTCAATAAAGCTGAAAAAAGATTAACATCAATAGTAGTAAGTCATATTGATAGCATATACCCTCTAATGAGGTGACAAGAATGGAACTCTACCTCTGTTTTTTTCCCTAAAACATATTACCCCTGTGTAATCATGAAAAAAATGTCAAAAAAATTCCAACTGAGGGATCTGCCACAAAAAACCTGATCACTATGCCTTGAAACTATCAAAGACATCACAAACAAGGGAAGTCTGAGAAACTGTCACAACCAAGAGGAGCCTAAAGAGACATGAATGTAATGTGGCGTCCCGGATGGGATCCTGGAACAGGAAAAAGACACTAAAGAAAAACTGGGAAAAAAGTATGGATTTTAGTTATGAATTATTTATAAATATTGAGTTTATTCATTGTGATAAATGTACTATACTATCAGACATAAATACTAAGAAAAACTGAGTGTGGAGTATCTGAAAACTTTTTGTACTATCTTTGCAACTTTTCTGTAAATCTAAAACTGTTCTAAAATATAACTTTATTAAAAATGGCAATGATAAACTCATCGAAAGTTAACATAAATAATACATGAATTACAAACTATTCTATTTATTTCAAAAAAATTATTAAAGAGAGGGGCATTGTTTTGCATTTTTGCAAATCCCTTTAATAGCTAGGTTGATAGACATCTGGATTCTCATATCTGCTTCTATATTCAGTGTGTTGTGATATCAGAAATCATGGAACCTCTGAAAAACTCTACTGTAGACTCATGAGAGAATGAAAAAGGTAAATAATGTCTTCCTGTCTTTATATAAGTAATTTTAACCTCATATACCTCTTAAATGTATCGCAGGAGTTTTGTTACTACACTTTGAGAATGCTGACATATATTGTAGAACACACAGGTTATAAACTCCAGGTTATTAACAGAAAAACTGGCAAGGGAATATGAGAATAGAAAGTGACAAATTTCCTTTTCCTATAAATGGAAGTAAAAAATGAATTCTGTTATTAAAATTATGTCAATAGTTGTCAATATAATGCCAAGTGACATTATAAATATTGTAAATGTTAATAGCTATGGAAGTAGGGAATATTTTTAAAAAAACTTTAGGATAACTATTTATATAACGAAATAAAACATATGTATCTTTGAAATTACCAAAGATAATAGTCAACAAACCATCTATAAAGGAAAAATAGAAAAAAGAGGAAACAAAAACCAGAAAGTATTAAACCAAATGATGAAAGAAGACCAACTATAACAATATATATAGATAAAGACAATGAGTGTGGAAATGTTCAACTAGCCTATTAAAAGAAAAAAGAATCTTAAGTTATGAACCGATATCAAAATATACTGTATGTAAGAGGAATTCTCACAACAAAATGATAGAGGAAAACTAAATATATGGAAAAAACTAAAATAAAATGATGAAAAAGTATAAGTAAACAAATCAGAGGTGTTACTATTAATACTACAGGAAGTAGTGTTAATGGCAAAAAAGCACTAAATAGAGATATAAATATATTTTCTGTTACTAAATGTATAATCTATAGTGAAAACAAACATATCTTCAGCACATGTAAGGCAAAGCTTTTAAAAATATAAAGAGAATTTAGCAAAAGGACAATTACAATGAAAGATTTTAAGGTATCACTCTCACTCTATGATTGGATAAGTTATCAAAAATCCATAACAGCAACAAATTGAACAAAACAATAAGATGATTCACTAACCAACTTTGAATCCTCATCTGTCTCCATATTTCAGGCCAAAAAGAGCATTCTAATAAGTCCCAAAAGGTAACCTTTGATATATGCCATAGTCTGTTTTGCATAAGAAAGGAAGGAAAGGGAATGGAGGCAAGGATGAAAGAAGGAAGGGGGAATGGAGGAAGCAAGGAAAGAAGAAAGGAAGGAAGAAAGGAAGGAGAAAAGAAAGAAAGAAAACTTGAAATACATTGGACTTAAAATTTTTCTAAATACCTATTGAGTCAATAAAAAAATTTAGGTAGTGGTAGATTGTTTAAAAAGTAAAGAATACGAGAGCACTATATATCAGCATTTATGGAATGGAGACAAAATGAATTTTATTGGTAGATGTTTTCACTATTTGACAATTGAAAATAAATGAACTGAGTATTAAAATAAAAAATCCAGAAAATGTGCATTTAAACGAACTTAGGTAGGGGGAGAAAAATAAAGATAAAAGATACATTAAAGAATGAAAGGCAATAGAATTGGTAAATAAACTATTTTGGCAAGTATTTTGGAAAAAATAGAGGAAGTAGAAATTAAAAATGTGAAAAGATGATGTATAATTGTATGTTATTAAATTAAAAAGTCACTATGAAATAGATTTTTTTCTTAAAAATATAAATTAACAAATTGAAAAAGCAGAAAAACTATAAGTGGCAGTGATGAAATAAAATGTATTATAGAGTTTCTTTCATAAAGGGCTCAAGGGCGAGCTGGTTTTATGGGTAAGTTCCTTTGCTAATTCCAATGCTATTTTGGAAAACAAAGACAGTTTTTAAAAGCATCCCTAGCCTTGATACCAAAATCTGACAAAGACAGCACACAGAAAACCAAACAAATATTACTTTTTGATATTGATATAAAAATCCTATGTAATATAACTAGTCAGTATATTAAAAGCATAACTTACCATGACCAACTAAGATTTATTCAAGAGACACAGGGAATAGAATTAAAATGATTTGCATACATGGGGTACATTAAAAATATACTTTTCTCAACAGATGCTGATATATTTTTACAAAACTCTGTCGTACTAGGAATAGTATAATGCTTCTTAAAATAATAAAATGTGTGACTATTGATAAACAGTCTTCTCAGCAGTTCATTGAACATTGAACTTAATTGTGAAACCAATAACCCAAAACTTACTTAATGGTGAAGTATTGTAGGTGTTTCCAGAAAAGTAAGAAAGTTAACAAAATTATTATTACTTAATACTGTGAAAGTTATGGTCTTACAATACAACATGAAGCAGAAATAAGAGGCATAACCACTAGAAAGATGGAGACAAAATCATTATTTATAGATGATATGATTGTATTCCTAGAAAAAAACAGCTTAATCATTATTAGAATCAATAAATTGGCTAGATAAAAGATAAGCTCACAAAACTAAATTACTTTGATGTATCACCAGCTGGAAAAAATAAAATCATTTCAAAATCATTTCAAAATTTGTACATAATACTCAAATTTAAGCTCCATGTAGTTAATTCCTTTTCCCTCTGAAATGGTTCCTGAGATTATCAAAGGAATGTAAAAATTCGTCTCAGCTCTGGAAACAAGTGCAGGAGGTCACCCACTGGCCAGAATAAATTTCTTCAGTTACTGAGCAGCTGAGACCAAACTGAAGGAGGATCTGGGCAGCTGCAGGAAGAACAACCTGTTTGGGAAAACAATTTTAAGGAACTTGCTGCAGTGCTGAAGGCTGCAGGGTGGAGCTGAGGAAGGGCTTGAGAGAAGGGGTGAGGACAAACCTTGAACCTTCTGTCATCTTTGGGATGTACAATCGGCATCGCGGTAAGAAACTGACAGCTCGCGGGCCAATGTGCACTTCCCATTGGCTTGAATATTTGGAGACATGAACCGTAATGACTAATGAGGGAGAGGGCAGGGCTCTGAATATCCTCAGGCTGCTCCTGTACAGTGTTGAGGCAGCTGGGAAGGGCAGAACCACAGCAAAGCCACACGTACTCCTTTTTAAATCTGGAATTTAAAGACTTGAGTAGAGACCCCTTTAACTTGGAATCTATTTTAACTCTCCATACCGGACTACAGTTATTAGAATGAACAAAAAGGGAAAATGGTTGGATGTTTGCTGAAGCTAATGTGGGAAGAAAAGTAAATGTCTCTTTGTGAGATAGCTTACTTCAAGAAACAGGTGGAAATTCAAAGTAATTCCATATTTGTTTTTAAACGAGATTTGAGGCTGTTGCACTTATGAGAAGGGCAGAAAATACTTCTTTCAAATGAAAACATGGTTACAGAATTAAAAATGCTGTTGCACTTAGGAAAAGGGCAGAAAATACTGCTTTCAAATAAAAACAGGATTACAACATTAAAAATGCAGAGGAAGCCGTGAAGAGCAGATAATCTCTTCATCTTACAGTTTCATCAGAAATGCCTAAGAATTCACCCAGAAACCATAAAATGGTGAAAGAAATAATCAAGTTAGTAAAATAGTAAGGGACACGGAAAGTACACAATTTATGTGTAGCAGTAACTCTGAAAGGAGAGCAGAAAAGAGGGCAGGCCATTAAAAAATGTTGTTTTTAAAGGAGAATTTCCCTGAACTAGAGATCTGACTTTAGATTAAAAGGTCTCAGCAATGACAGAAAATGACAAAATCCTCTACATATACATGTCTTCTGGTGCGGCTTTTGAAAATACAATACGAAATGAAGCATTACAATAAGATAAAGAAAAATCTTAAATGTATGCAGGCAGAAATCACAAATTATGTAAAATGGGAAAAAAATCAGATGGTATCAGATTTCTTCACTTAAGTAAATATTGGAAGACCATGGAACAGTGTCTTAAGAATTTAGAGAGAAAATGATTGTGGTCTATTTTTCATATATTCATTTTATCTCATCTTTTTATTTCTTGGTGATTTTTTTTCAAGTGATAATATTTTTATTCTAGAAGTAGATGTCTTAAAAATTTCACTTTACTTAATTTAAAAATGCAGTCAAGGCAATAATTTATTTTCAGTATAGATAAATTATTTTAAATTGCAGAAAATCTAAAGTAAAAATTTTAGATGACCTATAATTCCACATCAAAGGCAAAAACATTGCGTATTAAATTTTGCTGCATAATTTTCCAGACTTTTTACCTATAATCCATAAGTGCATGAATATACTTTATGAAACATACAAGGGGCACTAACTGCACATATTACTTTGAAGCCTGCTTTATTTACTGATTATAATATTATGATAAATAATATTATGATCATAATATATGATCGGTATTATTAATATTTTCACATTAATGTGCTTGTATAATGCCATTTTAACAGTTGTATAGTTTTTTGTATGAATGATCCATCATTTCTTTAATCAATCTTTTATGATTTGATATTTGTTTCTAATTTTACAGCTCTATAAACCATGCTGACAAAATCTTACATAATTGCTGTTAAGACTTTCTAAGAATGTAATTGCTGATTCAAATCAACTACACATTTGAAAACTTTGACAGATATTGTCAAACTATGCTCCTGAAAACAGCTCCCACCTTCCCCATAACCTCACTGATACTTAACATTTTCATTAAGTTTAACATGGGCCACTCAAATAAAGGAAAAATTGTATACATTATTTGGAATATAATTTTTCATATTCTTTTATGAGCTATAGTGTTTTGAGGGTTGCTTTACTCTTATTGATAAGTTGCAGTCCTCTATGTTAGTTTTTCTCATATATTATAATCTTTTTCTCAGTTTGTCACGTGCAGAAGTTCTTCATGGAGTTTCCTGATATATAGAATTTAACAAACTCATCTATAACTATATCTGTATGTGTGTATCTACTTATATATGCAAACCAGCAATCTTTCATTTTGGCTTCTACCTTGAGGGTTATGCATTGAAAGCCTCTACTCCATCCCAATTTATTTGGAATTTATATTGGTTTTAAGTTGTGAGAAAGGAATCCAGTTTTATGGTTAGTCCAGAGTTTCCCCAGAATATGTTTTATGGATAATACTTCTGTGTGATGTTTACAGGATTAATCAAAAGAAGGATTCCACAATCAAATAAGTTTGAGAAGCAGAAGGTTTAAGCAAAACCACTGGATTTCTTCACTGCAATACTTACTAGGATGGAGACTAGTCTTTGTAATAGAATTTGAAGTGGCAAAACATTAGACACAATGCAAATATATGTCAATATCATACTGGATAAGTAAATTATGGTTTCTCCATATAAAGAATACTATGCAGCTGTAAAGAAAAGATGTGAGAATGCTTGCAATACTGATGGGAAAGGATATCCAAGATTGTTAACAGAAAAAGTCAGAATAGGGTATACTGTATATTGTATTGTGCATTAAGAAAGGAGACAGTAAGAATATATGTTTACACTTTCTTAGATGGCATAAAGAAATGTTAGAAGGTTCATTAGAAACCAAGAATGGTGGTTGTCCATAAAGTGGTAGGGGTAGAAACAGGGCGAGTATGAGAGAGAGAGAGAGAAACCTTTTCCTAATTACTTTTTTACACTTTCTGATTTCTAAACCACACAAATATGTATAAATTTTTAAAAAAAATTTAAAAAGGAAACCCTCTCAAAGGCTCCAATATGCTATTATATACTGTGACTATCCAAGTTGTGGGCAGCGGTAGTATAGAGAGTAATCTACAAACTCATTCAAGTACAGAATCCTACAATTTTAGGTTATTCAGGTTTCCAAAAATAGTGATGGAATAATCCTTACAAATTTGACATGCTATCTTTAGCACATACTAAACACAAAATTTTATACGTTTGAGTTTTTGTGTGTGCATGTGTAATTTCTAGTCTGCTTTTATTAAATGATTCTACCCCTAGTACTGAGTATTTTGATATCTCGAATGGCAAGTCATTTATTATCATTCTCTTAAAAGTTATTTTGCTGATATAAAAATTAATTCTTGTTGTTTATTATTTTCTTGAACGAGTTTTATCCATTAACTCTTTCAGATGATTCACTTTATCAAACTGCCTAAACGTACTCTTAGGAATAGTTTGAGAAGAACTGATATCCTTAGGAATTATATAAAGATAGAAGGGAAACTGTTTTCTATATATCCTTAAACACTTTCTGTGTTTTGAATCATGTGGAATGTAGTTCTCAAATATTTTCTTATGCCGTCCAGTAAAGTCTAAATTAGCATGATATTTTTCATTTTGCTTACATAAGTTCTGGCTATTTCTTAATTATTCTAAGGGTTTTCACTTTTTTTTTGAAAAGGAAATCCATTTTTCATTTTATTTTGTCAAGGATTATTGCTGAATAATTATTGCTGAAATAAGCTACTTTTTTCTTCAACACTACATTTTAACAAATTTAATTTTGGCATTTCTTGAGACAAATATATGATGCTCCCCTTTAACAATTTAATTTGAAGAAATATAATAACAGATTTCCTGATAATTTATTTGCTAGTATTATTTGCTGGAAAAAGTCATGCTCAAAAACATAACATTACTGTTTCAATATAATTTTTATTTTTTTGGTGAACGTTTTAATTGGGATGTTTGCATCTATATTTGTAAATGGAGTTGGTCTGAAGGTTTGTTTTTGGAGTTGTCTTTGTTAGCTTTCTATATTTAGGTTTTACCAAATCTCCATAATAAATGAGCAAGATTTCCATATTGTTCTGTGCTCTTGAAGAGCTTATAAGAGTATTTGAAAGATTTTTCCCTGCACAGATTTTGATCCCAGTGCCTTTTGTAAATGTAATTTTTGAACAGTAGTTTCATTCCCCTTTACCTCCAAGCTGTATCAGTTTGATAATTTATGGTTTTGTGGAAAATCATCCATTTATTCTTATTGTGAGTTATGCTCTCTGGCCTCTGTGCTTTCTCTTTCTCCATCTGAGGACAGCTGCCTCCGGAAGTTGATGGCAGCACCCCAAAGGAGTCCTAAATTGGGTGGACCCATCTTTCTCAAGGCTTCAAGGCTCACACTTTCACCTCCTAATTAGGGGCTATTGGTATGTAGAGGCCATAAAGCACTTGGTGGCTGCCTCCTGTTTGGCGCTATCTGCACAATGTCTACCAGAAATGTAGTAAAATTTCTGGCATTTGTGTGGCAACCTTCCTAGTTTCTGCAGTAACGTTGGCTTTCCTCCTTTTTTCTTCTTCCTTTTTTTTTTTTTTTTTTTTTTTTACTTTGTTCACTCTGATTTCTGTCTGGGAGTCAAGGTTAAGGGCATGTGTTTATGCTAGCATCTTCCCCTGCAGTGTCAATGCACTTTTCCCTCTCCATTTAATTGCTTTTCATCAACCAAAGCGATAATACTAGGGGCTCTGGGCTGTATTTATAAGTGTAGTGGGTGTCAGGGGAAGAGAGTAATCACAACAGCTAGCATAAACAATCAATCCTGGAAACACAAATATGTTGACACCCCTTTGGCCAAGGCCTAGAGCAGCTTGCCAAAGGATCCACATTTTTTTTTAAATTTGTAAAATAATCAAGAAGACGGAAAATTTAAGAAGTAGTGCTGTAGGTATATTTTTAAATATTCCTCTCTTACTCCCTGTTAATGAGGTGATTTTCAATTTTTATTATTGTGAACGAAAGTAAAGAATACACATAGATATAAAAATTTCGGCTGATTTTTGATAATGAATCATAATATACAAAAGATGAAGTAAATAATGACGATGGCATATTTTTGTAGTCTGCTGTTACAGTTGGTACCTGTAGAGAATTATATTAGAGCTAACATATTCATATTCACTCACATTTCCACAAAATATCCAGTTAATTAAATGAACGATTCTGTTTTCTAACATAGCCTCCTCTCCCACTATTATTGGTAATATTTAGAATTCAGAATAGGAATGTCTTACTTCTTGCTAAAACTCTACCATAAAATTATGTACATAGAAATTTAATTATCAGAAAATGACATATGACCAATATTAATAAATGACTCAGGGAAGCAGAAATTCCCAGCTTGTCTAAATCTCATTTTTTTGGATGTCCTTTTCATTTTTCATCCTCATTACAGATTTTTTCTTGGCCTTGATTGTGGGTTCTCTGATGAAGAAATGTTGGCTCATTCATCTTCCTTGTCCTCAGGGGCATTGCCCTAGTACCTTCTGAGACCATTGCCACCCTACAGCCCACATAACAACTACAAGAATGGGCTTAGCTCTCATTAACTTTGAAAGCTACTGCATGCTCCTCACAGTTTTTATAGAAAAAAGGAAAGGGTCAGTGCATTTTGCAAAGTCAAATTTTTCTTCTTTATACATTCACCTTTCTTTCTCTGTGCTTTCTTCTTCAATGGGAAGAGTCACCTTTGATTACATGTAAAATCTTTATCACCTGTCAGTCATCTCCACCTTCCTAGAACTTCCTGTGTAGTGTCATAGTTTTGCCAGAGCAGCCACGCTAAGCTGCTGGGTTGCTAATTATTGCAGGACTTAATTACAAATTATGATAATATTATATTAATGATGAGCCTAACTCCCCATTTTCATGAATGTTATAATGTTAGCATAATTATCTATAACTGTGAATTGTAAACACAGACAGGGAATGGCAGATAAAACTGAGCCAGTTCCCCCAGGGATCTAGGAATATAGCTAGAAGCAGCTAACTTTGAAGCTGGTGGTTTATCTTACCAGTCAGTTAAGAGAAACCACTGAAGTAATAAATTTTCAAAGGAGGGGATTTGTTAACATACGTGTGTGTGTGTGTGTGTGTGTGTGTGTGTGTGTGTCTTCACATCATGTCATAGAAACAATTTTAATAACATAGAAATTGTCTATATGGTAAATGAAATAAGCAGATTATAAAATATATATATATGAATGACTATTAAATTATAAAAAGATGTTCGTCCCCACTCCTAAAAGGGAAATGAGCATTTTAACTATGAGATCCCATTCTCATTATTTTCCCCCATCAGATGGGTAAAAATCTAAAAGCTTGATGATATACTTTGCTGGTGAGGTTGTGGAGAAACAGGAACTCTCACACATTGCAGGTGAGAATGTAAATTAGTACAACCTTGTATGGAGGGCAAATATCAAAATTAAGATGATATAGTCTATTTTTGAGATTTTATGCTATAGGTATTCTTGCATGATATATATAAATGTTATGCATGGTGGCACTCTGTAATAGCAAACCGTTGAAGACAATCTAAAGTCCACCAATAAATGATTGGTTAAATAATAGCATACATTCAAAAAGCAGAATACTAAAAAAAGAATAGAGAAGAGGCCGGGCACGGTGGCTCACGCCTGTAATCCCAGCACTTTGGGAGGCCGAGGCGGGTGGATCACGAGGTCAGGAGATCGAGACCAGCCTGGCTAACACCGTGAAACCCCGTCTCTGCTAAAAATACAAAAAAATTAGCCGGGCATGGTGGCGGGTGCCTGTAGTCCCAGCTACTCTGGAGGCTGAGGCAGGAGAATGGCGTGAACCTGGGAGGCGGAGCTTGCAGTGAGCCGAGATCGCGCCACTGCACTCCAGCCTGGGCGACAGAGCGAGACTCCGTCTCAAAAAAAAAAAAAAAAAAAAAAGAGAAGCTCTTTATGAATAATATGGAAATATCTCTAAGACATACTGAGTTTAAAAAAACAAGGTGCATAACAGTGTGCATAATAGGCTATATTTTGTGTTATAAAGAGGGAAACAATCTATATTTGTGTTGACTTGTACTTATATAAGGCACTTTAAATTTTTATAAGACACCACATTTTTTTTCTTCTTCTTTGAGACAGGATTTCACTCTGTCACCCAGGCTGGAGTGCAGTGGAGTGACCTCAGCTCCTCTCAACCTCTGCCTCCCAGGCTCAAGTGATCCTCCCACCTCAGCCTCCCAAGTATCTGGGACCACAGGTCAGCTTGCCACCACGCAGAGCTAATTTATTTGTAGAGAGGGGGTTTCACCATGTTGCCCAGGCTGGTCTTGAACTCCTGAGCTTAAGCGATCTACCTGCCTGGGCCTCCCAAAAAATACTGGGATTACAGTCATGAGCCACTGCACTGGGCTCCACAATTTTTTTTGTTTGTTTTATCCGTTCTACTGATGATGGATATTTGAAACATCTCCAGTTTGGGGGGTATTAAGAGCAATGCTGATGGGAACATTATGTTTGATGTCATTGAGTGTATATGTGAATGGGTTTTTTTTAGGGTAATTACCTGCAAGTGGAATTTCTGAGTTATAGGGTATGCATAGCTTCTTCTTTTCTAGACAGTATAAAAGTATTTTCTGGGCTGGGCACGGTGGCTTATGCCTGCAATCCCAGCACTTTGGGAGGGCAAGGCCGGCGGATCACCTGAGGTCAGGAGTTCAAGACCAGTCTGGCCAACATGGTGAAACCCTGTCTCTACTAAAAATACAAAAAATTAGCTGGGCGTGGTGATGGGCGCCTGTAATCCCAGCTACTCTGGAAGCTGAGGCAGGATAATCACTTGAACCCAGGAGGCGGAGGTTGCACTGAGCTGAGATAGTGCCATTGCACTCCAGCCTGGGAAACAAGAGTGAAACTCCGTCTCAAAAAAAAAAAAGTATTTTCCAATGTAATTATCAATTTATACTTCTTCTAGCAGTTGACAAATGTTCTTATTGCTTAGTTTGAAACACTTAGTTTTGTCAGATTTCTTAATATTTTCTAGTTTGATGGCTGTGTAGTAAGATCTCATTATCACTTTAATTTGCATTTCACTGGTAACAAATGAAGTTGTGTGCCTCCTCATAATATTTATTGACTTTGTGGATTGTGTGTGTGTGTGTGTGTGTGTGTGTGTGTGTGAAGCCCATGTTCAAAACCTTTGCTCATTCTTTTATTGGATTTCCTGTCTTTAATAGTGCTTAATTTAATTGATGTTTTAGTAAACGTTAGTTTAACTGTATTTGCAAACGTTAGTAAAGAGTTTGAATGAATGATCATGGTTGAAGGTCCACCATACAGCCAGAAGGCAGGTGCAGCAACCTGAGATTTTTCACAAAACATTTTATGTAATTAGCTTACACAATTATTCATCAATTAAATTGGGTCTAAGCATCTTCCCATCACACTGTTTGCTGCCTGTCATCTTCCAGTGAAACCAGATTAATGAATGATGCTAACATTGGTAGTTAACATTCACTAGACCCTTACCCCTATCCAGGGCACTAGGCTGAGGACTTCATATAGGTTATTTTTACTTACATCTCTCAATGCTTCTTTGTGGAATGTACAGCTGCTCCTCGACTTACAATAGGGTTAGATCCAGATAAACCCATCATAAATTGAAAATATTTTAAGTTGAAAATGCACTTACCACACCTAACCTACCAAACATCCTAGTTTAGCCTGGTTTACCTTACATGTGCTCAGAACACCTACATTAGCCTACAATTGGGCAAAATCATATAACACAGATCCTATTTTATAATAAAGTGTTGACTATCTCATGTAATTTATTGAAAATTATACTGAAAATGAAAAACAGAATGGTCGTATGAATACTCAAATTACAGTTTATACTGAATGCATATCATTTTCCCACCATTGTAAAGTTGAAAAATCGCAAGTTGAATCTTTGGAAATGGGGGACTGTCTGTACTATTAGGCTCAGAGCCTTAAATTGCTTGACCATTATGACTCAGCTAGAGAGTGATGGGACTGGGAGCTGATCGCTCATCTAACTCCAAAACACACACTCTTCTAATTATTATACTGCCTCAAAACAAGTTTCCATCTGGTTTCAAATTTGGGATTGTTGTGTACTGTGAAAGTGGCAATCATTTCTTCTAAAAGAAGAGAATATAATTAAGTAGTCTGTTTAGACATGGTAAAATTGAAATTGTCTAGAAAAATAATATAATGTATTATGAAGGATACTGACAAAAAGAAAATAGGTTTGAATAAAGCTATGCTATGCACTTATGTTTCCATCACTGTCATTAAGTGAATGACAAATATACTATTTTGATTTACTATTGTATCAATAAACATGTTACACTTCATGAATAGATAACATTAGATGCTCTTAAGCCAAGCTTACTTTTTAGATTAAAATGATGAAATAAACAACAATGGCAAACATAACTGTACATCCAGTAGCAGCTACCCTAAATTCTCAAAGCAAGGAAATAAGACAATCCAACACATCATATTGAGTCTCAAAGAGATTTTCTAGTCATTCATAAGCATAAAACACCAAAATGTTCAAAATTAAGACTCCCCCAAAATATTATTCTTTTTTGGAAAAGACCCCAGAGATCTGTGGGAAAATTAATCTTTATTTCCAAGTTAAACTTTGAATTTGTTGTAAGATTAAAGAACTATGAGTATTTTGAAACAAAAGTTGTAGAAAGTGATCAGATTTTGAAAAGACCATGAAAACTAAGAGCTGAGCTACAGCCCGTGGAAACAATGGGAGATATTTCTGAAACAGTTTATATAACGAGCTTTAATTCGGAGATTTTTTTTTTCCCTTTTGAGGAAACCTTCTGGCTTGAACATGTTCACAGGTTCTGTATGGCTTGTAAAGCTGTGTTCTTTCTCCCGCTGGGACCTTGCTCAGGCTTGTAGTTTCATCTGAAAGAATAATTTTCGATATTTCCTAGGCTGAGCATTAATCCCTCCATTGCTTGATCGATTAAATCCCACTGTCTGTGTCTGGAAGGCGATGTCTGAGCTTTATGTATTGCTTTCTGGCAAGCTACATTTCCATGCTCATGGAACAGATGCAGCAGGGTAACTGTGTGCAACAGGCTTTCAGCCCTCAAAGCTTGGGGGAAATGACAGGTATGGTGTCCCATTTTAACTTAAGTTTAAAGGTCTCATAATTATACTGCTATCTGATGAATTTGGTTCATACCTTTTGTATGGCATTTAGTAGCTTACAAGGTGAGAATACATTATCTCGTTTGATCTTCACAAGAATTGTTTATAGGAAACAGAGCTCTATTATCTCTCATTTTAATAACGAGGAGAGGCTGTGACCCTTGCCCAGGGTCATATGGCCAGTAACTGGCAATCTTGTAATTAAAATTCAGATCTTTTGATTCTAACACCAGTGTTCTTTTATGATTCACATAAAAAACCCGAGATTGGAGAATTATAGAGGGCTTTCAAAAAGATCCACATTATCCATGTGCTCTGAGTCCAGAAAACTAACTGTAATATAAATGTCACATTGTGGCTCACTTGAGCAGAATGAAACAAAGATATGCCATTTCAATGTTGTTTCAAGGATAAGAAGTCTTGGAGAAAATTGCTGGGATACTTCGAGAAACCCTAAATGTGATCAGGCAGGCCCCTAGAAGATAAGTATGTCTGCCCTGTCAGGGACCTGTAACTCATAAGGTCTCAATGCCTGGCCTGACCTTCCCATGTGTTTCACCTGCACATATTCTATTTCTCCAGCTGTAAAATCCTGGGTGTAGGTGTATTGTTTTGGTCTTCCGCAAAGGGGAATCCTTATCTCAAGATTTTCAAGTGCAAGTACCTTATTCGGGAGAAGAAACACCAGTAGGAAAAGGGAGCAGTGATATAGGGAAGATGCAGTGGCCAATAAAGAGTACATTACCCAGGCAGCTACCCGTGGAGATTAATCCCACAAGGAAAGCTCGGACGTGATGTAAAACACAAACCACAGAGACACACTCCCCTGAGGGGTGAGAGATGGGTGTTCAGATGCCAGCTCCCCTTAGGCATTGTTCTTTTTTTTTGGCAGTGCAAAGTGAAAGCAAGTTTATGAAGAAGGTAAAGGTATAAAAGAATGGCTACTCCATAGACAGAGCAGCCCCTCAATCATTGTTGAGAGCTGCTGGGAGTGGGAGGTAATTCCCCACCTTCCTGCAACCTGTGCAGGAGAGAAGAGCGGCATTCTGTAGCTTAGGAAAAAGTTCCTAGGCAAAGAAAGGCAGATCCCGGCAGGGTAATGTCTCTGGTAAAAGGCCCGAGGGATATGGCTCTGCTATAACAGGATCTAGATCTTACACTTCAAAAATTATCTTTCAATGCTCAGAATAGTATTTGGGATACTATAGTCCCCTGACAACTGTGGACATATCAACCTGATATGAGGGTATATGTGAGAAATGCTTGCAGATACACATTAAATCTGTACCAACAAAAGAATATGGAAAGAAAGAAAGAGCAAGAAGGGGCCAGGAAGGCAGCCTGCACCATCGTTTCTTTGGCATGGGGAGTCATCTCTACTCACACTTTCTCATAAATCTTGTTCGGATGCTCTGGCCATTCGATCATGCACACGACTCTGCTGGGCATGGTCTCTGTGGTTGAGTAGTAGCCCTGGGGGAAGGCCAGCAGGAGAGCCAGGACCCAGATGACACAGATGACCACTTTGGTGGCTGTGGCTGACAGCCGGGGCTGGAGGGGATGTATGATGGCCATGTACCTGGAACAGAGAAGAAAGAACAAAGTTCTGATCTGGTCACCAAAATCTGTATCAGAGATTCCATATTTTTCCTGCCAATAAGAAAATTCATAGAAACCCTTTGATTCCTGATGATTTGTACAATTATTTTCCAATTCCTTTTCCATATTCTACCCTTAAGCTTTGTGATATGCCATACAATGCCAACATGCGTAAGAAAAGCCAGCTAGATTTTTCAGTATTTCAGAACCTATCTAGCAGCATTCAAGGAGAGACATTTTCATCATTGAAATGCTTGTGCTGGGGACAGGACAGCCAAGTACAGGTAAGTGAAATTAGAAAAATAAGAACAATGTTGTAAATTTATTCAATGTAAAGACTGACTTTCATTCTTTCTAGATTAAGGGATAATGGTGATCAGAATAGTACTTTTTTTCAGTCCTTATGTGATATTATAAAAGATTAGCAGTCCTACCTCGGTCCATACAATTTGAGGGGAAGTAAACATGTCTCTGTGACAAAGCATTGGCCTAAAGTCAGCAAAAAACAACAGCTCCTGGAGAAATCTTCATCAATTCTTTGAGCATCTAGGAGTCAGTGTATGGCTAACTATACATACTTCGTGAAGAGAAAGACGGTCTCCACCTGCTGAGGCAGACAGACTAGAGTGCACAAAGGACCAGTATGGATGACACTTCATTGCAGGAAGAGGGGAGCACAGCAAATGATGACTTCATGTCTGGAGCCATTCCTCCATCGCTTCATTCCTGGGCTCTGGCACTAAACAGTGTCATCTGAATGAATGTGTCCACATGTTTGAGTTTGTGCACAGCCCCTGAGATGTTGCAGAGATTTGAAGGATAAGTATTTCATATCAGCCTTTCATATCAGTGATAAGCACATCAATTCTGCCTCTTTCATTTTAAAAGACATCTCTCTCTGCATATTTTTCTTGCAAAGTTTATAGCTCTATACCTTAAAATAAGCATTTTTTAAAAGAGAAGGAATGATATCTTATAGGGCCTTTGGCATTTAAATATTATCTGACAAAACCTCAGAATCACACATTGATTCTCTGACAGTCAGGTGTCTCTGACGTCCATGCGACAGAATGGTCAACGGAGACTTCAAAAATCTGCAAAGAGTAGCAGAGCTGTCAGCTGGCTCCACATCGTTCCACATAATTCTTTTACTGTATTCTTTGGACTCCTAGGATCTCTAGACCAGAATTAGGACCAGGGTTACAAGTAAAGCAATTTTATTCAGTATGCGCTCAATAAATTCCCACTGGACACCTGCCGCACATAGAGCACAGCGTTTCCTTCTGGGCTATAAGCTTGTAATTTCTCCAGGGAGAAAAGGTGCATCAATAAGCAGCTCAAAACACAGCAGTAGGATAAGTGACCTCAAGTGGTAATTGGATCAATACCTTAGAGTCTTAGGGGAGCTGCGGAGACACTCAAGCCCTGGAATGGCAGGTGGTCTACTGGAGGGGCTTCGACAGGTGTGCTGGATTTGGGGTGAGTCTGCTGAGCATCCTGCCCCAACGGGAGGAAGTGTTTGGAGCTTTCTTGTTTCTCCATGTTAGGATTAGGCTTTGTTTGCATGAAGGCTTCCTTGAGCATCCTCTTATCACTGTAAACTTTAGAAACTTTTCTCTGCATTTTTGTGCTAGGGACCTGGGATTTCCCTCTCTGGTCTGTAAGGGCCACTGAAGGTGTTTAGTGTATAGAGTATGTCTACTAGGAGGACACTTCATGCCAACCTTTATATCAGAAGTCATGACAACTCCCAGGAAGGAAACTCCTAGAAACTCTTTCTTCTGCCTCTTTTAGAAAGTGGGTAGGTGGTCTTAAAGTGAGGAGAGAGTGGAATTATAGGAACAGACTTGGAAAAGATATGATGTTGGGGGTGTGTAGTAATCTATAAATCTCTGGGCAAGTTTCCCTGGTTCTGTTGATACTATAAAGCCTATCACTCAAATGCTGTCTGCAGGTCATCAAAAGGGCAAAAACAACTCTCAATATGTTACAAATCAAACATTGTCTGTTTTCTTTAGGTTACCCCAAAATGGCCACGACTACTGCCAAGGCAGGTCCAGGACACCATAGACTAGATGACCTTCCATCTCTGGGGTAGTCCCTTGAAAAGGACCCTGAGAAGTGTTGATTTCTCCCCTAGACCTGTGTCTTCCTTGATGCCTGACAGTGGTGGAGCCCTGTATCCTCTTCAATCATGGGGTGCGGTGGGTGGGGGAAACTCAGAATCAGAGCCAACACATGTGGGCCTGTTCAACCATTATCGTTGCCGTCTTTCCAATTCAGTGAAGGGCTGGACCCAGATGGTCATGGCCAGAACCTCTTTGAGTGTTTGTATTAAAACCATAGGATTGCTTGTTGGATTATTTCCCAAATGCAGCGGTGAAGATGCCTTATCTCACCTCCAGCACTGCATAGTTCCTACCCTCACTGGCAGCTGTGCATTCTCAGGCTTCACAGGAACTTGAGGAGGATGCTCAGGGGAGAATGTGGTAATTACATTGCCCTCTTTTAATATTACCTCAAATGCAAGATTTTAATTTGTTTCTCATTCAGGATAAATGCTCAGTCTTAAATAAACAAATCCTAACACCACTCCCCATGCTCGAATTGGCGATACACCATTCAGAATCTAATGTGACTGGGCTTACGGGGGATTGCACCAGCGTATTGGCACTGTAACTCCAAATGGGTGGCAGAAAGCCATATTTTATCCTTATTGCAAAAATTGCAATTTGGGAACGCACTTCAGTTAACTCTCTACCGTTCTTTAGTGTAGGAGCCATTTTAGTGGCAGATGAAAGTATTACCCACATAAAGCCAGAGAGAATAAAAAAGACTGGCTTTAAAAAATGTATATATGTTCATTTGTTCAAAACAGAGGTGTTTATAAATCTCCCTCCCTCCTTCCTTCCCTCCTTTCCTCTCTTTCCTCCTTTCTTCTATCCCTCTCTTGCAATCCTCATTTCTGGGGCTCGTTTAACATGTTTTTTTCTTATTCACCCAAAAGCTAGTACCATTTGGATAACCTGTACACAGATGGATGAATATTTTCTTTCCTACTCCCCACTTCTAGCTAGGATTCATTAACATACATTTATATATTTATCTGGAACCAGCCTGAGCAATTCTTGCTTATTTGGTTATAAGATATTACGGAGCAAGTGCTGCAAACCCAAGGAAAATACATTCAATAAATATTTATTGACTGCACCGTGCTCGTGGGACTCTAAGGCAGTCAATGAAACGTCTTTCTGGTGTAAGCATTAATCATTAGGCTGCCAGCGACAGGGATCTGGAGGCGTGTGGGATATGGATTATGTTCTTTACTTCAGGTGGTTCCAGTCCCACTGAGGGCCATCAGGACTGATTTGAATTGTATGTGTCCTCCCAGCTGAAAAACCTGAGATGTAGCCTTCCTCTTGCATGATGATGCTTTATAAAAAGAACTCTCTGCTGCACATTTGTTTTTTCTTGTAGGCAGAGTGAAAACAATCTTATTGTGAAAAGGAATTTCAATCCTCTGACAAGCGGCAGTATCTTCATAACTTCCTGCTATACCAGTCCCAAATCACTCAGCAGAGAGAACGTCTTTCCTCTACGATGAGATTTGTCCAGTGGGGCCCTTCTTCCACAGTCTTTCTCATCCAATTCCAGTTTCTGCCCTCACTTCTCCCACTCACTCCTGGGGTGTTACAAGTTTCCTTTAAGGGACCACATCTTCCTGAGTTCAGATAACCAGGGTGGTAATAGCTGAGAGTGTGGCTGCTATAGTCTAGCTCAAGGGTTGGCAATTTTTTTCTGGGAAAGACAGATATTACATATTTTGAGTTTTGTGGTCCATATAGTTTCAGTTGTAATTATCAAACTCTATCTTTGTAGTGTGAAAACAGCCACAGACAGCAAAGAAACTATTGGGCATGGCTGTATGATAATAACATTTTATTTACAAAAACAGGAGGTAGGCTGCATTTGGTCCCTGGCCCATAGCTTGCTGTCCCCTGGTCTAGTTTACAGGAAGCGAAGAGCAGGAGGAATTAGAACCATAGGAGAAGATGGTGTGATATTCAGAAACACTCTTTACCTTTGGCAGATGGGAACTCATTGGGTAGATAACTCCTGTGTCCCACAAGCAGTGAGTAAGGTGGTCTACGGCCAGTCATGACCAAGAATCAGATAAGACCCTGGTTCTAATGTGAGCACAGTGGTCAATCTGGGATGTTTTTCCTCCTCGATCCCTTCCTGGCTGTTCCTGTTTATTTTCACAACTTGGCCCAGTCATCATGTCCTTGTGGCTGTGTTTGTTGCCTGCCTTTACTGCTGTGAAGATCTCTAAACCTTGTGCTGACCACGCTTCACTTTATTTTCTATTTTCTTTTCTTTTCTTTTTTTTCTATTCTTTCTTTTTTTTGTTTTGAGATGGAGTCTCGCTCTGTTGCCCAGACTGGAGTGCAGTGGTATGATCTCGGCTCACTGCAGCCTCTGCCTCCCGGGTTCCAGCAATTCTCATGCCTCAGTGTCCCAAGTAGCTGGGATTACAGGTGCCTGCCACCATGCCTAGCTAATTTTTTTGCATTTTTAGTAGAGAAGGGGTTTCACCATGTTTGCTAGGCTGGTCTTGAACTCCTAACTTAAGTGATTCACTGTCCTCGGCCTCCCAAAGTGCTGGGATTACAGGCATGAGCCACCGCGCCGGGCCTTTATTTTTCTAATTGCATATCCTTCTTTTCTCTTTTCACCCTCCACAGGTCCTTGGCCTGCCCAGGTGCTGAGGATGTAGTAAATACTCATTGAAAGTTTGGTTGCATAAATGATATCTTGGCACATAGCAGTGGCTTCATGAATGCTTGTTGAGTGAAAATAAGTGTAAAAGGAGAAAAACATACATGTTATACCTTTATTCCTCCCAGTCTCAACACATGTAAGACTGTTATGTGAGAATAATTATTGCTCAAAGTGTTTTCTGTCATATAGACACCCAGGATCATCCTGAAGGAGTGACCTCACTGGAATTGGCTCTTCAGAATTTTTTATCTCTTGACATTAAGCCCCTAAATAGAGCCTCAATACCTACTTGTTGACTAACTTTTGTGTTGACTATACGTTGGGAACTGTGCAGGATTCAGTCTTTCTTAGTTTTTTATAGCTTTGATTTTAGGTTCAGGGGTACATGTGCCAGGTTTGTTCTATAGATAAACTCATGTTACAGGGGTTTGTTGCACAGATTATTTCATGACCCATATTAAGCTAGTACCCAATAGTTATTTTTTCTGCTTCTCTTCCTCCTCTCACTCTCCACCCTGAAGTAGACCCCAGTGTCTGTTTCCTTCTTTGTGTTCATCAGTTCTCATCATTTAGTTCCCACTTATAAGTGGGAACATGTGGTATTTGATTTTCTGTTCCTGTGTTAGTTTGCTAAGGATAATAGCCTCCAACTCCATTCATGTTCCCGTAAAATACACGATTTCATTCTTTTTTATGGAAGAATTATATATATAGTATTCCATGGTGTATATGTACCACATTTAAAAATCCCATCTGTCATTGATGGGCATTTAGGCTGATTCCATGTCTTTGCTATTGTGAATAGTAGTACTGCAGTGAACATATGCATGCATGTATCCTTATAATAAAATGATTTATATTCCTCTGGGTATATACCCAGTAATGGGATTGCTGGGTCAAATGGTAGTTCTGATTTTAGCTCTTCAAGGAATAAAGACTTGAATGTGAAACCCAAAGCTATAAAAGCCCTGGAAGGCAACCTAGGCGACACCCTCCTGGACAAAGGAAGGGACAAAGATTTCATTACAAGGACACCAAAAGCAATTGCAACAAAAGCAAAAATTGACAAATGGGATCTAATTAAACTTAAGAGCTTCTGCACAGCAAAAGAAACTATCAACAGAGCATACAGACAGCCTACAGAATGGGAGGAAATATTTGTAAACTATCCATCTGACAACGGTCTAATATCCAGCATCTGTAAGGGACTTAAACTAATTTACAAGAGAAAAACAAACAACCCCATTAAAAAGTGGGCAAAGGACATGAACAGACACTTTTCAAAGAAGACATACCTGTGGCCGCAAGCATATGAAAAAAATCTCAATATCACTGATCCTTAGAGAAATGCAAATCAAAACCTCACTGAGATACCATCTCATACCAGTCAGAATGGCTATTTTGAAAAGTCAAAAAATAACAGATGCTGGTGAGGTTGTGGAGAAAAGGGAACATTTATATACTATTGACAGAAGTAAATTTGGATTCTGTCTTTCTATATGGCATCACCCTCTGGCTCTTCTTCTGAACAAATTGCTCCATCCATTCTCCTTCCATCCTCCCTCCGTTTTAGGGAGCACACAGTCTTTTTACCTGAGGTCACTAACATTTCATCAGTTGAGATTTTCTTCCAGGATATTTTTTTATCATCGAAATTCAGGGATGTTATTTAAGCATATCACTCAACCAGCATCCTTATCTATTCAGCTAAGCTCAAGCTCACAAAGCTATAACCAAAGAGGCCTTTAGCAGCCTGCAGAGATGACACAAAGTTCACACACCACTAAATCATTTTTATTATTAATTAATTATTGTTTATTAATATTAGCAGCAGAGTCTTCGCATCCTCACTGCTATGTTGTGCACAATTCTAAAAAGCATGAGGTTTTGATCTCCATGCCCAGTGCTGATTCACAGCATCATCAGTGGACCCACTTCAAAAGGTGCCAGCTGATAGCAAGGGCGCCATCAACAAGACCATAAAAAATGGGTGCAAAGTCAGATGGATTTGAAGGCCTGCGACAGTTTAGGGTAAAGTGAAGGAGGGGATGCAGTTGACTGTTGTTTGAGCTGTTCTGTCTCATGTGTGATCAAACAGTGACCCATATTGTTCAAAGAAGATTCAGAAATAGAGTCCTTGGGCTATTAGGAAACAAAGTACCTGATGTAGGAGCTCATGAGACGAGGTGATTCCAGACCCTGGGAGCCTTCCAGCCTTGTCTAGATTCTACTTCCTATCTCACTACTATCTGTAGAAATTTTGTTTATCCTTTAAATGTGGATCAGAACCCATCTCTTTCAGGAAAACTTTTTCAATCGTTCAAAAATCTCTTGGAGATAATCATAACCACATTCTATTGAATACCCTCCCATACTCCTGTTAGCTGTCCTCCCTTATGGAACCATCTCATTTTATTTTATAGCAGAACAATCTGTGCTCCTGTTCTATCCCATCACTGGACGGTAAGCTTCCTGAGGGCAGGGGTTGTGTTCACATATATTTTTGTCTTTTGGGAAACTTACCAAAGAGCCTTACACAACTGGTAAAAGTTTGCCTGGATGTGCCAGCTGATGTTTGACCAAAGAACTCCATCTTCATTCAGCAGTTGCAAGCTGGCGGCTCCACTTAGGGCATTCAGACTAGTCTTAAAAGACAAGCTTACAAAGGGACAGATACAATTCTGGAGTATTCTTTCCACAGTGAACTCCTTAATGCTATTTTGGAATGTGAGGCACTAAGCCAGGATTGATAAAGCGCCCTAGTTGGGCATAGATAGAAGGTGCCCCCTAAGCAGCCCAGGTTAAGCCCTTTGATTTTTGCAGAGCCAGGGCTACCATAAAAATACGTATCACTAAGGTCTGATGTGAACGAAGGGGAAAAAACAGTGAAGGTCCAAGTTGTGTATAATATTCTGAGTGTTTCTGCCAGCAGGTGGGCCAGACAGTAAGCATTGGGAATGAGCAACACTAGGAGTATCAGTCAGCTAATCGCTGGGATCCTGCCATTCACAATAAAATGCTACCCCTCAGGGGTGGGACTGGGGTTGGGAGTGGCTGGGGTGAAGCAGGAAGACAGAGCGCGCATTTTTTTCTCCCTGAAAAGAGCAATGGTAGCAAGTTTGTAACACAATGGAAGGTGAGTAAAGTAATGTACCATTTCATTTCCAGCTTGAGGGCTCCTGTCAAGGATTGGCAGAAGCTACTTGTTAGGTAGCTCACAACATTTGTGAGCTACTGTTTTCTTCCTATATGGAATCTCATGCTTGCATTTGGGACTCCACCCCTGAGGCTGTGCTGACATGTATAAGACAGACACACACAGCAATAGCTATCCCCTGGGCAAAAGGCTGATGCTACTGGGACAAACTAGATCCTTTGTGACATTGACCTGTTTGCGATTTAGAGCTAAAACTTAGGTAGGAGGTGTGTGCTGACACACGGGAGACTCAGGTTTATAGAAATTTGACTGGGGAGGTGATAATAGGACCACATTAGCTCCAGCAGCAGAGTAAGAAAAAAAGAAAGAAGAGAGTAGTTTGGATTGTAATGTCTTTGAGATTTTAATTACCGTAAGGGAAAGGGGAATTGCACTGATTGAACTTCATGATTTTAGTGGAAACTCAATAATGGAAAGAAGTTCAAATTTAGGGCATCTTTAAAATTGTTGACACTGTGCTTTTTGGCCGCTGCTGTCACTGCAGTATTGAGTAGTCCTCTCTGGTAAGCTAGTTAGGAAAATGTAGTTGGCCATAATCTTAGAATTGTATTTTCATCTTATGCAGTGTGGCCTTGATATTAAGTTATTAAATAATTAATGCTCTCTTCTGACCAATTTTGAAGTTTTTGTGAACAACATCAAAGATGCATTTCTTTTAGCTATTTGAAAATACAAAATAAATTGTCGTTGAATGGATTTTGAATGTTCCCAACCCCCCAAAATACTAAATGTTTGAGGTGATGGATATGCTAATTACCCTGATATGACCATTACACATCGTATAGATGTATCAAAATATCACACTGTACCTCACAACTATGTACAATTATTACGTGTCAATTAAAACAAATAAACAATTTTTTGAAATCTTAAGAAAATGATGCATTTTTTGGAGGGCTGGATCATCCATTCCATTGGGCCTGGCAGGCTATGTAAAAACTGCTGCAGTCACTCACAAGTATATTTAGAGTTTCCCTGATTCTCTAGCCTCCTCTTTCCCCAAGTGGTAAGCATGTTTTCTGGGTGACCATAGGGTGACCATTGACTTAATTTTGGCCGCAGAAAACTTAAAGCAGAGGCACTTGGGGCCAAAGGAAGGACTAGGAAGGGGAATGATATTTCCCTGCCTCCTCCTCACTCAGGGTAGCCTCTCTTCTCCCACAGATCTCTTTTATTCGAACTAAAAAGCCAGAATCTGTGGGCTGGGATTGGAGTGAGGTGAGTGAGGCACTCACAGTGCAAGTGAAGAATTAAATCCCGTCTTTATTTAAAATGTTGATATTTTGTTAATCATAGATTTTTGTGCATTGTTTGATATCTTAATGTATTGCATTAAAATATTATTTGTCTTGATTACTGAATTTTTGGGGTCCCCTTAAATTTTGCACCCCAGGCAAATGCTACACTTGCCTCACCCTAATCCCAGCCTTGAAAATGTCTCCTGCTGAAGTATAGCAGGTAAGACAATCACTAATCAAATGAAGTGTACTCAGACTCAGGTGCTCAGCATTATTCAGTGCTGCTGCCCCTGCCAGGCACCTGATGTACCAGTCTGTTGTGCTGCGTCCTGTGCCTGCAGCCACCAGATGGGGTGGCAGGCTCAGCAGGAAGCCCCTAACAGTTTAAGTAACATGAACAGGAAAGATGCTGAGTAATCCTTCTCTGGAGAGTATGAAGATTATTTGGGCACCCTTGCTACAGTGATTTTGCTTTTTCTTGTATAGTGTAAATCCACAACTGTTTATTTATTTTTGATAGTGCTTTCTTAGTTAAATCTTTGACAGCAATAAGTTATAATTTCAAAGAAGCACACATCAAATGAAAAGTTTAGTACTGGATTTCTGCTTTTCATAAAAGTTGATGATGAATGTGTAACTTGCACAAAATGATTTTAGACATCTACCTTTTATCACACCAAAGCGTTAATCACTGAACCTGTGAAAACCAAAAGACACACATCTGCTGAAGCAGCAGCAGCATCTACACCAAAAGTTAGTAGTTATTTTAAGACAACCGTGCTCAAAGACAATTATTTAACCTATGCAGGGAAAATGGTGCATTTCCTCATCATTCTGTGAAGCATGACTTCTCGCTTAGATTAAATGACCGTTGTTCTAAATTAACTTCACTCTTTTTCAATTCCAATGTTTCTTGTGCATGTACAAAAGGTCGAGTAATAGCTATTAATATGTTGGCTCAGTTATCAGAAGAATTTGGCAAATAGCTAAATGATTCTAATTTTCTATCAGTGTCATCAGAGTTTTCAAATAGAAAATCAGTTAATATCAATAATGAGCCAATTTTTTTTTCTTTTTTTTTTTGAGACAGAGTCTCTCTGTCACCCAGGCTGGAGTGCAGTGGCACTATCTCAGCTCACTGCAAGCTCCGCCTCCTGGGTTCACGTCATTCTCCTGTCTCAGCCTCTCGAGTAGCTGGGACTACAGGTGCCCGCCACCATGCTTGGCTAATTTTTTGTATTTTTAGTAGAGACTGGGTTTCACTGTGTTAGCCAGGATGGTCTCGATCTCCTGACCTCGTGATCTGCCTGCCTTGGCCTCCCAAAGTGCTGGGATTACAGGTGTGAGCCCCCGCACCCTGCCAATAATGAGCCAATTCTTTAAAAAATTCAACTCATAGATTCAAAGTTTTTGGAAGGTGAAATAATGGACATTGTTGTGAATGTTATCATGGGTCCATTTCAAAATTCAGCAGTGAAGATTAATTTGTTTTGGTACTAATATGAATACATTATGATAAAAATAATGCACTTACTAAATTAAGAAACCCATGGAACAGAAATGTACTTGTAATAGGTTGTGATACACATAATTTGCAACTATGTACAAATAAACTGTGGTATCTTACTAATTGAAACAGAAGCAGTAGTTGAAATTTATAAAAAGTTTTGTAGGTATACAGTAACGGAACTAATTTATTTTGGGTGTGTTTTTGTATGATGAATACAAAAGTATACTACATAGTATTTTAAAAGTGTTTGAGCCTTTGACTGTTTTATGAATTAACCTAAGTAACAGTACCAAACTTTTTGTAAATGAGTCCTCAAAGTTTTGGTTATATTTTATTTAAAATTAGTTGAAAATTGTAAATCAAAATATTTTCAATGGAGTACTCCTACATTTTTAACTTCTGAAGCTTTTGGCAAGTTGCAATTTCTCAATACAAATCTGGCAAACAAAAAAGACATTGAAATTCATTTCTATAAAAGCCAGAGACAAACTGCATGAAATAAAAACTGAAAGCTCCTATGGGGTGCACAATTTAATTTGGAAATTCTTGATTGGCTCTTAGGAATATTTTGATTAGAGGAAAGAATCTTTTGATGGATTTCTTGTTTTTTAGTAAATTGTTAATATTCTCTATCAAAATAAAGTATAAAATTGAGAAAATTTCATTTCTCACAATTATAGTGATTAAATTTGGCAAAACACTAAAATGAAACAACCTGTCAACTAAGACAACTTAGTTTTGTCTTCTTAGTTTTATCTCTTAAATCTAACCTTCTGTACCTCTGTGCTGCATTCTGGTTAATTTTTTTGGATCTTCCAGTTCACTGACTCTCTTCAGCAAGTCTAATCTGCTATTAGATTCGTCCACTGAGTTTTATATTTTAACTGTTATTATTGTTCATTTTTAGAATTTTGATTGCATATTTTTAAAAATGTCTAGTCATTCTTTATAATTTTTACTCACTCCTCATATTGTCAGACTTCTTTTTATTTCATTATACATAATAAACATAATTTATATTTAGTGTCTCTGTTAACTCTAATAGCTTAAGTCTCTGGGTTTGCTTCTGCAGGTTCTCACTCATGGTGACCTCTTCCATTATCTGTTTTATGCTCACTGCATACTGCTTATTTTCTTTGGAACTTTATCTTTGAGGATTTGTTGATGCCTTGTTGAAGGTGGGTTCCTTCAGAGACGATATACAATTGTTTTTGCCAGAAACCTGAGAATACTTCCAGACTGGGACCACTGCAAACTGGATTTCAGAGTGAGGTTTGTTTTAGACCAACCAACTTAAATGAATTTGGTCTGCATCCCCATGTGAGGATACTTTTTCTGCTACGAACTCTCAGAAGAGATTTTTTTTGTTTTCTGTCGACAGCACCAAGGTTGGAGATGGGCAAGTTTCCTGCAGCTGTTGGCAGGCTAGGCATTCGTTTCTAGTTCTCTTTTACACTGAGGATATAGCTTTTTGGTTTCCAACTTTAAGGGAAGGTGGCCTATTAGACAACCCACCTTGGGCAGGTCCTAGGCTTTGTTTCTTGTCCCCATACTCTGTGAGTCAAGGTCAAGGTCAAAAGCCCTTAAGACAAAAGCCAGCTTCACTGCTGTCAGTATGTAGAATTCCTGCCATTATTTAAATTTTGACTTGAGCATTTTTTACTTCTTGCAAGACAATGAATGATTTAAGAAGAAAAAATTTTTTGTGCGTGGTATCTTATTCGGCATTTTTTATTTAATTTCAAGAGCAGCAATCAGGATATCTAGTCTGTCACTTTGCTGCTGTCTTATTTTTCATTTTTCTTTTGTCTAATTTTTCCAAGTAAAAATTTAAAGAATACAGGAAGATATAAAGGTAATGCTTCTCTTTGACTTCAGTCCTTAGGAGTAACACATAGTTAACATACCAAGCACACTCCATTCTATGTACTTTCTTTGCGTTAATTCATTTCATCTTTCACTAACTCTTTGAGGCAGGCTAATGTTATGACCTCCAGTTTCCAGATGAGGAAATTGAGACACAGAGAACTTAAGTAACTCATCCACCAAGTGCTGGGGCTGGGTTTAAACTTGGCAGTCTGGCTTCGGCACCTTTGGTTTGCTTTTTATCAAGGCACTATCCAGGATCCTCACACTCACTGTCAACAATGAGTGCAAACTTCTTTTCTCTGAACATATAAACATATATATTTGTCGGGGACATCTGAACCAGAGTAACTCCATCTTGAATAGGAGCTGTGTAAAATGAGGCTGAAACCTACCGGGCTGCATTCCCAGACGGTTAGGCATTCTAAATCACAGGGTGACATAAGAGGTAGGCACAAGCTACAAGATACAGTTCATTAAGACCTTGCTGATAAAACAGTTTGCAGTAAAGAAGCTGGCCAAACCCCACCAAACCAAGATGGCGAAGAGACTTCTTTGTTTTGGAGACCAGAAGGATGACTTCTGGTCGTCCTCACTGTTACACTCCCACCAGTGCTATGACAGTTTACAAATGCCATGGCAACATCAGGAAGTTACCCTGCACGGTCTAAAAAGGGGAGGCATGAATAATCCACCCCTTATTTAGCATGTAACTAAGAAATAATCATAAAAATAAGCAACCAGCAGCCCTTGGGGCTGCTCTGCCTGTGGAGTAGCCATTCTTTATTCCTTTACTTTCTTAATAAACTTGCTTTCACTTTATGGACTTGCCCTGAATTCTTTCTTGCACAAGATCCAAGAACCCTCTCTTGGGGCCTGGATCGGGATGCCTTTCTGGTAACACATCCATACTTTTTCCTGTCCTGCTTTTTAACTCACTCATTCAATAAGCCTTATTTAACCCCCTTTCTATATGTCAGAGAAGGGCTCAGTATATTCATGTTCTGAAGGAGTGGCTGTCTCTGGAGAAGGACACACATGATAATAAAGATGCAATTTGCTGTGTGCTCCAGAGGACTTATGATGCATTAGAAGCATGAGCAGACAGGAGGACATTTACGCCTGGGCAGGGAGGTTGGGGGAGTTTCTCAGTGGAGGTGACATTTGAATTTGACCTGAAAGGTTGAGCTGGCATGCACAATCTATGGAAAGCTGTGTGCAACATACTTTCTAGGAGAAGGCCACAGCATATACAGAAGCCCAGAGAAGCAAAAATGAATGGCTATTTATAATCTGTTTCAACATTTCATTAGATGCTTATCAGGAGTCAGTATTGTATCTTCTATTTCATTGAATCCCCATGGCACCTGACCAGGCACAAGAAAGCTCCTTAGTAACTACCAGCTGATTAACTTAACGATCCCTTTCTTCTTTCTATTAAGCAGGCAGAGATGTTGACTCTCAGATGTTGATGAAGAAACAAGGCTAGAGGATTGAGTGAGGAAAGACAAGGTCTCACAGGCCTCTGCTGGTGAAGTGCTCAGAGAGAATTCTAGCTTTCAAAGGAATACATGAAAGTTGCTGGGACCAGGGCTGCCAAACACAGAGCAAGAGAGAAATAGGCTCTCCAGAAAGTAAACATTTCCCAGATCTGTGTTTACAGACCACCCTGTGGCCTGTCTTACTGGTGATATAGGACTTCCTTAGTTTGGATTCTCTGGCAGTGGAACCCCTGCTGCCTGAATTATGACTTTCCTCTTCCCATGCGGGCCCCAGCACAGGACATATCTCTTTCCCTCTCCCTATTGCTCTTACTTATTGCTTTTTCAGCTACTTAATCTTTCTTAAAGTGATTTCTTAGAATCTCAGTTTTCTCCTTCTGAAATAAGGATTGATAGTATTTACTGGGCAGTGATGCTGAACAAGATAATATGCATGAAGGGACTAGACAAATTCTGGTGCATAGCAGGCACTTAACACTTGTTCACATTCCCCTTGCTATCTTTGTAACTTCCAGAGGCCATGTGGTCTCTTTCCAGAGATTCAGTGCCTAGCTGAAACCCAGGGTACCCAGGACACCTGGTGCTACTGGCTGGATCCAGTGTCCCGGCGCCCGTGCTATCCGTGCTACTGGCTGGATCCAGGGCCAGGCGCCCAAAGATACTCAAAACAGCAAAAGGCCAATGAGGCAGTGGCGTCGGCTTAATAGCTGCTTCAAGGATGGAAATACTCAGTTTATAACTTAAATAGTATTTCATGGGAGAAAGTAAATTGGAGTAGAATTATTCATCCCTGTAGTCCCCACATGCTAATTCCACAGAGACACTTCAGCATGATGATTGCTGAAACTGCAGACCGGTAAATGGGGCACTAACACCCAGCAGCTGCATATTGGGCCTCCTCCAGAGTTTGCTGGAATGAATTGCTTCCTTGCAGGGGGACCTTAAGACCTAGCTTTCCTGTGGAGGAGGAGCCTGATTCACCCTCTCCCACCTCCCCTATATTCTCCCCTCTCCATTTCGCATTCTGTTTCACCATCGTTTTGCAAATCTCACTTCTAAGAATGGTTGTTAGAGGCTCACTAGGGACACCAGGAACTAGTGGGTCATTGCCAGAGGATGAAGCAGCACAGATTGTGAATGTCAGGATTGCACAGGCGGAGAAAAGCACCTCCCCAAGCAAGAAGGAAGCACATGGGTGTGGGCAGGGGTTGGCGGAACTTGGGCCTTGTAGAAAGAAACCCAGGCACATCATCTCACAGGGCACAGCCCAGCCTCTTCGTTTCCAGAGCCCTCTGTACAGCCCTCACTCCAGCCTTCCTTCCTGCCCTGTGCTGTGGCTACTTCCTTGGGAGACAGGAGTAAGAAGTCCAAGGGGCTTGACCCTCACTTCTTCGTCCTTATCAGCTCACAGCAGAGGACGTGCTAAAGACGTGCTTATTAGTGCAGTGTATTAACAAAAACAAAAACTCATCTGCCAAGCCACCTGAGTCAGAAAGAACAGAGTTCTAGTTTTTTGTTTTTCTGCCACTGACAGGTATGCACTTTTGGCAAATCACCTCTTCATTGAGTCTTAGTTTTCTTCTTGGTGAACAGTTTCTGCAGATGTTCTGTAAGGTCTGTGAACGAGTCTAGGGCCTGAATGAAGGTGGAACTGGGCTGCCTTCCCCCTCCTCCAGCAAAGCCTATCCCCTCTGTGATTCCTGCCTCATCTTACAGCATCCCTGAACCAGCATCTCTCAAAGTCCCCTTACTCTCATCAAAAATGGTCAAAGTCATAACAGGCGCTTTAACTTTTCCATCACACTTGATTATTGTGAAGATCAAATAAGACAAAAGTTAAGAAATTGTAATTGTTATGTGAGGCATTGTTAGGAGTCTCACCAAACAGACATTTAGGCACAGGAAACATAGGAAGAAAGGCAACTCCTGATGGTGTATCAGGCCACATTCAGAGCTCCAGGAAGATCACAGACAGCTGGGGGTGGATGATGGCAGAGCAGAATGCCTGGTAGACTACCTAGGAGATCTGTGATGCCTACAACTGGCTTAGGCCGGGGTCTCAATCAGATGACGATATTCTAATTATCAGTTTGTGTGGTCTCTTGGCCTGGGCTTCAAGGAGAAATTGTTAGGTCAATGGTATCTCACCAGGCTAGAAGTAGCTTGAGTCAGGGATTGGGGTTAGCATGAGTGTTCCTTGTATACTCATGGTGCATGGGACCTCAGTGAGTATGTAGGCTGTTAGGATGGGGAGGGGGATTGAAGGCTGATTGTTTCAGTCCCCTCACTAGACACATGACAGATTTCAAACAACACATTCCAGGTCTTTACAGAGCATAATTAAAAGGCCATATTTTCTAATAGAAAGAACAGCTTATTTTATTTCACTTCTACAAGTTATTTAAAATTAGTATTTATGAAATAGAGTTTTTATAAACAGAATCCTAGACATATAGGTAGAGTGGTCACGCATGGTGCGCCCTCCAATCCCCTGAATCTTCTAGGTCCAAGATAAAATATTTCTTAGAAATCCAGCTGTCGGCAGGGCATGGTGCCTCATGCCTTTAATCCCAGCACTTTGGGAGGCCAAGGTGGGCGGATCACGAGGTCAGGAGATCGAGATCATCCTGGCTAACACAGTGAAACCCCATCTCTACTAACAACACAAAATCAAACTTAGCTGGGCGTGGTGGCGGGCGACTGTAGTCCCAGCTACTTGGAAGGCTGAGGCAGGAGAATGGCATGAACCTGGGAGGCGGAGCTTGCAGTAAGCCAGGATCACACCGCTGCCCTCCAGCCTGGGCGACAGAGAGAGTCTCCGTCTCAAAAAAAAAAAAAAAAAAAAAAAAAAAAGAAAAAATAAAAGAAATCCAGCTGTCCAGGAAGACTCTTTGGCCCCTAGGATCTTCCAGTGCTTGAGATATTTAGAAAGTCTTTGTTGTTCCTATACTCATCTACTTTCTCTATACTCTTAGATCTTTACTGTGTTTCTGTATGATGGGATCTTTGGCATAAGACATTCCAGAGTATTAAGCATATAGTGGTAGGCTTCATCAGTGCTACCCAGGACCTTTTTACATCCAAGACAGCTTAATAGCTTCAATGGATAAAACGGCACTGACTCAGAATGCCAGTAGTGAGGTGTACTGGGAAAGATAAACATTTACCATCACATTGTCCCTTGACGACAGGTGAGGAAACTGGGGTTCGTGGATATGCAGCAGTTACATAGTAGAGATGGGACCCCCACCCATCAGTTCTGCCTGATTCAAATTCCCCACTTTGAAAGGGGTATGTGAGTGTTCCATAGTGCAGAGGCCCAGCAGGAAGACGGGGGACTGGGAATGGCTCAGTCACAGATTTTAGCATTGCTGCTGGCAGTTATTTATCTTCACCACCTCCTATGTGCCAGGTGCTGTGTACCATGAGATAGTTCTACTTTGGGCAGATTAATGCTTGAATAAACTCATTGAAACTTTGCTTTCGACCCATGAATAAAACTACCTAGCCTGGACTCTTGCCTTCTTCCCAAAGAAGGTGGTGGTTACTCAAGTATTATAGAAATACACTACAGGGCTGAATTGGTTCTTTCCATGAAGAAGTTCCATTTTCTTGACTCGAAACTGAGGAAATGTTTGAACAGGCCCATCCAGGTGGGAGTGTCACCCAGTTGATGTGGTTGTGTTCTGATGAAGCTTTGGACTGTGGTATGTTATTACATACCATGGTAAACAAGCTTCTGCTGGGTGGTCGTCATGTCAAGGACTGGGGGATCTGCCTCTCCTGGCTCTGTCCTTATTGGTCAAATATGTAGTCTTGATCCATGGCTGGGTGGTAGCCTGGAGACTCATCTACTCATTCAATCATTCATTCATTCATTCATTCAAATACTGAGTACCTATCAGAGCCAGGCACTATGGCAGGAGCTGGGACACAGAGGAAGAGATCATAAATACCACCCCTCCTCTCAGGAAGCTCCAGTTTTATGAGAGTGATGCATAGCAATTAACTAAACCTACAAATACCTGTGCAATTACAACTGTGGTAAGTCCTATGAAAAAGAACGGTCATGAGAACATGCAACAAGGGGATCTATTTTATTTATTATAAAATAAATTAAATACATAAAGGATGGATGGATTTGATCTGCTGGCCATAGTTTACTGACCTCTGTACTAAATAGTTAACATATTAATTAAGGCTTCTAAAGGAAAGGGAAATGAAATTAACATTTGTTTAAGCATTCAATATAGGATATTTAACCAATGGGGCTGTCCAGGTATCATGTAGACTCTTCATAGCTATCATTTCTTATGAACTGCTCCATCAGTCAGGTATTACCATCCATATTTTACCCCTAAGAAAACGGAGGCACAAAGCAATTCAGTCATTTGCCTCAGGTCACACTGCTAGCAAGGAATTTGGGCAGAGGAGGAATCTGAACAGGCCTCTCAGGCTAGGATCAGAGATCAGACAGGATTTGAATCCAGGCTATCTGACTTTAGCATCTGCAATTTTTTGATTAAAATGAGAGCAGCAAAGGAGAATCTATGCTGGCTGGTTTCCCCACTGCAGCCATGAAGGTATAGCTATGCACATGGTCAGCTCCGTTGGAACACGGGCTTAGCTGTCCTTTCTTTGCTGCTCAGTGGACAGTGGCATCTTTCTATGCCCTTAAGCCACTAGGTCTCTACATAGAGAATTAGGAACTGTTGTATAGGAAGTAGAATATGTCAGAGCTTTATTTTCCCAACATATAAACATGTAAATCATCAGTGTTCAATATTCTGGTAACAAAGTAATCTCCTTCCTGTTGAGCTGAAGATAAGGGATTTGAGAGGCTCCGTTGGGGAGAAATAAAAACCCGACTTGTAAGTTTATTTGAGACAAAGCCAAAATACTAACATCGCATTCAGAAGGGGGAAAACAGTGAGGGGAGGCGTGAGAGGAGCACTGGAAAGATTAGACATCAGGTAATGCAACAGCCCTGGTCAGCCTCTTTAGCAAAATAGAAATAAAAATGTAGCTCATTAATTCTAGGTGCACATCCAGGTTGTTAACGGAGAGAGGAGACATAGTTCAGAAATCTGCTTTTCTTTCTTTTAAATGAACATGTTTCCATTAAAATGGAAATTAAAGCCTCATCATATGAAGCAGTCATTTTCTGGGTACTGTATGATTATCTCTATCTTTCCTGGCCACAATGAGAATGGAAATACTCACATTCATCCATTAGCCTTTGGAAGTTACTACTCTGAAATTCTCAAAGTAGCCTCCTTTCCTTAGCATTGAATGTAGACAGTATTTTTAGGGGTAGGAGGCTGGGTGGATGTAAGTACACACCTTTTCCCACTCAAGTTAATTCAGAAAGGCAAGGGGCTAATGAAAATGAGGGTGGAATGTTGGAAGTGGCAGAAAAGTTTTGTTTTACTTTTTGAAAAAAAAGCAAAGGCAGGTAAATGTACATTTGGAAAAATGATTTTAAGGAAATCAAATTTGCCTGCAAAGTTTACACAAGCAGATCATGTGAGGCATGTGCTTAAAATGAGCAGTGGATGGAGTTGCTTTTGTCTTGGGTAGTTCCTGATTCGTCTGTTTCAAGAGGTGCTGTCAGGGAGTTCTTGAAAAGGCTGTTCCTGGGATTCTGCCAAACCAAATACTGTCATCTCCCTCTGAAGACTCAACTCAGGGTGGCCCCTTAAGAAGCCCTCCTTGAGGCCTTTCTCTAATCTTCTCCATCATCATTATCTGTTGAAATTAAAATGCATCCTGAGGGCATGCTGCCCAGTGGCTTTATATCTTGTCTGCACAATGAGATTGTAAGCTCCTTGAGGAAAAGGACCAGGTTGTGTGTGAATTATGCATTCCTTGTGGTGTCTAGAATAATATCAAGTTCAGAAGACTCAGGTATCACTTGAGATGTCTCTTTCTGGCCCCTCCAATGGTCTGAATAAATCTGACTCAAACTCCCAGTTTAACAGTCTTGATGAAGCCCAAAGCCCTATCCATGATACGTGAGAATTCTTATTGTTTTTCTTTTGATGGGTCCCATTGTGACTAGTTCAAAATACTGGAGACTATGTCTTTTTTCCTTCTCATTAACATGGTTACAAAACTCTCTCTTTTATAAACTTCCATAAAAGCTGGTGAGTCTCTTAAGAACTGGGTATTTAGAGACCTCAGGAAGGTCTCATTGGGCAACACATATAATCTTTTCAGCTCTCTCTCTTCCTCTCTTATCTCCCTCTAGTATTACCTCAGAAGCTAGAAGCCATTCTTCCTTTAGTATTTGGGATCTTCTAGCTCCTCCAGTTTGCAAATCCACATTTATATGGTCTCAGCAGAACAAAGCCAACTCATAACAGGACCCACCATCCTCAGAAAATAGCTGGAGTTTTAAATGTTAACTTTTCCCTATTCCATTGAACAGAACTTGTTGCCTCTCCAAGATAAAACCCTCCCTAATGAAACCGCTTTACAACACTTACAACTTTATTTAACAGCAGAAAGCTCAAAGCTGCCATGCAGAGGGAAGCTATGTAGACTCTGGAAGCCTTGAAGCTTAGGAGCATAGGAATTACAGCTCTGTCTGGTTGGCTTAACCACATCCAGGCATGGAGGCAAGGAAAAAAAAAAAAACTCAAAGCTTTGTTTGGAGGATGGTACTAGGAAAGAACTAGGAAACTAGTGAGAGAAGGTACCAAGCTATGCCTTTGTCCACCCACTATTCAATTTACAAATATTTCTTGGTCCTATATCAGGCACTCCATTGGGTACTAGGAATAAATACGCAGATGAATGAGGCATGGCTCTTTCCCCAAAAAGGACTTATATGTGCTCAAAATGTGTTACAGAAATCCCATGAGGATTCTTGGATATTCCAAGAGGGTCAAATTTCATTGCTCTGTTTTTCATACCTGGGACTGGGCTTTAGTAGACTCTCTCTGGTTTCCTGAAGCTTCATACCCCACATCTGCCCTACTGTGAGAGTCCAACCCCAGGGCTCTAGCTGGCTTCTCTCAACTGTTCTACAGTTTTCTAGGCCACAGCTTGAGATGTGACAGAAAGGAGAAAGGAAACATTTATTGCACTCTACTTGATCTTTCATGTATACTATTTCAAATGATTCTGTGACAATCTGCTTTCAGCCCTCTTTTATGGAGGAGGACACAGAGTTCAGGGTAGTTAATGCCTTGCCTAAAGTAAACCAACTGGAGGGGAGGCAGTGAGTGGAGAGGAGATGAAGCTCAATCCTAGAGCCTCCAGCCTCTGCTTCCACCTTCTGGCTAGCTCGCCACTAAGTCCATTTAAGGTGTCGGCTCACACTTTCTGAGTGTTCCATTTTCTCATTCCTTGTGCCAATTCTCATGCCAGGATTAAAGTTGCCAAATATTTAGGTCTCAGGAGAAGGTTGTTTCACAATAGCCTCTCTTATCCCCTGGGCCTCCTTTCTCAAGAAGGCAGAAGGTTCGCAGTAAGTTTGGCAAACAAGTCTAGTGTATGTTGCCAAACCAGAAACAATTATTCCTGTCTCTCTTATAAGCTCTTCAGTTAAGTCTCTGAAAATCAAATGTGGTGGGTAAAAGCAATGAATAATAACGATAGAAATACCTAATCCACTGGAGGGAAGAGGTCATTCAGTTATTCATGCGTTTATGAACACATTTTTGAGTGCCAGGAACTGTGCAAGGTGCTGGAGACATAAGACAGATAAGACAAATAAGGAATTTACAGGCTGTTAGAGAGTAGGATGTGCTAACCAGAGGGGAGTGCAGGTTACCAGAGGAGAGGTCAGGTTAACCAGCTGGGAGGGAAGGTTACCAGAGGAGAGGGCAATCAAATCAGAGGGTGTGTGTTATTAACTCAAATTCGGCTGATTCTCAAAATCATCCCAGTTGTTTTATAAATATATGGATTCCTGGGCTCTACCCATGGCCTAATGAATTGGAATCTTCCAGAGCCATTATCTATACTTTTAATAAGCTCCCTCATTGATTGAAACAATCATGATAGTTGTGGAGTAAGGTCTCACAGACACAGTATAGAGAACTTTGCTCTGGGTGCAGGGTGGATGCCAAGGAGGGGTCAGCTGATGTGATTCTGGGCTTTGTAGAGGGGGTAATATCTGAAGTGAGCCCTCAGAATTACAGACAAGCAAGTTAGGTGCATGGGGTGCTAACAAGGGAGGGAGGAAGGCCTCACCTGAGCAGAGGCCCTGTGGTGTGAGCTGCCACAATGAACCCAGGAGGTTTGGTTGGGCTATAGTCTGAGGTGCAAGCGAGGACAGGGTTAGAGAAAAGGTAGAAAGCAGGCTGGATCCTGATTGGCCTTGCTGATACTGCTAACAAGTTTGAATTTTACTTTTTCTTGACATATTTTCATTTCAAAACATTTTTGACCATGTTTTCTTTTCAAAAACATTACTTTAGAACTTCTGGAACAAGATGGAAATATGACTCTTCCAGCTTTAGCTCTTGTCTTCCTTCCATTGAAATGTCCAAAGAAATTTATAAAAAAAGAAAACATCAGGGAAGGATGCCTTCTTCGAACCAGAAGTATTGGCACTATTTTGCATTGGTTAACACTGATCGAGCATTACTGTGTGTAGGCATTGTCTGAAATGTTCAGCATCTATTAGCTAATTGAGTTTTCATGGTATTCCATAAAGGAGGTGCTGTCACTAAGCTGCACTGATGAGCTATTATTGTCCTCCTGTTACAGATGAAGAAACTATGGCACAGGGAAGATTACTAACTCCAACGGTCTCATGACTAGTGATATTAGGTTGGTGCAAAATAAAAGCAAATTGGCAAAAACCGCAATTACTTTTGCACCAACCTAATAGTATTTGGACCCAAGGAGACTGGCTCTGGAGACTGGACGCTTACTCACAGCATTGTATTGCCTGATATATTGTGAAATGTGGTGCTAGTGGCCTGGATTGACTGATGAGCCCACTGCCCCCAATTCTGTGCATATGAAGGAAAAGTTGATTCAGGCAGTGGGTGAACGGGGTACATAGTGTAACCTCCCTAACTTCCAAGCGTGTAGAGGGAATATTCTAATGCTGGTACATAGAACAAAGGAGGAGGATCAATTCCTCACCTGCTTAGCAGTGAAGCTCCCTGCCACAGGACTGTTTTCCTTGGTAATTATTTTCCTAGTTTCCACGATCATGGGGAACTTTAACTTGGCACAAATGTTCCTAACTTTCAGCCGTAGGGTCCAGACTCCATGGGGCCACTACTGGGACAATAAGTGTGGTCTTACATAAGTATACAGAAGTTCAGTGGGAGCTGATCGATGGAGCTCCCTGGACTGGAGAGGTGTGATAATTAAAGCGTGGGCACAGCCTGTGGGCTTCTGAGATAAAGTGGACTTCACGATAGACTGGAAGGAATCCTTCAGCACAACATGAGTTCTCTTTGGTGCAGATGCCTTTCACTGTGGCCTCTTCCTGCTCCTCACAGCCAACTATGTTGCCACAAACTGAAGCTGCAAATTTATCTTTTTCTTTTTCTTGGATATAAGATTTGAATAAGCATCCCCACAGCCTCATAGAGAAATGATCCTAACTTGGAACCATGGACATACAGTGCTTTCTCAGGAAAGATGGATAAACAGAAAAATCACTGGGTCTATGAAATGATTTAGCAGTTTGAAGAAACTCATCCGAAGAATCAAAGCAAATATTTTCCACTAAAAGAAGCTTATTCCAAAAAGTGAGACATAACCAAAAAGAAAACTGATTCATATTATCAATGAGACTTGAGATTCAAGCACTCATTCTATCCACAACTAACAAACTGATATCAGAAATATTACTGTTAAACATTTAAAAAATTAAATGTGAATTTATCTTATAAATTTGTGAATTCAAATTTTAAATTTCAAATTTTTAACTGGAAGTGGTAGCAATGAATAACAGATTGGATAGCACAGAAAATGACACTGATGATTTGAAAGTCCACTTTGAGGAGTTCCCCAAAAACCAAGAAGCAAAAGATAGAGATGAATATAATATGTAAAATATAAGAGATATGAGGGGTAGGTTTAGGAGATAAAATAGAGTATAGTAGGAATTTTAGAAAGAAATACAATAATCAATACATTTGGAATGTATTAACACAGCCTGAGCGGAATAAGATTTTAAGTTAAATGGATCCTTTCTAGAAAAAGCATTACCATAAAGATGATTCACTGTTAATATCATTTATTGTATGATTAGATCAAAAGAGAAAAAATTTATAATCATTTCTTTGGATGACTAAAAGACATTTAATAAAAATGTATCATCACTTCTAATATAAGATAGAAATAGAATAATATGTCTTTAATTAAATAAAGTGTATATATTTTATTTAATGGTGAAAATATCTTAAATGCAATGATGAAAAATAGAAGTGGTCTGTCTGTGAGTCAGAAACTATGGTAATGACCATTATTATTAGTAGTAACATTGTTCTAGGAATGCGAGTCAATGCAACTAAGACAAGAAAAAGGAATAAGATATAAATAGTGTAAAGTAGGAGATAACTATAATTATTGTAGATGATAGCTTATCTAAAAAACCAAAGAAAATCAACTGAAAAACAAGACAAATTCAATTTCAGAATGCTGCTGGTTTCAAAACAAATGTGTTAAAGATCAATAACTTTTCTATATAACAGCATAGCCATTTACATAATATAATGGAAATAAGTTCACAATGGTCATGAGAGTATATAATATCTAGACATAAACACGTACTGAAATATGTGGGACTTATATGAATGAAACTGTCAAATATTCCTTTACTAAAAGAAATAGAAATTTGAGTAAGCAAAGAAGCATTACATGCTGCTGAATGGGCAGACCTAATACTGCACTGTTGGAATACTCTAGTACAGTCACTTTTAGGTGTGTGGAACTTGAGGTTCTTATTGCAGATCCAGGTGGAGAGGTGCAGAAAGTAGATGGGATATATATTTTGAATTCCGTAGGGAGATTTGAATTACAGATCCAGCGACAGAGATGTGGGAGTTACTATTGTAGAGTGGTTGGAGCCATAAGATCTCCCAGAACACTGTGGGGAATGCAAAGAGAAAGTGGCCAAAGATCAAATCCTAGAGAATATTAACATTCACAAGGAATGCCAGGACAGAGCGGGCAGTAAAGGAGGGGTGGTATAAGACATAGGAGGAAGGCATAAAACCAGGAGAGAGAAGAACCTTTTTAAAATTTTTTTTCTATTTTTTCAGATGGTGTCTCTCTCTGTCGCCCAGTCTGGAGTGCAGTGGCGAAATCTTGGCTCACTGCAACCTCCACGTCCCAGGTTCAAGCAATTCTCCCATCTCAGCCTCTTGAGTAGCTGGGATTACAGGCATGTGCCACTATGCCTGGCTAATTTTTGTATTTTTAGTATACACAGTGTTTCACCATGTTGACCAGGCTGGTCTCGAACTCCTGACCTCAGGCGATCTGCCAGCCTTGGCCCCCCAAAGTGCTGGAATTACAGGAATGAGTCACCATGCCCGGCCAGCAGCATCTTAGAAACCAAAGAAGACAGCCTCAAAAGGTAGGGAGTAGCCCATGTGGTCATTTGTTACAGAGGAATCAGGCAAGATAAGGATGAAGAAGAGTCCGCTGTATTTGGCTTCTAGGAGATTACTGGTCACAATGGCAAGAATAGCTTTAATTCATTGCAGCTGTGGGGGTACCAAAGTGGAGATGAGGATTATTGCGTTACTTGTGATGCTAATAACCATAGAGGAGCCAGCACATGTGGAATCTACTAGTTACTGAGTGAAGTCACCAAACCCTAATGAGTCTCAATTTCCTCATCTATAAAATAGAGTTGCAGTTGCAGTAAAAAAGTGTGATAATGACTGTAAAATGCTTTTTAAACTATAAACCACTATACAAACAGATGGCATTATTTTTGGTTCTGGTGATCTTCCAGGCAATATTTTAACATGAAATGTGCTAATGATGATGGCACTGAAATAATGGCCTTGAACAATTTCCCCATCACTTCTTCTGTGGTCCCAGTGTTTCATTCCAGGATGGGTTCTGTAACCCTTTTAACACAGAAACACAATCTGCTGTGTGCATTTACACTGATGCAAACTAAGCTGCTGGGGGAAGTCAACTGATCTGAAATGTTTTGCAATACTGTGCATTGTTTCAGCCATCAGACGGTGAGTAGGATTCCTGTTCCAGTCAAGTTAGGTGGCAGAATATTTTCCTGTTTGTCTAAGCAGATGCCAGCACTTAAATAAACACCATGTTCCTTCCCAGAATTTAGCTGGAAAATGCCCCCACCAAAGAGAACCCTGAGATGCTTGGCACATGGCCAAAACCAGCTAACATTTCAATTTTCCTTTACTCCTATTGTGTGGCCATAGGGCTGATATTTCCCCAGAACCTCAGTGGGAACATTCCAGTGACAACTACCAAGTGGTCATAACATAATGGGTTTATCCCCACATTCCTTTCATCCTTTATCCATCCCTATAAAGTGTATTTTTAAAAATTTTTATTTTACTTTAAGTTCTGGGATACACGTGCAGAATGTGCAGGTTCATATATGCGTGCCATGGTGGTTTGCTGCACCTATCAACCTGCCATCTAGGTTTTAAGACCCGCATGTATCAGCTATTCGTTTTAATGCTCTTGCTCCCCTCCTGCTCCACAGGCCCCAGCATGTGTTGTTCCCCTCCCTGTGTCCATGTGTTTTCATTGTTCAACTCCAACTTATGAGTGAGAAAATGCGGTGTTTGGTTTTCTGTTCCTGTGTTAGTTTGTTGAGGATGATGGCTTTCAGCTTCATCCAAGTCCCTGCAAAGGACATGATCTCATTCCTTTTTTTTTTTTTCTGATACAGAGTCTCCCTCTGTAGGCCAGGCTGGAGTGCAGTGGTGCAATCTTGGCTCACTGCAACCTCTGCCTCCCCAGGTTCAAGCGATTCTCCTGCCTCAGCCTCAGGAGTAGCTGGGAGTACAGGCATGTGCCACCACACCTGGCTAATTTTTTGTATTTTTTTAGTAGAGATGGGGTTTCAACGTGTTAGCCAGGATGGTCTTGATCTCCTGACCTCATGATCCACCCATCTCGGCCTCCCAAAGTGCTGCGATTACAGTTGTGAGCCACCACACCTGGCCGATCTCATTCCTTTTAATGGCTGCATAGTATTCCATGGTGTATATGTACCACCGTTTTTTAATCCAGTTATCATTGATGGGCATTTGGGTTGGTTCCATGTCTTTGCTACTGTAAATAGTGCTGCAATAAACATACGTATGCATGTATCTTTATAGTAGAATGATTTATATTCCTTTGGGTATATACCCAGTAATGAGATTGCTGGGTCAAATGGTTTTTCTAGTTCTAGATCCTTGAGGAATCACCACACTGTCTTCCACAACGGTTGAATCAATTTACATTCCCACCAACAATGTAAAAGCATTCCTATTTCTCCACAGCCTCTCCAGCATCTGTTGTTTCTTGATTTTTTAATAATCACCATCCTGACTGACCTGAGATGGTATCTCATTGTGGTTTTTGATTTGCATTTCTCTAATGATCAATGATGTTAAGCTGTTTTTCATATGTTTGTTGACTGCATAAATGTCCTCTTTTGAGAAGTGTTTGTTTATATCCTTTGCCCACTTTTTGATGGAGTTGCTTGTTTTTTTCTTGTAAATCTGTTTAAGTTCCTTGTAAATTCTGGATATTAGACCTTTGTCAGATGGGTAGATTGCAAAAATTTTCTCCCATTCTGTAGGTTGCCTGTTCATTCTGATGATAGTTTCTTTTGCTGTGCAGAAGCTCTTTATTTTAATTAGATCCCATTTGTCAATTGCAGCTTTGGTTGCAATTGCTTTTGGTGTTTTCATCATGAAATCTTTGCCCATGCCTATGTCCTGAATGATACTGCCTAGGTTTTCTTCTAGGGTTTTTATGGTTTTGGGTTTTACATTTAAGTCTTTAATCCATCTTGAGTTATTTTTTGTATAAGGTGTAAGGAAGGGGTCCAGTTTCAATTCTCTGCATATGGCTAGCCAGTTTTCCCAGCACCATTTATTAGATAGGGAATCCTTTCTCCATTGCTTGTTTTTGTCAAGTTTGTCAAAGATCAGATAGTTTTAGATGTGTAGTGTTATTTCTGAGGTCCCTGTTCTGTTCCATTGGTCTATGTGTTTGTTTTGCTACCAGTACCATGCTGTTTTGGTTACCGTAGCCTTGTAGTATAGTATGAAGTCAGGTAGCATGATGCCTCCAGCCTTGTAGTATAGTTTGAAGTCAGGTAGCATGATGCCTCCAGCCCTTAGCTATACGGGCTCTTTTTTGGTTCCATATGAAATTTAAAGTATTTTTTTCTAATTCTGTGAAGAATGTCAATGGTAGTTTGATGGGAATAGAAACGAATCTATAAATTACTTTGGGCAGTATGACCATTTTCACAATATTGATTCTTCCTACCCATGAGGATGGGATGTTTTTCCATTTGTTTGTGTCCTCTCATTTCCTTGAGCAGTGGTTTGTAGTTCTCCTTGAAGAGATCTTTTATGTCCCTTGTTAACTCTATTCCTGGGTATTTGATTCTCTTTGTAGCAATTGTGAATGGGAGTTCACTCATGATTTGGCTCTCTGCTTGTCTGTTGTTGGTGTATAGGAACATTTGTGATTTTTGCACATTGATTTTGTATCCTGGGACTTTGCTGAAGTTGCTTGTCAGCTTAAGCAGTTTTTGGGCTGAGATGTTGGGGTTTTCTAAATATACAATCATGTCATCTGCGAACAGAGACAATTTGACTTCCTCTTTTCCTGCTTGAATACCCTTTATTTCTTTCTCTTGCCTGATTGCCCTGGCCAGAACTTTCAATACTATGTTGAATAGGAGTGGTGAGAGAGGGCATCCTTGTCTTGTGCCGGTTTTCAAAGGGAATGTTTCCAGTTTTTGCCCATTCAGTATGATATTAGCTGTGGGTGTGTCATAAATAGCTCTTATTATTTTGAGATATGTTCCGTCAATACCTAGTTTATTGAGAGTTTTTAAGCATGAAGCGGTGTTGAATTTTATCAAAGGCCTTTTCTGCATCTATTGAGATAATCATGAGTTTTTGTCACTGGTTCCGTTTATGTGATGGATTATGCTTTTATTGATTTGCATATGTTGAACCAGCCTTGCATCCCAGAGATGAAGCTGACTTGATAATGATGGATAAGCTTTTTGATGTGCTGGTGAATTCACTACAAACTCTATTTGTTAAGCATTATGAAACACCAGACACTTTGCCAGGAATAAGGCTTAAAAAGGTGAATGACATTGAATTGCCCTTGAAAAGCTCAGAATTTAGTGAAAAAGAGAAACATGCTATAATTTAATTACAATTTGGTGAGGTAGGAACTTTAATAAGCATATGCTCTAATACGGTTTGGCTGTGTCCCCACGCAAATCTCAACTTGAATTGTATCTCCCATAATTTCCATATGTTGGGAGGGACCCAGGGGGAGGTAATTGAATCATAGGGGCCTGTCTTTCCCATGCTTTTCTTGTGATAGTGAATGAGTCTCATGAGATCTGATGAGTTTATCAGGGGTTTCTGCTTTTGCTTCTTCCTCATTTTCTTTTGCTGCCACCATATATGAAGTGGTACCAGTGAATCTCCTGCCATGATTGTGAGGCCTCCCCAGCCATGTAGAACTGTAAGTCCAATTAAACTTCTTTTTCTTCCCAGTCTTGGGTATGTTTTTTATAAGCAGTGTGAAAACAAACAAATACAATAAACTGGTACCAGTAGAGTGGGGCATTGCTGAAAAGATACCTGAAAATGTGGAAGCGACTTTGGAACTGGGTAACAGGTAGAGATTGGAATAGTTTGGGAGGGCTCAGAAGAAGACAGAAAAATGTGGGAAAGTTTGGAACTTCCTAGAGACTTGTTGAATGGTTTTGCCCAAAATGTTGATAGCAATATGGACAATAAAATCCAGGCTAAGGTGGTCTCAGATGGAGATGAGGAACTTGTTGGGAACTGGAGCAAAGGTGACTCTTGTTATGTTTTAGCAAAGAGATTGGTGGCATTTTGCCCCTGCCCTAGAGATTTGTGGAACTTTGAACTTGAAAGAGCTGATTTAGGGTATCTGGCAGAAGAAATTTCTAAGCAGCAAAGTAATCAAGAGGTGACTTGGATGCTGTTAAAGGCATTCAGTTTTATAAGGGAAGCAGAGCATAAAAGTTTGGAAAATTTGTAGTCTGACTATGCGATAGAAAAGAAAAACTCATTTTCTGGGGAGAAATTCAAGCTGGCTGCAGAAGTTTGCATAAGTAGCAGGGAGCCTAATGTTAATCCCCAAGACCATGGGGAAAATGTCTCCAGGTCATGTCAGAGACCTTCATGGCAGCCCCTCCGATCACAGGCCCAGAGGCCCAGAAGGAAAAAGTGTTTTTGTGGATCTGGCCCAGGGTCCCTGTGCTGTGTGTAGCCTAGGGACTTGGTGCCCTGTGTCCCAGCCACTCCAGCTGTGGCTGAAAGGGGCCAATGTACAGCTTGGGCTGTGACTTCAGAGGATGCAAGCCCCAAGCCTTGGCAGCTTCCACATGGTGTTGAGCCTGCAGGTGCACAGAAGTCAAGAATTGAGATTTGGGAACCTTTGCCTAGATTTAGGAAGACGTATGGAAGTACCTGGATGCCCAGTCAAAAGTTTGCTGCAGGGGTGGGGCCCTCATGGAGAAACTCTGCTAGGGCAGTGTGGAAGGGAAATGTGGGGTTGGAGCCCCCACACAGAGTTCCTACTGGGACACTGCCTAGTGGAGCTGTGAGAAGAGGGCCACCATCCTCCAGACCCCAGAATAGCAGATGCACCAACAGCTTGCACCATGTACCTGGAAAAGGCTGTAGACACTCAACACCAGCCTGTGAAAGTAGCTGGGAGGGAGGCTGTACCCTGCAAAGCCACAGGCATGGAGCTGCCCAAGACCATGGGAACCTACCTCTTGCATCACTGTGACCTCGATGTGAGACCTGGAGTCAAAGGAGATCATTCTGGAACTTTAAAATTTGACTGCCCATTGGATTTCAGACTTGCATGAGCCCTGTATTGTTTTGGCCAATTTCTCCCGTTTGGAATGGCTGTATTTACCCAATATCTGTACCCCCATTGTGTCTAGGCAGTAACTAGCTTGCTTTTGATTTTACAGGATCATAGGTGGAAGGGACTTGTCTTGCCTCAGATGAGACTTCGGACTGTGGGTTAATGGGTTAATGATGAAATGAGTTAAGACTTTGGGGGACTGTTGGAAATGCATGATTGGTTTTGAAATGTGAGAACATGAGATCTGTAGGGCCCAGGGGCTGAATGATATGGTTTGGCTGTTTCCCTACCCAAACCTCAATTTGATTTGTATCTCCCATAATTCCCACGTGTTGTGGGAGGAACCCAGGGGGAGGTAATTGAATCATGGGGGCCAGTGTTTCCCATGCTGTTCTCATGATAGTGAATAAGTCTCATGAGATCTGATGGTTTTATCAGGGGTTTCTGCTTTTGCTTCTTCCTCATTTTCTTTTGCCGCTGCCAAGTAAGAAGTGTCTTTCACCTCCCCCCATGATCCTGAGGTCTCCTAGCCATGTGGAGCTGTAAGTCCAATTAAACTTCTTTTTCTTCCCAGTCTCAGTTATGTCTTTATCAGAAGTGTGAAAATGGACTAATACATGCTCCGAGGCTGAGAGTTAAAGTGTCAGATGTCTGATTCCTTCTAAATCTGAAAACAGGAAGCTTAACAGTTGGTACATAGTAGATGCTCAATTAATGCTTAATAAATGATTGATAAATATCACTAAACAGGTGTATAGATCACAGCTCTCTTAGTCACCCCAATGCATTCCCATTAGAGAAATTCACTGCTAAGGGGTTGTTCCTTAGGAGAATAGACTGTACACCTCACTCTACCATTTCTAGTGGGTGGATCAAAGGCTATTAATTCCAAAGAAAGATGGGGCCAAGACTTCTTTTTTGTTTGTTTGTTTGGTATTTTGTGAGACGGAGTCTCATTCTGTCACCAGGCTGGAGTGCAGTAGCGCAATCTCGGCTCACTGCAACCTCTGCCTCCTGGGTTCCAGTGATTCTCCTGTTTCAGTTTCCCGAGTAGTGGGACTACAGGCGTGCACCACCACGCCTGGCTAATTTTTGTATTTTTTAGTAGAGATGGGGTTTCACTATATTGGCCAGGCTAGTCTTGAACTCCTGACTTTGTGATCTGCCCACCTTGGCCTCCCAAATTGCTGGGATTACAGGCGTGAGCCACTGCACCAGCCTAAGACTTCTTATAAGAGTTCTTTTAGGCAAAAGCTCAGCAGAGGGCAGGGTAGGAACAATACACAATCACCTTGACTGAGTCTAACAAGATGCTATGGCAAGAAAGCACAGGAATTGTCAGAAATCTTTTCTGAAGGCATCCAAGCCTCAGTGGGATGTTATGAAAGACTGCTTCTCAGAAGATAGTCCTGACACCTAAGTGGGTGACTGAGCTAGAACCAGCTACTCACTTGCTGAGAATTATTGACCTCTCTTGTGAAATGTCAATATTGACTGACTGCACTCTGAGCTGTGCTGTTAAAGGCGTTCAGTTTTACAAGGGAAGCAGAGCATAAGGTCTGATGTCTCTTCCAGATCTGATGACCTAAGATTTGTTTATAGGATCAGGAAAAAAACCCATTAAAATACATCTCTTAATTCTTAGAGTATTATTGAAATTGTGTACAACTTGGAGAGAAGCAATGGCAAAACTTCTGAAATTCACCTGGCACATTCCCTGTTTCCTTCCATGTGGCTGCTAACCCTTTTAAGTTGTGAAGACAGAGGATCCAGGTGGACCAACCAGGGATGCAAAAGGGAGGAGGTGGTTTTAACTCCTGTGTGCAAGGATTTAATTCCTCACGTATCCTCTCTTCCTATTCAAGCTAATTCCAGGTCATCAGTGTACTCTAAGTATTCTAATCAGATTCATTAAATTTTTTTTCCTGGAATCACTGATGGTGGGCAGCACTATTGAGCTTTATTCAGGGTGTGGGACTGAGGTCTCTCCATGAGGCCATTCACTTTTGATAAGGAAACTGGCCTCACTATAGGAGTTCAGTAAAGGCCCAGCTTGCTGGCTCACTGATTAATTGAAGGGCGGGGGTGTGGGGCTTGCTGTGCACAACTAAAGTTCACTTGGATGCCCCCCTCACTGCCCAAAGCAATGCTTGGCCTACAGGAAGCTGAGCCTGCTGCTGCCTTCCTCCCGGCTCCTGGCTCCCTCGGGATCTGAACACTCAGGGTCATGCTGTTGCTGCCCAAGCAGGAAAATCCTGTTTCTGAAAATCCCAAACAACAAACAGCTCCCCTACAGAGCTCATGGGGGAGTAGTCAGAACCTCCAGACTGAGCATGTCACAAGGAAGGACTGCTTTGCTGAAGCCACTCACTCCGGGAGATTTATAATTGGAAGTTTGGCCCAGGGAGATAATCAGCCAAGAGCGCGCACGCACACACACACACACACACACACACACACACACACACACACTCTGAAGAAACCCAGTGGAGATTCAGCACTAACCCACCACACACACACACACACACACACACACACACACACACACTCTCTGAAGAAACCCAGTGGAGATTCAGCACTAACCCAGCACAGGTGAGTGAGAAATTACAACCTGTCAGCCAATGAGCCATGGTGATTCCCTCTGAAGAGGGTTTCCCAGCTATCATTCCCTTTCATCCCCACTGTAAGTTAGGCCCTCGTGCATGTTGCCTGGACTGTGGCTGGAGTCTCCTAACTGTCTTGTCTTCTCTGGGTTTTCTGGCCCCAGGTCTCTCCCTGTCTATCTACCCTGCATCCCTGCTGCTGTTGGAAGAGTCCCCTAAAAGACCTTCTCCACAGCACTGCTTAGCTCCTGGTACTCCCTTATCCCTCCTTTCGGCCCATCCTCTGCCACTGGCTTCCAAGTTCGCATTTGGCCTGCTCCCTACCTCAGTCCTGGGCAGTGAGGCAGGAAGCTGCCTTTCTCCTCCAGATGAGTCTGTGCTCTGCCTCTCTCCTTTGCGTCTCCAAATTCACACTGAGCATGAACATCTCTGACCTCACCTTTTCAAACCAAATGAAAGGGCTGCATAAGGACAACTTAGTTTATTTTGGAAGGCTGTTACACTTTGACCTCCATTTAAAAAACAAACAAAAAAATCTAAAAACCCCAAAACGTTGAGGGACTGTTCCCAAGCCCCAGCATCTTTGCCCCATCCTCAAGCCTTCCAGGACCCTCTCTCCATTCTTGGGATTGCAGCTCCTAACGTAGTTCTCCTCTTCAGCTCAAGGACAATTCTAACTGTCTTCTTGCCTGGTATGGCTTAATGAGCCTCAAGCTCACTTAGCATCATCTGGATTTAATTTCCTCTCTTGCCGTGAGCAACCTTGGCTCATCTTTCTGCCTCTCTTCTCCTCTCCTCTTTTTCCTGTCTCCCCCTCCCTTTGCTTACATGCCCTTCTTCCCCCTTTCTCTCCTCTCTCTATCTCTACCTCTCTAATGTCCACAAGTGCCTCACAACTGCCCCATTCAACCCCCACCTGAGTATCACCAGCTCTTCTGGTCCAGCTCACCTGTAAAATCTCTATTCCATCCAGAGAGGCCACCATCTCCTGTTCTAAGGGTCACATAGCTCAGATACAGACAAACAAGGTCAGGACAACCACCCTCCTGCCTTGGAAAATCACCAATTACCCTCCATTATTATATTTCTTGTGAAGCTACATTTACATTTTATCATATCCACATAACAAGAGAGAGAGTTTTAAAAAGGAGAGTGGTCAAATGTATGTCAAGAGACATAGAAACACTTAGAATAATGTAGACAGAACAGATAGCTGGAGTTATTAGAAGGTTATTGGAGACCATCAAAAAGGAATCAAGATGGTTTAGGATATATTCTATTATTCTAACTCAGGATTGGTAAATTATGGCCCATAGGCCAAAGCTGGCCTGCTGCCTATTTTTTTATATGGCTTCTGAGTGAAGAACAATTTTTACATTTTTAAATGATTGAAAAAAATAAAAAGAAGACTATTTCACAAGTAAAAATTCTATGAAATTCAAATTTCAGTGTCCATAAGTTAAGATATCCTGGAACACAGTCACACTATTTGTTTACATATTGTCTATGGCTGCTTTTGTGCTATAACACAGAGTTGAATAGTGTGACAAATATCATATTGTGCATACAAATTATTGTGGTGGGTCCTCGATATGATAACAAGTATTCTTGTAAGCGATAGAAGAGGAGAAGAGACATACAGAGGACAAGGCCATGTCACAACAAGTGGAGACTGGAATTATGCAGCCACAAGCCAAGGAACCTCTGGAACCACCAGAAGCTGGAAATGGCAGGTAAGAATTTACCCAAGAGGCCGGGCGCGGTGGCTCATGCCTGTAATCCCAGCACTTTGGGAGGCCAGGGCGGGCGGATCACAAGGTCAGGAGACCGAGACCATCCTTACCAAAAATACAAAAAAAAAAAAAAAAAAATTAGCCGGGCATGGTGGCAGGCCCCTGTGGTCCCAGCTACTCAGGAGGCTGAGGCAGGAGAATGGTGTGAACCTGGGAGGCAGAGCTTGCAGTGAGTGGAGATCATGCCACTGCCCTCCAGCCTGGGTAACAGAGCGAGACTCCGTCTCAAAAAAAAAAAAAAAAAAAGAAAGAATTCTACCCAAGAGTGTCTGGAGGCAGCACAGCCCTTCCAACACCTCGATTTTGGACTTCTGGTCTACATAACAGTGAGAAAATAATTTTCTTTTGTTTCAAGCCACCCAGTTTGTGGTAATTTGTTATAGCAGCCCTAGGAAATGAATATACTGGTCTTTCATACAAAGTTTACCAACCCCTGTTTCAATCTGTCTTTCTACATTGGATTTGGGTATGCTCATTAGTGTCTAGTTTTCTTCTAAATGAAGTAAAGAGATAGTGAAATGTAGGGATACACTGCATTTCCATTAAAATGACTAAGAGAATGAGAAAGAATGCTCAGCACTATGAAGCTGACAGCTCTTCTCCTCCCATGATGGAGATGGGAGTCGGGGCTGGGTGCTCCATCCATTTCTCCAAAGGACTCATGTCTCCCATGCATTCCAGCTGCTGACCTGGATCAATGGTTTTCAGAAACAGAGGCTAGAAGGGATTATCTCATCAGCTTGTATTCAGGTCTGTGGTAGTGGCAGGGCAGGGGTTGGGGGATTGATAAGGAGGAGGATGAAGAAGGAAAGGCACCACCGTGGAGCAAACTGGTAACTGAGACTTGGAGGAAAGCTAGACCCTTCTCCTCCAAGTCTAAACAAATTCCCTTTCCTTTCATTTTCCTTACTACCATCTGCCCACTGTAGTCCTCCTCACCCACCTATGGAAGCAAGGCTTACCCAGTGACTTTGGGTAGGTACTCAAGCTTCTCTTTCCTACTCTCCCAAAAGAGAGGACTCAGGTCCTGACAAACAAGCATCATAACGACCTACGAAGACAGGATTTGACATAGGAAAATCAGAGCTTGCATTGTTAAGAGTTAAGAAGGGGGATTGTACCCACCTTGTTCCTCCACCTGTTCACAAACAATGTGTCAAAGAAGGGGCAGGTAAGTGGCCAGGCAGCCCTGAAATAGCCTGGGGCCAGGACTGTGACAAATACTCACTGGGAACATCCCCCACCTAAGGGTTGAAGTCAGGAAGAGGAGTGCCCTGTCCTTACACTAGATGGAACTGTTCCTCTATAAAAAAGAAGAAGAAATAAAACCTGATACATGTATTAATCTTATTCAGGGAGATGTGGGTTTTAAGCAATTCAAATATTTCATTCTGTTCTTTCAGTTCTGCCTACTGGCCATTATCAGGAAGATGTGGGAAATAGACTGAAAGAAAATCTTCTGATTATTGAAAGAGAATTTACAGCAGCAAAACAATTTGCAGTGTTTCTACCTAGAGACAGGGAAGTAAGAGAATCTGAGTCCAAGTCCCCACCAAAAAGAGCTTTAGTTTAGAGCCTGTTTCTCAAGAAACTTGCATATGCACACATGAGTTTGGGAAATTCTCATTATTACCTCATAGGTTAGGTCTAAACCTTATTTTAAGACTGAGAAATGGAAACCTAGCTGTGTGAAGAATGCATCAAAGATCATAGAGATGGTTAAGGGCAAAGAGAATACAAGACTCCAACTATGACCCAACTGGGTCCTCCAACACTTTTTACTATCTTTGGATCTGATTCACTTCGGGTAAATGTCTCCTGAGATCTTCCTATGGACGAAGATCGAGCATTTATCGGAAAAGCATTACTCTAGGCAACTATGTAATCAGTAGAATTTTAATTTGACCAAGTGGACATGGAGAGATTTCCACAGCTTATTAACTTTCCCTTGCTCTCTGCCTTTTTCCCAGGCAGAAAATGCATATTATGTATTCCCAGTGTCTGGCTTAATAAGAGGGATTATTATAAAAGGCAGCAATAGGACATCTATTTTCTAAAATATCAAAAAATATGTATTTATTTTGATAAACAGCAAAAATTAAAATGGTCCTGGGGGAAGAGTGCTCTATCGCAGGCCTCAGGCAAAGTTCTAACCTTAGAATCTGTTAGTAGTTAGCAGCAGGGTTAAAAGTTGTTTTTATCAGCTCTGGGTGATTGCCATATATTTTCATCAATTAATTTTTGTTGAAATGCCTGCTGAATATGTGATGTTGCATAGGGAGACAGCTGAATGTTTGCAACATAATCTAATTTGGCAGCTGGGACCTGAAAGCTGAGTATTCCTCAAATCAATATGCCCAGCATCGCAAAGGAAGCAGAACTGAAAAGAGAGGAATGGGTGGTTGGGTGAGATGCTTGCAATGTGGTGATTTAGCTGGAGTTGGGCCTCTGTTCCGAACTCAAACGGTCCCATGTCCCAGGCCTGGCTCTGCCACCAACCAGCTGTGCAGCTTCCAGCAAGTTATCTCAACCTCGAGCATCTGCTTCTTCATCTGTAAATGGAGCTAGTAATTGTACCAACTTTGGAAGACTGTTGTGTTAAGTGCTTTAGAAGTATTATCTCATTTAATTCTTACTACAACCACTACCTGGTAAAATAATTTTTTATTGGTACCTTTTTTTTTTAATGTTTTAGAGAGATAAACAATGTAGCTAATTTTGTAGGAAAGGCCAAAGTAGCTAATTTTGTAGGGGACCTGATTTTTAGTCCAGCTTGGCTGGCAACTAATTTTAGGTCTGTAAAGGTTCAGAAAGTATATCCTGAACACAAGCCCTCCTCAGTTACGTTATTTAAAGTGTTAAATACTCAAGCCAACCGAAACACAAACCAAAGTAAAGAATTTAGATAAGAAAGACATGTGAAAAGGAGGCTACTGGTAAGTACAGAACTCAGTTAAATGTAAATAATTATGAATTAATTGTATTATCTTTTTATTTAAAAATCTAATAAATTCTGATTTTTCTCTCCCCAACTTCCTGTGATATAACTAAGAAAAAACAAAGAGAAACTAGTTTCTGTAAAACTGGAAACTCCGAGAATTCCTCAGTGATATGCCAGGAAACAGGAAGAATTTCCACTAGCCAAAGTTCTGAGGAAGTTACAGGCAGGAAAAAAGATAAGGGTTACCATCTTTTTTTAGTCAATAAAGCTATGCCCACTCTAGGTACTTTCCTTAGAAACATGGAGTCTTCCCAGCAGAGAAAGGAAAGCTAGCCCCAATTTGACTTCTAGAATAATAGAGCCATTTTGACCACACTTTCCCTAATATTAGTTACTGTTTTCTTGCACTGGCTTGAGGCTACAATTACCCATAAAATGTTGTGTGACTAGGAGTGCTTATACCTAGAGGGTCTGGGTGGCAGTTAAAAAGAGCTGAGTCTGACAGAGTCGTAGTGCATTCTGGGAGTTATATTGAATCCTGGAGAAACTATTTACCGAGCATTTACTACATGTCAATAGAGGTACCATTCGCTGGATCAGGCACATAAAGAATTGGGAAGAAGGTCTGACTCTACAGGAATCAATACCACTCATGAAAAGATAGGCAGTGGGACTGGATATCTCCCCATGGCAATATATTCACACTACATACAAGACTTTAAGACAGCAAAAGATGGGCTGGAAAGTAAGAATATCAAACAACACTTGTTCATAAGAGAAGTGAACCAGCAGAGAAAAGAGAAAAGAATTGTACCAGCAGTTATGTGGATAGCCAGGGGAACAAAATTAAAAACATACATTGGGAGTTTTGGGAGTTTACAGGAAAATCTCTCCTGAGCAGACCTTTGCACATTAAAGAATGAGTAAATAGAAAAAAAAATGAAATTGATGACAATGAATTATGAGTACGTATTATAAAAGGAGGGGAACATAATGCTCAAAAGGCAGAAAAAAACAGTTTTGAAAGAAGATTTATAACAAATAAATCTTTGTTTGATTTATTTGTTATGCAAATAAATCCAAAATAAATTAGAAAATATGGTAGTTTTGGACTTTAAAAGCTATTCATAACATGGACACTGTGGAACAGTTCTGACTGGAAATCAAAGGAATAGAAGCTGAAATAAAAAGGAACTTGCTGGGGACAAAAAGGCAGGAATAAAGAATGATTGAGATGAGAAACAATTCTGAAAGAGTTAAAAATGCAGTTACAAAATCGGATTCAGCATCAGAACAGGTAAATTGCAAAAAAGCAAATTAGAAATGAAAGAACCAGCTTTAGAAGTTGCTCCACAATGAAAAGGAAAAGAACAATAAGATAAAAAATAATGGGGAAATAGGGATTCCTGGACAGGAGAACTAACCAATTTGAACAGAAGTAATGATTTAAGACATAACCGAAAAAAAAGTTCCTTAATGAATAAAAGTTGGGATCTGCTTACACTAAGCAAAATCAATATACGTGAGAGAGGGGATACATATCCAGAGATATTCTGATATATTTTCTTATTTCAATGGTAAGGAAAGAATTCTACCAGCCATCCAAGAAGGTAAACATTTTGCCTATAAAGGAAAAATATCAGGCTGGGCTCTAATCTTCTATTATAATGCCAGAAAATAACAGAGCCACATTTACAAAATTATGACATGAGAAATCTTATAGAGTGATAATTGTCTACCTAAGTTGTGCTAAGGTAACAGAAAGAACTTCTCATGAATATAAGAGATCAGGAAGTATATTCACAATACCATTCCTGGAAAAATAAACAAAAACCAAACCCCCCAAAACAAACAAAAACCACACTACTCAAAGACATTAGGGATAAACGGTTGAGAAGAATATTAAAAAAGGAAAGCTGTTTACTAAAAGAATTATGGCAAATCTTGCAAACATTTAAATTGAAAATTAAAGCTTAATAATAGTTATAATATCATTATGAGGCTTATTACAAATGTCAAAAATAGCTCTTTAAAGAGAAAATATACAGCATAATATTTAATAGTAAGAATATGAGTTAACATTCCATAAAAAACTGGGACAGTGAGAGAAAAGAAAAGGGAATTAGAAATACATACTAAAATGTTAATCTTTCACAGAGGTACAATCAATACAGTTTTATTTTTGGCATTGATAGGAAGAAAAGAATAGTTTCAAGTAAGTTATTTTTAATGTAAACTACCAGGAAAATAACAACAGAATGCGCAACTTTCAAGTCATGAGACAAAACAAAGTCAAAGAAAATAGTCCATATAGTAAAGGAGGTATAAAAATGAAAACAGTAGAGAGAACAACAAATCACCTAAAATAGAAGCAGAAGTAGACAAAGCATAGTCACTATTACATGAAACATTAATGGTTAAAACACTTTTATGAAACGAAAATGACTCTAAAAGGTCAGAAGCATGTGAAAAACCATATGGACTTCCTAAAAAAACTATTACTCAGGAAAAGTTACAAACTAAAAGATGGAAAACTTGTGTACAAATATGGCTTATGGATATTGAGCTATATCTTCTCATCAGTTCTGTGGAGAGAAACAGATGGGCAATATTGAGTCTAGGTCAGTGAATGTATCAGGTAATCACTAATCCAGAGGGAATATTAGATGAATTTGTCAAAATTGAAGGAGGAGACCAATTGAGATGCTAACAAGTATTGACTCTTCCAAAAAAAAAAAAAAAAAAAAGAAGTGAGTCTGTGTTGGGGGGAGGGGAAATGTTGGAAACCTTCCAATTAATATCACTCAGGAGCGTATTGAAAATCCATTTGCAGAATGGAAGCCAAAGAATGTTCTGAAAGTGCATTTTAGAATAAAATGTTATTGCTCTGTGACACTTACAAATTCAAAAGAATACAGCCATCCAATTAAAAGTTTACATAATCAGATTTATGAAGGTCAAAGGCATCCTAAAGTATTGCATGCTTTCATTACCCCACCTAAATATTTCTTTAAGCAAAATGGCAGAATCTTTAAAAAATGTGTTAGAGGCACACAGTGTTTTGTTCCCTAACTAATTCTAGCCAATGGCCAATGGTTCTGGATCTCCAAATAGTACTGGAAGAGTGCCAGTGCCTTCATATGAAAGTTTACAATATTTAGTTCTTCTATTTTAGGAAAGAGAACCTTGGGACTAGAATAAAACATGCCAGTGAAAACTGAGAAGCTCCAGCTAGAAGTGAAAAATGTATCAAAGGAAATAGATCTATTTGAGTTCTGTTTTATCTCAGACATACTTAATTATATTTCATGACTTTCTTGGTTAGGAACACAGTTCCCTGTAATTGAAGGTCAATATGATGATATTTTTAGCAATTTTTTGTGCAGTATTTTTTGTCTGAGAGACACTCAAGATTCCACTTTTTTCTGCTTAAAATCTTTTTGCACATTAATTGTATATTACCATTTCATTGAAAGATAGATGACTCAAAAATTTTGTTGATGTTTCAAGGTTGTTAAAATTCCATGCTAGAATCCCAGTTACAATCTGCTATACTTGAGTATGAAGAACTATGCATTTATCATGCGTGGAAGAGACTACTGGGCCTACCTCATATTTTCCCTGTCCTGGTCCCATAAGAGATTATACTTCCCAGTCCGTTTGCAACTAGGCAAGGCTGTATGAATAAGTCTAACCAACAAAATGTGAGTGAAAGTGATGTGTGCCACTTCCTGGCTAAGGCAGTTAAGAGCTGACATGACACTTCCACTTCCCTCTTACCCAGTCATGGCAAACTTGGAAGTCATGTGTTGAAATGACAGTGTCACAGAATGGAGGGAGATTTGATCCCTGAGTCAGCAGATGGTGGAGAGTCCCCATTGATTCACAGGAGACTTTGGGAGAGCAAGCACCAAAGTGCTGTGCTAACTAGAGAAGTCAGGGTTTGTCTATGGCAACTTTTATCAATTTTTTTACCCTTACATAAGCTTTTTTGTGCTTTCCTTTTGGGCTCAAGTTCTTTAGGACCTAAGAATATTTATTTGCCTTGAATGAAAATGTGAATCAGTTCACAGCAGTACAAACTCACAGAGTACAAACTCTAAAATAAAGGCATTTACATAAGTCTTAATAATAAGTTTTGTGTTTCATAGGCATATATTCTATTAAATGCAATTCTAAATGGATTGCTTGGCAGGGCAAAGGTAAATGTTGCCAGATTTCTTATAATTTTTAAAGTACCTCTTTATCAGATAAATGAGAAAAAAGTTGAAATAGAAACAGTGAACTCTGAACTTCTTCCCTAATGACTTATTCTACAAAGTTGGTGCACAGGTGTGTTAAAAATATGATATTCAACGTTGTTTTCATTAGAAGTATTTTATGACTTATTTTGAAGAAAATAATCAATTCAATATAAAAATGTAGATGTCTTAGTAGTAAGGGAAGAGAGCAAGGGAGAGAGAGAGTGATTTGTATCCCAATATTGCATTATTACTCTTCATGGATTTAGTCATTTGATTCAATGAAATTTAAAATGAATCATTTAAGTTTCTTCATGTTAGTTAACCAGTCTATATTTTGCACAAAATGATTCTTCTATTTCTTTGGAGTATTTCATGAAGTGATATAAAATTATCACCCTTGTCTTGAAAAAAAAAATCTCCTAAAAAAGTAAACAAATGGAGGTACAAAAACAATCAAGCAAATACAAACTAAGAAAGCAGGAGTGGGCCGGGTGCAGTGGTTCACAACTGTAATCCCAGCACTTTGGGAGGCCGAGGCGGATGGTTCACGAGGTCAGGAGATCAAGACCATCCTGCCTAACATGGTGAAACCCCGTCTCTACTAAAAATACAAAATATTAGCCAGGCGTGGTGGCGGGCACCTGTGATCCCAGCTACTCGGGAGGCTGAGGCAGGAGAATGGCGTGAACCCAGGAGGCAGAGCTTGCAGTGAGCTGAGATCATGCCACTGCACTTCAGCCTGGGTGACAGAGCAAGACTCCATCTTAAAAAAAAAAAAAAGAAAAAGCAGGAATGACAATATTTATATTGTACAAAATAAAAATAATAGAAAAATAATTATGACTAAATGAATTATCTTGTAAGAATTAAAGACATTATCTAAAAAGGTATAACAATAATGAAAATTGAACGCAGTACGTGAAATAGATAATTTTCTGGCAAAATACAAATGACCCAGTCCAACTGAAGCATAAACTGATAATCTAAAAAGGACAATAGTCTTGGAAGAAAATGAAAAATAATCTGTTGAATTACTTTGGGCTCAGGCAGTTTGAAAGGTAAACTTAAAAAAAAAATTATGTGATAACTATTCCTGTACAAAGAAAAGTAGGTAAAAGCACTGAATTGATTTCATGAAGCAGAGTTAATTTTCTATGACTGTAGTTACACTGGCTCCGAGTGCTCCTGGAAGGCTCTGTCATTTGGGCTCCTGTCTCACCATGCCCACTGCTAATTGGTCTAGCTCAAGCCTTAACTTGGCCTCTGCAGAGGTTGCTAACAATGCTCAGTCCCAAGTTCCATTAACACTTTATGAAAATAATTAGTTATAAGAAGCCATAGATAGAGCAAAGTCAAGGCATGAAGTTGGATCCATGACCATGTGACACTGAACTTGTCCCAATCCTTCTCCTGAATTTTATGATTCATCCTATTGTAGAGGATGTGTGGAGGGGTGGATGCATGGGACCCAGCATGAGCAGGAGCATTGGATCAACCACCTGAGCATCCATGTTAGTCTTACTATCTTCCCAAAGGGCTTATCAGAAGCTAGACGAGGGTTTGGATTAGATTCCTATAACGAAAACCACTAAGACAAAATACCTCAGCATAATTGGTCACAACTCCCACTTCTGGCCTTAATCCCTTTTTGAACGAAAGATCTGCTCACTACAACCTCCTTAATTAAGGATACTCAAGGGACGATGCCCACTTGGGGCTGGTGTCCCATCTTCCATTCTTTTTTATTTTATTTTACTTTATTTTTTTGAGACAGAGTCTCGCTCTGTCACCCAGGCTGGAGTGCAGTGGCGCGATCTCGGCTCACTGCAAGCTCGCCTCCAGGGTTCACACCACTCTCCTGCCTCAGCCTCCCGAGTAGCTGGGACTACAGGCAACCGCCACCATGCCCAGCTAATTTTTTGTATTTTTAGTAGAGAAGGGGTTTCACCTTGTTAGGCAGGATGGTCTCAATCTCCTGACCTCGTGATGCCCCTGCCTCAGCCTCCCAAAGTGCTGGGATTACAGGCGGGAGCCACTGCGCCTGGCCCCATCTTCCATTCTTCAGGTCAGAGCATTGGGCCACTGGAGTAGTCTGGGAGGGGCCTTTGACTTCTCTGCCCCTAAAAGTGAGTTCTCATAAAATATGGTGCGCCCAGGCTAACGCTGGTACTTATTATGGCAAATCCTTTAGCTTCAGGTCCCTGCTCTTTTTGTCCTCCACTTCTGATATGACAAATGCCCAACAGTGGAGGCAGGAAGACAGCCCACCTTCTGTCAGAGCCTACTCCCCAGCTCATGTTTCTCTGTCCCTCCGTTGTATAGCAAACTCTTGCCAAGCCTTTTGGAATGACTTTTTAACAAGAAAAGCCCCATACTTTAATGGGCCAATTCAAACAACTGACATCTGTTAAAGAAGCACACAAATATCCTTTAAGTCCTTAACCTTTAATTAAAAAGTCATGCAAATGTACATTTCCTAAAGGGATACTTTTCCCCTCACTGTGATTAGAGAGGAGTGAGACTCTAGGTCAATCCAAAACATGCAATCATATAGGCACATTGCTCTATTAAAACAAAAATGATTTAATATTAAAACATTCATTATTTAATAAAATGTCACATCATTAGTTTAGGGGAGAAAAACGTGGTCATCTGGAGACAGACTAGAAATTGATTCAGTAAAATTCAACATCCATTTTTGATAAAATCTCAGAAACTAGCGCAAATCTTTTCTTTACAGGATGAAAAGTATCACAAATCAACAAACATAGAATGATGAAATTATAAAAGCATTCCCATTATATTTTGAATGTTCACTATTTAAATATTAAACATATTTTAATGTGTTTTAATATGAAGGCTGCTTTAAGAAATTCAATAAAATAGTATAATCAACTGACTTGAACATTGCAGAGGATAGTGATGAAAACTTAGTCGTTGGCCAATCAATCAGCGCTCCTTCTGTCTTACCACTCCTCAAACCCCACTCCCACACACCTTTATTGGTCTTTGGCCTTGGGGCTCTCACTGACTCTTCCAGAGATAGCAATCAATCTGGCCAATAGTCTCAAGATATTTTCAAAGAGAGCAAGAGTGAGAGAATGAGAGCACAGCAAGTGAGTGGGCTAGAGATTGTGGGCGGCTGGGGTTGCAAAATGTAAAACTTGGAGGCTATTAGAGGTTACATCCTCTTTTATTTGGTTCAGGTTATCTGAGGAAAACTGTTTGTTGGAAGAGAGAAGGATGGAGCAGACATACAGAGAAGTGCAGATATAGGAAAGTCTAGTTCTAGGTCATCCTGAGATGCAGCTGCTGTGCTGCATTTGGGTTATAGATGCCTTAGTGTTCTTATAATAAAATGTGCTTTTTGCTTATGGTAGTTCTAAATGAGCTAATACCAAGAGGCAGTTAGTTACTAAATAGATAGCAAACATTGGATTTTTAAAAAATATGCTCACAATAGCAATAAATAAGACTACATTATGATAATAAAAATATTTTTCCACACTTAGCAACAAAAAGATAAACGACAGGAACAATGAAACTAAAATGTGCAGGACATCTGTATGAGAAATACATTCAGTGCTTGTCAGAGGTAAAATGGAAAACTTAAAAATGGAAGGCTTATAATTGAAAGGAAATTAATTATCCCCCAATGTTTTTATATTTTAATGCAATTCCAATAAAATCACAGTGAAATTCTTCTTGGACCATGACTTAATGATTCTAAAGTTCACATAGGAAAATAAACTGGCAAATGGGCCCAATAGATCAGAAACAGAGAGTAGCATGGTGTATATAGGAGGGTGGCAGAAGGTACCTGCTTGCCTTGTCAGATATCAGAATAAAGTCCTAATAATCAAAACATTGTGATATCAACATGAGGATTGAAAGATGGATCAAACAACTGTAATAAAATGCCTAGAAACAAACCCTACTACTTACAAGAATTTAATATAAAGTACCATGACATTATAAATTTATGGAAAAGAGAAACATTTGCCAAGACATCCTTCTGGCACAATTGGTAAACTATTTGGAAAAAAATTTCATTATCTCACTCATACAAAAACTACAAGGAAATAGAGGCAAATATCTTGGGGTGACAGAGAACATTTTAAACTAAAAATCAGTAGTGAACAAATAAATGCTTGGTATATTATGTAGAACTCTGAATGTCAAAAAGATCTCAGAAAAATTAAGAAAAAATAACCAACTTGAAGTATATTTGTATCTTATAGTAAAAGAGTTAATATTCTTAACACAGACAACTCTTACAAACCAATTTAAGAAATAAGCCAATAAATTCAAATAGAAAAATGATACCATTGTTCACTCATCAAATTGTCAAATATAAAAAAAAATTGAAGCAGATACATGGTCCCCAGTTGCCAAGAAGCAAAATTGGGCATTTTCATACACCACTGGAGAAAGATGAGTTCAGAACTCTCAAGAAGTAAATTCACCAACATGTCAAGAGTTTTGGTATTTAAAAAAATAATCTTTGACTTGAAATTCCAATTTTAGAAGTTTGCCCTGTGGAAATACTCAGTTTTCACAGACTATGTAGAAGAATACTTGTTGTTTATTATTTTAAAAATCTCTAAACAAATGTCAAACAAAGGAGAATTGGTTAAACGAGCTATGACCATATAATAATGGGATAGGCAGAATAGTGCCCCTCCACTCCCAAAAGTTTAAACTCTAATCCCAGGAGTCTGTGATTATGTTACCTGACATGGCACAAATGACTTTGCAGATGTCATTAAGTTAAGGGCCTCGAGATAAGGAGATCATCCTGGTTAATTAGGTCTGCCCAATCTAATCAGGTGGGGCCTTAAAAGGCAGAGAATCTTTCTTAGCTGTGGTCCTAGAGAGGCATGGTAGCAGCTGAATGGTCACAAAGATGCTGTGTTACTGGCTTTGAAGATGGAGGAAGGGGGCAGTGAGCCAAGGAATGCCTTTGGCCTCTAGAAGCTAGAAAAAGCAAGGAAACATTCACCCCTACAGTGTCAGGAAAGAACACAGCTCTGCCAACACCTTGATTTCAGCTCACTGTTGATCTGTGGCGGACTTCTCCCCAACTGTAAGACAATACGTTTGGGTTGTTTCAAGCCATTAAATTTATGGTAATTTGTTACAGTAGCAATGGAAAACTGATACAAATGGGCTGATTTGCTATCAGTAATTAAAAATCATTTTGGTTAAGAACCTATTTAGTTACATGTAAAAAGCGGATTACAAAATTGTTTAAGTACAGCAGCCTAGTTCCAATGATGAAATGTGAATATAGTAGCAATGATTATTTCTCGGTGTTGTAATCACCAGAGACTTTTTCCCCTACTTGATTTTCTATTTTCCAAAATAAACACCTCTTCCCTTTGTAATCAGAAAAAAATACAAAGAAATATTAGGTAAAATACACTTTAATCTACATTTCTCTAATTATTAAATCAGAATAACCTAATTTACAATCGCTTTATTTCTTAAGGCAAATACTTATTTCTACCTTCCCAACCCTAATTAAATCTTTATCTAATACTTTCTGAAAAGTATTATTGTTTTTAATAAAATATAAATCTCTTTCAAGGCTTATTTTCTTAAATTTCATTTTTTGGTTTCAATTTAATTACATATAACAACTGAGTGGAAATCATGTTTGATAGATTACAATTCTCATAATCACTTCTTTTGTTTCGTTTATTCCTCCTTTGAGTCCTCAATTTTGATTCATTTATTCACTAGTTATAGTATGTCTTTGTATTGGTTTAGTTTTTATCTAAGAAAAGGATGTGATGGTTCTACTCTCAAAACCTTGCATATCTGAGAATATCTTTCATGCAGGAATAACAATGAGTAACAATGTGGCTAAGTATATAAGGTCATAATATTTTCTGCTAAAAATTCTATATGGATTTTGCTCAATTACTGTCTGACATTTATTGCCATCTATCAGAAGACTGAGATCAGAATAATTTTTGTTTCCTTTTAGTTATCTTTTATTTTTCTTGCTAGGATAGATGAAGACATTTTACAATTTAAACCTGGAATTCAAAATTTTACCATAAAGTGAAAGGAATATTAATGGGTATAGATTTTTTTCCATTGATGTTACTTTGAATATGTGAGCCCATTTTATATTGATTCTGGAAAGTAGATTCTGCTCAGGAAAGTTTTATTCTATTGTAATTTTATGATAGCTATTCAACTTATGCTGGTTTCTTTTTCAAGAATAACTAGTATGTGGAGTTGGATTTCTGGCTTGTCTTTTTCATAACTAATGATTTTTCTCTCCAGTTTTCATTTTTTCTTCCCCTTTCGTCTCTGTTCTAGAGCTTGAATTTTTCTTCTACATGACAAATTTGGGTTTTCTGTTTCCATTACTACCTTCAATGCAATTTTATTTCCAAAATTGCATTTTTAGATTTCTTTTGTTTTTTTCCTTTCTCTTAGCCAGACCCTTTTGATTTTCTTATCATCTGACTTTTCCATTTGAGAGAGGAAACATTTTCTTGTATATTCAGAGAACCTAATGCAGTGATACGGTTTGGTTGTGTCCCCACCCAAATCCCATTTTGAATTGTAGCTTTCATAATTGCCACGTGTCATGTTGGGAACTGTTGGGAGGTAATTGAGTCATGGGGATGGGTCTTTCCCATGCTGTTCTTGTGATAGTGAATAAGTCTCAGGAGATATGATGGTTTTATAAAGAGGAATTCCCCTACATAAGCTCTCTTGCCTGTTGCCATGTAAGACATGACTTTGCTACTCATTTGTCTTCAGCCAAGATTGTGAGGCCTCCCTAGCCATGTGGAACTGTGAGTCAATTAAACCTCTTTCCTTTATAAATTACCCAATCCTGAGTATGTCTTTATTAGCAGCATGAGAACAGACTAATACAGTAAATTGGTACTGGTAGAGTGGGGTGCTGCTGTAAAGATACCTGAAAATGTGGAAGCCACTTTGGAACTGGGTAACAGGCAGCGGTTGGAACAGTTTGGAGGGCTCAGAAGACAGGAAGATGTGGGAAAGTTTGGAACTTCCTAGAGACTTGTTGAATGGCTTTGACCCCAAAATGCTGATGGTGATATGGACAATAAAGTCCAGGCTGAGGTGGTCTCAGATGGAGATGAGGAACTTGCTGGGAACTGGAGCAAAGGTGGCTCTTATTATGTTTTAGCAAAGAGACTGGCAGCATTTTGCCCTTGCCCTAGAGATTTGTGGAACTTTGAACTTGAGAGAGATGATTTAGGGCATCTGGCGGAAGAAATTTCTAAGCAGCAAAGTGTTCAAGAGGTGAATTGGGTACTGTTCAAAGGATTCAGTTTTATGTAGTCACAAAGATATGGTTTGGAATTGGAACTTATGTTTAAAAGAGAAGCAGGCCATAAAAATTCAGAAAATTTGCAGCCTGATGATGCGATATGAGGAGAAATTCAAGCCGGCTGCAGAAATTTGCATAAGTAATGAGGAGCCAAATGTTAATCTCCAGGACAATGGGGAAAATGTCTCCAGGGCATGTCAGAGGTCTTCACTGCAGCCCCTCCCATCACAAACCAGGAAACCTAGGAGGAAAAAATGGTTTCATGGGCTGGGCCAGGGGCCTTGCTGCTTTGTGCAGTCTCTGGAGTTGGTGCCCTGTGTTCCAGCTGTGGCTAAAAGGGGCCAAAGTATAACTCAGGCCATTGCTTCAGAGGGTGCAAGCCCCATGCCTTGGCAGCTTACATGTGGTGTTGGGTCTGTGGGTGCACAAAAGTCAAGAATTGATGTTTGGGAACCTCTGCCTAGATTTCAGAGGATGTATGAAAATGCCTGGATGTCCAGGCCGAGGTGTGCTGCAGGGGTGAGCCCTCATAGAGAACCTCTACTAGGGCAGTACAGAGGGAAATGTGGGGGTGATCCCCTACTCAGAGTTCCCACTGGGGCACTGCCTAGTGGAGCTGTCAGAAGAGGGCCACCATCCTTCAGACCCCAGAGTAGATCCACCGACCGCTTGCACTATGTGCCTGGAAAAGCCACAGACAATGCCAGCCCATGAAAGCAGCCAGGAGGGGGACTGTACCCTGCAAAGCCACAGGAGCAGAGCTGCCCAAGACCATGGGAGCCCTCCTCTTGCATCAGCGTGACCTGGATGTGAGACGTGGACTTTAAGATTTGACTGCCTTGCTGGATTTTGGACTTGCATGGGGCCTGTAGCCCTTTTGTTTTGGCCAATTTCTCCCACTTGGAATGGGTTTATTTACCCAATGCCTTTATCCCCGTTGTATCTAGGAAGTAACTAACTTGCTTTTGATTTTACAGGCTCATAGGCAGAAGGGACTTGCCTTGTCTCAGATGAGACTTTGGACTGTGTTTTTTTGAGCTAATGTTGAAGTGAGCGAAGACTTTGGGGGAATATTGGGAAGGCATGATTGGTTTGGAAATGTGAGGATGTGAGAGGGACCATGGGTGGAATTCAGGTATTTCTTCATAGCAGTATGAAAATGGACTAATGCATGCAGATATTTTGATTGTTTTCTCTTTCTTGTGCTAAATTATTGAAAATAATGCCTTTTCTAATTCATCAGAAGAGTGCTCTCCTCATTTTGTGCTATAGAATCTTTCTTACAAACCCCATTGTTTTCTTGAATGGAGAACCAGCCAAACTGGGTTTGACAAACAGGGGCCATTGAACATTTGATAACTGGCAGAATCCTTTCTAGCATCTAAATCTGGAAGGCACCCTGAACAGCCCCATCCCAAGTTTTTGAACCTAGAAAGTGTTAATTTTGTGTACTTTTGCTGAACTGAGGTGGAAATTACTCTTTTTGCAAATGCCTGTTTCTCTGTAAGAAAGAATAGTCACATAATTCTTTAATCTGAGAAGGAATATGAGAAAAAAAGTTCCTTGGACACTTTTCTTTTCGGGCTGTCCCCCGTCTAGGCAGCCCCCTTCCATGTCTTCCCTAAGGGGCCTGAACACACATCTCAGATGCCTGAGATGTGTGTTCCCTGTCCCTTCCCTGTCTTCTCCTTGCTCTGCAGTACCCTAGAAGTTGTAGCTCCCCAGGACAAGAGGCTCTTAAGTGGGAAAGAGAATGGAACGAATATATTCTTCTGGTCACCTCAGAAAATTATGACTTGCCCCAGCATCTGCAATACCTGCTTCCTCTTATTAACAGCAGAAAGTACTTGCATTCGTTTGAAAAATAGAAATTTATTTATAGTTTTGGAGGCTAGAAGTCCAAGGTCCAGAAATTGGCAGAGTTGGTTCCTTCAGAGGGTTATGCAGGGAAGGATTTATTCAGATCTTTTTCCTTGGCTTGCAGATGGCCACCTTCTCCCCGTATCTCTTCATATTGCCTTTCCTCTATGTGTCCAAACTTCCTTTTTTTTAAAATCAGGATACTGGTCATACTGAACTGGTGCCTACCCTAATGATCTCATTTTAACTTATTACTTCTAAAAATCCTATCAGCAAATAAGGCCACATTCTGAGACACTGGGGATTAGAACTTCAACTTATGAATCTTGGGGTGGGGGGTCAGGAACGGACACAATTCAACCCATAACAGTGCTGGCAAATGACTCCTCCATCTTTAATCCTGGAGGAGGTGCAACTCCAGGTAAGGGGTCAGGGGATGGATAGGCTTGGTAAACTTCTTGCAATCCAGTAAAAATTGCCCCCATTCACTGGTATAAATTCAGCTGTTAACCTTAGTACCCAATGCAGTTGTAGGTTTCCATAATTTTTTCTACTTTGCTGAGTATTATATTGCAAGAATAAAGCCTGACTGCCAGATTAATCTGGAAGTTCCAGTCATGAAATATTCGTTTATAAATAAGTGATTTTTTTGAGCCTGCTTTACTGTAACTATACTATACCTCATCACTGCCAATTGTATTAATGACTTTTGGGGTTATTTATCAAACCATGAATAATAATTAGGGGTCATTTTCCATCAAGGAAGTTGGCTTTTGGTCTACTTGACAAATAAATCTTGTTAGACTAAAGAAGAAACATCAAAAATGAAGGAAGAATGGAAATGACTGAAGGAATTTAGCAGCTGCCATCTCTACAATGAAGCTGGGGAAAAAGGAGGAAACAGCTCCTTCCCTAACCTTCCTGCAGGAGTGAGCCTCCAACCAATCCTAAATTGAAGTTTTGTCTAATTACACTACAATTATCTACTCTTTTAACTTGAAAGTATATTCATCATACTTTTCCCTCACTAGAAAGAACATCCTTTGACTTGGTAATGATCAAGCTACATTGTTAAGTCAAGAGAAAGGCAGAAATGAGATCTTCCTGTTCTTATGCAAAGAACAGTTCTGTAATGAGGTGTCTTACTCTGCTCCATTTTTTCTGAGCCACTTGGCCTTCCCAGAGGACAGACAGCCTGATGTGCTAAACACCAGTCTCCCTGGTGAGGGCTAATTACAACACTGCAGCTCAGGAACAAAACAATCATTCTCTTTGCTTCACTCCTCACACACTCTCCTGCCTCACTCCCAAAACCCAGGAACTTTTCCTGACTTGGCTCCCAATCTGCCATTACCATCTCTGAATTCTGTGGTCCTTTCTCTTGATATGATACCCCAAATCCCCCACTGAACCCTCAAGTAGTATCATTGTTATGACATCCACTGCAACACTGAAGACTATTCTGTATTGTTTTCTAGTATTTTCTACTGAAAGCACTTGCTAAGCATACAACACCTTTGCAGATAGAGTAGTCTCCTCTTACCTGCAGGGGTTACGTTCCAAGACCCCCAGCAGATGCCTGAAACCATGGATGGTACTGAACCCTATATATATAGACTAAATTATGTTTTTTTGATCTGATAACCAACAGGGCTATTAAGTGACTAACGGTAGGTAGCATAGACAGTAGATACACTGGGACAAAGTGATGATTTACGTCCTGGGTGGGCTGGAGTGGGACAGTGTGAAACTTCATCAGGCTACTCAAAATGGTGTGCAAAGTAAAACTCATGAATTGTTTATTTGTAAAATTTTCCATTTAATATTTTCAAACCCTGGTTGACCGTGGGTAACTGAAACTGCAGAAATGGAAACCGTGGATAAGGGGGGACTATTGTAATAGCAAATGGTTGCTGACAGAGGAAGAGGTGTAATGTAAAAGAAGTTTCTTTTTCTCCTCTCTTCTTAATCCATAGCAATGGAGAGTGAAAGGAGAATCACTTCTATTTCCATTTCAATTGTATCAATTCTCCCTGGTGAGAATTTGCATAATGGTTGGGGATTTCATTAAAGATATCTCCCTAGGAAACTAGATAGCTATGGATTTTGATGACTTCTATTACCAAAGAGAGATTCTGTTCTCAGGCCCAATTTCAGGGGCAGAGGATGATGAGGGGCTGAACACAGGCTTTTAAGAAATCAATTCAGGAGTCTTTATAGATTGATCAGAATCCCAATAGTTTATTGATTTTTACTCTGAAATAATGTCTCCTTTGAGGCTACTGAGTTCCAAGTAACTAAAGGCCAATGAAAGTATCTTTGACACTGTTTCTAGCTCACAAAAGTCCTCAGATATGAATTCCCTCAAATCCCTTTGCTTCTAGATGGTGAGTACTTCCTTTTGCAAATTGGATATTTGTGGGAAGTGTGTTTTGTCACAATGACTCAGGGGAGCTCCTGGCATTTTGTTGTGGGAACCAGGAACGCTAGATGTCCTGCAGTGAGTGGTATTGGTCCTGCACAAGGAAATATTGTCCCACGCCCCAAATGATTTTTGAATGTCCCTCCAGATATTCATGCAGGTGAAAAATCTTATAATTACCCAAACCTAGAACTTATCTCTGATTTTAATATAAATAAAGTGAATAGTTCCTATTGCTGCTCAAAACGACACAAATTTCTTCACACAGTTCTGGGGTTCAGAAATCCAAAGTGAGTTTTGCTGGCTTAAAATAAAGATGTCCTTGCAGAGACTCTAGGAGAATAACTTTGACCCTTCTTTTTTCAGATTCTAGAGGCTGCCTTTATTTCTTTGCTCATGGCCTTTTGCTCTGTTTTCAAAGCCAGCAGCATAGCATCTTCAAATCTCTCTCTGACTTTGACCCTCCCGCTGACTTTGATCCTCCTCCTTCCCACTTTCACTGCGAGGCTGCTTGTGATTACATTGAGCCCACCCAGAATGCCCAGGGAAACTTCCCTATCTCAATATCCTTAGCTTAATCACATCTGTAAAGTCCTCTGTGCCGTGTAAAGTGACATAGTCACACATTCTAGGGATTACAATGTAGACATCCTTGGGAAGGCATTATTCTGCCTATCATAGAAAACATACATTTTGAACTTTGAAAACAGATATCCTGGATTTTCTCAGAAGCTAACTACCATATACATCAAAGAAGATTTTATTTTCTTTTATTGCCGATAATTAATCCTCATTTCAGAAATCACATTACTGACTGTAGCATGGCTCACTATGTTTGAGCTGTCCAAAAAAAAAAAAAAAAAAAAGGAAACAGAAAAAAGAAACCCCACTCTTGTATCTGCCATCCATTGCTACTACATTCTTTTTATTTTAAATAACAGTGTAAGCCTAGCAGATTCATCCTCTATCCTAATGTTGTGTGTCTGATGTTCAATTTCCATATTGAAAAGCAGAGTATTTTATTATAAACTGCTTTTTTCTCATTCTCTTTTATAATACAGTTAGGACATTATATTGATTTTTTTCCTTGAAATTGCATATATAGGTAGATTGTAATATCTATAAATTTTTTTCATTATAGTAAAGGAGACATTATACATTTTTTTTTTTTTAAGTACAGCATTAAGTCGTCTATGGGCATCTCAGATTCCAGGTTCCTCTCTCGGTTGGAGAGTCTTCTCCACGCCAACACTATGCATTGTGTTTTACTCCCTTCAATCTCCTTTAAAACTTCAATCTCCTTTAAAACTCCTCTGAGCCTATCCTTGCTGAGCTCATCAAGCAATTCCCTCATAATAGATTCTATAGTTCTGGTGGCATTCCACTCCCCAAATGGACTTTCCCAGAAGATTTCTGGGGGAGGCCGCTAGCCATCTGAGACTCTTCATCTAGACTGCTGTTCCACAGCAGGACTTTGGGGACTCTGATGGAGCCCCAAGTACTCCCCACAAGGCCTCTACCTTGTCCTCCCTGCACCACCTGCCTCATCACAAGATGTCTCAGTGTCTAATGTCAAGTAGGAAACTCTAATTAGGAAGATGGGCCTTCCTCTTAATGACCCCCAGGACCAATCTCATCATTCCTTACTTCCCTGACCACCACCAGAGGTCTGGGCTTCTCAGTGAACAGTGACTAGGCTTTTATCTCCAATATGGCTCCAAACATTTTCCTACACTGATGTAGTCTCCTGCTCTCCCTGACCCCCAAGGAACACTGTCTTCAGCAAAATCCTCAACCTCTTCTTCAAAGATTTCCTTCACCTTTTCACTGCCTCAAACTTGGCTGTTCCAGGAAACCACTTCCAACACTGCAGTCACCTCAGATGGTGGCTGTTCCTCCTCCACAGTCCACCCACCACAGAGCCGGCACCAGGAGTACTTGCTGCCCCCCACCACCACTTCCAGAATTTTACTCTGTCTTTCTCTTTCAGACCCCACCCCCTCTGAAGCACTTGACTACACCATCTGCCTGCTGCACCATGTTGAAGCCATTTCTTGACTCATTTATTGCTCATTCCCTCTCGTTCGTTGGACCTTTTCACCCCTGGCTCATTGTCTTCATCCCCACCACTGTTCCTGTCTTCACGTTTGGTGACAATAGTATCCACATACATGATTAATTCAACTCCCTGACTCAGTTTCTTGTCGTCCTCACTTCCAATATAGTTTTCTCCACTTGCCTCTAGCCTTCCACTTTCATGTTAAATCATTATCTGGACTTTGTTATCAACAATAACTACATCATTTTCAAAATGTCTATTTTAAGCCTCTCACTGTCTGACCATTGCCTCCTGTCTTTCCAGTTCATGCACTTTTTAGTTGAAGTCCAACAATTCTTAATACTCATCAGGATCTCTAGCCCATTGATTGCACCACTTTTATCTTCTATCTCCTACCCACGTCCTTGCTTCTTTGTTTACCTCACTTAGATTCCACCCACCACCCTACAGTCACTCCTCACATATGCCCTTGACTCCACTTTACTCCTCTCACAAAACCCCAATGCTAATAATTTTCTGCCTGCTCTATGCCTACATGACAGGAAGCCATACGTTATGTTGACTGATTTCTAAATTCTCCCATTAATTCACAAATCTCAAGGCATGCTTCAACATTGCTTGACAATCCCCAAATATTTCTGTAGTCACTTCACCCTCCAGCTCCACAACATGACGATTTCACTTTTCCTCTCCTCTCAACCTCTAACACCTCCTTCCTCACCTTCGTCTATGACCTTATTTTTTATTTCTTTGGGAAAACAGAAGCAATAAAAATGAGCTGTCATTTTATCATAAAATCTACCAGTCTATCTTCACCTTTACCCATATGTCCACCTTCCCTCTAGATCCAGAAGATCTACTTCATTTTGAAGGACAACCTGGACCCATATGCTCACTTAAAACCTTTGCTCCTACATTCATTCATCCCTCACTAGCATCATACATTTCTTTCAATTTCTCTCTTTTTTTTTTTTTGAGACAGAGTTTCGCTCTTTGTTGCCCAGGCTGGAGTGCAGTGGTGTCATCTCGGCTCACTGCAACCTCTGCCTCCTGGGTTCAAGCGATTCTCCTGTCTCAGCCTCCCAAGTAGCTGGGATTGCAGGCACCCTCCACCACGCCTGGCTAATTTTTGTATTTTTAGTAGAGACGGGGTTTCACCATGTTGGCCAGGCTGGTCTCAAACTCCTGACCTCAGGTGATCTGCCCGCCTCAGCCTCCCAAAGTGCTGGGATTACAGGCGTGAGCCACTGCACCTGACAATTTCCCCATTCTTATTTCTATTCAAACATGCTACAATACCTTTCCCCATTGAAAAAAAAACAACTCCCTTAAATCAATGACCTTTCTACCTAATACACTTTCTCTTTTCTCCCACTTATAACTCCACTTCTCCCCTCACATTCTTCTGTTAGCTCACCACTTTAATGAAGCCACTCTTGAGTAAGTAATGATCTCGTCTTGTCAAATCTAGTGGTCCAGTCTTGGTCCTCATTTTACTTAACTTCTCAGCAGTTTATGACACGTAGGTACTTCCTTCTTCCCGAAATGCTTTCTTATTTAACTTCCAGAATACCTTACCTATTAGTTCTCTTAACTCACTGGCTATTATTCCTTGTTGGTCATATTTGCCAGTTCCATCTCATCGTCCTGATTTTCTAAATTTAGAGTTCGCCAGGGCTCAGGCAGGGAAAATGTCTCTATCTCCCTCTTTCTCCTGGGTGATTGTATACAGTCCTATGGTTTTAGTTATATGTCAATAAGTCCCACATCTGTATCCCAGACATTATTGCTCTCCTGAACTCCAGGTTTAAAAATCAACTGCTTATTCATGAAGTATCTCTACTTGTCTATCTACTGCCTATCTCAAACTTCCTGGGCCAAAATGACTCCTCATTTCTGTTCTTGAACCTATTTCTTTTCCAGTCTTCCCCATCTCTGTAAATGAAATCAGCATTCTCCCAGTTGCTCAGCATCAAACCTAGCAGTCATTCTTGACTGTGCTTTTTTCTCTTCTATTTCACATATATCCCATCAACAAATCCTTTGACTTTACTTTCAAAATGTCTCCCAAATCTGATCCCTTCTCACCATGTCTACCACCAGACCCTGGTTTTAGCTACCATAATCTCTTTCCTGGGGTCACCACAGGAGAGCTCCTAACTGGTCTTCCTGCTTCCACTTTTGGCCCCTTACTGTCCATTTGCCACACATCAGCCAAATGATCTTTTAAAACTGTAGATAAGATCATGTCCCTTCCCTGCTAATAATCCTCAGATTGCTTCTTATCATGCATAGAATGAAATCCAAGCTTATCTTGTGGTGGTAGAGAATTTTAATGCTCACTAAATATTCATAGGCTTGCCCACATTTTCCAGAGCCCTTGAAGTTGGGCCTGGCCATGTGACTAGCTCTTGGTAATGGACTATGAAGAGAAGTGATGTGTATTGCTTCTGGACTGGGACAGGTTAAACCTCCTTGCAATTCTCAGTTCTTTCCTCCTTAAATGTAGCAACCAAGGAGCTCAGGTTGAGATGGCTGAGCCACATGATGGAAACAACCTGCAACCAAGTAATATTTTCAGGGAGGTTCTCAGGACAGAAATTGTGCCTACACTAGAGTAGACTTAGACTGAGTGATGAATAAACTGCATGATAAAGCCATTGAGATTTGGGGGTTTGCCTGTTACTCCAGCATATCATAGCCTGCCCTGACTAATAATTGTGGTCTATATGGCCTTCTTCTCTAGCCTCTACCCTGACTCACTCCAATCCTGACTCACTCAGGCTTTATTGCCAATATCATTCCTGCTTTGGGGTCTTTTATTCTAGCTGTCCCTTCTACCTGGAAAGTCCTTCACTAAGATCATCACATGGCAGGTTCCAGGTCTTTGTTCAAGTACCATCTCTTCAGAAAAGCCTTCTGTAATCTCCCTGTTTTAAATGGCTTCCTTCTACTTCCCATGACTCTCTATCCTCTTACCCTTGTCGGTACTCAAAATTACATATTTTATAGTTTATTGCTTGGTGTCTATCACTCTAAATGGAGAATAAGGGCTCTTATTGTTCTTTGTTGTATCCTTAGAATCTAGAACAATACTGGCATATAGTTGATGTGTGTATTAATTACATTAATGGTCCCAACTATTTATCCCTCTCTGTATACTTGCCCTTTTCTATGAGTGTTTGCAGTTCTTGTCACTGAAGAGGTAGAATATAGCTCCCCTACATTAAATCTGGTCTGGTTGTAGCACTTGCTTTGGCCAGTGGGAGGTATTAGATGTGACACAAGCATAGACTTGAGAAGGTGCTTGCATGTGTCTGTGTGCCTTTTGCACTTTTCAAATCCAAAATTATCCTGCTCTGATAGGATAACCATGACAGCATACCTTAGCTAGCCTGTGGAAGCATGAATTGCATGTGGAGCAGAGCTGAGTGGCCCCAGTCATCCCTCCAGGGCCCAGATTATATCAGTTGGCAGCTGGTTGGCCCCAGGCATGTGAGTGAGCCCAGACAAGATTCAGACAAGCACAGCCCAAATTCACTAAATGCTCCAAACTAATGAACTAAATAATAGTTCATTGTATACTGCTGAGGTCATGTGGTTGTTTGTTACACAACATTATTGTGGCAATATATAACTGATACAGCAGAGGCTCAATAAATAACTGTTGAATTTCTACAGTGGATATTGCAGACATTTTACAGTGAATATGTAGACGCTCTTTTACAACCTGCTCCATGTTCCTGATTTAACCATCTGTCTAGCAGTCTGCCAAGTTGGTAAACTGGGAGAAGCTTTAACTTCTTCCACATTCTCATTTCTAACTCTTTACTCTCTTGCAAACATCTAATGGCCTACTAAATCTTCCAATTCCACCCTCAAATCTCTGGAATCTTGTTTCCCCAGTCCTATGTTTTGAATAATATTTTGCCTCCATATCATAATAACTTCCTATTTGGAATCATTACCAATTGTTTCTTCCCCACTCTTCAACATTCTCCCACTCCTCTTAATTTTATTAGCCTCAAAAACAAATATGAATTTAAAAATTGAGGGATCATTTTGAAAAGCTTCTTTCCAAAATTTCCTTTAAAAACATCTAGAAAATAATTTAAAAAGAAAAAAAAGGAAATATAATCTGAGCAGGTTCATTAAGGGGAAAAAAAAATGACAAAGAAAACATACTCCAGACCACGGGTTCTTAACTGTCTGATGTTAAAATTAATTTATCTTTCCCCATATAAAATGAGATATTAGAATTATTTTTAAAAACCATAGTGGATTTAACATTATCCCTATGGTCATGTCACTCATTCATTTGCTCTTCTGAGTATGAAATAAACGATGAATTCATAGTGTCAAATTCCAATAATGCTCAGACTATCTAGTTGAACTCCAGCCTGCAGTGAGTTTGTTACTGAGGCCCCATTAATAGTTGGGGTGGTAATGAATTACCATAGTGCTTATAAGTTGTGATTTTATGTTTCTTCCCTTTTTGTTTTAGTTTTATTCATGGATAAATTTTTAATGTAAGAGATGGAAAGTATAAATAAAAAGTATTTGATCCTCCAAGGAGTCATGCTTCCTCCTGCCCAGGGTTTTCATAAATGCAGTTAACTTGTTTACAATTCTTTCCTCCCAACCTGACCTCACTCCTCTTAATTAGCTAAGACTATATTTGGTTACAAATAACAGAACGTCTGTTTATCAAGCGCTCAAAGAACTAGCGGTTTCATTGCTTTTCTTAACAAGAAGCCCAGAGCTAGTCAGTTTAGAGCTGGTCTGTGGATCAGTGATGTACTCAAGGGAATTCCAGGTACTTTCTAACTTTCTGATCCACAACCCTTAGCTTAGGCTAAGGATTAGACAGGGCTTGTTCTCATAGATGAAACCTGGTGTTCTTCTCCAGGCCTCTCGCCTGTGTTTCAGACAGCAAGAAAGGGGAAAGCTAAGAGTGAAAAAGCATTTCTCCTTGTGGCTGTTGCCTTTTTATTCAGGAAGAGACGCTCAACCTAGGGACTTCTCCTGTACCCCCATTGCCCCAAAATTTCTCTCATGGCCTGTGCTCCCTGCAAGGAAGGCTGGGATGTGGACAGCATCACTAGTAGGGGACTGCAAAGGGCAGGCAACTGTAAATGGCTTGTATGTGGTCAATCTATAGTATCTGCCACAATACCCACCCCTGACACTCTCACCCTGAACTCCCGCTCTTCCTTTAGATCTCAGCCCTGAGCCATACTGACAGTGTGAATTTTCATATACAGCCATGCGCCACAAAACAATGTTTCAGTCAATAACAGACTAAGTATATGATGGTGCTTCCATGAGTTTATAATGGAGCTGAAAGATTGTTATTGCCTAGTGATGTCGTAGCACAACACATTACCTTTTCTATGGGTTGGTATGTTTGGATAGACAAAAACTTACCATTGTGTTCCAAATTGCCTACAGTATTTAGTACAATTACATGCTGTACAGGTTTGTAGTCAAGGAGTAACAGGGTATTCTATATATAGCCCAAGTGTATCGTAGGCTATACCATCTAGATTTGTGTAAGTTCTTACACATTGTTCATGATGTTTGCACAATGACAAAATCACCCAATGACGCATTTCTCAGAATGTATCCCCATTGTTAAGCGATGTATTTCTGTACTCTCATAGCATTAATGTTCTTTACTAGCTCTTAAGACAGTTTAAAATTATACAATGATGTGAATAATCATTGGATTAATGTCTTATTAATACTTATTTCTCCCAATTGACTGTAAGCTCCTGAAGGGCAGAAATCATGTTTGATTCTTGCCATTGTATCCCTGAATCTCAGGTATATATGATGTAGGAGCTCTATAAATATTTAGATCTACATTTACAAGCATGAGTGTGTTCAATGTCAGTAGAAGATAACAATAAAGCAAAGTCATGATAAAAAGAAAATGTGCCAAACTTGACTTGTATTAAAAATAACGTTAGAAGCCAATAACTTACATGCAATAAGAATACATTAGAGGCACAAAGTAAGATTTATTTCTATTTCTTCTTCAATAGTATCTACTTGCTTTTCTTACTGTATAGTTTATGGGAAGGGAGGGCCTCGAAAAAATGAAACTTAGTGTTTTAAAAGAAAAGTTTAATTTTTAAAAATTGCAGCGTTTATCTATGTTTTTTCTCTAAAAAGGTTAATTATTGAGATCCTTAAATCAACAGCTATATTAATCACAGTCTTGTCAAATGTCTTACAAAATGCACAGCCAAGTGAAAAAGTCTGCATTGCTATACTGTGCTTATCTGTTACGTTTCCCTGGGTTTTGTCAACATCTGTGCCCATGAGGATGTGTCTCCTGGGGAAACCGTGTACTACGGCAGGAAAAAGATGGAGTACCGAAGTTCTGCTCACTGAGAACCGCTGCAGTAGTCCCTCCCCTGCTCTGTCCGAAGCTGGCTTTTGCCTTGATCACCCCAGGAAGGAGTACACGGCTGGGTTTCTTTCTCTGCGTTTATATCATTTTCTGGTAGAGCCCTTAAGCTGAGGGAGTAAAATCCTCAAACTACTGTGAAGACTCCATTCCCATTAGTTTTCTGTGTCAATAACGTATTGTGTTATTACTTTTATTCTTTTGCTTCACCTGAAAGGCTCAGCAAAAGTCCTGTGCTACTGCATGATGAGTAAACAGAGAAAAATAAGGAATTTATATTATTTAGGAAACTGGTTGGAAGAAAAGCTTCTCACTGAAGTTCGCTTATTTCAGCCAACAGAATTTTAGAAAACAGTTATTTCACTTATTCATGGCCCTAAACCTAAACTTGAAAAGACAGCATTAAAAAATTAAAGCTTATGTAAGTTGTATTTTATAGCAAGGATGCAAAAACGTAAATGAAATGTTAGTAAGTAAATCTAATAGTGTGCTAAAAGGACAAAGCACAAGAACAGGTATTGTTTATTCTAGGAGTTCTAGAACAGTTGAAGATTAGGAAAGTAGGCAATATGAAAAAATGTATTAATAGATGGCAAAAACACAATTGGCAAATTAAGTATCTAGATTTGATTAAATCTCTTAGTAAACTAGAAATTAAATGATGTAATTTTAAAATGTCTGTCTTAAGCCAATGGGCAACATATTTAACAATTATATTAAGAGAAACATTACCATCACAGGTTAAAAAAAAAGGTGCTTATGATCATGAGTTTTAATTAACTTGTTCTAAAAGATCTAATAAAAAAAGTAAAGGACACAGACACTAGATGTAAGATTAAAGCTGATGATGATTTATAGACTATGCCATTATCTGAGGAAAACCTGAGAAAAAAAACCAGAAAAATCATTAGAACTTCAACTGAATTACAGGACTTATTAAGATAGCTGGTTTCAAAATAACTATTAAAAAATAAATAGCCTTCTAGTACACCAATAATAATCCATTAGAAAAAAAACCAAGGGGAAATATTGTATTTTCATTAGCAACCAAAAAAGTTAAATTTATATATATAATTTATATACAACATATGTGGTAATATGATATATATTAGGTTCTATATTATGTATTATGCAATATATAATAAAACTTTTTAAAAAATGTGTGGGATCTATAGAAGAAAAATGTAAAAAACTGTAAAGAAATCATATTAAAAGCTCGACTACATAGACTATGCATCATGTTCATACACTGAAAAAAAACTTGATATGCTAATAATTCTTTCCAAAGCTAATTTCTAAATTTAATGCATCTATTGTATTTCCAGTAAAAATTTCAACAGGACTTATCCATAAGGGTGTTTTAGATTATGAATCCAGAATTTATCAGGAAGCATATATGCATGTTGATACGATTAAAGAAATAGTCAACAAAGTAGATAGATCAGAGAAAGCCTAAATATAAATAAAATTCATTGTAGGACAAAAGTAATATTTCTAATCTGTAGGGAAATGATCAATCAATAAATGGTGTTTGAACAATAGGATAAACTTATATGGCATTTAAAAAAGAGGTAATCTAATTATATTAAATTATTGGAGTGGAATATTAAACAACAACTAAATTATAAAAGTACAGTAAATGAAATTATTTATGCATATTTGCCTACTTTTGAGTTGAGGAAGGTCTTTTTATGCATAATAACAAAGAGAAAGCACAAAAGAAAAGGCAGATAGATATAACAACATAAAATAATATAAAATAATCACTGAAAAAGAAATGAACATTTTAACCTGAAATATAAAAAATTTTTATATCACATGACCATCAAAAGGTTATAGCCTTTAATATAGCCTCAACCTACAGTTTCTGCAATTCAATATGGAATTTAAAAATTAAGATTTAAATTTAAAGCTCTATTAATTCACAAATACAAAGGAATAACAAATATATTAAAATATACTCACTAGTAAGAAGTGCAAACATAACTAACATTTTAATCTTTTAAATTGGAAAAGATTTTTGTAAAATTGTTAGGAATATGGATAAAGGAACACTCCAATATGTTGGATCTATATATTCTGTTTCACACTGCAAATTACTAAAGCTTTCTGAAGAGTGGCTTAACAGAATGAAGCAAAAGGCTTAAGATGGCTAACACTCTGAACAAACAACTTTTCTTCTAAGAATTTATCCTAATAATCATCCATGTGCGCTAGTTTTGCTAAAACACATTGATGACAAATTATATGTTGTAGCAAAATCTCAAAACACCCCCCAGGGTTTAAGCATGAGGGATTATTTAAATTACGATACTTTGTAACCACTTGGCATGATCTTATAGAATAAAGTTTATTACATAAAATATATCTTTATTATGTAAAAGAAAAATAAAATTGTATATGCTATAGGACTATAATTATGAAGATTCTATGCATAGAAAGAAAGTCTTGGGCCAGGCACTGTGGCTCACGCCTGTAATCCCAGCACTTTGGGAGGCTGAGGCGGGCGGATCACGAGGTCAAGAGATCAACATCATCCTGGCTAACATGGTGAAACTCCGTCTCTACTAAAAATACAAAAATTAGCTGGGTTTGGTGGCTCGCGCCTGTAATCCCAGCTACTCGGGAGGCTGAGGCAGGAGAAATGCTTGAACCTGGGAGGCGGAAGTTGCAGTGAGCTGAGATCGTGCCATTTTACTCCACCCTGGGCAACACAGCAAGACTCTGTCTCAAAAAAAAAAAAAAAAAAAAAGAAAGAAAGTCTTGGCATGAAATAATTCCTAAGAATTGACAATAGTGGTGCTTAGGCAGTGAGATGAGCGTTGATTTTACATTTATTTTTCTTCAAACTATTTTTTTGTAAGTTGCTAATTCTCTTTAATAAGTGTGTAATATTTTACGATTTATTTATAATTTAACTATATTAAACTAAATTTAAACTAAAATGTGATCAGAAAAACATTGGAGTTGTGCAGGTAATATTCAATAGTAAGTTATTTTTCTTAAAAAAAAAAAAGGTGGCTTAAGTTCTTACCTAAATGAACAGCCTCAAGAATCCTTTCAGGATCCTTCCAGACTCATCTGCTTAATCAGAATGTTAGTAATTTGCATTTTTTTCTATTGCTGTACTCATCAACTGTTTTATATACAGCAGTTTTTGTTTTCATCTGTTTCATCTCCATTTTTCAGTCATTGACATTTATTGAAGCTGTGCTATTTTCAAAATGCTGAGGAAGTATTGGGAGGAGATGAAGCAAGGAATTTTTATCCAGGTGTACAGAGAAAAAAAGAAAGGAAAGATGCAGACAAAGAAAAAAGGATGAAAACTTCCAGATGACATGTGGGTCCAGACAGACCCTGGCAGAAAGCCCAGCTCTTGGAAAACTGGCCCTCGCCCCAGGATTTGTAAACAGCACAAATTCACTGATGAAGATGCAGGAGAGGTGAAGAATCTGCTTTGGCCATCTCAGCAGCACTGCCCTGCTGCCCTTAACCCCAACCCACTGGACTGGCTGAGAATATATTCCACAGTCCCTTCTTAACATCCTTCCAGGTTGTAAAGATATTACATATTTATCAAAACAATTAGTGACTTATAAGAAGTCTGAAGAAGACAGAAGCAAATACGCAAACAAATGCAGAGTGCAGTAGCACCTCAGGGCAGAGATAATTCTGCCTGTGACAGGAAAAGATCTTTCAACAGCAGTTTGACAGCTCCTGGTGACAGATCCCCACCACAGTATCCTCCAGCAGACCCCTTGGTGGTATACCTGGGACTATTTTTTGAAAGCCAAACTCTGGATACTTCTGTATTACCTAAACTCCGGCACCTCTTACATTCCACATTGGCACAGTTCCGAGGTCTAAGTTTGTTTTAATTCTCTACAATCTTTCCTGTTCAAGGAGTAGGTAACTAGAATGAACACATTCCCATTTTAAGATACAAATGGGACCTTGGAGGTAGAAAGACGTCCATATTGTTTGTACCGTAGTGTGATTTTAATTAGCTGCTCTTCTCTTGGTTCAACTCAACTTACTAAATTGGATTGGCTGTGAAGGGAATGGAGCAGTAATTTGGGTTCATGCATTTGTGAAGCAGGATTGGGGAGTGCCTCAATGCAGACTGTAGCTGGTTATAACATTATTGGAGGGAAACCAACAAAAACGAGGGAAATAGTATCTGCGCCTTCTTTGCATTCTGCCTAAAGTCTTAGGATCACAGTGTCCTAATTGGATCATTGAAAACCTATGATGGCTTTGATTTGGCAGGTAATCTAGCTGAATCTTTAACACATTAACTTCCAGACCCCTCATCATTCCAGCTGGGAAGAGAAAAGAACTTCAGGAACAAATTTTAAAAATGAAATTTGTTAAATCATGAAAATTCCAATGAAGTTTTCTCTTTTATCTTCCTAGCTCATGTTTGAAGAGCCCAGCTAAGTTGTTGAGCTAACTCGTATTTCAAGCTCAGGGCTGCATTCATTTTGGTTCCCATCACGAATTCTAAAGGCATTTGAAATTTCCCCTTGGCTCCCTGGGACTATTTAGAAGAGTATCTCAGTTGTTTGTAGGGTTTTCTTTTGTTTAAACATTTTCAGAGTCAGACAAATTCTTTTATGAACACATATTCACTATTCAAGTGGATGTTTCTCTACAGTAAAATAAAATTAATAAATCATACAAAGTGGGTATTTAAGCTTATGCTCCTAATCTCCTCACGTGCCACTCAATGTGCACATGAGGTTTTTAAAAATTAGTGTCTCAATTATATTCTATGATAGAGAGAACAGAGGTGTTGCTAGCATGACTGCTCAGCACTCTCCCCTCATGAGCTCAGGCAGCTGTGTGATTTGTGAAGGTGGCTGCTCATCAGTCCATCTGTGGCTTAGGGCACTGGGCTGAGCTGTAAAGGCAGAGTATCATTACAGATTATTTTTTATTATCTGAAATAATGGCAATAAAGTGGAAGTGAAGGTGAAGAAACCCAGCACTCCTAGAGCTATGAAAAAGCCATAAGGCTCTGGCCTCAAGGGGAAACCCAGTTAATTTAAAGAAGGAATCTCTAATCATCCAGTTGGAGGATTCAAGGGTACTAGGTGGTTTTCAGGCTCCAGGAAGAAGGTCCCTGCCACTGATGACCTCATGCCAAGAGGAAAGAAAGCTGCTCTGTAGACCTTCTTTATAAGAGTACAGGTTGGAACCATACTAAGAGCCTGGCTTTGTTAAACCCAACACATACTACAATATTTTTGATGATTTATGTGGGTAAATAGGATACATCCAGAAAAAATCTGGCACATATTTTTCATGACCTCAGAATCTCAAAAAGGCAACTTTAGGACCAGGTCTTGTGGTGATTCTTTTTTCTTTTTGGTCATTTTTTTCATGTCAATAAAAAGGTAAAATGTAGAATGTAGTTAACGTTAATCAGGTAGATAAAGGATGCAAACTAGGGGTGGGGTGAGGCTGTGCATGATTCCGTCTATGCAAATCAGTCAAGGATTTACACTGGAACTACAAAACTCGATTTCAGTGGAAAAAGCATGAGTGGACTCTGTAGGCACCAGGTAGGCAGAACTCCACTGTGAGAGGGGCTCAGGTATCGAGATGCAGCTCTGGGCAAGACCCCTGTGAGGCATAGCCAGATTTGGGTCTCCAACTCAACCCCTGATTCCAGAACCTCAGCTGCCTCTTACAGAGAAGATGATTCTGCCACTTTTGTTTGTATGACTTTGTAACTCTAAGAAGGCATTTTTAAAAAGTAAGTAGGCAATAAAGAAATGGTACTTCTATGTAAGTAGTGCATGTGTAGTAGTGAGTTTTGTGATCAATATACATTGCTTTGTATGTGATTTGCTTTTAAGATGTTGGAAATGAGAATCTGATATATTAGAGAATTTGACTTACAAGATTTGCAATTTTAAGTGTAACACCTAGGAGGATTTAATGAATTAATTTTGTAGTCAATGTTTGGATGCTCAGGAGAACCTGAATTTATCAGTTTAATTCTCAGCAGGTTGAAATGCTTTAAGAGAATTTGTGTGCTAAATTTAGAAGTTTTGATTTATTAGTCTTACAAGAACTAAGTAAGTCCTGAGAAAGATTTTGTTTCTTCTATTTGTAAGTCTTCCTGTTAGGGATTTGAAGATTTTAACAAAGCCAGATGTATCAAATTTGTGAGTATAGTTTGAAATGCTTAGAGGAATTTAATTAATCAAGTTTATAAATACTGTTTACATTTTGAAAGATTATTTGATTTGTTAAGCTTATAAAAATTGTGACTAATAAAAATATGTAAGATTGATTTGATTAAGTTTGAAAATGGTATTCAAATACTTAGTTGGAAGTATTCTATCTCATGTTTAAAGATTTATTGAGCTTTAGTCAAAGAACAAAGGCAAATGAATGTTTCATACTTTAATGCACACAAACTAGATATATAAGAAAACTTCCATGATTTATAAAATATGTTCAAAGGCTAAAAAACACTGTAACTTCAACAAATTGAATATCAATTAAAACTCACGCAGCTATAAGAGCTTTTTGCAATGAACACATTCTCATTCAGATATTAAACAATGATGCTCACTCCATATAAGGGTGGTGACTTTGTGACATAAAGGATTGGAAATGAATGCTTAGGGGATGGTGTAAAAGAAAACATTTGGGTTTTCTGGACCATGATATACAATATCCAAATGATGGACTACTGGTAGACTGTGTGTACATTTCCAAAGATGGAAAGAATGTTGAAAAGCATTTAGCAAGAGATTTGCTGACCCAGTCAGGACAGTTTTAAACTACCATCTTTAGGGGGAAGAACATAAATGTTTTACCCTGTAGCTATTGTACTTGATGTAGAAGGAATCCAGGAGGAGGCTGAGACAAGAATGGACACGTATAATGGATATGATTGTGTGTCAGAGTTTACTAGAGGGCATAATATTAATTACTATTAATTGGTATTTTAGTGGTATTTAGTGGATGTCAGACTTTTCAAATCTTTCCCTCTCTTCTTACCTTCTACAAGGTAAGTTTCATTATAACCATTTTATCAGTTGAGGAAACTGGGGGCCCAGATAGGTTAAATACCTTGCATATGTACACATAGCTACTAAGTGGTAGAACCAGCACTGGAACCCATCGCCTGGGCTCTTTCCTAACCATTCTACTGCCAAAGGCTAGGAGTAAGTTTATTAAAGGGTGCGCTCATACAAAAGACATGAAAGGCACTCAACAGGGAATCCCAAATATTAAACATAGTGATAAAGCTGAATTGGAAAGTAGATTAAGAACTATACAAGAGAAGGGCAGGGGATTAGGCCCAGGGCTGCTTAGACAAATTAATTTCCTTGAGCAGTTCATATGTAGCATTAAAACTCATGCTGATTCGTATGTCTCCAGGTCATCATAAAGCACCTCTTCATCTTTGGTGCTCCTCATCCAGAGAGCTTCATATTTCCCCTTCCACTGAGGTGGAATTGAAGTCTCTCAAGGTGGCAAGAGAGAAGTTTGGTGCAATGTAAGCCAGTTCCCCAGTCAGTCTCACATACGTGGGACTTCACATGCACCACTTCATGCTGGAATTTTCCTGTGTCTATCGTATTTTTATATGGTGTGAACAATGCAGGAGTTGGAGGGCTGGGTGGAGAGTAGGTTTCTCCTGGTTTCACCTCAGCAAGGACAAGTAAAGGAGAGAGTGCACCTGCTGCTAGTGGGGGGTGTTAGAGAAAAATCCAGGGGGTTGACAGCAGTTAGGCCAGAGAAGGGTCCATAAGATGGAGGAGGTGCTTATCATTTTCATCTCTCTGAGTTTCTGGTATGCTTGGGTAGACGGGAGGTAAGATGGTAATGATAAGCACCTCCTCCAATCGGAAGTCTTTTCCTGGGGCACAATACCTGTTGAGGGTGGCAAGGTGTGGGTCAGGTATCCTGTGGGGCTCAGTCAACTGGAGTGTGGAAGAAGTAAGTGTGAGTTAGAAACCATGGTTATTCTAGAACGGGGGTTCTGAATCAAAAGCATTCTATTTTGTAACAAACCTTTATGGTAGGGAGAAATTTGGCCCAGTTTTTCTTTTGCATCAAGGCACAGCATCGTAAGTGTGCTATACGGTCTGCTTGAGGCATCGGGTCTGGTTTTTAGATTTTGGCTGATGTGTGCAGAAGAGAAGCATGGTCAGTTTGCTCATGACGCACACATTTTAATGAGTACCTACTCTGTGCCAGGCACTTGGATAGGTTCTGGGAACAGGAAACAAAATAAGGGATCCCTGTTTTCATGGAGCTTGCAATCTAGTAAGCAGGGAGGTGTGGGAGAGATAGACAAGGTACAGACAGTTGCAACACCACGGGATAAATGCTGTGGAAATATAAGGACCCCTCAGCTAGACTTGCAGGTCTAGGACAGCATCTTAGTATAAGCACTGAGCTAAGTCAAAGAGGACAGCAAGGTCACTAGGGAGGATGCCAGTCCTAGGTGTCTAGGTGATGCTAGACAGAGTGATGGTAGTAAGGTAACTCTGTTCTGGTCATCTCCTTTTAAGAGGGCCATTAACAAATGGAAATAACCAGTAGAGACTAATGATGATGATGTAAAGTTGGAGGAACCAGGGACAGTTAACCAGAGCTGGGGATGCTTCAAGATAAATAGAAGCTTAATACCTTATCCTTATACTTACTGGAAAGCCTGCTACGTGGAAGAGGCCTGAGACAAGTAGGAATAGTCCAAAACCAAAGAGGCAAATTTCATTTCAAGAAAAGGAAGAATTCTGTGATGATTTAATAATTTATTGAATTTAACAAATGGGAAAAATAGAGTAGAATATTTAAGCAGAGTTTGGTACTCTTACAATGGCCCTGTTTGGAAAGTTGAGGGGTTGAACTTTTATTTGGGTGGAAAATTGTCAAAAAGGCCTCTAGTATTTTCTCTTGTGTGATAGGACTCTTACATTGCTTTTCTGCCTCCAATGACAGTTTTCCTTAAATGAGGTATCATCCAAAAGCCACCAAGTGCAGGAGCATGTAGGCAGATGTCTAAGGCACATAAAAGCAAATTGCATGGGTCTTCAAGCTGTGAGGGGGTGGAGAGTGGGAGGACAATGCTAAAAGAAATTGTTTCTAATCGCTCTTCCAGGTTGAAACAGAATCCTCATTGGCATGATGAAGATTAAATGAGACAATGGACTGGAGGGAACATAAATAAAAGATATCATTATCAATTTTATTAACATAAAACTTCCTTTCTAGTTTCCAAATGATGGATATTAATAAATTATTATGAGTATTCCCAATCCAGTGTTCTTGAAGTTAATTAAAACACAAAACTCCACATTCATTTCCCTGTGCCTTGCTGCCTCTCTTCCTCTTTGTCGTTTCCTCCTCTTCTTTCTCTTCATTCTCTTTCATTCTGTCTCCTCCTTCTCTTTTCTCTCCCCTCCATCCTCTCTCCCCTACTGCCCTCCCTCTCCTTCTTCTTCTCCTTTTACCAGGAAGTCTTTCCCATATTCCCAAGGGAGTTCTTTGCTCTAACTCTGCTCCCTCTGCATGGCATTGATTGCATTGGGTTATATGCTGTTCGTGACCTTGTTAATCTCCAAAGACTGAGACACAATGGCAAAGGCAATGTCTTACTGCCTCAGAATATGGCACACAGTAAGTGCTCAATAGTGGTTTGATGGACGGATGGATGAGGAAAGAGATCATTCCCTTCACTGCCATCTAATTTTATTTCCTCTTACCATTCTCTGCTGATATTGTCTCTTTGATCCCTGGCTTGTCATTCTCTAGCCTCACTTCTCAAGTTTCTTGTCGGGCATTCCAACTAATCGTTATATTTTCATGTCAAATTCAACATAGAGTATTCTCATATTTTTCTGGGCAACTCCTCAATTCATTCCCTGATTCACCTGTGAATTCACTTCGGTTGAATCAGTCTGTCATTGACCTGAGGCACTTTGCAACATTTGACTTCCATGCTTCTGTCATACAGCTTCTTCTACCTGAAAGGTCATTTCTTTTTTTTTTAATCAACTTCTCTAAAAATCTTATCTAATCTTCAAGGCCTAACTCAGTTGCCCTATCTTGAGGTCTTCCTTGATCATTCATCACTGCTGGGCAGGATGTCCCTCCTCTTGTCTCCTATGGAATATATCTGTACAACCCATATGAAACATTTTACTTAATACCTTATATTTTAGTTACCTCTAAATCAGTCTTATTTGCCTTCATATATAGCCCTTTGAGGGAATAAACAAGGCTGTGAGTTAGGAAACCTCACCTTACCTTGATGGCATCAACACTTGATAGACTGAATATCTTTATCTAAGTTTGATGGTGTTTCTGTCTCATGATCCTCACTCTAATTCAGCAACAATAATAGTAACAGTGTCTTGTGCTTGTGCTATGTGCTTTTATTTTGAGAATTATTCTTTATTTGCCTCCAATTCAAACTATGATTTCTTCCAGTTTTTTAAAAAAGTAACACCCTTGACCATTCAGGACACTGCAGGCTCCCAGGAGTAGGGAGAGAGTGTGGCAAGTGTAACGGAGCAGCTCCAGAGAGGAGGTGGGCATTGGACCTCTTGAAGAAAGGCCCTGAAATCTAAATGACCCATCTGAGAATTAACAAACTCCATTTTGATCCACATCAATGCTGACATTGGAAAAGACAGGGCCAGTTGTGGCCAATGAGCTTCTAGTGAATGGCCATTCACAGCATCACAGCAGTGCATGGTAATGGGTTTCCAGGGCCATCCGAATTAGTGCAAAGGATCCTGGAATTTAATTCCCCCTCCAGGTGGGGTGAGGGAAGACTGCTCTGAGATAAACAATGAGATTGCAGTTCAACCAACAAGGTAAAGTTCAAGGATAGAGTGCAGGTCTAATAGAGACCTGGAAAGCAGGATATTTAAATTGGTAGCTGAGTATGGCTGGGACAGAGTGTGTAGACACGAGTTCAGTGGACAAAGTTTTTGTGATTTATTCATGTTTTTGTTCTAGGTTCCTCTTTTACATTATCAGCTCTCTCAGAGAGCTCAATTCCTCTTTTGCCTTCAACCATTACTCTCTCTGGGCAACTATATTTTTTGGTCTCAGAGAGACCATTTTATTTGGAGTCTGAGTGAGCAACTGCTACCTTTCATTTTGCTGAAATTATGCTTGCCCCTACCAGGTAGAGAAACAGTGATACCAGGCCAGTGCTTGTCTGGACCTCGCTGTTGCTCCTGTTGCTATGTGCATGGTTTCAAATCAGGTTATCTGTTGCCCATTCCCCAGCTCCCTGCAGGGCTTGGAGATTGCCTCCCTTCCTCTACTCCCTTCTTAGGTTCTGCTCCACAGTACTTGCCAGAGCATCATAATAGAACCAGTAATTGTCACCAACTCCTGAAAATGGGGGTTAGGGGAACGGGGCTGTTGAGGGGGGAGTCATCACCTCTCTGTGTCCCCCATCTTCAAATTTCATGAAACATCATACATACCTTTTAGTTTTATAGTTGTAAAGAATTTTTAAATTCTAAGTCAGAGAAATTATAGAGTTTCAATAGCTAAAATCCCTGGTATTTGTTGGAGTTTAGATAGAGGTAAACCTGATCTTATTTAGCTACATTTGTCTCTGAAACATTTTTAAATTCTAGGTAACTGCTGCCTTCAAAAAATAAAACTCTTTCTAATGGAGATATTTCTTCCCTCCCCTCCTCTCCTATCCCCTTCCCACCTCCCACTTTTCTTCCCTCTTCCCTCCTTCTCCTACCTTCCCTTCCTTTCCCCCCATCCCTTTTTTTCCTTCCCTGACCCCACCCCACCTTTCCTGTAGAAAGACTACAGGAAACATTTAAATTAGTACTGCAATCTGCAACTGAAGTTTTTCTCCGCATATATCTTGATTCTAATAGGAAATTTGACAAAGTTTACCAAGATAGTTTGACTCAACAATTCCTTTAAAAATCCTTTAAAATGAGAAGATATAGCTTTTTAAAAATTCATTTTATTTGATGTAGTAATTCTACTTATTGGGATCTATCTTAAGAAAATAATCAAGAAGGCAAAACAAAATTATCATATATAAATATTCCTTAGATTATTAATTATAATAGCAAAAATCTAGAAATCACCTAAATACACAACAGTAGAGAAATGACTACGTAAATAATAATAGCATATTCACATAATAGAATAGTATGAAGCCATTAAGATTATGTTTCTGAAAACTTTTGAATAACACAGGAAGGTGTTATTAAAGTCTTTCATTAATACCAATGGAAAAATATAGGCTACAAAATTATATAGAATCTAACCTCAATTATGTAGTATAATAGTCATAAAAGAGAAATTCAAAGGTTAGCAGGTGTTGCTTCTTGTCGGTTAGGTAAGGGGGATTGGATTTTTGTGCTCTTCATATTTCCCAAGTCTTCTGCAGTGAACAGGTTTAATTTTACAATCAGGAAAGCCACATTGCTGTTATTTTTAAAGACTTGATTCAAAGGTTGTCTGTTAAAAATTCAAGGAATATACAAACAGCTGATTTAATATTTCCTCTAAGTCTGCATTTCCATGCTGGAGAAAAGGGAGATAACTTACAGGGAGAGGACTTAAAGCCCCCTTTCTTTCCAATACATTCTTGGGAGAGAATGGATGACCACACATGCAGGAAATATATTCATTGGAAGGCCTGAGGGGGTGAGTTTATAGTGTGCTCACCAGGCTGAGCAAGAAAAAATAGAAGGAGCACTTGGCAGACATGGAGACAGAGACCTGAAGTCTCATCCCTAATTCTACCTTGAACTCTAATCTTAGGAATGCCATTGGTAACCTCCCTGGGCTGTATCTGCATGTTGGAAACATGGTGACATTCCCTGTCGCTGTCATTTCCTAAAGCTCTGGCATCCGAGACCTTTTGGTCTCACTGAGCAGGTATCACAGAGGGTCGGGGCTCTGCGGTGGTTTACCTAGAGAAAAACAACAACGGAGCTGAAATCTGGCTCCCTGCCCAATCCACTGTGCGGACTCTGACTCTCATCCCCACCCCTAACCTTCTAAGTTCCAGAGGAAAGATCAGGGCTGCAGAACATGTTTCTGTGTAAGCCAAAAGAGAGAGCTGTCTGCTGGTGCTCCATCAGCTACTGAATGCTCCAGCTCACACTGACTGACAGGTCTTCCTAGAGCTTGTGCAAAGCCCCAGTGCAGAAAAAGCAAACAAACAAACAAAACCCCCCAAAAAACTTGCCCTCTAATTTAGGGGGCATCAAGAGAGTGTTTGTAAGGCTGAACTGGCATCAGGTTTCACTACCCTGATATTCACTTATATATCATGCTATCGACTTTTTTAAGTTTAAGGAAGCTGTTATGAGATTAAAGGAGCATGTCAATGCAGAAAGATTTACAGGTGTACCTCACTTTCAGCAAACTGAATATCTGAAAACCAGTGTAGTACAAAAGATAAATTTGCAAAATAATTCATTTCACTCCCACTTTGAGTAATTGGTTTACCATCTACATTTAAAATACAAACTGATTTTCCACAATTTGTTTTACATAAAACATAGTAAGCACATAGGAGCTGCATATAGAGAGATGTACAGGGAACTAACAAATCAGTATTTGGACACCACTGCAAAGGATGGAAATGAAGATTTCCCTGATTTTAAAAGTGTTCATTGACTACAGGAGCTAAAAAAGACTTCTAATAATTTGCAAGTTATAAACAATCTTTATGCAAAGAGGGTTAGTAGTTTGGAATTTTTTTTGAAGTTTTCTCCTAGCTCCTTCTTTGGGTTTCTCACATTCAGTTATCTCAGGAAGGACATCAAAAGACTCCATTTTAAAATCACAGTGGTAGGTGTTTTAAGCATACTTTCACATCCCAGGTAAACATTTAACACCTGTGCACACATAGACATACACATTGGAGACCTAAGATACTCACAAAGGAGACAATACCAACAGAGCTGTGCTCCAATAATCAATTTTCCATCATGCTACCTGAAGAGCCATTCATTCCAGAATACCATCCCCAGTGTTTGAAATGCCAACCTTTTCACTTTCAGTCAGCTTTGGGAACCCTAACCTGTTGGTTGCCGGAACAGAAGAGCTCTCAAATGCCTTTGCCAAGCATGTTTCTCTGTGGATAGAGACAGGCTAAATACATACATTTTACATTGCAGGAGAAATTTAGAACACCTCTTGGGTAAGCTTCCTGGATCCCTATCCGTGGAGTTTCTTAAGGATAGCATAACTGTCTCTCATTCCTGAATGAGAATTCCTAGCATTACAGAGTAAACTGCATTAGAATTCTGAGTATCTTATGATACTGATGAAATGCTCTTTCACATCCAAAACAAACAAACAAACAAACACAAACCAACGAACCAACCAACCAAACAACAACAACAACTACAACAACAAACTGGAGAGTTGCAGTGGGAGCAGAAAGTCCCAGAATCCTCTAGGTGTACTTAAAACAGGAAGGCAACAAGAGGCTGTCTGACAGAAAAACAGGCCTGGAGGAATTTACAAAGCCCCTTCCAGGGTCTAGTCCTTTGACCAAACCCTAGGTATTGTTTGCAGCCTGCAAGGGTAAAGGGGAGAAGGAATATATGGAAAGGAGCAAAGCAGAAGTTGAAAGTGTCAGGAAGATGAGTGGAGAAGAGATGAAGAAAGGGGAGTTAAATGAAGAAAAGGGGGATGTGTGTTGAAAGGAAGAGAGAGAGTGATGGGTAAAAAAGAGGAAAAAAAGTTGAAATACATAAGATGAAGTTCCCCATCAACAAATGACTCAGTTGATCAGTAAAAAAACCCTCAGAGTGGCCAATCTTCCACTTGACCCATACCCCACCCAGTTCCAAACCTCACAGCAATGCCGTGGTCCTCTATGAGCACTTTCTCGCCTTTTCACAAAGGCTAATCTCACCTATCAAAGGCCACAGCCGTCATGGAGTAGATACTGGCGAAGACAGCGGCGATGGGAAAGAAGTTGTGGAACTTGCAGTAGAACAGGCCGTAGTACCATTCGTTGTGGACAGCATAGGTGAAGTTCACCACTGTATTGAATGCAGCCATGGAGGCCTCCGCGAAGGCCAGGTTCACCAGAAAATAGTTCGTCACTGTCCTCATTCTTTTGTGGGCTAAGATGATCCACATCACTACCACGTTGCCCACCACAGAGGTCACCACAATGACCGTGTAGGCAGCTGCCCAAAGGACAATTTGCCAGGCTGGTTGCACGAACTGATTGGGTTCCGAGGTGTTAGTGGAGATGTTTGGGGAGAGGTCTGAGTCCACCGGGAGGACGTTATCCATTTCGAAGCTAGGCGGTAAAGCCCTACTATCTGTACACAACCCCCCTCTGCAGCAGAGTCCTGTGGCTGGCGCCTGGGGCTCAGGGTCCTTCTAAAGCCAGACAGGAGGGTGGAAGGCTTTTTCTGGGCAGCACTCTTTTTGAAAGCTGAACTGGCGCTCAGAATATAAACGCTTCTGGATGCACTGCCCGCCTGCCCGCGGTGGCTCTGAATTCCTCCACTTTCAAGCTTCAGGAGACGTTTGAGTTCAGAAGTCTGGAGACAGCATCTCTCTTGCGGTAAACTGAAAAAGGGAAAGAAATTCCACCGGTCACAGTTCTAGGAAGCAAGAGATCCCCCGCATTTATGCACCTGCTGCTGCCTGCAACTCCTATTTCTCCTTCCTCCGCAGGGAAAGGCAAAGCCCTGTGCTGCGTGAGGACTTAGGAGCGAAGTGGGGGCCCATTGCAGCGCGACCTGTAAAAGTTCTGAGCCTATGGCCAGGATTCTGGAGCTTCGTATCCAGCTGGAGATTTTTCCTTCTCTTTTGCTGCCGCTGCCGCCGCCTGCAGTTTCGCGGGCACCTCTCGGTTCGGGTTGCTCAGCTCGCGAGTTAGCTGCGCACGAGGCTTTTATAACCCCCTGCAGAGACGTCACTGGGAAGGGGCAGTACCTGGGCTGCGTACTCGCCAGTCCCGGTGCGCAGCGCGGCAGCTGCGCCAGCTGTTGACAACTGTCTCATTCCACCGCCGCAGCTACCACGCCTTTTGCTGCTTGCTACTTGCCGTGGGAGTCTGCGAGCCGGGAGCCCCACGCACTCCGCGAGGGGGCAGTAGGTGGCTTGGAAGTAACTGACACAGATGCGGTCCGCAGCTGGAATCGTCGTTGCACGAGGGGTGCTGGGAGGAAGGAAGGATTTGGGAAACAGCTGGAGTGGAGGACAATCAACTTCCAGGGAATGAAGCCCAGAGCCCTGAGACAGCTCTGCAGAGGCGGCTTGCCTGTGGCAATGGGAAACGGTCATGTGTGGGGGCGATGTGCCAGCGCCGCGCTCCGGGCCGCGCTCCAGCTACCGAGAAGCCAGAGGCGACGACTCCCTGGTCCAGGTGTCCCGAAAACAACTTTCCTGAGGCTGTGTTTAGGAAACACCCCCACAAAATATCTAGCTCAGTTACCTGGCTAGCTGATTCACCTGGGAAGTGACAGTCTCTAAGCTTTGAGGACACTTTCCTCAGCCACCCTGGTGACTTGGCCCCTCGTTCCAGGAGAAGCTCCATTTGAGCCCTCCACCTGACCCCTCTGGATGAGCCTCTGCTCAATCACTGGGGACAGGGCTGAGCTCCCTGCGAATCTTGGTGAGCGCAGGAGCCACACTCATAGGCAGCTTGTCGCTCAGACGCGCGGCTCTGGGCTCTCCGCCAGCAATCACTGCGGCGCTGCGTTTGCCTCCCGGGGACCTGGCAGCCTCCGCCTCCGCGCCTGCCAAGCCTGCAGGCCAGAGCCGGGCTCGGGGTGGCATCGGTGGTCCTTCTCCCTGTTCCCCTTCCAGGTTTGCATAGGGGCTGGAGGACAGGTCAGCCAGCCTTCTCTGCCCGCCTCCATCCTGCCCTGCCGTCTTCTGACTTTGAGGCCTCGTATCCCAGTCCAAGACCATTTCAAACGGTAGAACTGGTGCCAGACACTTGGAGGAGGCAGGGCAAAGACTCGCCAGTCCGTATAAACCCTTTTGGAGAAGCCAAGATGGGATGAGCTCCGCAGCACGTTCCCGCCAGACTGCTGCAGGCAGAGTTCCGCGGAAAACTGAACCCCGGGAGTCCTCAGGGGCCCATCTACCCCGGTGCACCGCCCCCTCCTTTCACTGCGGGGACTCGGAGCTGTGGGACTGGAGCGCGCACCGGCAGACTTGCGCGCAGGTTGGAGTTGGCGCACACCCGCGCCAGCCGGGGAGCGGCGTTTACGCACTGGTACCGCGAGCGCTCAAAGCATCTCTCGGGAAGTGCTTTAAGGCTGGGAAATTTACTATACACTTATGCCGGGCAAAAATTGGATCCCACGCCGGGGAGGAGAATCTGCTGTTTCACTCTGTATTTTTTCGGAGCCTGGGATTTTAGCGTATATAGGAACCGCACATTGCTTTGCCAGGTTCTCCTAGGCACCCGTAAACACACTGCATAGAAAACTCTAGAGATGCTTTCAAGAGAACAGCGTCCCTTTATTTAGAGCGGCTGCACAAGAGGTCTTCTTTGTGGAAGGGAATGCCTCCTCCACCTTGGATCTCTGCTTGAGGCTTCCACCATCTCAAAGAGCTGACAGAGAGAGGGAGGAAAAGGGAGAGGGAAGGGGATGCGGAGGGTGGGGGAGGGGGGAGGGGAAACTTCTCTATCTTTAATTTTCCTTCCAAGCTGTTTAAAGTTATCTTTTCTTTTTTCTCCCTGTCCATTAGAGCCAGGCTGACGTTTTCAAAAGGAACTTTATTCAGTGGTTAAGGGAGAAAAAGAAAGCTAATCGAATAAAATCTAAATATGTAATAAGAGCTAAATATAAAATAAATATGAAATAGCTAAAAAGTAAACATTAATCCATTTATCCTCCATTAGTACAGCAAGTTGATATTTTGAAGCAGGTACTGTGCTGGGCACTGGGGCTGGGGGGTGAACAAGCACTTACAGTATGGAGGAAGACAAACAAGAAGCAATGAACCATACAAAATGGGCGGTATTATGATGACCAAAGGTACTAAGCCCTGAGTGAGGAGAGAAGAGGGAGGCCACCTAACCTAAACAATGAGGGGTATCCGTACAGATGGAAGAAAATCTCATCCATGAAGAAGCCTGAAGAATGAGTTAGGATGGGAAGAGGTTGAGGGTGGAAAAAAGGCGAATATTTCAGGCTGAAGTTTTATAAATCAAACCTTGTCACTCTGCTTAAAGTCCCATAATGACTGCCCACCTATGAGCCTGCAGGTCAGAGCGGGGCCCTGGGTGGCATCAGGGGTTCTTCTCCCTGCTCACCTTCCAGGTTTGCATAGGGACTGGAGCGCAGGTCAGCCCGCCTTCTCTCCCTGCCTCCATCCTGCCTAGCCCTCGGCTAACTTTGAGGCTTTGTATGCCAGTCCAAAGCCACCTCAAATGGTGGAACTGGTGCCAGGCACTGGGACACCTACGTTCCTTACCCTGGCCTTCAACTCTGATGTGTTGATGAGTCTGACTTGGGGTTGTTTTTCTTTCTACTCCGGGATTTTCATGGCTGGTAGCCATATCTTAGGAATCCTTATGACTTGCTAAAGCTAGTTTCTCTTCTTAAAAAGAAAAAGCATATTCATGATGGGTTCACCATTGAGGAAAAAAAAAAGCCTCAGCTATACAGTAGCAGAAGTTGTTTTTGGTTCATACCTATGATATGAGGAGACACTTTATCTAGCATCACCCATCTATAAAGTAATGAATTTTCCCCCTACAGCTTTGCACAAATATATAGATAAAATTCTATACATGCTATTTCCCTCCAAGAGCTGATATTCTTGTTTTCTTATCCTTTTTCCCCCTTCGTTCCTCTTTTCACTGAACATCTTCCTTGACACTCAACACAGGATCACACATCTTAAAGTAAACGCTGTTAACAATGTAGTATAAATCCTTCCTTATTTGTCCAGACTCTTTGATACTATCTAGATGGAAATACAAACATACATAATATTCACACATGTAAATGCAAATATAGGACTTTCATTGTTGTCTGTATTTTGTTTTTCCCACTCTAAACTTTGCCCAGCTGTTTCAGAGTCAACAGGTATAGATTTAACTCATTTTTCAGTGGTTAAATATTATTTCTATGTTATGGATACACCGTAATTTATACATTCAATTCTCTATTCATGAAAATTAACTTTGTTTCCAGTTTTTGTCACTAAAGGCAATTAACAATAAACATTCTCTACATCCTGGTGTTTTCTTTCTATGGGGGTAGATTCAAAGTGGAATTGCTGGGAAGTAGATTATATTTATATTCCTATGCATATGCATATATATGTTGTGAGTTTCTATTCATATTTGTTTATTTTTAAAAGTTTTAAATAAAGTTTTGTTTCTTTGAATTATTTCCTATATTTTATACAAATAACTAAGAGTCTATACCAACTTCATGTATTACTTTTTAAAGCGAAAACATGAATTATTTGCAATTTGCCCATATATTTGCACATACACAGACACCAGCATGGTTTTTAAAAAACTTTTATTTTGGGTTCAGGAGTAACGTGCAGGTTTGTTATATAGATAAATTTTGTGTCACAGGGGTTTGGTGGACAGATTATTTTGTCACCCAGGTAATAAACTTAGTATCTGATAGGTAGTTTTTTGATCCTCACCCTCCTCCCACCCTCCAGCCACAAGTAGGGCCCAGTGTCTGTTGTCCTTTCTATGTGTCCATACGTACTCAGCGTTTAGCTCTCACTTATAAGTGAGAATATGCAGTATTTTGTTTTCTGTTCCTGCTTCAGTTTGCTTAGAATAATGGCCTCCAGATCCATCCATATTGCTGCAAAGGACATGATCTTGTTCTTTTTTATGGCTGTGTAGTATTCCATTTACACGTGTATATATATACCACATTTATATATGTGGTATATATACAAATATGTACCACATTTTCTTTATGCAGTGTACTACCATTCATGGGCATTTAGGTTGAGTCCATGTCTTTTCTATTGTGAATAGTTGCTGCAATAAACATATCAGTGCATGTATCTTTATGGTAGAACAATTTGTATCCCTTTGGGTATATACCCTATAATGAGATTGCTGGGTCAAATGGTAATTCTGTTTTAAGTTCTTTGAGAAATTGCCACACTGCTTTCTACAATGGCTGAACTAATTTACATTCCCACCAGCAGTATACAAGTGTTCCCTTTTCTTTGAAACCTTACCAGCATCTGTTACTTTTTGACTTTTTAATAATAGCAATTCTGACTGATATGGGATGGTATCTCATTGAAGTTTTGATATGCATTTCTCTAATAATTAATGATAGTGAGCAATTTTTCATATGCTTCTTGGCCATGGGTATGTCTTCTTTTGAAAAGTGTTCATGTCCTTCGCTTACTTTTTAATGAGGCTGTTTATTTTTTGCTTGTTAATTTAAGTTCTTCACAGATTCTGGATATTAGACCTTTGTTAGATGCAGAGTTTGCAAGTATTTTTTTCCCATTCTATATGTTGTCCATTTGCTTTGTTGATAATTTCTTTTGCTGTGCAGAAGCTCTTTAGTTTAATTAGGTCCTATTTGTCAATTTTTGTTTGTGTTGCAATTGCTTTTGGCATCTTTATCATGAAATCTTTGCCAGGGCCTATGTGCAGAATGATATATCCTAGGTTATCTTCCAGGGTTTTTATAGTTTTACATTTAAGTCTTTAATACATCTTGAGTTAATTTTTGGATATGGTGTAAGGAAGTGGTTCAGTTTCAGTATTCTGCATATGGCTAGCCAGTTATCCCAGCGCCATTTATTGAATAGGTGCTGTTCTAATGGTCCATGTGTCTGTTTTTGTACCAGTAGTATGCTGTTTTGGTTACTGTAACCTTGTAGTATAGTTTGAAGTTGGATATGTGATGTCTCTAGCTTTGTTCATTTTGTTTAGAATTGCCTTGGCTATTCAGGCTCTTTTTTGATTGCATAGGAATTTTAAAATTGTTTTTCTAATTTTGTGAAGAATGTCATTGGTTGTTAGGAATAACATTGAATCTGTAAATTGCTTTGGGTAGTTTGGCCATTTTAGCAATACTGATTCTTCGTATCTAAGAGCATGGAATGCTGTTTCATTAGTTTGTGTCATCTCTGATTTTTTTGAGTAGTGTTTTGTTGTAGAGATTTTTGTTGTAGAGATCTTTCGCTTCCCTTGTTAGTTGTATTCCTAGGTATTTTATTCATTTTTTGGCTATTCTTGATGAGATTGAATTCTTGGTTTGGCTCTCAGCTTCGATGTGGTTGGTATGTAGAAATGCTACTGATTTTGTACATTGGTTTTGTATCCCGATACTTTGCTGAATTTATCAGATCTAGGTGCTTTTGGGCAGAGACTATGGGGTTTTATAGGTATCATCTGCAAACAGAGATAGTTTCATTTCCTCTTTTCCTATGTGAATGTCTTCTATTTATTTCTCCTGCCTGGTAGCTCTGGCTAGGACATTCAGTGCTATGTTGAATAGGAGTGGTAACATTGGGCATCTTTGCCTTGTTCCGGTTCTCTAGTGGAATGTTTCCAGTTTTTCCCCATTCAGAATGATATTGGCTGTGGGTTTGTCATAGATGCCTCTTATTGTTTTGAGGTATGTTCCTTCAATACCTAGTTTACTGAGGGGTTTTAACATGAAGGGATGTTGAATTTTATCAAAAGCCTTTTCTTCATCTATTGAGACGATCATGTGGTTTTTGTTTTTAGTTTTCTTTATGTGATGAATCACATTTATTGATTGCATAGTTGAACCAACTTTACATCCCAGGGGTAAAGCCTACTTGATTATGGTGGATTAGTTTTGCTGCTGGATTGGGTTTGCTGGTATTTTGTTGAGGATTTTTGCATCAATGTTCATCAAGGATATTAGTCTGAAGTTTTCTTCTTTGTTGTGTCTCTGCCAGGTTTTAGTATGTGAATGATGCTGGCCTCAAGGAATGAATTAGGAAGTCCTTCCTCCTCAATTTTTGAGAATAGTTTCAGGAGGAATGGTACCAGTTCTTCTTTATACATCTGGCAGAATTTGGCTGTGAATCCATCTGGTCCTAGGCTTTTTCAGATTGATAGGCTTTTTATTGCTGATTCAGTTTCAGAACTCATTGGTCTGTTTAGTGATTCAATTTCTTCCTGGTTCAATCTTGGAAGGCTGCATGTTTCCAGGAATTTATTCATTTTGTCTAGGTTTTCTAGTTTGTATGCATAGAGGTGTTCATAGTAGTCTCTAAAGGTTTTTTAAAATTTTTATTTCTGTAGGGTTAGAAATAACCCTACATCTCCTTTGTCATTTCTGATTGTGTGGGGTGTTTTTTTTTGGATCTTCTCTCTTTTTTTCTTTGTTAGTCTAGATACTATTCTACCCATGTTACTCATTCTTTCAAAGAACCAACTGCTGGACTCAATCTTTTGTATGACTTTTCACATCTCAATTTCCTTCAGTTCAGCTCTGGTTTTGGCTATATCTTGTCTTCCGCTAGTCTGGAGGTTGGTTTGCTAGTTTCTCTAGGTGTGGTGTTAGGTTGGTAATTTGAGATCTTTCTAACTTTTTCATGTGAGTGTTTAGTAGTATAAACTTCCCTTTTAACACTGCTTTAGCTGTGCCCGGAGATTCTGGTATGTTGTATCTTTATTCTTTCTGGTTTTAAAGAATTTCTTGATTGCTGCCTTAATTTCATTGTCATTATACCAAATGACAATTGTACATTGTCATTTTTGTTGTACCCAAAGTCATTCAGAAGGAGGTTGTTTAATTTCCATGTAACTGTATGGTTTTGAGCAATTTTTAAAGTATTGATTTCTATTTTTATTGAGCTGTGGTCCAAGAATGTGGTTGGTATAATTTAGTTTTTGTTTTTTAATTTGCTGAGGGTTGTTTTATTGCTGATTGTGTGATCAGTTTTAGAGTATGTGCCATGTACAGTTAAGAAGAATGTAAATTCTGCTGTTTTGGGATGGAGAGTTCTGTTAGTTCCTATTGATCAAGTGTTGAGTTCAGGTCCTGAATATCTTCGTTAGTTTTCATCCTTGATGATCTGTCTAATACTGACAGTGGGGTGTTGAAGTCTCCCACTATTATTGTGTGATTATCTAAATCTTTCATAGGTTTCTAAGAACTTGATTTATGAATCTGGGTGTTCATATATATATATATATGTATATATGAACAAGAAGATCTAACTATCCTATATATTTATGTTTTAAGAGATTATTTATATATATATAGGACATATAAGGTGAGATATATATCTATATCTATCTATATGTAGGATAGTTAGGTCTTCTTGTTCCATTGAACTCCCTTTGCCATTATGTAATGCCCTTCTTTGTCTTTTTGATTGTTGTTGCTTTAAAGTATTTTGTCTGAATTTAGGATAGCAATCCTTGCTTTTTTTCTGTTTTCCTTTGCTTGGTAGATTTTTCTCCATCCCTTCACTTTGAGCCTGTGGGTGTCATTGCATGTGAGATGGGCCTCTAGTAGATGTTGGTTTTCCATTCCTGAGTTACTTCACTTACAATAATGGTCTCCAATCTCATCCGGGTTACTGTGAATGCAGTATTCCATCTCATATATATATGAGTAGCATTCCATCTCATATATATATACCACAGTTTCTTTATTCACTCATTGATTGATGGGCATTTGTTCTGGTTTCATATTTTTTCATTTGCAAAAGTTTTTCGTATATTAACTTCTTTTCCTCTGGGTAGATACCCAGTAATGGGATTGCTGGATCAAATGGTAAATCTACTTTTAGTTCTTTAAGGAATGTCCACACTGTTTTCCACAGTGGTTTACATTCCCACCAGCAGTGTAAAAGTGTTCCCTTTCTGCCCCATCCATGCCAACATCTCTTATTATTATTTTTGGAGACAGAGTCTTGCTCTGTTGCCCAGGCTGGAGTGCAGTGGCATGATCTCAGCTCACTGCAACCTCCGCCTCCTGAGTTCAAGCGATTCTCCTGCCTCAGCCTCCCAAGTAGCTGGGACTACAGACACGTGCCACCACACCTGGGTAGTTTATGTATTTTTAGAAGAGATAGAGTTTCACCATGTGGCCAGGCTGGTCTCGAACTCCTGACCTCTGGTGATCCGCCTGCCTTGGGCTCCCAAAGGGTTGGGATTACAGGTGTGAGCCACTGCGCCTGGCCCAACATCTATTTTTTTTTATTATGGACATTCTTGCGGGAGTAAGGTGATATTACATTGTGGTTTTGATTTGCATTTCCCTGATAATTAGTGATGTTGAGCATTTTTTCATGTTCGTTGGCCATTTGTATATCTTCTATTGAGAATTGTCTATTCATGTTCTTAACGCACTTGTTGATGAGATTATTATTATTTTTTTCTTGCTGATTTGTTTGAGTTACATGTAGATTCTAGATACTAGTCCTTTGTTTGATGCATAGTTTGCGAAGATTTTCTCCCACTCTATGGGTTGTCTTTTTACTCTGCTGATTATTTCTTTCTCTGTGCAGAAGCTTTTTAGTTTAATTAAGTCCCCCTATTTATCTTTGTTTTTGTTGCATTTGCTTTTGTGTTCTTGGTCATGAAGTCTTTGCCTAAGCCCATGTCTAGAACAGTTTTTTCCAATGATATCTTCTAGAATTTTTATGGTTTTAAGTCTTAGATTTAAGTCTTTAGTCAATCTTGAGTTGATTTTTGTATAATGTGAGAGATTAGGATGCAGTTTCATTCTTCTACATATGGCTTGCCAGTGATCCCAGCATCATTTGTTGAATAGGGTATCCTTTCCCCACTTTATGTTTTTGTTTGTTTTGTCAAATATCAGTTGGCTCTAAGTATTTGGGTTTACTTCTGGGTTCTTTATTCTGTTCCATTGGTCGATGGGCCTATTTTTTTTACAAGTACAATGCTGTTTTGATGACTATGGACTTAATAGCATAGTTTGAAGTCTGGTAATGTGATGTCTCCAGATTCGTTCTTTTTGCTTAGTCTTGCTTTAGCAATGCAGGCTCTTTTTTGGTTTCGTATTAATTTGAGGATTGTTTTTTCTAGTTCTGTGAAGAATGATGGTGATATTTTGATGAGAATTGCATTGAATCTGAAGATTGCTTTTGGCAGTATGGTCATTTTCACAATTGATTCTACCCACCCACGAGCATGGGATGTGTTTCTATTCAACATAGTATTGGAAGTTCTGGCCAGGGCAGTCAGACAAGTGACAGGTCTCACACAATTCCCACACAGCCTGCAAGGCCATTCTCACTCCCATCATGCCCCTGCAACAGCACTGAGTTTATTTCTAGGCAGTCAGAAGCAGGGCTGAGATGTTGCCCCAGGCCGCAAGGTTTCCCTCTGAAAAAGCAAACAGGGCTTTCAGGTTTTGCACCTCCCCACCTGCTGCGGCTTCTGTGCTTGTATCTGCATTCCGCGTTTACCCCCTTCCCCAGATTCCGTCCAGGAAACTTCATGTTCAGTCAAAATTATTACAAAGTTCACCTGGAAGTTTTCTTCTCTCTGTGGTGTTTCCTCAATTACACTGGCAGCCCTCCCCAAAGACCTGGGAGACAAACTCAGAAACTGCTTCCCTGGGGACCGAGAGTGCCCACAGGGCTCTTCCCACTGCTTCCTCTCCCTGCATTTTTTGCTCAGCTTTCAAATTCTGGTTCAGCCCCAGGTAAGGTCAAATACTCCTGCTATGATCTGGACTTTCAGTTTTCCCTGTGAGGATGTATGTTTGGGGGTGGATGTTTTCCCTTACACTCTACAGACACTCGCAGTTTTTCAGCTGTCCCATGGGGCCTGCAGTGGTAAGCTGCCTCTTTCAAAGAGGTCTGTGGATTCTCTTGGATTTCCTGGTGTGTTCCTGCAGTAGTTCTTGGAGCAAAGGTTAATTGTATGAGTCTCCACACACTGCTGTGTCCGTCCAAGAGGGAGTTGCATGTTAGTCCTGCCTCCTATCTGCCAGTTTCCTCAACCCTGTAGAATCTGATGACTATGTATCTTGGTGGTGGTAACCTTGTATAGTATCTCACAGGGGTTCTCTGCATTCTCTGAATTTGAATGCTGGCCTCTCTGCCAAGGTTGAGGAAATTTTTATGCATGATATCCCCAAATATGTTTTCCAAGTTGCTTGCTTTCTCTCTCTCTTTTGAGGATGCCAATAAATTGTAGATTTGGTCTCTTTACATAACCCCATATTTCTTGGGGGTTTTGTCCATTCTTCCATATTCTTTTTTCTTTATTTTGTCTGACTGAGTTATTTTGGAGAATCAGTCTTCAAGCTCTGAAGTTTTTTCCTCAGCATGGTCAATTCTGCTGTTAATACTTACGATTGTTCTGTGAAATTCTTGCAGTGAGCTTTTCAGTTCTATCAGATCAGTTTGGTTCTTTCTTAAAATGGCCATATAATCTTTCACGTTGTCTTATTGTATGCCTTAGATTCATTGGATTGGGTTTCAACTTTCTCCTGAATCTCCACGATCTATGTTCCTATCCATATTCTGAATTATATTTCTGTCATTTCAGTCTGGTTAAGAACAATTTCTGGGAAACTAGTGCCGTCATTATTTGGAGGTAAGAAGACACTGGCTTTTTGATTTGTCAGAGTTCTTGTGCTGGTTCTTTCTCATCTGTGTGAGCTGATGTTTCTTCAGTCTTTGAAGCTGCTATCCTTTGGATGAGTTATTTTGCTTTTCTCTTCTATGATGCCCTTGGAGGTTTGATTTTGGCGTAATGTGGGTTCAGTCTACTGGATTCACTTCTGGACGATTTTAGGAAACTAAGGCTCAGCTCAGCACTCCTGGGCTGCATTCTCTAATTCTGCATGGCTGGTAGCAGTCTTCTGGCTTTGTTCTCTGATCACTTAAGGTTAAGAACCTTCTGCACTGGAGGGGCTGAGGTGTTCTCAGTCCATTGGCCACAACACTCTGATGAGTGGTGCTGGCTAAAGCGCTTCACTGGGGACATGGCAGTGGGATCCAGGCTTACTCGCATATGCCAGCAGCCACAGCAGTGTAGCAGGGTGCATGTGTATAGGCTGGGGCGGGATACCAGGGGGAGCAGGGTTGTAGTGTTCCTGTGTGTGCTCATGCCAGTGGCAGTGGCAGTGTGGCAGGACTCTATTTGTATTTAAATGATTGCCTTTCAAAAAGGCAATCTGTATATTTTACTAGCAGTTAAGATTATCCTTTCCCCACATCTACTCCAGTTACTAGGCTTGTTAGTTTGATCAGTCTGTTGGCTATAAAATATTGTAACACTGTTATGATAGAGTGTACATTTTCCTGACTACTACAGAATTTGAACTTCTTTAAGTTTTTTTGTTGTTGTTATTTTGTTTTCGGTTATTTGGATTTTCTTACCTATAGATTGTTTATTCACATCTCTTGCCCCTTTTCTGTTGAATTGCTTTCTAGTCATTTTTTCCTTAGTGTTCTTTGTATATTTACAGATATAAACGCTTTTCCTTTCATAAATATTTCAGATATTTACTTCTAATGCTATTATTTCTCTCTTGAATTGATACGTTTGTCACAAAAACTTACACAATTTTTATGTAGTCATATTTGCTTTAATAGTATTTAGCTTTTCCAGTATGGCTTTTTTTACATAGTGTCCCAGATTTTCTTGGTGGTTTCTTATTTTTTGCATATAGGTCTTTAATTCACCTGGAGTTTTATTATTGTATATGATTAAAAGGAAGTGAACATATTTACTTTCATTTTCTTTCATGTGGTTAGCTGGTTTTGACAGCTGCATTCATTTTCTTAGTGAATTAAACCATTATTATTGTCAAAGATTAAGTTTTCAAACATATGTGATTTAATATTTATATTCTCCAGTCATCCTACTGATCCATTTGTCTATTCCTATGGCATTGCTATATATACCACATAATTTCCTACTTTCCCTATCACTTGCAATCAGGCAGAGCCATGTGACTAATTTAGTCCAATATGTTGTGAGTGGAAATGACGTATGTCACTTCTAGTCTGAAGCATAAAAATGTGTGTGTATGTGTGTGAGAGAGAGAGAAAGAAAGAGAGAGAGAGAGAGAGAAAGAGAGAAAGACAAAGAGACTACTTCATGTATTCTCTTTCCTCTACCAAGCCCCCTTGTTCCAAATGATCCAGCTACAAGATGGAAGGTCTCTATCACCTTGAATTGCCAAGTGACTGTGTAGCACAGACCCCTGTCAAATCATTACGGACACGCAGCATGAGCAAGAAATAAACTTTTGTTGTGTTAAGGCACCAGAGCTTTGGATTAATTTGTTACTCACCATGCAATAACTCATCCTGACTATTACAGGAATAAAGATTCTGATATTTGGTAAGACAAGTTCACCTGAATGGTCATTGAATGCTTTTCTTATTTATTTCTGGGAACGACATTTAAACTTGAATATTTTTTATTCAATTAAACACCCCGTGCCAGTTGACTGGCTTCATTTCTGGAAGATTTTAGGGGACTAAACTGCAGTAGAATTAGTATTCTAATTGAAACTGTCTGAAATTTACTTGTTAATTTTGACAATATTTATATTTTTGATATTACATTTTTTCATCCAGGAACATGATATGCCTTTCTGTTTCTTTAGGTCTCATTTTATATCTTTCAAAAATGATTTTATAATGTTGGCTAAAATAATTTTAGTCTTTTGATTAACTTCATTTCCATGTATTTTGTTGGTTCTGTTTCTATTGTAAATGAAATACATTTTTCCATTTCTTTGTTAGATCAAACCTATTGACTTCTGTGTGTGTGTGTGTGTTTATGCATGTGTGTGTGTGCATTTATGCATGTATGTATATGCTGTATATCCTAGCCATTTTACTAATTTTTGAATTTATTCTAGTGGTTTATTGAGTTTCCCTAGTTTTCAAGCACATAACTAGTATTTTCTTGTCTCACTTAATTTCCTTTACCTTATCAAGACAATGTTAAATTCAAAATAATACCAAGGGCTGGGCATGGTGGCTCACGCCTGTAATCTCAGCACTTTGGGAGGCTGAGGCAGGCAGATCACCTGAGGTCAGGAGTTCGAGACCAGCCTAGCCAACACAGTGAAACCCTGTCTCTACAAACATAAAACAAGAGCGAAACTCCATCTCAAAAAAAAAAAAAAAAAAAAAGATACCAGGTATTTCTGCATAGGTTTCAAATTTAAATTAATGTTGCTTTAGTTTTTTTTTTTTTTACCATTTAGAATAATATTTCTTATTAAATTTGCTAAATAATCTTTATGTTTTATAGTTTATTTCTACTTTATTTTTTACTCTGAAGTATTAATAGAAATGGCTTATTTCTTTTATTTTTAAATGCCTTTTTCAGAATCTGTTGATGATTGTGTAAGTTTTTCCACTAACTTACTGACATAATGGATTAAGTGGATATACTTCCCCACGCTGTTCCTAATACTGACCCGCCATTGCATTCCTGGCGTCAGTTCTGCTTGGTCAGAGGCTAAGTCATTCCTTTGATATATTGCTAGATTCAACTTGCTAATGCTTTATTTTGAATTTTTGCATCTATTTCTCTATGTGAGATTGTGTATAGATTTTTTTCTTTACTTTTCTCTCTTGATCAGGTTTTAGAATTAGTGTTTTGTATTAAAAAATGAAGTTAGAAGCATCTCATCTTCAACTATAGCCAGAAATAATTTCAGTCCTAGTCCCTGAACTAGCAGCACTGGCATTACGAGGAATTGGTTGCAAATTCTTGAACAGATCCAGGACTACTCAACCAGAATCTGCATTTTATTGATTTATATGCACATTAAGGTTTGAGGAACTTAAAATAGGTCCAATGTTTTCCAAATTATCAGATGATATGAAGCTCTTGAGGTGATTATTAAATAAACATTATTATATTCCCTTGAAAATTCTGATTTAGTTTGTCTGAGCTGGAGTTCAGCAATCTGGGTTTTTAACAAGTCCCCTGAATAAGTCTTATCTTCAAGCAAGTTTGGAAATATGTGAGTCTTTTATTTTAAATCCAGCATGAAACTAGGTGAGTCCTTTCTTCATCTCAAAGAAATATTCCTTTAGTATTTTTTGAAATTACTACCTCTTCTTCATCGGTCCTTTTTTTCTCCTTTGGGAATTTTATTGCTGGCATGCTATGTTTCATGCGCGTCCGTGTGAAGAGACCACCAAACAGGCTTTGTGTGAGCAACAAGGCTGTTTATTCCACCTGGGTGCAGGTGGGCTGAGTCCGAAAAGAGAGTCAGCGAAGGGAGATAGGGGTGGGGCCGTTTTATAGGATTTGGGTAGGTAAAGGAAAATTACAGTCAAAGGGGGGTTGTTCTCTGGCGGGCAGGAGTGGGGGTCGCAAGGTGCTCAGTGGGGGTGTTTTTTGAGCCGGGATGAGCCAGGAAAAGGACTTTCACAAGGTAGTGTCATCACTTAAGGCAAGGACCGGCCATTTACACTTTTGTGGTGGAATGTCATCAGTTAAGGCAGGGCAGGGTCTTTTCACTTCTTTTGTGATTCTTCAGTTACTTCAGGCCATCTGGGCGTATATGTGCAAGTCACAGGGGATGCGATGGCTTGGCTTGGGCTCAGAGGCCTGACATTTCTGCCTTCTTATATTAATAAGAAAAATAAAACAAAATAGTGTTGAAGTGTTGGGGCGGCGAAAATTTTTGGGGGTGGTATGGAGAGAGAATGGGCGATGTTTCTCAGGGCTGCTTCAAGTGGGATTAGGGGCAGCGTGGGAACCTAGAGTGGGAGAGATTAAGCTGAAGGGAGGTCTTGTGGTAAGGGGTGATATTGTGGGGATGTTAGAAGAAACATTTGTCGTATGGAATGATTGGTGATGGCCTGGATATGGTTTTGGATGAATTGAGAAACTAAATGGAATAACAGAAGGAGAAAAACAGGTATAAAAGGTCTAAGAATTGGGACGACTCAGGATATCTGATTAGAGAGTGCCTAAGGAGATTCAGCATAGTCCTGCCAGCAAAGATTATTTATTTACTTCAAGAGTTAAGAGTGGCAGTTTGGGGATAGCCCCAGGAGATATCAGCTGTGATGGCTTGGAAAAACAGTGTAAACCGGCAGTGTAAACAAGAGCAGGGCATGTATGAGTAGTTGAGAACGGTGAATAGGAGTATGACTAGACAGAAGATAGTGGGGATGACAAGTTTTTTGGGGCACAGTCTAAGTTGGTCTGGTGTCTGGAATGAGACTGGGGCCTAATAAAAGGAGCGTCTATACAGGAGCTTAAATGGGCTGTACCCTGTAGCATTCTGAGGACAGGCCTGAATTCTGAGAAGGGAAAGTGGTAAAAGTATTGTCCGGTCCATTTTAAGTTAGTGGCTGAGCTTGGTGAGGTGTGTTTTTAAAAGACCTTTAGTCCATTCTACTTTTCTTGAAGATGGAGGACCGTAAGGGATATAAAGGTTTCGCTGAATACTAAGAGCCTGAAAAACTGCTTGGCTGATTTGACTAATAAAGGCTCGTCTGTTATCAGACTGTATTGAGGTGGGAAGGCTAAACTGAGGAATTATGTCTGACAGAACGGAAGAAATGACTGCGGTGGCCTTCTCAGACCCTGTAGGAAAGGCCTGTACCTATCCAGTGAAAGTATCTACCTAGACTAAGAGGTATTTTTTAGTTATCTGACTCAGGGCATGTTGAGTAAAGCTAATTTGCCAGTCCTGGGTGGGGCAAATCCTCGAGCTTGATGTGTAGGGAAGGGAGGGGGCCTGAATAATCCCTGAGGAGTAGTAGAATAGCAGATGGAACACTGAGAAGTTATTTCCTTGAGGATAGATTTCCACGATGGAAAGGAAATGAGAGGTTCTAAGAGGCGGGCTAGTGGCTTGTACTATAAGCTTGTACTTTTGTATATGCAAAAGCATAACCTGCCTTTGCTGGTGTGTGGCGATTAGGCCTGGTGGAACCGCCATCAATAAAGCAAGCGTGATCAGGGTGAGGAACAGGAAAGAAGGAAATTTGGGGAAATGGGGTGAATGTCAGGTGGATCAGAGAGATACAGTTATGGGGGTCAGGTGTGGTATCAGGAATAATGTGGGAGGCCAGATTGAAGTCTGGGCCAGGAACAATGGTAACTGTGGGAGACTCAACAAAGAGTGAGTACAGCTGAAGGAGCCGGGGAGCAGAAAGTATATGCATCAGGTATGAGGAAGAAAATAGGTTTTGGAAGTTATGAGAACTGTAGAGAGTGAGTTGAGCATAGTTTGTGATTTTGAGGGCCTCTAAAAGTATTAAAGCAGTGGCAGCTGCTGCATGCAGACATGAGGGCTAGGCTAAAACAGTAAGGTCAAGTCGTTTGGACAGAAAGGCTACAGGGAGTGGTCCTGGCTCTTGTGTAAGAATTCTGACTGCACTAACCATGCCTAGGAAGGAAAGGAGTTGTTGTTTTGTAGAAGGTGCTTGGGTTTGAGAGATCAGTCGGACACAATTGGCAGGGAGAGCACGTGTGTTTTTATGAGAATTATGCCGAGATAGGTAACAGATGAGGAAGAAATTTGGGCTTGATTGAAGTAATGGGGGCTGTCTGTGAAGCTTTGCGGCAGTACAGCCCGGGTAATTTGCTGAGCTTGATGGGTGTCAGGGTCATTCCACGTGAAAGCGAAGAGAGGCTGGGATTAAGGGTGCAAAGGAATAGTAAAGAAAGCATGTTTGAGATCTAGAACAGAATAATGGGTTGTAGAGGCAGGTATTGAGGATAGGAGAGTATATGGGTTTGGCACCACGGGGTGGACAGGCAAAACAATTTGGTTGATAAGGCGCAGATCCTGAACTAAATTGTAAGGCTTGTCTGGTTTTAGGACTGGTAAAATGGGGGAATTGTAAGGAGAGTTTATAGGCCTTAAAAGGCCATGCCGTAGCAGGCGAGCGATAACAGGCTTTAATCTTTTTAAAGCGTGCTGCGGGATGGCATATTGGCGTTGAGTGGGGTAAGGGTGATTAGGTTTTAATGAGATGGTAAGGGGTGCATGATTAGTCGCCAAGGAGGGAGTAGAGGTATCTTATACTTGTGGGTTAAGGTCGGGGGTACAAGAGGAGGACACAAAGGAGGCTTTGGATTGGGAAGAAGGGCGGCAATGAGATATAGCTGTAGTCCAGGAATAGTCACGGAAGCAGATAATTTAGTTAAAGTGTCTCAGCCTAATAAGGGAACTGGGCAGGTGGGGATAACTAAAAAGGAGTGCTTAAAAGAGTATTGTCTAAGTTGGCACCAGAGTTGGGGAGTTTTAAGAGGTTTAGAAGCCTGGCCGTCAATACCCACAACAGTTATGGAGGCAAGGGAAATGGGCCCTTGAAAAGAAGGTAATGTGGAGTGGGTAGCCTCCGTGTTGATTAAGAAGGGGACGGGCTTATGAGAGTTACCCAAAACTCTCCACTGTGAGAGTTACCCAAAGCTCAGTGTCCGTGATGGTCTACGTGGCTTCCGAGGTGATCGGGCAGTGTCAGTCTTCAGCTGCTAAGCCGAGAAGATCTGGGAAGGAGTCAGTCAGAGAGCCTTGGGCCAGATTTCCAGGGGCTCTGGGAGTGGCTGCCAGGTAAGTTGAACAGTCCGATTTTCGGTGGGGTCCTACACAGATGGGACGCGGCTTAGGAGGAATCCCGGGCTGCGGGCATTCCTTGGCCCAGTGGCCAGATTTCCGGCACATGTAGCAAGCTCCTGTGGGAGGAGGTTCTGGAGGAACGCCTGGCCGCTGCGGTTCAGGCATTTGGAAGTTCTTGTGTGCTGGAGATGTGGCTGCGGTTTGTCTCACAGTGGAGGCAAGGAATTGCAACTTTTTTCTATTATTGTACACCTTGAAGGCGAGGTTAATTAAATCCTGTTGTGGGGTTCGAGGGCTGGAATTTAATTTTTGGAGTTTTATTTAATGTCGGGAGCAGATTGGGTAATAAAGTGTATTTTAATAAGATGGCTTTTTGACATTTTAGGGTCTAGGGCTGTAAAGTGCCTCAGGGTTGTTGCCAAACAAGTCATGAACTGGGCTGGATTTTTATATTTGATGAAAAAGAGCCTAAACGCTCTCTGATTTGGGATAAAGAAAAAGGAGCATTAACCTTGACTATGCCTTTAGCTCCAGCCACCTTTTTAAGAGTAAATTGCTGGGCAGGACGGGGAGGGCTAGTCACGGAATGAAACTGTAAGCCGGACCAGGTGTGAGGAGGGGAGGTGATAAAAAGATTATAGGGTGGAGGAGCAGAGGCGGAGGAAGAATTGGGACCTAGCTTGGCCTGGCAAGGAGCAGCCTGGGGAGGAAGGGAGAGGTCAGATGGGTCTGTAGAAAAGGAAGATTAGAAAGACTCAGCGACGCTTGGGGTTGGTACTGAGGGGACAGGTGGGAGGGAAAGAAGGAAGATATGGGACGAGTTGCACTGGGCATAGAGACTAGGAAGGGACTGATGTGTAAAAGAATGCCTGGACATCAGGCACCTCAGACCATTTGCCCATTTTACGACAAGAATTATTTAGATCTCGTAGGATGGAAAAATTGAAAGTGCCATTTTCTGGCTATTTGGAACTACTGTCGAGTTTGTATTGGGGTCAAGAGGCATTGCAGGAGAAAAGATGCTTAGATTTTAGGTCAGGTGAGAGTTGAAGAGGTTTTAAGTTCTTAAGAATATAGGCTAAGGGAGAAGGAGGAGAAATGGAAGGTGGAAGCTTGCCCATAGTGAAGGAGGCAAGCCCAGAGAAAAGAGTAGAGACACTGAGAAGGGGTAGGGGTTTCTTGCCCTCCAGAAAAGCAGAGAAAGGGTTGGGGCATGGAAATAAGGAATTGGGGCACAGAGATAAGAGGTTGGGGTGTGGAAATAAGGGATTGGGACACAGAGATAAGAGGTCGGGGTGTGGAAATGAGGGATTGGGGGTTCTTGCCCTCTAGAAAAGCGGGACTTGCCGCAAAGGGTGAAGGAGAAGGGGTTGAGGGATACTTGCCCCTCCCCCAGAAAAGCAGAGACGGGGTAGAGACAAGGAGAGAAGGGGTTGGGGTACTTGCCCCTTCTCCAGAAAAGCGGGACTTGCCGCTAAGGGTGAAGGACCAAGGCAGGCATCCCTGCGTGGTCTGACACCCTTGAAACATGGGTGAATAATCAGAGAGGTGTCCCTGCAATGATTAAACACCAAGGGAAGGCTGCCTTCCCAGTCCGTGACCGGTGCCGGAGTTTTGGGTCCATGGATAAAACCTGTCTCCTTTGTCTCTACCAGAAAATACCAGAAAATGAAAGGAATTGAAATTAAGAGAAGGGAGAGATTGAAGTTTGGCGCCAAGATTGAAAGGAGAAAGAGGTTGAGGGATAGTGAGGGAGGTTGGAGAAGAGAGTAAAAAGAGGCCGCTTACTGGATTTGAAATTGGTGAGATGTTTCTTGGGCTGGTCGGTCTGAGGACCTGAGGTCGTAGGTGGATCTTTCTCATGGAGCAAAGAGTAGGAGGACAGGGGAGTGATCTCCCAAGGGAAGTCCCCTGATCCAAGTCCCGGGTCTTGGCACCAAATTTCATGCGCGTCCGTGTCAAGAGACCACCAAACGGGCTTTGTGTGAGCAACAAGGCTGTTTATTTCACCTGGGTGCAGGTGGGCTGAGTCCGAAAAGAGAGTCAGCAAAGGGAGATAGGGGTGGGGCCATTTTACAGGATTTGGGTAGGTAAAGGAAAATTACAGTCAAAGGGGGGTTGTTCTCTGGCAGGCAGGAGTGGGGGTCGCAAGGTGCTCAGTGGGGGTGCTTTTTGAGCCGGGATGAGCCAGGAAAAGGACTTTCACAAGGTAATGTCATCACTTAAGGCAAGGACCAGCCATTTACACTTCTTTTGTGGTGGAATGTGGTCAGTTAAGGTGGGGCAGGGCATATTCACTTCTTTTGTGATTCTTCAGTTACTTCAGGCCATCTGGGCGTATATGTGCAAGTCACAGGGGATGCGATGGCTTGGCTTGGGCTCAGAGGCCTGACACTAAGTCTCCTGCATTCATTCTGTGAATGTTTTAAAAACTATTCCTGACCTCTTGGTGGTGACTAGCACTTAAAAAAATAAGATAGCACAGACTAGAAAATGTCAGAATGCATAATAGATACAGTAAGGGTAATTATCGTTTTGTAAATCTTTTATTTCATTACTTTCCTCTGTGTACAGGGTTTCAATGTAAACTCTACTTTTTGAAACATAGGTTGCCATAAAAAATATTGAAAGCAATTCTATAGGTGTCAAAAATTTTCTCATGGTTTCTATCTTTTTTTATGTTTCTGCTTTGTGCTCAAAGGTATTTATTGCATTTGATCTTCTAAGCCATTTCTTTGTGTCTTTCAATACAGCTACTGAATATTTTAGCCAAAAGTTATTGTTTAGCTTCTGAAGATCATGTTTTACTTTTACTGCACTTGAATCTCTTTAAAGATACATCATTATTATTATGTTTTACTCAGGTGTTCTTTGAGCTCTTTCAGGAGCTCTCTTTTAGGAGGTACCCTTGCTTACATTGCTATTTTCTTTCCTTTTTTTTTTTGTTTTCATTATATTTTTTATTGTATATATTTTTGGGGTACAATGTGATGATGTTTTGATACATGCATACATTGTGCAGTAATTAAACCAAACTAATTAACATATTAATTGCCTCACATATTTGTCATTTTTTCCACGGTGAGAACATTTAAGGTCTCCTCTTTTAGCAATTTTCAAGTGTATAGTAGGTTATTATTAACTATAGTTACCATATCGTGCAATAGATCTTCAGAACTTATGACTCTTATCTAACTGAAACTTTGCAGCCTTTGACCAACATCTCTCCATGCCCTCTTCCCCCTAGCCCCTGGTAACCACCACTCTTCTCTCTATTTCTGTGAATTCAACTTTTTTAGATTCTACATATAAGTGAGATCATGTGTGATATGGTTTGGCTCTGTGTCCCCACCCAAATCTCATCTTGAATTGTATTCCCATAATTCCCACATGTCATGGGAGGGACCCAGCGGGAGATAATTGAATCATGGAGGCAGTTTCCCCCATTCTGTTCTCGTGGTAGTGAATAAGTCCATGAGATTTGATGGTTTTATCAGGAGTTTCCACTTTTGTGTCTTCCTCGTTCTCTCTTTGCCTGCTGCCATCCATGTAAGACGGGACGTGCTCCTCATTGCTTTCTGCCATGATTGTGAGGCTTCCTCAGCCACGTGGAACTGTAAGCCCGATTAAACCTCTTTGTTTTGTAAATTGCCCAGCCTCAGGTATGTCTTTATCAGCAGCATGAAAACGGACTAATACAATGTGATAATTTTCTTTCTGTGCTTGGCTTATTTCACTTAACATGATGTCCTCCAACATCCATGTCGTTGCAAGTGACAGGATTTCTTTCTTTTTAAAGGTGGAATAACATTCCGTTCCATTTTGTGTATGTACACACATACGTACATACACATGTACACACACAAAATGGAGTGGGATTATATATATAATTATATAATTATGTATTTATATAAAATTATATATTTATATAAAAATTATATATATAATTTTCTTTATTCATTCATTCATTGATGGACAATTAGGTTGATTCCATATCTTGACAATTGTGATTAAGAGGGAATCCTTGTGCACTGTTGATGAGAATATAAATAGTACAGTGCTTATGAAAAACAGTACGGAGGTTTCTCAAAAAATTAAAAAGTAGAACTACCATATGATCCAGCATTTCCGTCTCTGGATATTTATCCAAATAAATGAAATCAGTATGTTGAAGAGATAGCTGTATTTCCATGTTTATTGCAGCATTATGCATAATTAAGATATGGTTATTATTTTCTTTATTGGGTCATCAGGGCTCACGTCTGGTGGTTGGTGTACCCTAAACAGTGGGCATTAAGGGATTCCCCAGGTCATTAAAAAATTGGGGGGATTAGTGTTAGGGTTAGTTCCTTCCCATCCTTTCACTTACTTGAATCAAGAAGCTGGCAGGTTATCAGAGCTCTGCTGGGATACCTCCAGAAAGCCTCCCTGCCTTTCATTTTGCTGCCTCAGGGCCAGAGAGACCTAGCTCATTCTTCCTTCTCCCTCTAGGCCTTGTGGATAGTAAGGAATCAGTGGTCCACCATGGGGCAGATGGCCACTCCGATTCTCAGATGTTTTTTAAATTTTCCCTCAATTTTATTTTATTTATTTGTTATTGTCTTATTTAATGTTTGTGGGTACATAGTCGGTGTATATATGTATGGGGTACATGAGACATTTTGACTGCCATATCCTACCCAGGCTCCTCTGTCTTGGTCCTCCCTCTGGGTCTCCATCCTGATCTCCCATCAATGCGCAGCCTGCCAGAGGAAGCCCTGCCCAATTCTGTCATTCTCTCAGCCCAACTCTCCAACAGAGCTCTCAAGGCCCACTTACGTCCAGCTGCCCTGAAGTTCTGAAGCCACTTGGCTGATGAAGGACAACATTGGCAGGGAGAGTGATGGCAGCTATGTTTAGGTCCTCATAAGCCGGATGTGGAGGCATTCCCTTCTTTCTCTGCAGAGTTGATGAGTTACTATTAGTCACTGGCTCCCTTCCTTAGCCATCCTTTCATAAGATAAACTGTCTGGTGTGCATTATGTCTTTTTCAAATTAGGTTGTAGTTCCCTGAGAGCAGGAACCATGTTATTCTACTATTCATTTTCTAGCACCTCCTTCCATACAGTGCTTTACTCAAGTGGATGAGCAATACATACGTATTAAACTGGATTGATTTGCATAAAAATAGTTGGTTTTAGGAAGGTAGTATGAGGTGGGATGGCAGCAACAGAACAGAAATCATCAAACTGTAAATCTTCCCAACACAAAACAGGAATAAAAATTAAATAGTAATAACAAGAAGCCAGGAGAAGAAGAGAAAGGCAGCTGGCACTTACACAGTGTCTATATATGCCAGAACTGCTCTACCTGCTTTATGTGTAGGCACCCTGTTTGACCTTTCGTCAGCACTTCTAACTTATAACATGAGTACTGACTGAGTTTATAACTGTATGTGAATGTTATTCCTCTCACTAAGCAACATTTATCTCACTTCAGCCATTTTCCACACAGATGTTTACGTACTGAGCGGTGAGACCCCTCTGTACTGGAGGTGGTGTGGATGGCAGTGTGGTCTGCTCAGCCAGAGTAGGGACAGAGGCTATGATCTGTCCGAAGAGCTGCTACACAAAGGCTTTGTTTATTAGAGGGCCAGAGAGGCATCAGCATGCCTTTAGGGAGTAAATGACCTAGGGATTGTCTGCGTTAGTTTTAGAGAAGAAAGTTGTCACCAACAGGCTTAAACAAATTATTTTCTTTTAGCTGAACTGATTGAGAGTTGCCATTTAAGTGACAATTGGAAGAAAAGAAGCTGTTATTAGGATGGGGGCGGGGGTGGAGCACAAGAGCGAGCAGATGCTCTAGGTCCATTGACATCCGTATTGGGTTGCGGGTACTGTGAGTTTCTGAGATGGAAACTGATATCAGCATGAGTGGAGGATAACAGCATTTTAGTGTATCTATCTGATAAAGAAGAGTATATATGAAAAGTTGAGGAAGATGCAGAGCAAGCATAAGAATCTGAATGTTTCTTTGCAAAGTGGAAGAGAAAGGAGGAATAAAATAAAAAAAATAGGCATGCCTCTTAAAGACTAAGATTCTAGCTAATGAATACACGGTAGGTGAAACATTAATAAATATATTAATTATGGTTTTGTTTTCGCTTCTATTTCCCAGGATTTATAGCTCCAGTGTGATGTCTTCCCTAGATTAGAACTATGAACATATATATTTAAATGTGTCTCTGTTTCACATGTATTACATTTGACAGGAAGAACTCAGTATTAACCAATATTTTCATATGCTGTCATCCCTTTTAAAACACAGAGTATTAAATAAATAAATTGGCTCAATCAGAGTTGTTTTAGAAACAAAATTTATTAACTCACTAATTGTTCTTCTCTTCCAAAAACATAAAAAATTTAAATTTACTCTAAAGATGGTTCTGTTTAAAAATGTCATTTATTATATAAAGAATTAAAATTTTTGAACTGAAACTTCAGGTTAAAATTTTAAGAAATAAACACAAAATTCAAATAAACAAAAAACTATGTCTATAAACAGAAACAGACACCTACAGTAACAGAGATTTAAAAAATAAGAGAAAACTGCATAATACCGAGTATAACGACTTACATTGATAAATTTTAAACACTTGATTTGTGGTCTTGTCTCTTTGTATCTTGTTTCCTGATACAAAGAAATTAATGGCTGGAAACCAATATCCTCAAATCCTGAACCAGTCACCTATTGGATCCCATGTTACTGAATGACAGATGTATATATGGGACCCTAGGCAGATGGACATTATTACTAGGGCTTTGGCATCAAATCCTTGCTGGCAGAGGTATAAATTGACATAAACTCTCTGGAGGACAATATGACATTAGGTATTAAAAGTCTTAAAACAATACTTACCCCTTTGATCCAGTGACTTTATTTTTAGGTTTTTATTCTCAATAAAAACCAGGGACTTTTGTTTAGGAAGGCTAACTGCAGTTTTATGTGTAATAGGAAATTATAAAAATAAATTAAATATTCAATAATAGAAGCTTGGGGTTGCTTAATTCATGGCATATGCTTATAATGAAACATAAACTATCCATCAAAAATCATATTTTCAACCTTAATGATGTGGCAAAGATGTTTGAGAGTGGCAGGGTACCAAATAGTGTCTGTAATTTGATTCATATTCTGTAAAAAATAAGTACTTATATTACTTACGAGAGAAAACACTGAAAAGAGACCCACTAAAAATTAGCAGGGTAATATGAAACAATTAAAATGTTCTTTTCTCTACTTTTCAGTATTTTCCAAATCTTTAATGATTAACATTTTTAATATTAAGTAAAATTTTAAAAGTGACATTCTCTAAAATTATTAAAGAAAATCAGGGATACATTCTGGCAACCTGTACTATAAAAATCGATGTGGCTGAAGTGATTCCCTTAACTCATGAAACTATCTTCTGGAAAATGGCAAAACTATCCTGTTGCAAAATCCCTCTGTACAAAACTGGTTTCGCTCTTGATAATTGTTTGCTTGTTCCTTTGTTTTGGCTCCTGGATGTGACAGGTGGCAGGCCTGAGCATGAGGCCTTTTGAGGTCTCTGGGCAAATTGAGTTTCAGGCAACCAGTGGCTGGGGGAAGTGGTTAACCTTGTCACATGAAGCCATCTTCTGAGCCATATCCAGCTGGAGTGATGTCTCAGATCCTGGATGTTATAGACACTCTTTAGGATGGCTACATGTTTTGGCGCTTTGCCATCTTCTCAAGTTTTGCAGATGCAGCTATTTAGAGTTAAACTCATTCATCCCTCAGCACTGGAGGCACCACACTAGGATCTGGGAAGACATTGAAACCTGTCAGATAGCATCGGTTCCCACTCCAGAGCAACTGTGAAGAGGCTCTGCTATACATCTATTCACGCTGGACACCAGTTTTTGACTTGGAAGGATGGTAATTAGGTCTGCCTGGTTCAGATGCTGCTCCATAACATGAATTGGAAAAATTGTAATCTTAAAATTGTATCCATTTCATTTATTATCAAAGTAATTCATAATAATCTTTAAAATTACATATGGAAAAGGGCAATAACAGGAAAAGTGATCACCCTGCCAACAGTGCTGCCTTTGGACGGCCCTCCAGCCAGTTGCTGGCTGAGGGATTTCCCTTTGCATCACTCCACATGCTCCTCTACCTTAATGGGAGGATACCTGATCGAGCTCATGCAAATTCTGGAGCCCCAGACCAGACCTACTGAATCAGAAACAGAGTTGAAGGAGAAGGTGCTAGTATAGGGGAGGGACACAATTTGTGTTTTGATAAACCCTTCAGGCGATTGTGATATATGCTTAAGTTTAAGATCCAGTTTGGGGTGTGGTAGCAAATGCCTGTAGCCCCAGCTACTTAGGAGGCTCAGGTGAGAGGATCACTTGAACCCAGGAGGTCGAGGCTACAGTGAGCTATGATTGTAACACTGCATTCCAGCCTGGGGGATGAAGTGAGACTCTGGCTCTGAAAAACAAAAAATGTTTAAGATCCATCATCCTAAAGTCAAAGACGTTTTCTTATACAATGAAAATAACATTGTCATATTGTCATGTATTTAACACTAATACAACAGTCTATTATCTGTTATCTAATTGATGGTGTACTTTTAATTTTTCCAATCATCCTAAAATGTCTTTTTTAGCTTTTTTTTTCCTGATGCAGACCCAATCATGTACCGTACGCTGCATTCATTTGATTGTCATGTTACTTTATTTTCTCTAATCTTGAATACTCCTCTGCCTTTATTATTATTTGAAAAAAAAAACCTTTCAGTGAATTTGGTATTTTTTTTGTTTGTGTTTTTGAGAAAGGTCTTGCTCTGTTGCAAGACTGCTTTACTCTTTTTATAGAGACAAGGTCTCACTATGTTTCCCAGGCTGGTTTCAAACTCCTGGGCTCAAGGGGTTCTCCTGCCTTAGCCTCTCAAACTGTTGTGATTATAGGTGTGAGCCACACTTAATAAAATGTTTCTTAATGCAATCATGATGTAACAATCAGACACTTCCAGACTGTAAGACATTCTGTAAGACTACTGGCATGGACTTTTCAAAAAATACTGTAGAGAAAACTGTTGCTCCCACTACATTTTCAGTCTCTCCTTCATGTCTCAGAAATTGAAAAGTCATCAAAATTAAATTTGCCTGAACTCAGCTTACGGAATTTTCTAGAACAGTGCTGGGGATGAAAATGGTTTGGGAGTTATTTTGTTTTCTACTTTTCTCCACGTTCTGGTTGGAATTCTGCCATGATTAATGGAGAACATAATTAAATATTTGTTATCAGCCACGACCTTTAATGGGGTAGTGTTTGCCCAGTCAAGGGTTTTTCCCTCCTACTATTTCCATGAGATATCAACAGTCACAACAGCTGTCTCTACCTTTCTATAATCTGTTCAGTGCATTTGAACCTCAACAATATAAGATTAGTAATCATTATCTGTTCATTCAACAAATATTCAAGTGCCAGATTCTGTGCTACACATACAGTAGATAAGTATGATTCCTGTTCCGAACAAGAGAGACATATAAAAAGGCAAGTACAATATAGCATGATACATGTAATATTAGGGGAAGCATGGAGCACATACAGGGAACCTGGCCCTGAGCTGGAGAGTCAGGGCAGGTTTCACAATGGGGTGACATCTGAGCTGCCTATGCCATGCTGCAGTAACAAACAGCCCCCACATCCCAGTGGCTTAACTAATGGAGGTTTATTTCTTGCTTCTGTAAGAAGCATTCTAATTACAGTTCCTTGGTCAGAACTAGTCACATGGTCCCCCTGAGCTGCAAGGAGCTTAGGAAGGGTGATTGTCACGAGCTCGGAAAGGAGGACTGTGAAACAGAATTTTGAATGGCATTGTCTCTGCCTCAATCCATCTTTCTGGCTACCAGATACCCATTTTATTCTCTCTTCCACACACAGAATACAGTCAATTCAGTATCTCAGCCAGTTACTGTACCAAATTCAAAGTCCAGGATTTCTGGATAAATTAGATGATTAAGAATATGGTACAGCACGCATATTTAAATGTTTCTAGGTATGAATATATTGACAGATTCTCAGATGAACTAAAAATAGATGAGTATCTGTTCTTCCACCCTACACCAAATATGCAATTGTAAAATAAGACAGGGGAAATCACAATAAACATTCTTGTTTAGAAGGGAGAAGGATAGGAAATACATAGCAGTCACTAGTCCATGGCAATTCGGAAATCCTCCTGGGCAGACTTTATGGGATGCCTTTCACCTAAAGCAGTGATTCCCAGCCAGGGACAATTTTGTCCCTTAGGGGACATTTGGCAATGTCTCCAGACATTTCTTTTTGTCACAACTGGGGAAGAGAATCTACTGGCATCTAGTGGGTAGAAGTAAGGGATACTGCTAAACAACTTGCAACGCACAGGACAGCCCCCATCCCTTAACAAAAAAATTACTGAGTCTAAAAGTTCAATAAAGCCAAGGCTGAGAACCCTGAGCTTGGGATAAGAAGGATTCCTTGAGTAGACCCTGCTCTTGCTTCTTCATCCACTGTGGCTTTGGGTCTTAGTTCTTACTTTTTGGAGCCTTGTTCTTTTCTCCCCATTTTTCTTCATGGTCACATCTAAATGGAGCATTGAGGAGTATTTCTCCTTGAGTGTAGCACAGATGTTACCTCTGTAAAATGAGGGACCCAAGTGTCATTTAAAAGTCTTGAACAGTCATAATTTTCTTTTTTTCCTAATTCTTGGTTTCTTTGACAGCTTAACTGTTTCAAAAACATATCTGATTCTTCTCAGTGTCTTGTGTCTGTACTTATACCCAAAGTTCTTTATAAGACATGTGTATTAGCCAGGGTTCCCTAGAGGGACAGAACTAGTTGGATAGATGTATATATGAAGGGGAGTTTATTAAGGAGTATTGACTCACACAATCACAAAGTGAAGTCCCAGCATAAGACATTTGCAAGCTGAAGAGCTAGGAAGCCAGTCTGAGTCCCCAAACCTCAAAAGTAGGGAAGCTGACAATGCAGCCTTCAGTCTGTCGCTGAAGGCTTGAAAGCCACTGACAAACCACTGGTGTAAGTTCAAGAGTCCAAAAGCCGAAGAACTTGGAGTCTGATGTTCAAAGGCAGGAAGCATCCATCATGGGAGAAAGACGAAGGCTGGAAGACTCAGCAAGTAGGCCTCTCCCACCTTCTTCTGCCTGCTTTATGCTAGCCACCCAGATTGAGGGTAGGTCTGTGTCTCCCAGTTCACTGACTCAAATGTTAATCTCCTTTGGCAGCACCCTCACAGACACATCCAGGGACAGTACTTTGCATCCTTCGATCCAATCAAGTTGACTCTTAATATTAACCATCACAACACGCTTCTCATACGTGTTCTCTATTTTTGCTTTTTCATCCCCTGCAAGCTGTCTTAATGGAGAAGGTCTTGAGTGTCTATTGAAAGGCTTCACATTTAGCCTCATCTCTGACCCAAGACTGAATTTTAAGAGGCTTTTGCCACCACTCAAAGACTTTTTTTTTTTTTAACATTGTTATCTCTTCCTATTTGAGGAATAAAAGAAATTGGCTTTTCCAGTCCTTCAAAGCTACGAATTTCTGAGCTGTTTGTTCTTCATTTCTGCTTAATTTCCTGATTCCAACTCTTTTTGTAATTCCTCGCCAAATGCAGCAAATAACAAATAACACAGATTATTAAATTTCTTCTTTCCAGTGTCTTCCATTCGAGCTGAACAACTTCACTAGGGAAGTCTTTTCCAAGTATTCACAGACAACAATTTTACTAAATATTTTCAACTTTATACATGGATTAATGTTTTCCCAGCATTGAATATCTATTTTCTTACCTTTGCTACCCATCTGCTAAGCCAATGGCACATATATTAGTTTTTACTGTGGTAGTATCCAACTCCTGACACCATTTTCTGTATTAGCCAGAAAATACTAGGCGATGCTATGGTCAGGAATATTTCCAAAGCTTAGTGGGTTAACAACAACAACAACAACAACAACAACAACAACAACAAAACCTCTTGTTTTTTGCTCACAGAAAGCCTGCTGTCGGCTTGGATGACTGACTCTTTTTTTTTGTAGTCACTCAGAGATGCTGCCTCTTCAGGCTTAAGGCTCTGCCTTCTCAACTTGAGACCTCTGAGTTTGCAATAGCAGGTGAAGCAAGACATGAGAATCGGGCAGAAGCTTTCATTGCCACAGGCTGGAAATGACACACATCACTTCTAATCACATTTCATTGGTAAAAGCTAGTGATATAGCTTTCCCTAATATCACAAGGGCTGAGAAGTGTACTTTTCCATGTGCCTAAGAAAGGGAAATATTAAACAAGATTTTATAAACATAAAATATTGTCTCCACTTAGCCAAAAACCTGAAGAGTTGTAAGTAGTTAATGAGATAAAAGGAATGGAATGGGAGAAAGAGTATTCCAGGCAGAGAGGATTATGTATGTGAAAGCCTGGAGACTAAAAAGAATGTGGATCATTGAAGGAATTGACAGAAGTGTTCTGTGGCTGAAATGCTGTGAGGGCAATATTGGGAGAAGGAAGAGAAGAGAGTAAAGAAAACCCAGATAGGGGCTCTCATTGTGCTGAGCTTTGTTAATTCATATTAAGGAGAAAGGAATTCATTCAATGTCAAAGTGGGCATTTTAAGCAGGAGAGTGATAACTTCACAGATATATATTAGAAAAAATATTCTGGCTTCTTAGAGTCCAGAATGGATTGGAGTGGGCAAGACAGGAGGCAGGGATCCAGTTAAGAGATTCTTGCAAGGGACTGCCTGAACTTGAGTAGTTTTAGAGAGGATAGAGTGACGTGGATGAGTTTGACAGAGTCATGGGAGGCAGAGTCAATAGAAACTGATGAGTTATTAGCTATAAACAGGTGGTAGAGTCAGAGACGAGACCTGAGTTTCTGATTGTGCTATTCGGTGGACTGTGACATCATTTGCTGATGGAAAATACAGGCAGAAGTGCCAGCACTCAGACACAGGCACCCCATCCTGTCAGTTTTTATAGTAGAAAGCTGGCCTGTTGTTGATGACAGAAAGACTTGACAATTATATTAGCCACTGAGCATCAGGAGTCAAGGCCTTATTTCAGAACCCCCACTCCTCTGGGAGTTTTGGGGGGCTACTCATTCTATAGGAATAAAATAGGGTGCTTATCAGTGTCAACCATATCCTAATGAGAAGTTGAAGATCCCCACCCATAATGACTCTATGTTAGTACAGTCACTTTGGAAAATAGTGTTACTTACAAAAGTTGAACATATACTATGATAATTAATTTTATGTCTCAGCTTGGCTGGACCATGCTGTTCAAATATGTGGTCAGACATTATTCTGGATATTTCTGTGAGGGTGTTTTGGATGAGATTAACATTTAAATAGGTGGACATTGCAGCTGATGGTCTTTGGACCTGAACTGTATGCTTGGCTCTTTCCTGAGTCTCCAGCCTGCTGGCGCATCTTGTAGATTCTGAACTTGCCAGCCTCCATAATTACAAAAGCCAATGTCTTAAAACAAATATTTTTATAACTATATAGACACACATCCTACCAGTTCTATTTTTCTGAATAACTTGGTCTAATACATATGCTAACTATACAACCCAGTAATTCCACCCTTGGGTAGGTACCATGGAGAAAGTGGAGAAGATGAATAGATGCACAGACAAAAATGTTGACAGCAACATTGTTCATAGTTGTCCCAGTAACTACACAAATGTCCATCAGCAGTAGTATATATAGACACATTGTGCTATGGCCATACAATGGAATAATATACAGCAATGAGAATGAATCAACTAGAATAACACACAAAAACATGAATGAATCTTATGAACATAATGCTGAATGGAAAAAAAGCAAGCTATAGAAGACTATGCACAATAAATTTCCTCTATATAAATTTAACAACATGAAAAAGTAAACTATAATTTTAAGGATGCATATTTAATTAGTAATAATTTAAAGAAAAAAAAGCAATTACCAAAAAAATTCTGGGTAGTATTTATTTTTAGGGTGTATGAAAAGGAACATACAGGAGATTTGCAATGTTCTATTTCTTGTCCCATGTGGTGGTTATGTGAGTCTTCACTTATACTTATCCAACATACTACTCTTTTATGTTTAAGACACTTTAGGTGTTTTCTTTCATAATGTAAAAAAGAAATATAGTTTTCCGATATTCCCTCTAATTTTTTTTCAGTCAGAGGATGGTTTATCCCAGCCATTGGAACTGATAAATTATTCCCATCCTGTTCCCTGCAGAATAATATGTGTGTGTGTGTGTGTGTGTGTGTGTGTGTGTGTATGTGTGTTTGTGTGTGTGTTGGGGGTGGTTCTCTGCTAACAGAGATAAGACCTTGCCTTGTCTACCCCCTGAAAGCATTAATGACCTCAACATGATCTCAAATTGCTGGGCCATATTTGCTTTGACTTCTACCACTAAAGCCTGAAGCAGGGTTTCTGTATCTTGTGATTTTTCTTCTGTTCATTTGCTTCTCCTGATTAACTGTGACAGTGAAAATCTAAAGAGGCCTGGAGACTTTAAAGCAGTTTGAGTAACCACAGTAGCATGTCACTGTTTATAGCGTCTGTTGTCACAAGTTCCAAATAGGCCTGCATTAGCCAGTCTTCAAATCTACTGGCCCTTTTTCACTATTTTTTGTAATGATTACTTTTGGTATGGGTCCAGCTGGGGGTGGTTTTGCCTGGACTGTGATGCCGTGTTAAATCTCCACCTGCTTTTTAGCAGTCAGTCACTTCAAGGCTCCAATGACCTCTAATGGAAGAAACACTGACTTTGTGATTTTTGTTCTCTTCCTTGTCTCAGGGATGTGCCATTATGGCACTGTCTTAGTCTGTTTGGGATGCTACAGAAGAATACCATGATCTGGGCAGCCCACAAACTGAAGCTTGTCTCTCCAAGTTGTGGAGGCTGAGAAGTCCAAGTCAAGGCACCAGCTGACTTGATGTCTGGCGAGGGCCTACTTCCTGGTTCATAGATGGCAACCTCTTGCTGTGTCCTTGCATGGTGGAAGGAGTAAGGCAGCTTTCTGGGACCTCTTTTATAAAAGCACTAAATGCCATTCATGAGAGTTCTGCCCTCATTACCTAATCACCTCCCAAAGGCCCCACCTTCTAATACCAACACATTGGTAATTAGGTTTCATCATATGAATTCTGGGGGTACACAAACATTCAGACCATGGCAGGCACCATCTCAGCAGTGCATTCTAACCCAATTTTGAAATCTTCTTCTGCATGAACTGGGAGTCACTGAGTCTCCAAACATGTCCACCTGGTGTACCGTTTGCTTCTCCTCCAGGCGTCACTGCTTTCCCTCTTGCCTGTCACAGAAGCTCATCCCAGGGGATTCAAAGGGCGTTTGAATTGATCCAAATTTACTTGCTATCATAAGTCCTTTTTCCAGCTCCAGGAAAGACCCCATTAAAAATAATTTCATAAATTTGGTTTCTTTTGATACTGGCTTCTAGGACTTCTCTTCATTTAATAATTTTCCCTCTTAACGCTATTCACAAATTTGTGAAGGTCCAACTCTGTGTCCGCCATATCAAGCCCAATCAGTGTTCTCCCCCAGGAAGTTAACTAGCTTCATTTTTTTCCTTCCTTGGGGAAAAAAGGAAATGGGACCAGCCTAATCTTTGAACATTGGCACATATTTCAAGACATGACTCTGCCAGTGGTCAGGCAGCCATGATGCAGATGCCCTCCTGGATTTATTCTATGAATAGTGATTGTTTTATTCTGCAAATGGGCACCATGTCAGAATTCATCAAAAACCTTGGGTTAGATCCTCCAATGTGTAACCTCTGTTCACAGAGACCACACTTTATTTCAGGGTCATATTAACTACAATAATCTGATTACACTGGATCCTGGCCTCTCCTTTCTTAAAAGGACCTCTAGACCCTGAAAACTCCCAGTTATTTCCACAGACTCTCTCATCAGGGCTTATTAACAAATCCTTCTGGCTACCACATAGCACTTGCTATTTCCTTTACCCTTCTCTAGCCTTCTTTAATGAGGCCTGTGTAGTTCTCTGCCCCAGCTACCCACCAATGAGCTGCCACCCTCAAGACTCTCTGACCATAAGAGTAAGAAGAAATTGGGGGCATTATCCATATTCCTCTTTTGTGACACTCTTTGCACCCCAGTGTCTGAGTCTTTCAGTGAAATAGTGCCTTCCATTTCTGTCTGCAGCCGCTTTCTCCTCAGGGCTCACATGGGGGTCGCCACAGAAGTTAATTTCTATTCTTCTTCATAGCCTTCTTCTTTCTCATCATTCACCAACTCCCATAAGTTCTAAAATCAGCCCTTTGGACATGAGACTTGTATTTTACTTTAAAGCTTTTTCTATGTTAAGCTGCTTCTTCACGAGGAGAGGAAATTGAAACACTATGACAATAATAGGAAGAAGAAGAGAAATCTCTAGGATCCAAGTAATCCTTCTAATAGCAATACATTAATCTTGTCTGGCCATTTGAAAGTTTTCGGTTCTGGTTTGAGGATAATGTTTGGCAAATAATTTAAGAAATCGACTGGACGAAGGCTTCATGAATGATCCATGTTCTCTTTAGATACAAAATTAACACAGAGCTGTATTGTGGAGATAAAGGGCAGGAAGCCATGGTGGTAATCAGTGGACATAGGAAGTGACTCTCTGAGGAAGAATATAATTATGTAGGAATAGCAACAACAAGACGTCTCTGCCCGTGATTATAATTGAGTTCCCTCCACTTGCCAAAATACAGAGTGTTGTCAGAAGGAAAGTAGGCTGGACAGGCATGAGCTACAGGGATTTCTGGAAAGTGAGAGGTGAAGAAATTGCAGTTCAGACAGCTAGGGGGGCTTGGTTCAGGCTGGGGGTGCCTGTGTAGTAAGACAGTTACGGTTCTTCAGGTTAGCAACAGTAAGAGCAGGGCCTGAGGGCTTGCTCTGTCCCTGGGCTGACCTAAGGGCTCTCCCTGTCCCTGGTGGTGGGAGTAGGTAGAATGGACAAGGTATCAGAGCATCCATGGTCTTCCCCAGCTGGGATGCCAAAAGGTTCTATGTGGCCTGCTGTGGGTTGGCGTCAGGTACTTTCGTGAGGATGCATCATTTCCTGCACTCACGAGGAACAAATAGTTTGCCTTTCATGCTCCTTCTTTCTCTAGCATTGCTTTTAGATGACCCTTTTTACTCAAATTTCTATCTCATCATGCCCTTACTTTTGGCAAAAACTCGACTGAATGTGTGTTTGCCTGAACAATGGATGACACAATGCCATTTAGAGCAGTTTCCAAAGGTGGCAATCATAATTTAATGCTTCTTAGTCACTGTGGAAATATAGGGCTTTATCTCTGCTTGACAGAAGGTTAGAGCCTAAAGGAATCTTAGAGATCATCTTCTTCTGTTTGATGCCCTGTAGTTTAAAGTTTATCAATCCAACCATTATTTATTGACTTTCTACCATGTGCCAGGTAATATGCCAGATGTTGGGGACAGAGATAAACAAGACAGAAATAATTCCTCCACTAATGAGATTTATAGACAACAGGTGAGGGCAAAATAGGGTGCTATGGGATTTCACCAAACCTTGTCTTGGGGGATCAGGGAAGGTTTCTCAGAGCCAGTGATATATGAGCTAAGACCTGAAGAATGAGAAGTGGCAGCCAAGCAAAGGGAAGACAGGAAGCCACAGCCCAGGAGAAATAAGTGGCTTTTTAAGGGGAGAGCCAGGACTGTTTCTCAAACCTTCAAACTCCCAGTTCCTTGTTTTTTCTTATTCTGGGCATATCCTAAGCAGTGGAATTAACGAGAAGAAATCACATCACCTCCCTTCAATAATTCCATGGTCTAATAGAGAGATTGATACATAAGTTAACACAACACAATAAGTGCCATGATAGCTCCCAGCACAGGGAGCACCTCAATGCATGCAAGGGTGACACTTAATTCAAGCTGGAGTAGAGAAGGGGAATCAAACACAACTTTCCTGAGGAGGTGACTCTGAACCTGAATTTTCAGTAAAAAGTAGGTGGTTACCAGGTAAAGAAACTGAGGAGAGCAATTTAGGTAGATTTTGTTGGGAAGACCCAGAAGCATCTAATCCCATGGCATATTTAAGGAATTACGAGTCATTCAATATGACTGGAGTGTACATGTCTGTGAAAAAGGGGAGGGAATTAAGGAATGGAACTGGCAGGCAAAAGCCACATTCGGGAGGATTTGCAGTGGATTGTGTTAAACAGTTAGAAGTTATCCTTGAGACAGTAGGAGCTAATGGATGACTTAATTTGGGGCTAATCAGATTTACATCCCTGAAAGAGCATCTTATCAATAATATGGAGAATGTATGGGAAAGGGTAAGTTTAGGAGCGAGGAGACTAGAGCAAGAGCCACTGGAGGAATTCTAACTTGAGACTGTGGTTGTCTGAGTTAAAGCAGTGGGGATGATGGGAAGTGGAGGGTTTTGAGAAATACTTAAGGGTGGAATTAAGGTGACCAGCTTGTCCCAGTTTGTCTTGGATTTTCCTTTTTTTAGCACTGAAAATCCAAAATGCTGGGAACCCTTCAGTCCTGGGCAAACTGGAATGATTAGTCATCCTCGTGAAATCAACCGAACCCCCAAGAGAGACGGAGAGGTAGAAAGCAAAGTCAAAGATGACTTACTTCTAGGACTTTAAATTGGAAAGCTTGACCAATGGTGGCACCATTTATTTATTTATATGTTATTTATTTATATGCTATTTTTATTTCACTTTTTCTTTTAGATTCAGGGTGTACATATGCAAGTGTGTTACAAGGTATACTGCATGATGCTGAGGTCTGGGTTTCTAATGATCCTATCGCCCAAGTTGTGAACATAGTACACAATAAGTAGTTTTTAAACCCATACCCACCCCTCCCCTTTTTAGGAGTCCCCAGTGTCTATTGTTCCTATCTTTGTGTCCATGTGTACTCAATGTTTAGCTCCCACTTATAAGTGAGAATAAGCAGTGTTTGGTTTATTGTTACTGTATTAATTTGCTTAGGATAATAGCCCCCAGGTGCATCCATGTTGCTGTGAAGGATATGATTTCATTCTTTTTTATGGCTGGGTAGTATTCCATGGTTATATGTACCATATTTTATTCATCTAATCCACTGTCGATGAACACCTGGGTTGATTCCATGTCATTGCTATTGTGAAGGGTGCTGCAATAAACATACAAGTACATGTATTTTTCTGGTAGAATTATTCACTTCTGTTGGGTATATACAAAGTAACGGGATTGCTGAGTCGAATAGTAATTATATTTTTAGTTCTTTGATAAATTACCAAACTTTTTCCCACAGGGCTAAACTAATGTGCATTTTCACCAACAGTCATAAACATTCCCTTTCTCCACAGCCCCACCAACATCTATTACTTTTTGACTTTTTAATAACCATTCTGGCTTGTGTGAAGCAATATCTCATTGTGCTTTTGATTGGCATCTCTCTGATGATTTGTGATGTTGAGCATTTTTTCATATGTTTTTTAGCTGATTGTAAATCTTCTTTTGAGAAGTGTCTGTTCATGACCTTTGCCCAGTTTTCAATGGGAGTTTCTTCTTGATTTCTTTTTTTTTTTTTTTTTTTTTTTTTGAGACGGAGTCTCGCTCTGTCGCCCAGGCTGGAGTGCAGTGGCGGGATCTCGGCTCACTGCAAGCTCCGCCTCCCGGGTTCACGCCATTCTCCTGCCTCAGCCTCCCAAGTAGCTGGGACTACAGGCGCCCGCCACTACGCCCGGCTAATTTTTTGTATTTTTTAGTAGAGACGGGGTTTCACCGTTTTAGCCGGGATGGTCTCGATCTCCTGACCTCGTGATCCGCCCGCCTCGGCCTCCCAAAGTGCTGGGATTACAGGCGTGAGCCACCGCGCCCGGCCTCTTCTTGATTTCTTTAAGTTCTTTATAGATTCTGGATATTAGTCCTTGGTCCAATGCATAGTTTACTCATGGCGATGGTGAGATGCAGCTTAGAATTAAACTCTCAAAAGGATGCCTTGGGCTTACATCCAGGGAGAATGGGGCAATGCTCCGGCAAGCAGTATGGGCAAGAAGCTGTGGGGAGTGTGGTTCACTCACATGTCAGCCAGTTTCACAGCAGCCTGTTGCAGAGCAGTGAGTATCGTCCTAGATATGAGTAGGATGACCTGGTCTCCCTGTCCCTCCTTAGCCAGGCAGTGGTTGCAGCTGCATCAGCCTGAGCTCAGGCTGAAGATAGGGGACAGTCCAGAGTTAAACTCTCAAAATAGAGCCTTGGGCTTGGGACCAGAGAGAGCCAGGGACCACCCAGGCTGGCAGCATGAGCAAGAAGCTGTGGGAAGTGTGGTCCACTTGAGTCTCAGTCTCAACAGATGATTGTAGCAGGGGAGCAAGTCCCTGCCTGAGTGTGCATGAGTGCACCCATTTTCCTTTCTCTCTCCTTGGAGCAGTGCAATGGCTGCAACCATGTCTGTAAATCTCCAGTATCTGGGGTCAAAATGGCACCCAGCTGAGGCTGCTCCAGGCTCAGATGCCTGCGGAATTCTGTGTGGTTTCTGTTTCTGGAGCAATATCTCTGTGCAAACTTTAGGCAGCTCCACATGTGCCCTTGCACTTCCTACTTTTGGAGAGACCTGTAGTGCCAACTGTCACATCCATATCTTGTGTCCTAGATAGTAAAGGAGAAGATCAATTGCCAGTGATGGTCAATTATAAGCTAGTTGAAAAAAGTGATGTGAGGCAATAGGGACACAATTAGACTTTCTGGTTTATAAGAGCATAAACTTGAAACAATGCTTTATCTTTCACTCAGCTCTACCAGAAGTGCCTCATTACACACCCTCATTCTCAGGACCAAATCTATTTTGATTAACTTTTAACTAAGAAAAAGAGCTGTCAACATGAATCCTTAAAATTATTTGTGTCTCTAAAAGACAGCTGAACTGTAGTAAATATTTAATACTAAAAGCACAAAATGGACAAATGTTCAAATTAATAAATTTTTCTTCTGACTCCCATTAAAGAAAATAATAAATCCAGAATTTATGAAGCAAGTTTTGTTTAAGCATCCTTCAAAAATACACTGTAGATGCTTTACTTTATTTTTCTAAATTTTGCATTTTAGAAACTTTTAAAACTATAGAAATAGTGAAAGAATAGTGTAATGAACTCCTACATATTTTTAATTTACACTTATTCATTATTAATATTTTGTCACCATTACTTATTTACCTATGTCATCTATCTACAGATATATATATTTCTGGCCAAATTGTTTGAAAGTTGAGTGCAGACATCAGAACAGTTCATATCTAAATACTTCAACCCATATCTCATAAGAACAAAGCCATTCTTACACATGTGCTATCTTTACTAGGTATTTTTCAAGATTGTTGAAAGGATAGAATGATATAATATGTTTAAAAGTACCTTTCAATAAAGTTTACTTTATTAAACTTTAGGAGCTCAACCACTACAAACATTATTCTGAGCTTTATAGACCCCAGTTTACCTTATCAGCAAACTGTTTTTAAGTCTCACATAATTTTCTTACTGCTTGATGATTTTATTTTTAACTCTGAAAAACCTTGACTTTATTCTGAGTATAGTGTGACAGATATAAACATTGTCATATTTCAAGTAACACATCAATTGTCTCAGCATCTCTTACACAATATTCCTCCCTTTCTTTTGACCCTGAATTATAGCAGTCTCTTGCGCGCACACACACACACACACACACACACACACATACACAAACTCCTCACTTGACATGGTTCTGATATGCATGGATTTTAGTTACCATGGTTTGATTAAATGACACCAGTCTCCTAACAACATAATTAAATTTCAGTTATCATGGTATATCGTGAGTGCTTGTATAAGGTACAAGTTTCAGCCCACAAATGACTACATTAAAAAAAAATGTGCATCATCATCCATGATCAGCAACATTCTTTTAAATTCTGTCTATGACTAGTCACTGTGCAACTGTTATTCAGTCTATGTACACACAGAAAAGTGTGAAGTTTTAGTCCCTCCTTGTCTCACAATGATAAATACGTGATGTTTTACAAAAGATGAATAATAAAAAGAAGAAATTCGCCAGCAAAACTGAAAGCGCAACAAAGAAAGTGATAAACTAGAAGTAGAGGTAGAATTGAACATAAATGGAGTTATAAAAGAAATAAATGACCATAAAAATGTTGACACTGCTGTCATTGGAGAAATTCTAGATAAGTAGCCAGAAGGAACTTAGTAAAAGTCTACTTAATGGTGTAAATAAGGAAAGTGGTTCTGACGAAAAGAATGAAGATGTCCTTGAGGAAGCGCTGCCAGGAATAAACTCAGCATTAAAAGAATTCTCAGAGACATTTTACAGCATTGAAAGTGCAAAGGGTAAAATAATGTAAACGGATCCAAACTTAAGAAGGAATATGACAAGTTGCCAAGATATAGAAGTGAAGCTTGCTTCCTATCATAAGATATACCATGAGAAGAAGGTAAGCAATGTTAAAATGACTCTTGGTGAGTTTTTTTGCAGATAAATGTAGCGCTTTAATTATCAATGTTTCTAAAATTTCAGCGTGCTAAATAAACATTAGTTTTGCCATTTTCCGCATTTTTCTATGCATTTGTAACTAACCACAGGATAATTTTTTAAAAATTTATGAAAGATTATAATTTTCCTATTGATTATTAAAATTGTTATGCATGGTATTGGCTTGCATGGTCATTTTCACAGTTTCTTTTCTGTTTAATTCAGACATCTGTATTTTATTTTAGTGTTGCCAAAAGTATACTGTCTTGAGTATCATAGCTTTTAAAATCTGTTTTATCATGTGTCAGAGCATGCTCTCCACCCTTATTATTCTTACTATTAAAAATTCTTTACTATTCTCTCTCTTTAGGTAAATTTCAAACTAATTTTGTCAAATTCCAGCTCCCATGGAGGTTTGATTAAAATTACGTTAAATACAATACTCATTTGGAAAAATTATTGTGTTTATAATACTGCCTCCTCCCTTCAAGAATATAATTGTCGCTGGGCGTGGTGGCTGACGCCTGTAATCCCAGCACTTTGGGAGTCTGAGGCCAGCAGATCACCTAAGGTCAGGAGTTCGAGACCAGCCTGACTAATATGGTAAAACCCCATCTCTACTAAAAATACAAAAATGAGAGAGGCATGGTGGCGGGCGCCTATAGTCCCAGCCACTCAGGGGGCTGAGACGGGAGAATTGCTGGAACTCAGGAGGCAGAGGTAGCAGTGAGCTGAGATAGTGCCACTGTACTCCAGCCTGGGCAACAGAGCGAGACTCCGTCTCAAAAAAAAAAAAAATTGTTGATCCTTCTCTCACAGCCTCCTGAGTGGTACCCTCCTCCTGCCAGTGCCTGAGCTGATGGTGGGAACAGCATGCCTGTGCCCACTGTTCGAAAAAGCCAGAGCCCCATTCCCACCCTGGACACCTAGGCCTGCATGCTCATGCTCTGCATGGCTGTAGCCCTTGTGGTTGGTGGCACCTTGGAGCTCCTGGGCACGAAGCAGCTCATGCTGCAGAGATTGGCAGTTGTCTTCAGAGGGGACAAAATGGCTCACTAGATGCATCCAGGAAGCACTGCTTCCACTGAGAGAGACCAAAGTATTGCACATACTTTGAGCAGACCTTCAGAGAGAAAACACCAACAGCTATTGGAAAGGTGATACAGACACTGAGGGTGAAGAGGGAAAAAGCTAGGAACCCTGTGCAGGATACATGAATGCTAGGGCTAGTTCATGGCCCTGAATGGATCATGTGGAAGGAGTGAGTAGAGAAACAGAGGGACAGCTTACTTTCACCATGGCCCTCTGTGATCTTAGCTATAGGGGACCCCACATGCCCCATGGATGTTTGAATTGGCAGGGGAATCTTCCCTGAGAGTAGGCAGAGACAGGGCTTCAACTGGAGCAGAGCCTAGGGGCTTTTGTGCCTGGGGCAGCTGCAGTGGAGTACAGCCATAGGCGCCCATAGGGCTCTCTATCTTCTTCCAAGTAACTCTAGCCCCAGCTGACCACCAGATCAGGAGAGAACAGGGCTGGTGCTTCCCAATGGGACTGGGTTGCATCTTTTCTGCAGACCCACCTGCCTGCCAGCCCTTCCCAGGACCCCTGCCTGGCCATTCTGCAGGAGTATGCACACAGCACAGCCTCTGCTGCTTAGCCTGGATCCTTTGCTCCATCTAAGTAGTTTCCCAGTGGCCTGGGAGCACATCAGATCCCCCAGCACAGCTGGAACCCAACCCAAGGGTCCAGGGGATGAAGCTGCTGGCTGGTCCCTGTATCCTGGGGTTGTGGTACAGAGCTCGAGAGTGTTGAGCTGAGATCTGTGGCTGGTACTGGAGCTGGGGAGGAGTCCTCATACTCAGAGCACTGAAAGGGGTGATAAGACATATCGGTTCATGGGTTGGTGTGGGAGCAGGGTGTTCCTCCCTCCACAGGGCCAGTTTGGAAAGAATGTGGCCTATCGCCCTGCCATAGCCTCTGCCTGAGGGAGTCTCGTGGCCCAGAACACCTAATAAAGGAAATAAAGACAGAACACCAGTGATCAGAGAGGTCTCCCCCAAGGCCTAGAAATGGACCCGGTGAGGGAGTCAGCTCTCCCTCCTCCACCACAGAGGACAGCTGCAAATATGAGGAAATACAATAAAGCCCTGCAGATAAGCACTTATCTTCTGGCTATAATTCTTTAGTGCCATCTACTGAATCACAGCCTAAACTACAACTGCAAAAATATTCTGTCACTTTGAAACCAAGGACAAGAATCCAGCCGCAAATAAAGATAGTATACAGAGTCTTGGCCCTCTGAAAGCACCCAGAAATGAAGCCAATTGACTATATTCAACTTACACAACAGTTAAAGGAACATAAGTCCTTTCAGATGAGAAAGAATCAACACAAGAATTCTGACAATTCAAAAAGCTAGAATGTCCACTTATCTCCAAACAAACCCACTGGCTCCCAAGCAATGATTCTTAAACAGACTAAAATGACTGAAATGACAGATGTAGAATTCAGAATCTGGATGTCAAGGAATCTCATCAAGCTTAGGGAGAAAGTTGAAACCTAATCCAAGGAATCCAGTAAAATAGTCAAAGAGCTGAAAGATAAAATAGTAATTTTAAGAAAGAACCAAACTGAACTTCTGGAACCAAAAAATGCATTACAAGAATTTCATAATACAATTGGAAGTATTAACAGCATAATACCTAACAAAGGAAATGCAGACACAACACCAGTGTCATGCAGCTGAGAAACAGCATGAGACCAAGCTGAGGAATCTCAGAGCTTGAAGAAAAGTTCTTCATATCAAGTCAGTCAGATAAAAATAAGGGAAAAAAAAGGATTTAAAAATTCATACAACTTCTGAGAAATATGGGATTATGTAAAGACATCAAACTTACCACTCACTGGAATTCCTGAGAGGAGAGAGAGTAAGCAACTTGGAAAATATATTTAAAGACATAGTCCATGAAAATTTTCCTAAATAAGCTAGAGAGGTTGACATGAAAATTCAAGAAATACAGAGAACTCCTGCTAGGTATCATTCAAAACACCATCCCCAAGGCACATATTTGTCAGATTCACTGAGGTCAACATGAAATAATCTAAAAGGCAGCTAGAGAGAAGAGTCAGTTCATGTATCAGGCCAGCAGCAGACATATCAGCAAAAACCTTATAAGTCAGGAGAGGTTGAAAGCCTATTTTCAGCATCCTTAAAGAAAAAGAAATTCCAACCAAGAATTCACTACCCTGCCATATTAAGCTTCATAAGCAAACAAAAAATAAAATCCTTTTCAGACAAGCAAGCACTGAGGGAACTCATTACAACTAGACCAGCTTTACTTATGGCCAGGTGTGGTGGCTCATGCCTGTCATCCCAGCACTTTGAGAGGCCGAGGCGGGCAGATCATGAGCTCAGGAGATTGAGACCATCCTGGCTAACACAGTGAAACTCCATCTCTACTAAAAAAAGAAAATACAAAAAATTAGCCTCATGGTGGCACACGCCTGTAGTCCCAGTTACTCAGGAGGCTGAGGCAGGAGAATCGTTTGAACCCAGGAGGCGGAGGTTGCAGTGAGCCAAGATTGATCACGCCACTGCACTCCAGCCTGGGCGACAGAGGAGAATCTGTCTTAAAAAAAAAAAAGTACTTAAAGGAGACCTAATATGAAAACGAAAGAAAGACAGCTGCTATCACAAGAACACAGTTAAATACATAGCCCACAGACACTATAAAGCAACTAAACGGTCACGTCTGCAAAATAACCAGCTAACAACAGATGGCAGGATCAAAATCTCACATATCAATACTAACCCTGCATATAAATAGTCTCAACGGCCCACTTAAAAGACAGAGTGGCAAACTGCTATCTTTAAGTGGCAAGTTTGCTATCTTCAAGAGACCCATCTCAATGTTAGATAGGTCTCAACAGAGCAGATTCCCTTTTAATTCATCCACAAAATTATGTAATTTGAAGTTATGTTTTCTACCTTCAGAAATTCTTTTTTGTTTTTCATTTCAATTTCCTTTCGTACTCTATTATTTTTTAATGAGGTTTTTACTCGTGTCTTCCTGATATTCTTATTTTACTTGCATATCTTCTTTGATCCTCGGTTGCCCTTTTCTGTCTTCTTTCGGGTTAATTGAAAAAATTTAATATACCACTTAATTTCTTCTATTTGCTTCTTGCTATGACTCCTTTTATTATTTTTAGGGGTTGCTTTAGGACTAACAACATGTATCCTAATTTATCAAAGTTTACTTAGAGTTAATATTGTAAGACCTGACTTCACACTTCATGGATACTTCTTACTTTCTGCTTTCCCTTTCAAAAATGTAACGACATTACAACGGTACAATATTATTCATTCATATTCATTTATTCATTCATATTCATTCTATCGTTTGTGCTATTATATTTTTTTCTTCACTTATTTTAAACCCCACCTACTTTACAATGTTTGTCTTTTTGTTTTGTCTTGTTTTGCTTTAAACACCAGTTGTCCTATAAGAAAATTATGAAAAGAGAAAAATTAGATTATATTTATATTTACTCACTTCCTGCTTCTGGTATTCTGCATTTCTTTAAATCTGAGTTTCTGTCTGGTATTATTTCCCTTCAGCCTGAGAAACATTCTTTAGCACTTTGCATAGTGTAGACTTGCTGATGACAAATTTTCTTCATTTTTATCTCTTTGAAAATTATTTTTATTTTTATACTTGCCTTTAAGAATATGTTTACTAGACATGGAATTCTGGGTAGGCTATTTAAGAATTTTAAATACAGCATTCTTTTGTCTTTTGGCCTCCATTGTTTTTTATGATAAGTCTGTAGTAATTTTTATTTTTAATTCCCAGCAGGTGATCTCTGGTTCCTTTCAGTTTACTCATCAACTTTTATTTTTTTGTAAGTGATTAGACTACAATATATCTTGATGTTGCTTTCTTTGCATCTATACTGCCTGGAGTTCACTAAGCTTACTGTATTGAAGTCAATGTTTTTCATCAAGTTTGAAAAATATTTTGTCATTATGTCTTCAATTATTTTTCATTGCCTCATGCTCACTCTATGTTTTTCTGGGAGTCCAACATTAATTACATTAGTCTGATATTGTCTTAAAGGTCCCTGAGACTCTGGTCATTTGTCTTTAGTCTTCTTTTTTTCTCTGATTTGATCATTTATATTGGTCTTCAAGTTCACTGACCCTTTCTTATGATTTTTCTAAACTGCTGTTAAGCCCAGTGAGCGATTTTTAAATGTTATTTATTGTACTTCTCAGTTCTAGAATTTTGATTTGGTTGTTTTCTGAAAAATAAATTATATTTCTCTTCTGAGATCCCTTGTCTGTTCACTCATCAAGACTGTATTTTTCTCTAAGTCCTTCAAGATATTTTAAGAAGACATTTTAACGTCTTTGATAAGTCCAACCTCAGGCTCACTTTTGAGACTCTTTCTATTGGCTTTTATCCTCTTGACTCTGGATGACATTTTCTTATTTCTTAGCATGTCTGGTAATTTTTTGTTTATAATTTATAATACTGGATATTATAAATAATACATTGTAGAGTCTCTGAGTGCTGTTCCTATGAAGAACGTTATTTTTGTTCTAGCTGTCAGTTGGATTGATTGGTCATTTTGAATTTGTATTGTTTGGTTTTATGCTTTTTAAGGGCAAATCTCTGACATTTCTAAGGTGTTTTCCAAGCTCATATTACTGGTGGAGACTCAGCCTTCAAAACCCACTTTTTATGTGGATCTTGTCAAAGCTTGATTTTAGAAGTCGCTAGGACAGGACTAGTCTTGGTCTTACACTAGGGCAAGGGTCAGCAAACCATGGTCTATTGACAAACTATGAGCCACTGCCTTTTTTGTAAAATGTATTAGAACAAGCCTTTTTTTTCATATTTTATATAGCTGCTTTCACACTAAAACGGCAGAATTGAGTAGCTGCAACAGAGACTGACCCTCAAAAGCTAAAATACTATTATTAGATCCTTTATGGAAAAAGTTTGCCACCCCTGCTTTATGGCATGGTTGTATTGTCATGGTTGAATGTGAAAACTCCACTGGATATATCTTCCCACGCCCCCCTCCTCGTTTTCCCTCTCTTTGGCTCCTCTGTCCCATTAGGTGGGTAGGCTCACCAGGGCTCAGGGCTAGCCACTAGAAAACCCTATACCACAAGAATTCTGTAGCTTCTGGAAGGTCTGCTCTGTAGAAGCAGATTGTCAGCGCTCTGCTGAGGAAGCTTCCCTGCTCCCTGGTCTCTATGTATTCTTGAGGCCTCTGAGGCAAGAAGACTCAGTCCATGCAGATCCATCTTAGTCTTTTATGAGTTGTGTGACCAGTATGCTCATGTGAGGACAAGGTCAAATCTCTCTCCCTACTCCAGGTCTCTGAGTACCAAGTTTTTTCCAAGATCCTCTGCTTTCTGATTCTCATCTCATGGTTGTGATGCTCTTGGGGAGAAAGACACACACAGTTCTCTTTGCTGAGATTCCCAAAAGTGTCTAAATTCTTATACTCAGTACCTGTTGGTTTGAGCAGCCCTTTGGCTCAAGACAAGAAAATAGCTTAGAATTGGAAATTAGGAAGAAAATAAATTATTTTCAGTTCTCCTTGTTTGCAGAATCTTCATTTATTTATTTATTTATTTATTTATTTATTTATTTATTATTTACTGAGCACCTACTATGTTCCTGGCATTCTTCTAGGCAATAGAAACAAATGGTGAGCCAAACAGGCATGGTACCTGTTTCAAGGAAGCTAGTGAGAAAGACTGACATTAAACAAATGATCCCATTAATAAATTCATAATTATGAATCATTATAATTGCTTTGAAGGAAGACTCTGGGGTAGCACGAGAAAGAGCATAGTGGGGAGCTGACTTAGACACAAATGCATGATCATGAACTGATGATTAATGCTTAAATCTCTCAGCTTTCCCACTGTAATTGCTCCCTGATAATGTTTTTGAATTAGCAATGTCATTTTCCCCATAGAAGCATCTTCTGCCCTGGCCGTGTCCACTGAGGACATGATATTTTAATATTTACAACTAGTGATAAGGCTCATAAGTTTAAATGTTTCAGAAAATCCAGATTTTTATTCTAAAATGATCTCAGGCTAAAGCCCTGTAATCCTAAACTACTAAGCAGAACGAAAACGAGAAGACTGTTTATTACTGATGAAACATTTCCTACAGTGAATAAGTATGAACATACCGAAATTTGTTTACAAGATGTTGCGGTTGTGGTTGGGAGGGATAAGGGACAAAGATGGAGGCACAGTTGACTTCTGAATTAATTTCCTGGATAACTAAAGCTCAGTGGTAAACGACTAAGACAAATCATTTCTTTATCTCCAAAATAAACTAAAGTTAAAGTGATGTTTCTTGACCCAGGTATTCTTGGAACCTTTGCTTTTTTATTGCTGGAAGTGTGGCATGTGACCTTTGTTATTGTGAAAAAATCTGAGGCCTGAGCAGCCAATGGAACTAAAATAAACAGATTATTAGTGGAGGGAGCAAAGAAACTAAGTTTGGTGATTCTCAATCCAGTATCTTCCCACTAGGTTTTGAATCCTAGATGCTTAGTCCTGAGTGAAAGTTTTGCTGATCTTTTGCCACAGCTTAGCAGAACCATGTCGTCTTACCAAATCACTATTTTCAAAAAGTGTTAGTAGAGAGTTTCTTTTTAATGAGATTAAGATAAAAATTACTGTGAGAAATCCAGTTATCACTAAAATGGAAGACTTTTATGACATATTCTGAGGGAATTAACTTTATTTTTAAAATTTACCATTATTTTGTTTACCTAAGACAAGTGGAAGATTAACACCACACTTACAAGCAATAAGGTTGTCTGAAATTGATCTATTTTATTTTGGAAAGATTGAGTTGATTTTCTAATAGTTGTTTTTATTGATACCCAGGTGATTTTGTTTATTTTATATTAAGAAAGAAGTATTTACTAAATATTTAACACTTTCGTGCATTTTACAATTTTTTATGATCTATGCAATGTAAGAGTCCTATTGCTATGTGTTGTGCATATATCACAAATAAAACTATGTATTATATACGTACACATTATATGTATATATAATATATATGTATAAATCCAGGGTGGAAAAGGCTTATGTAAATATCTGACACACACACACAAAACACAACGCAGTACAGTTAGACTGCTTTACATAAATGACCATGAAAATATGGGTATCAACACTATTAGCACCCAGCTTTATCTTCTTTGCCATTGTTGTACAAATATTCAGATTGTCTATTTGGAAAATTAAAAGAAGAAATGGATATTATATATAATATAAGTAGTAAAGAAAATAAAATACATGGGAGAAATTCTGGAAGGAGATATTTTGATTATGCACATAGTATAAGCACATATATATATATATGGTGAAATTATATAGTCACATACCTCACAGTTATTGCAGGTTCAGTTCTGACCACCTCAATAAAGAGGATATCATAATAAAGCAAGTCATATGAATTTTTTGGTTTCCCAGCATATGTAAAGTATTACATACTTTTTACATACTTGTAAAAAGTAATTATTGTATTAAATAATTATGTATGCATGTAAAAAGTAAGTAATACTTGTAAAAGTATTGTTGTCTGTTACAAGTGTGCAATAGCATTATGTCTGAAGAAACAATATACATATCTTAATTAAAAATACTTTATTGCTAAAAATGCTAACAATCATCTGAGTCTTTAGTGAGTCATAATCTATTTTTTATTTATTTTCTTTTGAGACAGAGTCTCACTGTCACCCAGGCTGGAGTGCGATGGCACAATCTTGGCTCACTGTAGCCTCCATCTCCAGGGTTCAGGTGATTCTCCTGCCTCAGCCTCCCATGTAGCTGGGATTACAGGCACGTGCCACGATGCCTCGCTAATTTTTGTATTTTTAATAGAGACGAGGTTTCACCATGTTGGCCAGGCTGGTCTCAAACTCCTGATCTCGGGTGATTCACCCAGCTTGGCCTCCCAAAGTGCTGAGATTACAGGCGTGAGCCACTGTGCCTGGCCTGTGAGTCATAATCTTTTTGCTGGTGAAAAGTCTTGCCTGGATGTTGACAGTTGCTTTGCTGACTTATCAGGGTGGTAGTCACTGAAAGTTAGGGTGGCTGTGGCAATTTCTTAAAATAAAACAACAATGAAGGCAAAATAAGGCAAACAATGAAGTTTGCCACATCAATTGACTTCATGAAAGATTTTCTGTAGTATGCAATGCTGTTTGATAGCATTTTACCCACACTAGAACTTCTTTCACAATTGGAGTTGATCCTCTAAATCCTACCTTTGCTTTGTCAACTAAGTTATGTAATATTCTAAATATTTCATTGTCACTTCAACAACGTTTAAAGCATCTTACCAGGAATAAATTTCATCTCAAGAAACCACTGTCTGTGCTCATTCATAAGAAGCAACTTCTTATCTGTTAAACTTTTATCCATAAGATTGCAGCAATTCAGTCACATCTTCAGGTTCCCCTTCTAATTCTAGTTCTTTTGCTATTTCCATCACATCTGCAGTTACTTCTTCCACTGAAGTCTTGAACCCCCCATCGTCATCCGTGAGAATTGGAATCAATTTCTTCCAAACTCCTGTTAATGTTGTAATTTTGACATCCTCCTATAAATCATGAATGTTCTTAATGGCATCTTGAATGGTGAATCATTTCCAAAAGATTTTCAATTTACTTTGATCAGATCCATCAGAGGAATCACTATCAATAGCAGCTGTAGCCTACAAAATGTATTTCTTCAATAACAGGACTTAAAAGTCAAAATAACTTCTTGCTCCATGGGCCACAGAATGGATGTTATGTTAGCAGGCATGAAAACAACATTAATCCCCTTGTACATCTCTGTCTGAGCCCTTGACTGACCAGACACATTGTCTATGAGCAGTAATATTTTTTAAATACTCTTTTTTTTTTTGAGCAGTAGGTCTCAACAGTAGGCTCAAAATATTCAGTAAACCATGCTGTAAATGAATATGCTGTCATCCAGGCTTTGTTCTTTTATTAATAGAGCTATGCAGAATAGACTTAGCATAATTTTTAAGGGCCTTAGAGTTTTCCAAATGGTAAATGAGCATTGGCTTTGACTTAAAGTCATCAGCTGCATTTGTACCTAATAAGAGAGTAAGTCTTCACTTTGAAGATTTGAAGCTGGTGTTGACTTCTCTCTAGCTATGAAAGTCCTAGAAGGCATCTTCTTCCAATAGAAGGCTGCTTCATGTACATTGAAAATGTATTGTTTAGTTTAGCCACCTTCACCAATTATCTAAGCTAGAGCTTTTTCTGGATAACATGGTGCAGGTTCTACATCAGCACTTGCTGCTTCACCTTGCACCTTTATATTATGGAGATGGCTTCTTTTCTTAAACCTTATAAACAACCTCTACTAGCTACCAACTTTTCTTCTGCAGCTTCCTCACCTCTCTCAGCCTTCATAGAATTGAAGAGAGTTAGGATCTTGTTCTGAATTAGGCTTTGGCTTAAGGGAATGTGGCCGGTTTGGGCTTCTATCCAGACCAATACAACTTTTCCGTATCAGCAACAAAGCTGTTTCACTTTCTTATCTTTCATGTGTTCACTGGAGTAGCACTTTTAATTTCCTTCAGGAACTTTTCCTTTCCATCCACAGCTTGGTTGTTTGGTACAAGAAGCCTAGCTTTTGGCCTATCTCAGCTTTCCACATGCCTTCCTCACTAAACTTAATGAGTTCTAGCTTTTCATTTAATTTGAGAGATGTGTAGCTCTCCTTTTCATTTAACACTTAGAGACCATTGTAGGGTAATTAATTGGCCTAATTTCAAAATTGTTGTGTCTTTGGGAATAGGGAGGCCCAAGGAGAGGGAGAGAAATGAGGAAAACAGTCGGTGGAGCAGTCAGAACACACACAACATTTATTGTTTGCTGTCTTACATTAACATGGTTCATGGTTCCCCAGAACAATTACAATAGTAGTATCAGAAATCACTGGTCACATATCATCATAATAGGTGTAGTATAATAAAAAAGTTTGAAATATTGTACAAATTTCCAAAATATGGCACAAAGATAAAAAGTGAACACATGCTGTTTAAAAAACGGTGCTGTAAGGTCAGGAGTTCGAGACCAGCCTGAACAACATGGTGAAACCCTGTCTCTACGAAAAACACAAAAATTAGCCAGGCGTGGTAGCCTGCACCTGTATCCCAGAAACTCAGGAGGCTGAAGCAGGAGAATCTCTTGCACTTGGGAAGCGGAGGTTGCAGTGAGCCGAGATCATGCCACTGCACTCCACCCTGGGCAACAGAGCAAGACTCCATCTCAAAAAAAAAAAAAAAAAAAGGAAAAGAGAAGAAAATGGTGCTGATAGAGTAGCTTGATGTAGGGCTACCACAAACCTTCAATTTGTAAAAAATTGCATTATCTGTAGAGTATAATAAAGTGAAGCACAATAAAATGATTTATAGATATAAATATAGATATACTCACCTACAATGATTGCACATGTGGAGACTGGTGAAAAGAGAAGTCGAAGGTTTCTCTAGGGTTTTGTTTTTTAAAAAAATGGTTTTAATTTGATTTTATTTACCCAGAAGTAAAATATTTTCCCAAGTGTTTCTGACCATTTTAGGAGTTACTTTTCTACTTAATGTTATTTATCCATTTTCCACTAAGGGTTTCTTGTTTTCATTATTGCTTTATGTTAAGTTGTATGTGTGTATACAAATACATATATTTATTTATTGAAAGCATCTCTTTTTATTGTGTTCAAAACACATAGGATAAAATTTACCATCTTAACCTTTTTTAAGTGTATAGCAAAGAAGTGTCAACTGTATGCACATTGTTGTGCATACAGACCTCTAAAACTTTTTCATCTCACAAAACTGAAACTCCGTATTTACTGAACAACTCTTCTTTCTTCCCATCCTCCAGCCCCTCCCAACCACCATTACATATTCTAACAGTCTGACACCTCTCATAAAAGAGAAATTGTGTATTTGTCTTCTTGTGACTGTCTTATTTACAATAATGTCTTCAAGGTTCATCCATGTCATAACATGCAGCAGAATTTTCTTCTTTTCTAAGGCTGAATAATATTTTATTGTATGCATATGCCACATTTTCTTTATCCATTCATCTGCTGATTAACAATTAGTTTGCTTCTTCCTCTCGGCTATTGTAAATAATGCTGCAATAAACATGGGTATGCAAAAATCTCCTTAAGATCATGTTTCCATATTTTTTGAATAAATACTCTGAAATTTCATGACTAGATCATATGGTAGTTCTATTTTTAATTTTTGGGAAACCTCCATATTCTTTTCCATGGCAGCTGCACCGTTTCACATTCACACCAACAGTGCACAAGAGTGCTAATTCTTCCACATGCTTGCTAACACTTGTTCCTTTCTGACTTTTTAAATAATAGCCATTCTAATGTATGTAAGGTGATAGTTCATTGCGGTTTTGGAAGTTTATTTTCTGGGGAAAGTGAACAGGAGTACCTCAAGGACTCTGGGCTCATTAGAGAGCTTAAATGAGACACGGTGCTGAAAACAGAGTTAGGTAATAATAGGCATGTGCTTCCTTTACTAACAGACCTTGGCCCCCTTCCCTAGTACTGCTTCCAGAATGACAGCAGCCAGGGGTATACCAACTCCCACCTACAGTCAGGAGATAAGAAAAAACTTTCTAGTAAAAAAAAAAAGGCTCCACAGAAAAGACACAATTGCAATTTCAAAGGTCCCCAATGAAAATGTTCACTTAACAACAATTTTGAGTATTAGCACAATAAGTTAAATGCTTTTCCAATTCTCAGTTAAAATTACTTTCAGGGAAGGATTCTATACCTATCATCAATCTAGTGTGAAAAATTAAACCAATTTCAGGTATTTAAAAGATTGAAAAATATATTCCCATGTGTCCTGTCTTAAAAGCTAATAGAGGAGGTATTTAAGCAAAAGAAGGGAGTAAATGAAGAAAGGAAGACATGGTATCCAGGAAGCAAAGAGCTTTAACAGAAAGGAACAGTGAAAGAACATTTCAGAAGTTCAGATGGATAGCAGACCTAGAAAGACCTAGAGTCTGGATTAGTTCAGAAGAATAGATGCTTCAAGGTTCTTTGAGGGAGATCTCCATGTTAATAATAGGCATATAAGACATTGGGAGATGATAGAACATTTTTTACAACTTCATCTACAAAAACATCATTCAAAAAAGGCAATTTCTAACAACATACATCTTACATCCCAATTCTTCAAACTTTTAAATTTTCTGTCAGCAAATTCTTCAACCCATTGCTCAGTCTTCTTGGTCATCTATCTATAATTAAATCTGTGTTATCTATAATAAAGAGAGAGTAGCAGCACCTGATCAGTTCATGTGGCATAAGGGTTTTTCTATTAACAGATTTATCAGTTCCAAGTAAGAGACAAGATGGGTCCCTGTCTGCTTTTGGGGTTTGCAGTGTAATAGAAAGATGATTGTTCTAGGGAATCAGAAGCAGTGGGCTCTATGTCATCTCTTGCAATATCAAACTGTGTAATTTTGGGTAATTTGTTTATCTTCTGTTTTTACTTTTTTCTTTGCTAAATAGAGTCAAACCTGTCATAAAGGACTGCTATTAGTTGCAAATTAGATTTCATACCATTTTTAAAACCATAAAGCCTTCTCTCTAAAGAAATCACACTATTGAAATTTTTCTGTTTACTCAGATACCTTCTTGCCACATAAATCTTCCTAGCTGACTTCTGAAAGAAATTATGCAAATGTTAGCAGTAACAGTTCTTTAAAATTTGCTGGTATCTGAGGAGAATCATTGTCCAGAGACACTGTGTTATTTGTGATACTTGAAGTAAGGTGAAAACTGAAGATGAAATGGGCCAAGTCCCCTTTCTTTTCCATAGTGGTATTTTAGTATTATGGAATTGTGTGGTTTTATGGGATCCCTAGTAGCCAAGGAATTTGCTGGAATTTGATGGGTAGCTGAATCACACAGGAAATCAGTAAGGCTGAAAAAAAACCAATCATATATAAAAAATTATATGCTTATATGCTAGGAAGAGCAAATATATGTATATACACAACAAGATATTCTAGGGAGAGCAAATCCAACCTTCTTCTGTCTTTTCTATTTTCTCTTCAGGCCTTCAATGGATTGGATGCTGCCCACTCACAATGGGGAGAGCCATTGGCTTTACTCAGTCCACTAATTCAAATGATAATCTCTTCTAGAAACCCCCTCGCAGACACAACCAGAAATAATATTTAATCAGATATCTGGCCAACCTGTGACCTAGTCAAGTTAACACATAAAATTAATCATCACAGGGGGCCTTCTTCTGTGCGTTTCCAAAACAAAAGGACAAGTGCAGAGATTGCTGCATTTGCTTGTGTCAGCTCAATTTTCTTTAAATAAATAAAAAGTTGAGAAATCAGGAAAATTTAGCTGCAACTATGAGTGTGTTTGTGCTTACAGCAGAAGATTAAAAACCAATTTCACACCTGATAAATAGGTACAACTAATCTGTTTTCACAACAAAGATTTCAAAAAGGTCTTCCTTTTCGAAGGTCAGGTTTATTTTGCAAAGGTAGAGATCTCTACATACATTCTTGCTTTCTTAGCAGTGGTTTATATCGAAGAAACATACAGAGGCTAAAAACTTTAGAGCCAGGCACACCTGGGCTTACATTTTAGCTCTGCCTAATATAAGCTCTATGAACCCAGGCAAGTTACTTAACCACTCTGAACCTCAGTTTCTTTATCTGTAAAATGTTATTATTACCTTCCTCAAAGGCATTTTAATATTAAAGGATATAAAATGTGTCTTTAGCACTGCTCTGATCACATAAATGGTGGTAATAACAATGAAATACCTGCTACCTAAACATCTCACTTTTAGTATCTGCACTCCCCATGACACATAGCATATATTTAATAAGTATTTATTGAATGAAAAGAATCTAATGATTGCCTCCTCCCCTTGCCCCTTTAGGGAGAGGATTAACACTAGCGTCTCGTTTTTATTAGCCTTAGGTTACTATCTTCTTCTTCTGACAGTTTTCCTTACACTCTGCTTACTTTTAGTAAATAAACCACCCCCAACTTTTAACACTTCTCAGTTTACCTAGTTTGAGCTTGCCCTCTGTTTTCTGTTCGGACTCTGTATGACATAGGAATAGTATAACTCAGAAAAAATGTAGTTTCAAAACTTCCAATAATTCTCTGATTTACACTGTTATTAACTGAAACTGACCTTTGGGCAAATCATCAGTTCTGGGAAATCCACCTGAAAGGTCCTATCCTCGATATGCAACGGTAAATGAAGATATTACTCTAAGAAGTCTCCTCACAATATTTAAATTAGGCCAAAATCTGGGGAGAATTAAATGTTCCACAATAGGAAATTGGTTATATACAATTATGAAACATCCATTAATGAAACACCTGAAGCCAGAGAATTATGTCTAGGCTTCAGATTAAATTATGACAATCCAGAGAGAAAGGACTGGCATACTTTCAATTTCATCTAGAGAGATGGATGTGTAGCAAATTTCCAGGAAGTCCAAGGTACTGAGTGACTCTGAGTTCTGAGATCCCAGAATTGTGAGAGATATAGAAAAGCCTACTACTAGATGAGAAAATCTCTCTGTTTCTTTATTCACTGCTGTGGATTCAATGTATGTGTCCCTCCAAAATTCATATATTGGAAGTCAAACCCTCATGTAATAGTATTAAGAAGAGGCGCTTTTGGGAGGGCATTATACTCTAAGGGTCCACCCTCATGTACAGGATTAGTGTCCTTCTAAAAGGACTTGAGGAAATGATTATGTCCCTTTTGCCCTTCTGCTCCTTCTGCCATGTGAGGACATGGCATTTGTCCCTCCCATTATGGGAGGATGCACCAAGAGGTGCCATCTTGGAAGCAGAGAGCACCCCTCACCAGATGCCAAATCTGCCAGCACCTTGATCTTGGACTTCACAGTCTCCAGAACTGTGAGAAATAAATTTCTATAGTCTATAAATTACTTAGTCTAAAATATTTTGCTATAGCAGCAGGAATAGCTGGAGACAGTCACTATATATGTGAGAGGAGTACTTTGAATAAGTAGTCCCAAATTTGGATGATTTGGGTAGCCTGGGAATTTTCAGTCTGTGTAAGTTATATATATATTTTCATTCAGCCCATTTACATAACAACGTCTAGGGATCAGAGATTTAAAAATGAAAACACATGATGTCAAACTCCATGAGAGCAGGGACTTTATTCATTGCTAAGTCTTCAGAAATATTTTTAAAATGTATCCTCTTTGTATGTTTAGTGTCTGTCTTTTTGGCTAGAAGGCCAGCTCCATTCGGGCAGTGATCTAAGTCTATTTGGTTTACTACTATATTCACTGTGCCTTGAACAGTGTCAGGCACATAGCAGATGCTTAATAAATACTTAATGAATATGTGACACTTTGTTATACATTCTTATTTGGAATAATTTTTCAATAACTTTTTTTTTTTTTTTGAGACAGAGTTTCACTCTTGTTGCCCAGGCTGGAGTGCAATGGTGGGATCTCAGCTCACTGCAACCTCCACCTCCCGGCTTCAAGTGATTCTCCTGCCTCAGCCTCCTGAGTAGCTGGAATTGCAGGCATGCACCACCATGCCCAGATAATTTTTGTATTTTTAGTACAGACAGGGTTTCACCATGTTGGTCAGGCTGGTCTCGAACTCCTGACCTCAGGTGATCTGCCTGCCTTAGTCTCCCAAAGTGCTGGAAGTACAGGCATGAGCCACCGTGCCTGGCCCCATTAACTTTTTAAACAGCCTTATTGATATGTAACTCACATGCCATAACATTTACTCATTTAGGTAACCATCACTACAATCAATTTTAGAATATTTTCATTGCCCCAAAAAGAAACCTTTTACTCTTTAGAAGTCACTCTCATTTCCCCTTTTCTCCAGCCCCTAGACACCACTAATTTGCCTTTTTTCTATTAATTTGCCTAGTCTCATAATTTCTTAGAAATATAATCATATAATATGTTGCATTTCATGACTGGCTTTTTTAACATACCATAATGTTTTCAAGGTTCATCCATGTTGTAGCTTGTAAATACTTCATTCTTTTTATAGCTGAGTAATAGCCCATTGTATAGGTATACCACATTTTGTTTATGCATTTATTAGCTGATGGACATCTGTGTTGTTTCTATTTTTTTGACTATTATGAATAATGCTGCTATGAACATTTGTGTACAGGCTTTTGTGTGGGGATATGTTTTCATTTCTCTTGGGTATATATCTAGGAGTGCAAGTCCCAGGTCATGTGGCAACTCTGTGTTTAACTTTTTGAGAAACTACCAAACTTTTTTCCAAAGCAGCTGCACCATTTTACATTTCTGCCAATGATGTATGGGTGTTCCAATTTCTCCACATCTTCACAAATATTTGTTATTTTCTGTCTTTTTTATTATTGTCATCACAGTGGGTGTGAAGTGGCACCTCACTGTGATTTTGATTTTCCTAATGACTAGTAATTTTGAACATATTATGTTTTTATTGGCTTTTTGTATATCTTTGAAGAAAAGTTTATATAAACCATTCTCCTTACCCTTTTTTGGTTTTACTTGTCTTTTGATTGGGTTGTAAGAGTTCATTATATATTTTGAATAGATTTTTATATATTCTGGATAGACTCTTGTTAGATACATGATTTGCAAATATTTTCTCCCACTCTGTATGTTATATTTTCTCTTTCTCGAGAGCACCCTAAAAAGTGCTTAAGAGAGTACAACAGTTTTTAATTTCAATAGAGTCCAATTTTTTATTTGGCTTCTTGTGCTTTAGGTATGATAGCTGAGAAACAATTGACTGATCAAACTTCATAAAGGTTTACACCTAAGTTTTATTCTGAGAGTTTTCTAGATCTAGTTATTGCATTTAGGTCTTTGATCCATTTTGAATTAACATTTGTATATGGTGTGAGGTAGGGGTCCAAATTTATTCTTTTGTATGTAGATATCCAGTTGTTCCAGCACATTTATTTTAAATAATATACTTTCCCCATCACAATTTTTTGCACACTTGTTGAAGATCAATTGCCCATATACATATATATGGCTTTATTTCTGGACTTTCAATTCTATTCCATTAATCTATTTGTACTTATGCCAGTACCACATTGTCTTGATTTCTGTTGTCTTATAGTAAGTATTGAAATTGGGAACTGTGAGTCCTCCTCATTTGTTCTTCTTTATCAAGATTGTTTTGGCTGTTCAGGATCCCTTGAATTCCCATATACATTTGATAATAACCTTGTCAATTTCTCCAAAAAAAGGAATGTAGAATTTTGATAGGGATTGCATTAAATCTATAGATCAGTTTGGAAAGTATTGCTCTCTTAACAAAATTAAGTATTCCGGAGCATCATGAACATAGAATGTCTTTTTATCTCAGGTCTTCTTTAATGTTTTTCAATAATGTTTTATAGTTTTCAGAGTATTAAACTTATTCCTAAGTATTATTGTAAATGGAATTGCTTTCTTACTTTAATTTTTGGATTATCATTGCTAGTATATTGAACTATACTTGATTTTTGTATTTATATCTTGTATCTTGCAAGTTTGCATATGAAAGGCTAGGGTGGGAGGGCCAGTTTGCTCTTGTGGATTTGCATTATCATCTGGTTTAATTGATTCCTCTCACCTCCTTTGTGCTTATTGTTAAATAGATTACATTTATATGCATTACTAGAACAACAATATAATTATATATGTATTGTTTGATACAAGTGCTTTTAAAATCAGTTAGGAGAAGAAATATGTGATTATATTATCTTTTATAATTACCTACAAAACTTCCATTACTGGGATTCTGTGTTTCTTCTTGTATATAATTACCATCTGGCTTCACTTGCTTTCAGTCTGAAGAACTTTTAACACCCTTTACAAGGTGGGTCTGACAGCAACAAATTATCTCCATTTTCATTTATCTGTGCTTGCTCTTATTTCACCTTCATTTCTCAAAGATATGTTTGCTAGATATAGGATTCTCTGTTGACAGAGTTTTTTTTTTTTTTTTCCTTTCAGCACTCCAAATATGTCATACAACTGGCCTCCATTGTTTCTGATGAGAAGTCAGTTTCTTTTATATAAGACAAGACATTTTTCTGTTGGTGTTTTTAAGATTTTCTCTTTGTTTTTGGCTTTTTCACTCTGATATGTCTGAGTGTGGATCTCTTTGTATTTATTCCATTTGGGTGTTTTGTATGTGTAGATTAATTTTTTTAAAATCCTGATTTCATCAGTTTGAGAAGTTTTCAGCCATTATTTCTTTGAATATTCTTTTGAAGAAAGAATCTTTCTTTCTTTTTTCTCTCCTCTCCTCTGGAACTACCATTATGCATGTGTTCAGGTGCTTAATGATGTCCCACATTTCTCTGAGACTCCATTCAATTTTCTTTCATTCTTTTTGTTCTTCTAATTGAATAATCTCCCCTAATGTATCTTAAAATTTGCTCATTCTTTCTTCTGCCAACTCAAATCCTCTGTTGAGCCCTCTCATGAATTTTTTGCTTTGGTTATTGTATGTTTAATTCCAAAATTTCTATTTTTTAAATAATTTATATCTACTTGTTGATATTCTCTATTTGATGAGACATCTTCATCTTCCTTCTTTTACTTCTTTAAGTATGATTTCCTTTAGTCCATTTAATATATTTATAATATCTGCTTGGAAGTCTGTCTTATAATTCCAACATCTGGGCCCTCTCAAAGGCAGTTTCTTCTGCCTATTTTCTCCTGTGTATGTGTCAGGCTTCCTTGTTTCTTTGCATTTTTCATAACTTTTTGTTAAAAAATGGAAATTTAGATAATATATTGTAGCAATTCTGAATACTGATTTACTCCTGCCTCTCCCTCTTCCACACACGCAGTGGCTTGGTGGTGTTGTTTGCTGGCTTCTTTGTTCAGTGATTTAGCTGAGCTATTTCAGCCTATTTCTTTTCTTTGTATGTAGCCTTTGATGCCATTTCTCAGAAAGTGCAGGGTTGGATAAGCACACAGTCTCCCTGGAGTAACAATGGTTTTAACATGGTTCTCTTTGACAGTTTCTTTTCCTGATTTTTTGGTTAAGCTGCCTGTCTATTGCTATCACACCTGCTGATAGCCTCCACTAACTGCTGGCTGACTGCTCTATTGTTTTCAGTAATGCTATGGAGTACAAATGTCACAACATTCCCATCTAAATTTAGGCCTCTTTGGAACAGTAGTTATTGAAGACAAATCTTTGAGGCTTGTTTTAACTCTAGCTATTGCTTTCCTTGGTTCTCTCTATTAAATGTATAGCTGCCCTACAATTGAGTGTGTTGCTCTCATTGCTTTTAACAGCAACAGTGGGCTTGAAATTCCACACTCTGTTCCAAATAAATTAAGTTCCCTTGAGGGGAGCTTGAAGCTTGGGACCTGGCCTTACCCCTGGACAAAACATCTGCACCATTATTCCAGAGCTGGGGGTGGGTACAGTGACTAATTTCTTTTGGAGTAACACCCCTGCTTTATGAGTGGGCCACTAGGTGGGTGCATTAGTCTCTGTTCTTCTTGGTTTGCCTCTCCTAGCATAAAACTTTCACCCTATGAGCAGGTTGCAGTGTGAGCAATTGGATTCAGTATGCTCATCCTGCTGCATGGTAGAGCTTCTACCATATGAATGGGTTCTATACTAAAGAAGGGAGCCCCATATCTCTCAGCTACCCTGGCCTGGAATTCAGCTTCTGCAACAGGGAATCTGGGAGTGGGTTTGAGGGTGGGGGTGGGGATGAGAAATGCCGATAGCCTGGTCCTCTTGGAATGATGCTATAGCCCTAAACTAGGAGTTGTGGAAAAGACAGCCCTGTGATTTTTTTTTCATTCACCCATAGTAGAGCTTCTATTATGCTGAGCTGGAGGACAGAGAAGGGAGCAGGTCATAGCTCAAATGCCACAGACTGTCACTCTTCTTACCGAGATATTCATTTTTTAAAAATGTTTCTCCATTTGTCATACTCTCTTAGGACAATTTCCAGAGACTTAAACATTTTAAGAATCATTTTCACCAGTTATGATTTGCAGGGGAGAGAGTCTGTAGAGCTCCTTACATTGCAATTCTGGTTTTAATAACTTGTTGTTAAAAAATCTTGAAATTGTTTTATATTTCAGATATTCACAAAAGTTATAGAAGAGGGGAAAATGCCAACAAAGGCAATCATAGAAGTAGCTAATAATAAGAAGAACTTGTGGAGCATTGCAGTCACAGAGTTTATATTGTATTTCTGAAAATATACAGCCTGATTTCATTAGCATTTCTCTGTTATTCAAGAAGCCTCAGGGTATCATAAGACCAGATTGTTATAATAACATCAACTAACATTTGTGTGGCACTTAACAATGTTAGTCTTTTCATTTACATAATCTTGTGGTTTGGTATAATACTAAACTTACTTAAGATGGAGTGCTAAAGGCTTTGTCATCTCTGCCTCAACTTTTTCTACCTTTGCTTTGCATACAGTATTGAAAAAGTGAATCTAAACTCTGTTAGAGAAGAAATGACTATGCCTTCATTCAATCATTTGTTTTCCCTTTATAAAGCATATGGCTTATTAATATTTATTAAGGTGAATAATGTGCACATTATATGTGAGTACATGTATGATTTATTCATTCTGTACTTTGTTTCAAAAAATATAAAGCACCTTTCAAAAATTTGTAGAGCAAGATAAAAAAATAAGAAATAAAAAGAGGCAAAGGGAAATGTCAGTGTAGAAAAATAAAATGACGTACCTGGGACTTGCCTGGCTTTAGCTCTGAAAATTCCACTTCTGGGGAAACTCCTTAGTCCCGGGCACACTGAGATGGTTGGTAATTCTAAATTACCAGTAAGCCATTATGGGGCTCTTTTAATATGCTGAACCATGTTCTAAGCACTTAACATCTACTATCTTCACTTGTCCTCACAATAACCCTTTGAAGTGTGCTACTACTACTGCAGCCATTTTACAAGAAAAAAATACTGAAGCACAAAAAGGCTAAGCAACCTGACTCAAATCAGACATCTAGTAAATTGGTAGAACTGGGTATCAAAGGACCACCAGCTCCAGAACTGAAGTTCTTTACCACAGCCGTAAAGTGCATGTGAGTTTCTATAGATGTTCCATACATTTGATTTTAAGATTCCTAGTAGCTAAAGTGAAGAGGAAAATATGATCAGCTACAAAATTCACATTGTCCCTAAAATATTTACTTAGGAGCATGATTATTCCTAATTCTATGAGCCTTCAAATATTTACAGAGTGCTTACTTTGGACAGGCACTGTTCTAGGTGCTGAAGATACAGCAGTGGAGAAAACACATGGAACCTCTGCCCATGTGGACCTGACATGCCAGGGAGATATGCATTAGAGGGAGATAGGTGTTGTAGACAGAATAAAGTAGGGTAAGGAGAATGGGAGCTTCTGGGGAGTGAGTAGGCTACAAATCTAAATAGAATGGTGAGGACAGATATCAATAAGAAAATGATACTTGAGCATAGCCTTGAATGGAGAAAGAGAGAGCCTTATGAGTATCTGGGGGCAAGAATGTTTTAGGTGGAAGAAACAGCAGGGACAAGGGCCCTACATTGGTGGGGGTCAGGGAGGATTGGTGTGTCTAGGGCACACCGCACAGAATAAGTCTAGAGAAAAACAGTAAAAGAGATGATCAGAGAGGGCACTGGGCCTTGAAATGCAGCACAGGAGATAGCATTGGGCGTCGTACAGACTGTGACATCTACTCTGAGTGAAATAGGGTTTTGACAGAGGAGTGCTATAACTTGGCTTGAATTTTAAAATGATCACTCTAGTTGCTGTGTTGAAATTGACTGTGGGAAGGAACAGGGATCAGGGAAATTAGGTAGGAGGCCACATCAATCATCTAGGTAAGAGATGACAGGGCATAGACAGGAAAAGTAGCAGTGGGGAAAATGGGAACATATTTTGTCAATATGGCTTTGGAGGTGAAGTCAGCAGAATTTGTTAGTGGATTGGATGTAGGGTGTGAGTGAAAGAGAGGAGACAAGGAAGACTTCAAGGTTAATTGAGATGAAGAAGCCTGAAGGGGGTTCAGGTTTGTGGACAAAGAGCAGAAATTTAGTTCTGAACAATTTGAGTTTGAGGTGTTTGTTAGACTCCAACTGGAGGTGTTCTATAAGCCATTAGAAATAAGATTCTGGAGATGGAAGAGAGGTTTGGGCTGGAAACAAAAATTTGAGATTCACCTGTTTATAAATTATATTTAATGCCATGAAACTCAATGAGATCACCAAGGAATTAATATAAATATAAAAGAGAAGTAGCCTGAGCCCTGGGGCTCTACAATATTAAGAATCAGGGAGAAGATGAGGAACCAAGAAAAAAGATAAAGAGGAGCCAGTGATGTAGAAGGACATCAAGCTAAGCATGGTGTTCTGTAGGCCAAGAGAAGGAAGAATTTCAAGGAGGAGAGAGTGATCAACTGTGTCAAATGCTACTGTTGGTCAAGTTAAGTAGGGGCTGAGAATTGACCACTGGAATTAGCAACACAGAGGTCACTGGTAATTTCCATAAGGGGCAGTTGAGAGGTCAACAATTTTAAGAGAGAATTCAGGATGAACTGGAGATAATGAAGTTGACTACAGGCTCAGCTTGTGTGCCAAACCTGGCCTGCCACCTGTTTTTGCAAATAAATTTTTAAAAAATACTTTTAACTTTTTTTGGGGGGGGGGTACATAGTAGGTGTACACATTTATGGGTTACATGAGATATTTTGATACAGGCATGCAATGCATAATAATTACAGCAGGGTAAATAGGGTATTCATCACCTCAAGCATTTATCCTTTGTATTACAAACAATCCAATTACACTCTTTCAGTTATTTTGAAAGATACAATTATTTTTGACTATGATCACCCTGTTGTGCTAGCAAAAACTGTCTTATTCATTCTTTTTTTTTTCGTACCCCTTAACCATCCCCACCTCCCCCTCATGCTCTACTACCCTTTTCAGCCTCTGGTAACCATCCTTCTACTTTCTATCTTCAGGGGTTCAATTGCTTTAATTTTTAGCCCCCACAAATAAGTGAGAACATGCAAAGTTTTCCTTTTTGTGCCTGGCTTATTTCACTTAACATATGACCTCTAGTTTTGTTCATGTTATTGCAAATGACAGGATCTCATTTGTTTTTTTTCATGGCTGAATAGTACTCCATTGTATATATTACTATATTTTAAAATTTTCTTTATGGGATCATGTGATCCCACTTTCTTTATTAATTCATCTGCTGATGGACACTTAGATTACTTTCAAATCTTGGCTACTGTGAATAGTACTGGAATAAACATGGAAGTGCAGATATCTTTTCTGTAAACTGATTTTTTTTCCTTTTGGGTATATACCTAGGAGTGGGATTTCTGGATCACATGGTAGCTCAATTTTTAGTTTCTTGAGGAACCTCCAAACTGTTCTCCCTAGTAGTTGTACTAATTTACATTCCCACCAACAGTATACAAGGGTTCTCCTTTCTCCCCATCCTCACCAGCACCTATCTAACTTTTGGATAAAAGCCATTTTAACTAGGGTGAGATAATATCTCATTGTAGTTCTGATTGGCATTTCTCTGATGATCAGTGATGATGAGCACCTTTTCATACGCCTGTCTGCCATGTGTATGTTTTCCTTTGAGAAAGGTCTGTTTAGAACTTTTGCCCATCTTTTGATCAGATTATTAGATTTTTTTTTCAACAGAGTTGTTTGAGCTACTTATATATTCTGGTTATTAATCTCTTATCAGATAGGAGGTTTGCAAATATTTTCTCCCATTCTGTGGGTTGTCTCTTCACATTGTTGTTTGTTTCCTTTGCTGTACAGAAGTTTTTTAACTTGATGTGATCCCATTTGTCCATTTTTGCTTTGGTTTCCTGTGCTCAAAAAATATTTTCCCAGACTAATGTCCTTGGGAGTTTTACCATTGCTTTCTTTTAGTGGTTTCACAGTTTGAGGTCTTTGATTAAGTCTTTAATCCATTTTGATTTGATTTCTGCATATGGCAAGATAGAATGCAGCTATAGTCTAGTTTCATTCTTTTGCATATGGATACCCAGTTTTCCCAGCACCGTTTATTGAAGAGACCGCCCTTTCCCCAGTGTATGTTCTTGTCACCTTTGACAAAAATAAGTTCATTGTAGATGTGTAGATTTATCTCTGGGATTTTAATTCTGTTCCACTGATCTATATGTCTGTTTTTATGCCAGCACCCTGTTATTTGGTTACTATAGTTCTGTAGTATAATTTAAAGTCAGGTAATATAGTTCCTTCACTTTTGTTCTTTGGCTTTTTTGGGTCCTTTCTGGTTCCATATACATTTTAGTATTGTTTTCAGTACTTTAAGTATGTCATTCTACTCTCTACCGGCCTTCAAAGTTTCTACTGAAAAGTCTGCTACCTGATGTATTGGAGCGCCATTGAATGTTGTTTGTTTCTTTTCTCTTGCTGCTTTTAGGATGCTTCCTGTATCCTTGACCTTTTTGGAGTTTGATAATTAAATACCTTGAGGTAGTCTTCTTTGGGTTACATCTTCTTGGCGTTCTATAACCTTCTTGTAGTTGGATATTTATGTCTTTCTCTAGATTGGGAGGTTCTCTGTTATCATCTCTTTGAATAAACTTTCTACCCCTATCTCTTTATCTACCTCCTCTTTAAGGCCAATAACTCTTAGATTTGCCCTCTTGAGGCTATTCTTTAAATCCTGTAGGTATGCTTCATTGTTTTTTATTCTTTTTTTTGTCTCCTCTGACTGTGTATTTTCAAATAGCCTGTATTCAAGCTCACTAAATTCTTTTTTCTGCTTGATCAGTTCTGCTATTAAAAGGCTCTGATGCATTCTTCAGTATGCCAATTGTGTTTTTAAACTCCAGAATTTCTGCTTGCTCCTTTATAATTATTTCAATTTCTTTGTTAAATGTATCTAAATTCCTTCTCTGTGTTATCTTGAATTTCTTTGAGTTTCCTCAGAACAGCAATTTTGAATTGTGTGTCTAAAAGGTCACATACCTCTGTTTCTCCAGGTTTTGTCCTTGGTGTTTTATTTAGTTTTTTGGTGAGGTCATGTTTTTTTGGATGGTGTTGATGCTTGTGGATGTTTGTGTATGTCTGCGCATCAAAAAGTTAGGGATTTATTATAGTCTTCACAGTCTGGGCTTATTTGTGCCTGTCCTTCTTAGGAAGGCTTTCCAGGTATTCCAAAGGACTTGGGTGTTGTGATCTAAGCTGTATCTATATTAGGGGGCACCCCAAGCCAGTGACACTCTGTTTCTTGCAGACTTATAGAGGTACCACCTTGATGGTCTTAGGTAAGATCCAGAAGAATTCTCTGGATTACCAGGCAGAGACTCTTGTTCTCTTCTTTTGCTTTCTCCCAAACGAATAGTCTGTCTCTCTCTCTCTCCCCACCTCCTCTTTCTGTTGTGAGCCACCTGGAGCTGGGAGTGTTGTGACACAAGCACCCCTGTGGCCACCACCACTATTACTGTGCTGGTCAGAAACCGGGACAGCATTGGGTCTCTTCCAATGCCTGCTGTTACCACTACCTGGCTACCACTACGTTTGCTCAAGCCCTTGGGCTCCATAATCGGCAGGTGGCAAAGCCAGCCAGGCTTGTATCCTTCCCTTCAGGATGACAAGTTCCCCCAGACTGTAGATAGCTCCAGAGGTGCCATCCAGGGGCCAGGGTCTGGAGTCAAACACTTTAACTGCTTGGTGTTCTATTGTACTGCAGCTGAGCTGGAACTGAAACCACATGTGAGATAGTCTTTCCCACTCTTCCTCCCCTTTCTATAGGAAGAGGAGTCAAACCTTGTGGCCATGACCACCACAGGCCCATGAGAAGTACTTCCAGTCTACTGGTGATGTTTACTTAAGGCCCAAGGGCTCTTCAGTTGGCTTGTGGTGAGTGCTGTCTGGCCTGGGACTCATCTGTTAGGACAGTAGGCTCCCCTCTGGCCCAGAGCAGGTCCAGAAATGCCATCCAAGAGACAAGTCCTGGAATTGGGGACCCCAAGGGCCCACTTGGTGCTCCATCCCTCTGCGGCTGAGCCTGTACCTAAGGTGCAAGACTAAGTCTGCTTTACTTTTCCCTCTGCTTTTCTCAAGCAGTAGGAGTCTCTCCCCATAGCTGGGGATGTGCTGAGTCTCACCTGAAGCCAGCAAGTCTCAGAGTCTCACCCAATGCCCATGGCATACTACCTGGTTATCACTACTAGTTATTCAGGGTCCAAGGCTCTTTAGTCAGCAGGTGATGAGTCTTGCCAGAATTGGTTCTGTCTCTTTAAGGCAGTGGGTTGCCTTCTGGCCCAGGATGGGAAATGTCTAGAAATGTCATCCAGGAGCTAGGGCTGGAAAGGAGATCTCATGACTCTGACTGGTGCTCTAATCTGTGGCTGAGTTGGTATCCAAGATGAAGACAAAGTCCCCTTTTTTGTTTTCTCTCCTTTCCTCAAGCCGTTGGAAGGAGTCATTTTTGGAGCCATGAGCTGTGCAGCCTGGGGTTTGGGGAGTGGTGGTACAAGCACTTCCTTAGACACCCAGCTAGTGTTTTAGTAGGTTGTGTGCTCCCCAAGTTCACTGGCTCTGAGCATAATTCAGCAGTGGGACTTGCCTAGGAGCTGCAGTCCTTGTGTCTTTAACTGCCTTTTAAGTTTATTCAGAACCCAGAGCTCTTTATCCCACAGTGGTGAGGCTTGCCAGAACTCAGGTTCTGACCACTTGGATGGGTGCCTCCCTCTCGCTAGGGCTGGTTTAAATATTTTATCAGTGGGTGGGCATCAGTTAAGTTCATCCTGGTTTTGTTTTTTGCTGTGACAGGACAGCACTGAGTTCAATACAATGTCTCACCCTCCTTTTCCCAAGCACACGGATTTTCTCTCCACTCCATGCAGCCACTGCTGGGTGTTGAGGGAGGGGTGGCATCAGTGATTCAAGACTGTCTTTCCTACCATCTTCAATGCTTCTTTCAGTGATATGAAGTTAAAACCAGGTACTGTGAGTGCTCACCTAATTTTGAGTTCTTATGAAGGTGTTTGTTTTGTGTAGATAGTTTTTTGTTTGTTTTTAAGACAGGGTCTTGCTCTGTTGCTCAGTCTGGAGTGCAATGGTTCAATTATAGCTCAGTGCAGCCTCAACCTCTCAGGCTCAATAGATCCTCCCACCTCAGCCTCCTGAGTAGCTGGGAGCTGTGACTACAGATGCACATCACTCACCTAGCTAATTTTTTGATTTTTTGTAGAGATGGGATCTCACCATGTCACCCAGGCTGGTGTCAAGCTTCTGGGCTCAAGCAATTCTCCCGCCTTGCCTCCCTAAGTGCTGGGTTTACAGATGTGAGCCACCATGCTTGGCTTATGTAAATAGTTATTAAATTCCGTGTTCCTTCAGGGAGGAAATTCGGTAAAGCCTTCTACTCAGCCGTCTTGCTCTGCTCCCACAAATAAAGTTTTGTTGGAACACAGCCAGGCCTATTTGCTTGTGTACTTTCTGTGGTTACTTTTTCATTACAATGGCAGGGCTGATTAGATGTGACAGAATGTACTGTCCTGCAGAGCCTAAAATACTCTCTGATTCTTTACAGAAAAAACTCATGATACAGACAACAATCTTGAGTTACATTTTTTTTTTTTTAAAAAAAAACATATATTGAGCTGTATTAGGGAGGGAAAATAGAGTTAGACACATTTTCCTCCTAACTAAAGAAAGACTACCATGTACTGAAATAGACCTTCAGCTACATCCATATAGGAAACACAGCACTGAGTTTTAAATGGCTGTTTCTTATAAGATTTCTCCATATTGGCCAAAGGCATCACTTCAAAACACTGTTAATAGAAGTATTTTAGAAATGTATGCTACAAATCAGGGATCTAGCATGTATAGATGCCCTTTTTAACATAGGGATAAAGTTTATGTATCTGTGAAGGAATGTCCTCTATACCATTCAGGCCATCCATCCATTTTTTTCTTTTTAAATTGATGCTTAATAATTGTACATATTTATGGAGTACCTGTGATAATTAATACCCGCATAGAATATGATTAAATCAGAATAATTAATGGTAATCACCTAAAGCATTTGTCATCTCTTTGTACTTGAAACATTTTACATCTTCTCTTCTAACTATTGTAAAATATACAGTAAATTATTTTTAACTATAGTCACCCTAGTGCTTTCAAACACTAGAACTTATTCCCTCTATTTTGTACCCATTAACCAAACTGTCATCATTCCTTGCTTCCCTCTACTCTTCCTAGCCTCTGGTAACCATCATTCTACTCTCTACATCCATGAGATCAACTTTTTTAGCTCCCCCATATAAGTAAGAACATAAAACATGCAATATTTGCCTTTCTGAGATTGGCTTATTTCACTTAACATAATGTCCTCTAATTTCATTCATGTTGCTGCAAATGACAGAATTTCATTATTTTTTATGGCTGAATAATATTCCATTTTGTGTGTGTGTATGTATATCACTTTTCTTTATCCATTCATCTATTGGTGGTCACTTAGATTGATTCCATATCTTTGCTATTGTGAATAGCACTGCAATAGACATGGAAATGCAAATGTCTCTTCAATGTACTGATTTTCTTTCTTTTGGATATATTCCCAATAGTGGGATTATTGGATCATATGACAGATCTATTTTTAGTTTGTTCAAGAGCCTCTGTATTAGTCAGGGTTCTCTAGAGGAATAGAACTAATAGGATAGCTGTATATATAAAGGGGAGTTTATTAAGGAGTATTGACTCACATGATCACAAGGTATGGCCCCACAGTAGGCCATCTGCAAGCTGAGGAGCAAGGAAGCCTGTCCGAGTCCCAAAACCTCAAAAGTAGGGAAGCCAACAGTGCAGCCTTCAGTCTGTGGTCAAAAGTCCAAGAGTCCCAAAATTGAAGAACTTGGATTCCAATGTTTGAGGGCAGGAAGCATCCAGCATGGGAGAAAGATGTAGGATGGAAGACTAAGTCAGTCTAGTCTTTCCACTTGCTTCTGCCTGCTTTTATTCTGGATGCACTGATAGCTGATTACATTGTGCCCACCCAGATTGAGGGTGGATCTGCCTTTCCCAGTCCACTGACTTAAATATTAATCTCCTTTGGCAACACCCTCACAGGCACAGCCAGGAGCAATACTTTGCATCCTTCAATCCAATCAAGTTGACACTCATATTAACCATCACAGCCTCCATGCTGCTTTTCATAGTGGCTGTACTAATTTACATTTCCAGAAACAGTGTACTAGCATTCCCCTTTATCTACATCCTCACCACCATCTGTTACTTTTTGTCTTTTTGATAATAGCCATTTTAACTGGGGTGAGTTAATATCTTATTGTGATTTTCATTTGCATTTCCCTGATAATTAGTGATGGTAAGCATTTTTACATATACTTCTTGGCCATTTGTATGTCTTCTTTTGAGAAATGTCTATTCAGATCTTTAGCCCATTTTTAATGAGATTATTTTGGTTTTGGCATTGAGTTATTTGAGTTTCTTGTGTATTCCGGTTATTAATCCCTTGTCACATGGATAGTTTTCAAATATTTTCTTCCATCTTGTGTGTTGTTTCTTTACTCTGTTTATTGTTTCCTTTGCTATGCATAAGCTTTTTAGCTTGCTGTAATCTCATTTGTCTAGTTTTGCTTTGGTTGCCTATGTTTTTGAGGTCTTACACCTGAAATATTTGCCCAGACCATGTCCTGAAGTATTGTGCCAATGTTTTTTTTCCAGTAGTTTCATAGCTTTGAGTCTTAAATTTGAGTCTTTAATCCATTTTGATTTAATTTTTGAATATGGTGAGAGATAGGGGTCTAATTTCATTCTTCTGCTTATGGATATCCAGTTTTCCAAGCATCATTTATTGAACAGACTGAATTTTCCCCAGTATATGTTCTTGGTGCCTTCGCTGAAAATAAATTGGCTGTAAATGTGCAGATTTATTTATGTGTTTTCTATTCTATTCCATTGGTCTTTGTGTCTGTATTTATACCAATACCTTGATGTTCTGGTTAATATAGCTTAGCAGTATGTTTTGAAGCCAGGTATCGTGATGCCTTTATCTTTGTTCTTTTTGCTGAAGATTGTTTTGGTTATTTGGGTTCTTTTGTGGTTCCACATGAATTTAGAATTTCTTTTCTATTTCTGTGAAGAACGTCATTAGTATTTTGATAGGTAATGCATTGGGTAGTATGGGCATCTGACAAAATTAATTCCTCCTGTGCTTAAGCATGAGCTATCTTTTAATTTGTGTCTTTTTCAATTGTCATCAGTGTTATATAGGTTTCATTGTAGGATTCTTTAATTTCTTTGGTTAAATTTATTCCTAGGTTTTTTCTTGTAGCTATTGTAAATGGGGTTGTTTTCTTTATTTTCATTCTGGTTGTTTGCTGTTGGTTTATAGAAATGCTACTGAGTTTTGTATGGTGATTTTGTAAACTGAAACATTACTGAATTCATTTATTGGTTCTAATAATTTTTTTTGGTGGGGTCCTTAAGCTCTTAATTTATTTTATTTTGTAGTTTTGAACCAGAATCTCACTCTGTCACTCAGGCTGGAGAGCACTTGTGCAATCTCAGCTCACTGCAAACTTCACCTCCTGGGTTCAAGAAATTCTCCTGCCTCAGCCTCCCCAGTAGCTGCAACTATAGGCATGTGCCACCATGCCTGCCTATGGTTTTTTTTTTTTTTTTTTTTTTTGTATTTTTAGTAGAGATAGGATTTCTCCATGTCAGCCAGGCTAGTCTCGGACTTCTAGCCTCAACTGATCTGCCTGCCTCGGTCTTCCAAAGTGCTGGGATTACAGGTGTGGGCCACTGCATCAGGCCTCCTTAGGCTTTTCTAAATATAGGATCATGCTGTCTTCCAACAAAGATAATTTGACTTCTTTCTTTCCAATTTGGATGCCTTTTATTCCTTACTTAGCCTAACTGCCCTGGCTAGGACTTCCAGTACTATGTTGAATAAAAGTGGTAGAAGTGGACATTGTTGTCCAGTTTCACATCTTAGAGAAAACACTTTCATTTTTACCCCATTGAGTATAATACTAGCTGTGGGTTTTGTCATATATTTTGTGTTGGTGGTATGCTCCTTCTGTTCCCAGTTTGTTGAGAGTTTTTATCATGAAGGGATATTGGATTTTATCAAAGGCTTTTTCAGCATCTATTGAAATTATCATGTGGTTTTTGTTCTTGATTCTGTTAATGCGATGTATCACATTTATTGATCTGCATATGTTGAACTACCCTTTCATCCTTGGGATAAATCTCATCTGATCATGATTAATAATTGTTTCAGTATGTTGTTGAGTTAGGTTTGGTAGTATTTTGTTGATGATTTTACATCTATGTTCATCAGTCATATTGGCCTGTAGTTTTGTTTTTTATTATGTCCTTCTCTGGTTTTGATATCAGGGTAATGCTGGCCTTATAGAATGAATATGAAAGTATTCCGTCCTCTTCAATTTTTAAAAGACTTTGAGTAAAATTGGCATTAGTTCTTTAAACATTCGGTAGAATTCAGCAGTGAAGTCATAAGGTCTTAAGCTTTTCTCTGATGGGAGACTTTTTATTACTGCTTCAATCTTATTACTTGCTATGTGGTCGGTTAAGGTATTCTATTTCTTCATGGTTCAATGTTGGTAAGTTGTGTGTGTCCAGGCATTTATCCATTTCTTTTATATTTTTCAATTTGTTGGTGTATAGTTGTTTATAATAGTCTCTAATTATGCTTTGTGTGTCTGTGGTATCAGTTATAAAGTCTTCTTTTTTGTCTCTGCTTTTATTTGTGGCTTCTTTTTTCTCAGTCTAAATAAAAATTTATCAACTTTATTAAAAAAAAACCCAAATTTTTGTTTTGTTGATCTTTTATATGGTTTTTCTTTAGTCACAATTTTGTTTATTTATGCTCTGATCTTTATTATTTCTTTTCCTGTGCTAATTTGAGGCTTGGTTTGTTCTTACTTTTCTAGTTTCTTGAGGTACATCATTAGGGTGTTTGTTTACTTAAAGTCTTTCTACTTTTTTGAGGCAGGCATTTATTGCGACACGGATTCCATTTAGAACTGATTTTCCTCTATCCCACAGGCTTTGGTATATTGTATTTCCATTTTTATTTGTCTCAGGAATTTCATATTTTCTTTTAAATTTCTTCTTTGATCCATTCTCTGTTCAGAAGCATGTTGTTTAGTTTTCATGAATTTGTACAGTTCCCAATATCCTTTCTGTTTTTGATTTCTGATTTTATTTCATTATGGTCAGAAAAGATACTTGATATCATTTCAATTTTTAAAAATTTGCTAAGATTGTTTTGTGACTTGCCGTATGATGTATCCTGGAGAATGTTCCATGTGCTGTTGAGAAAAATGTGTATTCTGTAGATGTTGGATGCAGTGTATGTAAATTTCTGTTAGGTCCAGTTGGGTCTAGAGTGTAGAGTTTAACTTCAATGTTTCGTTGCTGATTCTCTTTCTGGATGATCTGTTCGTTGTTGAAAGTGGGGTGTTGAAGTCCTCTACTATTACTGAAAGCTGTATTTGGGCTCTGTTGAATGTGATATGTTTGTTTTCTCTTGCAGCTTTGAGTATTATTTCTTTGTCTTTGATTTTTGCTAATTTGATTATGATGTGCCTTCAGGAACTACTTCATTGAATGGAATTTGATCAGTGATATCTAAGCTTCCTATAGCCGGATGCTGTTGTCTTTCTCCAGGTTTAGGAAATTCTCAGCCATTATTTCTTTAAATATGCTTTCTAATATGCCATTTTTTCTCTCATCTCCTTCAGGAATTCCTATTATGCAGAGATAATTCTCATAGGCCTTCTTCACTTTTTAATTTTTTTTCTTTTTGTTTCTCTGATTGGGTAATTTCATATATTCTGACTTCAAGTTTTCAAATACTTTTCTCTGTTTGATCAAGTCTGCTGTTGAAACTTTCTAATGAGTTTTTCAGTTCAGTGTTTCAATTGGTTTTCCATGCATATTTTTTTTTGTTTTTCAGAACATCTTTAAGAGGATTATTCTGAATTCTCCATCAGACATTTCATAGATCTGTAATTCTTTTGGATCCATTGCTAGTGCTTTGTGGGGCTTTTTTTTTGTGTGTTGTTATATTTCCCTGAGCTTTTACAATCCTTGTATCTTTACATTGATGCCTGCATATTTGAGGAAGCAGCCACCTCTTCTGGTTTTTGTAGATGTTCTTTGGTGATGCTAGAGCTTTACTACTTAGCATCAGAATTTAAATGTTAGTTTGTTGTTGCTTCTTATTCTGGGGATAATGTATAGTGAGCACCAGAACTAAAATGCTGCATTGAAACTAACTCATTGCCCTGCTGTTGTTTCCCAATCTGGGGAAAACTTACAGTGGGCACTGAAACTTAAATGCTGCCCTATAACTAAATCACTGCCCTGCCATTGTTTCCCACTCTGGGGAAGGCTTAAGCACATACTGGAACTTAATCCCGATCTTTTAGTTTTTTCAGGTCAAAGGAAGGCTCCTTGCAGACACCTGAGCTTTGTAGAAAATCTGGCCAGGCAGCTGGGCCTTCCCATGGATTGTGTCTCCTGCAGTACTATGGTGATGGCCAGCCTCTTCAGTGTGGTGTGTCCACTGGTGGATGTGCAGAGTAATTACCAAGATCTGCATGCCAGTTGCTGCAGTCAGTGCCCCACTCTTTGTCCCAAGTAGTTTGGTTCTTTCCTGGCTCCCCCAGTGTTTCCTGTGGTATCAGAATGGAGTAGTCTTCCTGTGAAGATTCCCAGATTAGTGGGGAGATTGAAAGTCTACCTGCAGCTCCCTACTCTCACCTCAGAAACTGGGTCTGGGGAAATTCTGTCGGTGGCATTATGCTGACTTGGGGTAGGGGTGGCGCAGTCTGAAATGACCATTTCTCCTATTTGTTGCAGCTTCTCTCAGTTCTGTGGGCCCAGGGGGCTCCTCCACTTCTCCCCCAAGTTTGGATGAATTCAGGGTGGTATGTTTGTCTTTGAACAGTTTCCAGTTGTATTTTTGTGAGGGGAGTGATATGGGGGAATTTTCTGTTCTGCCATCTTGCTGATGTCACGCTCAGTTTTTCCTTCCATTGATTTTCCCATTTCTCCTTTTTCCTTTAGATAAGATTTTGAAGGATGAACAATAGTTGTTTTGTTTACTTGGCAAGTATCAGGAGTGTAGCTAGTATGTGTGGCAAATATGGAGTACAGTCATATCAACTAAACTGTGATAGAACTACGGTCCATTTAAAAGAACATGATATGGTTTCCAGTCTCAAGTAGTTTGCCATCTGGGGATAGAGATAAGACAGGTACATGCATTTATAACAGTATGAGGCAGAATGTGATAATAACAAAAGTAGCTAAGGTTTCTTAAGTAACAAGACTGAACTATTGCTCTTTCCTGTCCATAACCATAACCTTCCTTGTTCTAGTAGATGGCAACTCCACCTTTTCAGTTGCTCAGGCTTAATGCCTTGACTCTTTCTTTTGCATTCCATATCCAATTTCTCAGAGCATTTAATTAGGTTTGCCTTTAAAGCACATCTCAAATTTGACCCCTTCTCACCAACTCCAAGGCTATCCTCCTTTTCTTCTCCCTACTCCCACCCCCAAATTCCAACCTGAGCTTCTATCATCCATCACCTAAGGTACAACAGTAGCAACAGGTCTCCTTGATTTTGCTTTTCTCCCCTATGAACTATTTTCAACAGAGAGCCAGACTGAGTCCCTTAAAATGTAAGTCAGATCATGCCACTCCTTTGCCCAAAGTCCTGCAGTCTTTCTACATGTCACTCAGAGTGAAAACTAAAGCTCTTAGAGTGGTTTTCAGGGCCGCAAATGATTGAAACCTATTATCACTTTGACTTCATCTTCTGCAACTCTTTCCTGGCTCCTTCTAATCCTCTGGCCCCTCACACTTGGGCTTGGCTCAAGCTTGAAATGCTCTTCCACTGGTTACCTGCTCAGCTCACTCCCTTACCTCCTTTGAGTTTTTGCTCCAATTCCACCTCAATAAGATTTTTCTCTTCTATTCGATACTGCAACTTTTCCCACACTTCACTCACCTCTCCCATCCCTCTCACCCTGCGTTACTTTTCCTTTTGTTTCATATCACTTATCATTGTGGAACATACTCAGAAATTTACCCATTCAGCTGATTTATCGTTGCTTGTCTGTCTCCCTTGCTAGAATGTAAGACCTATGTCATTCTTGATTTGTTTTGTTAAATTCCTACAACAGTGTCTGGTACATAATATGTTCAATAAATATTTGTTGAGTAAAAAATGGGCACTATTAGCAGAAACTGGACTACTACGTTACATGAATTACTGATTTGAATTTTCTCAAAACAATAAAGTATTATGCATTATCAGCTTCATTTTATTGATGAGAAAGCAGACACGTAGACAGGTTAAGCAATTTTCCCAAGGTCACACAGCTAGTGCATGGTGGAGCTGGAATTTGAACCCAGTAAAATAGGATGAGAGACTTACTGATGAGATGTTACTCATTACACTTGGACAAGTACAAATGATTTGCTTGGCGCCAAAGCCAAACAAGAAGTGGGTTAATTGTAAAAGTATCCAGGACTCTTATTTAACCTAAGGAATACTAAACCTCCATTGCAGTAAACTGAAAAAATATACATTGATTTTGCAGAGCCAGACCTTGATTTCATGCGAGAAGGTGGAGTAGGAGGAAGAGAAGGAGGAGAGTTAGAAGGAGTAGGAGGAGGAGGAAAACCTCCTGGTGAGTGCATTCAATTTCTGTCAAGTATTTTTGTGACTCAGCATGCAGTCAATAGTCAGCTAAGATTCAGAAGTCTCCTTGCCAATAGGGCTGTCGGCATTGTGAGGACAGTTGAAAGGGAGGGAAGCCTGTCGGATAATCAGATGAACCTGTTTGGGGCATAAACTCCTAAACTGTGGTGTGCTGCTTGTGGTTAACATTTATTTCTCAGGGAATAGTTAATAGCCCGTTGTGCTTTGCTTCAATAAATAATGGAAAGAAAGAAAGGCAGGGACAAAAACCCGGGGCTGGATTTAGAGAGTTCTAAACCTTTGGTTTGACAGAGCATATTTTTTACACTTTTTATTCTAGACCAGGTAAGCTTTTACAACTATAAAGCAAGATGCTTACATCAGATGCCAAATTGTCCCACCTGATTCTTTATGCCAGCATCTGCAGATGCATTTAAAAAAGCTTCATTTGATTATGCAGCTTCTTCACAGCCCAAAAGCCAAGCAAGCTGTGGGCTAGTTGTAAAGGTGTCCATGAGCTTTGCTTTATCTAAGGAATACTAAACCTCCAGTGCAATAAACTGAAAAAAAAAAAAAGTTGGTTCTACAGAGCCAGACCTTGATTTCATGGGGGAATAATAATAAGGAGAAGAAGAAGGAAAACTTCCTGGTGAGTGCATCCTACTTCTGTCAAGTATTTTTATGATTCAACATGTAGTCAGTCAGCTAAGAGTCAGAAGTCTCATTCAGCTGAAATTCCAAAACTGAATAATGCATAGTATAGTGTCATTTACTGGAAAAGAGAGGCTTGTTTATTTCCTGAGTTTTACACTCTTTAATGTACTGCCCCAGAAGTTTTCTTTTTTGGAAACCACAATAGAACACTAAAGAAGTGTAATTCAGAAATGTGGCAGATAATTTGCCATTCTATTTTCTAGAACATCAGCTCTTTTTCAGCTAGTAAAAATGGCTTACTAAGTAAATCAGTTTTGGCTCCAAAAATTATTCAGAGGAATCCAGTTTTCTTCCTCCCTCACTAAATAAACAATGAGAAAGATAGATAAAATATCAGTTTGGAGAAACATCAAATGATTAGCTTACATAGGCTACCTTTGCATTTCAGCTGTCCCTGGGTGGCCCCAGGAAAACAATCATATCTGAAAATGATATAATGAGTTACACATGTTTAAGCAGTTACTCTGTGTTAGGCACTGTTCAAGGTAGTCTATATATGCTATCTCACTTAATCCTGCAACAAACCCGTATTTTGGTTATCTGTTTTCACGGTATTGCTGCCTGACAGGCAACAACAAAGTCTCAGTGCATTCAGCAATAGACATTTATTGCTCATGTATCTGGAGTCAGCTGGGTGGCTCTGCTGATTGTGACTGGCTCACTCATATACTGGGTGTCAGCTGATCAAGGCTGGCCCCAGGTGGGACTATTAGAGAGACTCAGCTTTACCCTAATTTGCCTCTCTTCTTTCAGCAGGCTCGTCTGAGTATATTCCTAGGTGATGGCAGAGGGGCAAGAAAGCAAGCAAAAAGAAGCACAGAAGCCCTCTCATGGCCAAAACTGGCTTGGTGTCACTTTTACCTCATTCTATTGGTCAAAAAAAGTCAACAGGCTGAGCCCAGAGTCAGAGTGGGAGAGTACTGCATGGTTACATGACAGAGGATGTGGATATGAGGAATCGTGAAGAACTGCATCCATTAGAGCCATCTGTCACAGAAGGGACTATTGTCATTTTACTAATTTTGTACATGAGGATAGGGAAGCATGGAGATGGTAACATGCCTAAAGTCACATAGCTTCTTAGCTGTGGAACCAGAAAGTAAACCTGGGCCTTCTGGGCCCAGGGCCCGTGGCTGTTAAAACCACTGTGCACACTGCCTTACTCCTACCCTTCACAATCAGGTTTCTGCTCTGACCACCCTAGAAAACATGCCCGTCTCAGGTTACCGATGCTCTCCTATGGACAGATCCAATAGCCTTTGTTAATTGTCCACATCTCTATCCATTCTGTAATACTCCTGCATGCTGCATCCTTGGAGTTCTTTTCTCCTTTGATTCTGCAGAACCTGTACTGTTTTGTTTCTCTTTCTGGCTTCCTCTGTCTGTCTCTCTTCACCAACTACATAATGCATTCACTTCTTTTTCTTGGCATCTCCCTTTCCAAGCACACCCACTCTCCTGGTTTCCATTATCTCCCTGCAGACAACTCTCAACTGGCTCTAAGAAAGCTCACTATAATTTTCAGCAACCTAATTCAGTCGTTTGTCCGTCACAAATAACAGCTCAGGAAAATCAAAGGATTTTCTCACTAGCATCTTATCATTCCATGTCACCTAGCAACTATCCCAGTGCTTGATATTCTGCTACTAGAAACTCCCTACTACACAGATAATACCACTGGAAGGTATAAAGCCACTTGACTGACCTCTCTCCATTCACAGCATTTATAACTGTAAGAAATTGCCAGTGGTTGACTCTTTCCGACCTTCGAAAGTGGCAATTTCATGTGGTTCAGCTTAATAGTATTTATTACCTTGTGCTGTAATAATTTTGTATCTGTATCTCCCATGAGACTCAAAGCTGCTTGATTGAGGAGATCATGCTTGCTTCTGCTTTTCATCAAGTTGCCTAGTACATGACACTCTGTAAGGATTAGACCAAGTAGGTATTGAATAATTGTTTGGCGAATTTAAAAAATTAAAGAAACATTTGAAATCAATGCACCAGAGGCTAGAGACAGAGTGCTAGGAAGGGAACAGGATGGGGACAGGGACACCAGAGCAAAGATAGAGTCAAAGACACATTTCCAAAATGGCAATTCATGCCTTGTGTCAGTTGTACCCACCTCACATTCTTTAACACTTAAGGTTTTTCTGGGTAGTAAGTGCAATACATTCTTATTATAAAACAATATAGACAGTTCAGTATGTATAAATGAGGATAAAATCAAAATCACCCACAATCTCACCACTTTGTGATAATAACCATTAACTTCAATATTGATGAATTTCCTTGAATGTTTTATCTACAATATTTCTTTCATATAGTTGATATCACTCTGTATGCACAAACTTGTATCCTTTTTCTAAATCTTAATATCATAATATTAGCATTTTCTAATGTTAGTAGATGTACTTCTTAAATATTGCTTTTTAATGATAAAGGTTTTTTTTTTTTTTTTTACAAATAAAGATTTGTCTATATTTTGGGTTATTTCCTTAACACATATTCACAAAGGTAAGAATTAAAAAGTAATTTTAACTAAGTCAAGGAGCATGAAAAGTTTTTAGATTCTTGGTACACATTTTTATCCAGTGTTTTAAAAAACTACTACCATAGTACACATCTCCAATTTCAATATCTCTATGTGAGTGCTTGCCTTATCATGAAAAAGTCAATATTGAATATTATTATTATTTTATTATACTTTTATAACTTCATTGGCAAAATGTTAACCTGCCATTTTAAAGTTTGCCTTTGTTAGATTATTAGAGAGATTGAATTTGTTTTCAGACAAATATTTTATTAAGTATGTTATTTTCTCATGAAAATGGTTTGTTCATAACCTTTGCCTTTTGATCTATTGGAATGTGTTTTCTAATCAGCAAGAATATTAGTTTTATTTTGCTTATTATATATTTGAATTTACTTTTACTTTTATAAAAATAATACCTGCATATAGTTAAAAGCCACAGGGTGCTAAAAGATTTGTGGCAAAATAACAGCAGTCCCTTTCTCTGAAGCCCTCCTCAGGACCTATTCTCATGTGTCAGAAGCAACTACTTTCAATTTTTTAGCTGTTTCTTCTAAACATTTTTTGACCATTTTTTGAGGTTGGGTTTTAGGTGAGATCTGCCATGGTATCCTATTATGAAGACAAAGATTTTGCCTCTTTTAGACAGCCTCCTCATTTTCTTCTTAATCCTCCTAAAGTGGTTAAAGTGCAATTTTTGGTTAAATTACAAGTCAGTGTTTCTAAATGCAACGTGGACTCATGCATTGGATCCCGGAATAGAAAAACTGGTAAAATTAAAATGGTATCTAGTGTCACATAGTACTGTATTGACAAATGTCACATGGTTATGGAAGATATTAAAATGCAGGGAATCTGGGTGAAGGGTATACAGGTATACAGAGACTATATACAGGTATATAGTCTCTGTACTATATTGACAACTGTTCTATAAATCTAAAGTTATTCCTAAGGTAAAAGTTTATTCAAGGAAAGTCAGTATTTACACTACGATACACATATATTTGCTGCTGAGCCAAAAAGTATGCCATAGTTATGGCTGCTTTGTAGTACAACATTTACTTTTTTTTCTAGAGTTAATACTTGCCTCATTTTAAATTTATTTATGAAACTATGTTCCAAATCCTCAAGTAAATCTGTTTAACAGATATGACAAATATCTGTCAATATTATTATCCAAGTGCTTAAATACATCTGATAATCTACAGTTAAATATGTTTTAATCTACAGTTAAATATGTTTTCCCCTGGTACCTCCTTCTTTGAGCCCTTGATTCTACTGCTCTAATTTGGTTGATTGATTTGGAACCTTCCTTTTCCTCTTCCCTGTGTTGGATTTGCTGTTTGCTGGATTCCTGTCTTACTTACTCTTCACTTATCCTTTATTTTGCTAAAATAAATATATCTTCCATACCATTCTAAGAAAGAGTATATGATGGATGAACAGTTGAGTCAGGGCTAATACTATTCTTACTCTACTCTTATACCTGTTTGTAATTTGAATAGTATAGAATAATAGCTGGGAATACATTTTCCTCCGGATTTGGAAGGCATTGTTCCATAGTCTTGTAGCTTCCAGTGTGACTCTTGAATAGTCCGATATGATTCTGATTGCAGATTCTAATTATGCACCTATTTTTCCTCCGAGGTTACTTATTTATTTTTTTTGAGGCGGAGTTTCGCTTTTGTTGCCCAGGCTGGAGTGCAATGGTACAACGTTGGCTCACTCCAACCTCTGCCTCTCAGGTTCAAGCGATTCTCCTGCCTCAGCCTCCAAAGTAGCTGGGATTACAGGCATGCGCCACCACCCCCAGCTAATTTTGTATTTTTAGTAGAGATGGGATTTCTCCATGTTGGTCAGGCTGGTCTCGAACTCCCAACCTTAGGTGATCCACCTGCCTCGGCCTCCCAAAGTGCTGGGATTACAGGCGTGACCCACGACGCCCAGCCTCGTCTGAATTTTTTAGCATCTTCTCCTTATCTATCTCTGAAGTAACATTTTACTATCATGTATCTTGATTAGTTTTTTCATTCATTCATTCATTCATTCATTCATTCATTCATTCATTCATTCTTCTGGGCATTTTGACAAGATCTTTCAACCTAGAAATACGGTTTTTCTTCTTTATTTTCTTCTTTATTCTCTCTGATCTCTGGAGTTCCTACTAATTGAGTCTTCTGGGTTGATCCTCTAACTTTTCTCTCCTAATCTTTTTGTTTTTGGTTTTGCTCACTTTCTGAAATATTTTCTCAATTGTATCTTCAAACTCTTCTATTGCTTTTGAAAAATATGGCTATCCTTTTTGATGTCAGTCTTTTTGGTAGATTTTTTATTTTATTTTGAAGGCTATAGAGCAATAACTGGTGATCCTAAGCTGTCCATTCATACTTAAGAATAAAGTATTAAAAAACTAATTAGGAAACTATTCCAAGTAATTTTAAAATGCAATACTATGACTATAAAACTGTAGTGGGTTATACTCCAAAGACAAAAACTATTCCAAAATATATTTAAATAGTTTTCAGTAATCATATTGTTTGTACAAATTGATACTGTTATTCTAAGTTGTAGAGTATGTATTCCTACATAAAACAAATGAGTAATTATATGAAATTCAAATTCTATCATCCTCAGTGTTGTTGAAATCAGAATTTTCATCATGGGAGAAAGGGCACGATAGAAGAGATTAAATAAAAGCTCTAGTCTGAATTTAAATTGAAGCATCATTTTAAATTTGTCATGTATTTTATCTTTTTTAAAAAAATAAATCTTAGCCTTGTCTACTGAAAAAGTCTAGAAATAATGACCGACCTAGTAGCAATAAGTTTCCCTAGCAGCCAAATGGTAGTCTTATAATACCATTTCCCATTGAAAGCAGCCAGAGTTATTTAGAGAAATGGCTGATTCCCGGCCCAGAACAAATTGTCCTACAGACAGCAAGAAAAACTATGAATGACTAATGGCATCATGTCAAAAGGACTCAGGAGCCCACTTTAAAAGGCCCTTATAGCCAAAGATGGGACAATTGAGCGTAAAAAGGAAAATAAATGCAATGAATTGAGACACATTAGATATTTTTAAAATCATGAGATCATAAGCATATCAAAGAAATCTAATTGGTCAACATTAGAGAACACTGGGGAACCAACTCATTATTTTTAAAAGCGGTAAATAAAAAGATGGGATCAAATAATTTATGGGAATGTTTCTCTGTAAAATTATTTTACCTAATAAATAAAGACAAAATAATAGAGTTACAGTATAGCAGTTTTGCAAAATAAATGAATCTAGGTATTGAGCTTCCGTGGCTGCTAACACCATTCAAAAAAGACTCAGTGAAACACCATGTACCTTCTAATGAGCCAACCCAACACCGTCTAAGAAGTAGCTTTGCCACGAAAATAAATCTGAATCTGATCAGCCTTCATTTCCCACTCTCAACTTAAAAGAAATACAGAAGACAGAGGTGTATGTTAAACTTAGCATGAGCAATTGCTTCCAGTTTAGCACTGGAAGTCCTGTGTCTCAGAAAGCCCCCCAGTCCTAGGCAAACCTGTGGGGTTGTCACTCTATCTGGAAAAGTCATCAGGAAAACCCAGAATATGGCAAAGCCTGTCAGTGGGGTGGGCACAAAGATCTTGACTTTAGTTGATTTCTTCTGCTCTCAGTCCTAAGCTTCACCCTAATAATTGGGCCTGAGTCTTTCTAGAGTTTGGTGAGACAAGCAGCCTGCTGCTTTAGGCTATCTTTGTCCTCAGGCACTCACACAAAGTTGTCCATTTTCTGGCCATTTCTCCATCTACTTTTTTTTTTTGGTGTGTAAAATTGTCATAAAATATACATAACAGAAAATTTATCATTTTAGCCATTTTAAAGTGTACGTTTCAGTGACATTAAGTACATTCACATTGTTGTGCAACAATGACCACCATCCATCTCCAGATCTTTTCACTATACGCAACGGAAACTCTATACCCATTGAACAATAACTCCCCATTATCCTTTGGCCCCACCCTGGCAACCACCATTTAACTTTTTGTCCCTTTAGATTTCACTACTTTAGGTACTTCATAGAAGTAGAATTATACAGTATTTGTCTTTTTGTGACTGGCGTTTTTCCCTCAGCCTGATGTCTTCAAGGTTCAACTGTATTTTAGCATGTATCAGAACTTCATTTCTTTTTGTGGCTGAATAATATTGCATATATATATGCATATATATACATATATAATGTATATTTTTGTACAGTGCATGTGTAACATTGCATATATATGCATATATATATATGCTGTGTTGCTCTTTGTACAGTGACTAACAACAGATAATCTATCAATATGTTACTACATCATATTATTTGTGCCTAAACATTCATTACTAAGTACACACGTTAAAGGATGTAAAAAACACATGTACTAAGTACACATGTTAAAGGATGTAAAAAGGATGTTTTCTTTTTTGGACTTTTAATTAAGATCTCAAACCCGGGGAAAATAGGTATTAAGTATCCCCTCATTCAAAAGCAAGTCACTTGACTGTCTCTGCAGGACTTGCAGAGAGAATGACTCGAAACTAATCTGCCTTGATACCTCCTATCACCTCCAGGCTATGTAAGAATGAGCTAAGGACCAAGAGGTCCAGAGGAAGTCAGAGTGTTGGGACATCCCCCACCCACAGGGGAGATGAAAGCTTTTCAAAGATTACAAAGAGGTCTGTTCTGACAGCATAGGGAGTGAGCCTGACTTCCAGTGGATAAGAGTGTGTGTTTCCCATGGGACAGACAGGTGAGGACTCTGGGTTATCCTGGAGCAAGAGCCGCTGGAAGCCAGGGCTTGACAGGAGTCATTGGTGGCCACTGAGGAGATATTGTCCATAACAGGGAGCTGCAGTTGGAGGTCTGCAGTTGGGAATATGCAACCCTGGAGAAGCCAAAGGCAGAGTCAGTGGGGAAGACGGGTAGAAGATCAAGGTAGGGAGAAATAATGAAGGAAGTACCACAGTCCCTTTCCCTATTGCTGATCTCAAAACATGATTCACAGCAGAGCTTAGAAAGGGGGGAAGTTTTAGTTTGTGTAAAAGACTGAAGTTTGGGTATATGGTATTGAAGTTTTAGAATTTTGAACTAATGGAAAAGTTCTGGAATTTGCCTGAGGTCCATCCAGTGCCATAGAAGGAAGATTAAAGAGAGCCATTTTACCAGAGGATGGTGAAAAATACAGTGGCATTCTGTTTACACACTACTTAGTTCAGGTCAGTTTCATATATTAGTACTATTTCTTATTCATGGGTTTTCATCTATGTCCTATTATCTGTCTCTTCATCTATATGCCAGAAGTATACTGTGATGTCCATTGTAACTTTCAATGATGCTCTAATATTTGGCAGATTAAAAAATAGTCTCCATTTGATAATGTATGATCTTGTATACAGTACACCCTTATCTCATACAACCCTCACCCCATACATGCAAGGTTACTATTTTCCCCATTTTAGAGCTGAGGCTTAAGGAACTTAAGATCACAAAGCCATTATGTGGCTGTCAGATCCTTAACCTGCACTCTTGACATAGGACTGTGCCCAACCTGCTATGCCCCCTTATTAATCTTTTGTCAAGAACTTCACAGATACTCTTGTCTGTTTATTTCTCTGTATTACCTTAGTATTAGTTTGCCAATGTATTTGGCTGAGCGAGTAATTACCTGATCAAGTATATTCTCTTTCCAGGTTCTCTCTGCCAGAGGAGACTCTTCTTCTAAGGGACATTTATTTTTTTTACATGGTAGTCACTCCAGATAGGCAGATTGTCACACTAGTAGGGAAAAATGCCCCATGTATTTTCATACCTTAGTCTCTTCATTAGTTCCTTCCTCCCTGGGTTGTTTCCTTATAACATTTGCCGTCTAAAGTGTATCATGATTTTTCCTCAACTCTGCAGTGCTTATATTATTTTCCCCACATTAAACATTTGGAATTAACCATTCCCTTACCTTCCCACTTCCACTTTTTCAAATTACCCCTTTCTTTAAAGCCTAATTCATGTTTCAAATGCTCCACCATTATCCCAGTCAACAGCAGGCATCTTTTCAGTCTGAATTTATTGTGTGCCGCTTGATAATGTTAGGAGCCTTCCTGTGATTTTATGTTTGCTATGAAAAGCATGGCTCTATCTCAAGGGCTCTTAGTATGAACTGATGAGGGTGGGCAAGCCTGTTATATGGGGTGATGATGGAATGGGGTGGGGTGGACAGATCAACTTTTGTGATAGGTGTGGCCTGACAGCTAACTCTCCAAATTGTCAACAGTGAAGTGTGCTGCCAACCTAAGCCTGATTCTAGCCAGCATCTATCCCCAGGGCTGAATGGTCATGCCGTTCACATTCATCTATGCTCAATGCAGCCAGGGCAACTTGGACATGTTTCAATGTACTGAAGAATTAAATCTCCCCATCTCTCCCTTGATTCCAGGATGGAGGCACTCGGGCTGTCAGGCATTTAAAAAATAAACCTCAAGTGTCTTTTCTATGTCAAGCATTGACCTAGAAGTGAGATAGGGAAGACAAGCACTGTGCCTTCATGGGGCTTATAACACCAGTGGAAGGAGAAAGAAAAGTACAAAGTCAGAAGTTCATGACTGCAGTCATGGACTCACAGCCCAAGGAAGTCTTTCTGAGTCAAAGGAGACATGTAGAAGAGCATTTAGAGCAAGGGTTCTCAACTGGGGGTAATTTTGACCTCCAAAGGACATTTGGCAATGTCTAAAGACACTTTTAATTGTCATAACTGTGGGAGTGGAGGCTGCTAGTGGTGTCTTGTGAGTAGAGAGGCTAGGGATGCTGTTAAACCTCCCAAATGCACAGGACAGCCTCACAACAAAGAATTATCTGGCCCCGAACATCAGGTGTGCCAAGTTTGAGAAACCCTTCTTTAGTGGGAGGGCAAAGAAGCTGAGGGAATCAGGACTTTCACTGACTGGGCTGGGGTTCAGGGCTGAGAGCCAGTAATAATAGGAATAAGGACAAACAAAACAAAACAAACAAAACAAAAGCCTGAAAACTACGGCAGAGGGTGAGTTGGATGTATAGATTAGCAGCAGCAGTAGTGTCATGCAGCTGTCATAAGTGACAGCTTGGGGAGCTTGGCTACAGAAGATGATTCCCAGAGCCATTTAAGGCAAAGGAACGCCTACATGCCTGTGATGGACTCAGAGTGAACCTGCAGGTGCTGGCTACTACTGGCTGAGTGAAGGAAGTCAATAGGGTTGAAAGTGGCCTTTAAGTGGGCCTGGTGGCTCACGCCTGTAATCTCAGCACTTTGGGAGGCCAAGGCGGGTGGATCACGAGGTCAGGCGTTTGAGACCAGTCTGGCCAACATAGTGAAACCCTGTCTCTACTAAAAATACAAAAAATTAGCTGGGAGTGGTGGTGCGCACCTATAATCCCAGCTACTCAGGAGGCTGAGGCAGGAGAATCGCTTGAACCTGGGAGGCAGAGGGTGCAGTGAGCCGAGATCACGCCACTGCACTCCAGCCCAGGCGACGGTGCAAGACTGTCAAAAAAAAAAAAAAAAAAAGAAAGAAAAGAAAGAAAGACAGAAAGTGGACTTTCAGTATTTCCTAAATAATTTCAGGGTAGGGACTAATTCTTAGCATGTTTATGTTCTCCATAATGCTTAACCAAGTGTCCTATATTTGTTCAATTACTGCTTATTAATTGACTGATTGATGGTGTCCTTAATTGGTCATGCCATTTCCATCCACCTATGCTCAGCACAGCCAGGACAATTTGGACATCTTCCAATGTATTGAAGAATTAAATCTCCCAGTGAGGATCTTGGCAATCATATCACCAATAGGCTTGGATTCAAATCTGCATTTAAATAGCAATGAAACAAACACACTCCATCCCTGTGGATAGCAAGCAGCATAATCTGCTTACTTATGGCTGGGCACCTGTGAGAAATGAAAGTGATAGGCAGTAACTTCAGTGATGAATTACAGAACAGTTTCATTTAGCTCATTGCACCAAGACAAAGCATCCCAGCAGCCTCTGGAGAAATTAATGTACCTTAACTTGAATTAGTGGATAATTTCAGATCAGCTATTTTACATATCTAGCTGCTTCTCCTTCCCTCCATAGGCCACCTCTTGCCCTTTCTCTTCCTAAATCTGGCTCTCAAAGCTAAGTATTCTAGAAGTTAAACATTGAAGTAGAAATCAGTGGACATGATTCATGTCCTTACCCTCTCAGCAGATGCCTAGCCTTGTTCCTTTTTTACAGAGCCTTGTTTTCACAATTGTCATGTTAGCTCATGGAGGAAGTTGTTACTTCCTCCCATGATAGTTACATGACCATGGAGAACCCTAGAAGTCAGACAGACTTTACAATCCAAAGAAAATTACTCCTCGGTGGTAGGATTTTAGGTACCACAAAGGCAACTGTGGACAGAGAAAGCCTCTGACTGCCCCTAAAAATCACATCATATCTACAAATAAATAATGATGCCATTGCTTGATCATTAAATTCCTGTGGGATGTTGGCCGTGAAACTTCATCTTTTTGTATCTCTATTTCTCCCTTCCTGATGATACTTCCTTTCCATTTGCCAATCCACAACTGGCAAGGAGATCATCAAACGCAGTGGGCAAAGGCAGAATTTCTCTCTTTCTCATAGTATTTGCTGTAGTTCCACACATGGTGACTGAACACCTGGAGCAGAGGCCCCGTTGCACACTGAATTGGCCTCATTATATCATGAGCAAGATCTTCTATCACTGTTACTCCTTATTGTTGTGAAGACTTCTTTTATGTCTGGAAAGACATTTAGGCAACTTAGCATTGTGATAGAAAACAGCTAAACTACTACAGTTTTCTAAGTTCAAATCAAGATTTCACTCACCCCCTAGCATCTTACTAAAACCTGGGTTTCCTATAGGGGAGGATAAATTGCCCACAAAGTTATGACTACCAGAATTGGGACTCTGTTCTGTGAAGTAGAAATAAATGCAGAGACCATTTTTTCATCCTAGAGTAAGTAGAAAAAAAGCAACAGTTATTTTCACTTTCTTTTGGCACACTTGGTTTGGCCTAAAACCATCAACTGTAGAGGTATATTGGTCTTGAAAAGAAAAAACAACCAAGGTGTACAGAAAAGGAAGTGCCTACTTGCATAGTGGAGTTAGAGAAGGTTTCCCAGAGAGGCCATTTTACTTGGCCATTGAATGCTGCAAAAGTAGAACTTTTATAGACATGCAAGTATCAGAGGCATGTGAACCAGAACAACTCCATCTTGAATAGGAACTGGGCAAAATGAGGCTGAAACCTACTGGGCTGCATTCCCAGACAGTTAAGGCATTCTAAGTCACAGAATGAGATAGGAGGTCGGCACAAGATACAGGTCATAAAGATCTTGCTGATAAAACAGGTTGCTGTAAAGAAGCTGGCTAAATCCTACCAAAACCAAGATGGCCAGGATAGTGACCTCTGGTCATCCTCACTGCTACACTCCCACCAGTGCCATGACAGTTTGCAAACGCCATGGCAACGTCAGGAAGTTACCCTATATGGTCTGAAAAAGGGGAGCACGAATAATCCACCCCATGTTTAGCATATCATCAAGAAATAACCGTAAAAATGGGCAACCAGCAGCCCTCGGCTATGCTGTCTATGGAGTACTCATTCTTTTATTCCTTTACTTTCTTAATGAACTTGCTTTCACTTTTCACTGCGGACTCGCCCTGAATTCTTTCTTGTGTGAGATCCAACAACCCTCTCTAGGGGTCTGGATGGGGACCCCTTTCCTGTAACATATTTCTCTGTCCTGTAACACTAAGAATAACAAGACATTACAGCTGTTTCTGTAATAAACAGCCAATAAACATTAACAGCTTAAAATGGTAAAGGTTTATTTCTTTCACTGTGTGCCCTTTCTGGGTTTGCAGGCACATTGTGTATTACTGTCATTCAGGAAGCAAGCTTCAAAGTTGCTTGTTACCATGCCAGAGACAAAATTAAATATATCAAAACATACTGGCTCCAAAAGTGACACACAACACTTCTACTCAACTTCCACTGGGGAACACAAGGCACATGGCCACGCCTAACTTCAAGTGGGCGGGAGAGTCATTCTTCCATGTTCCTGGAGAGTGGGAAGCAGAATATTTGTGAGTAGCCTTAAAACTATCCTGAGGCATGTGGCTAAGAAGAAAGGCATCAAAGAGCCTGGCATGTTTGAGACACAGTAAAAAGGTGAAATCTTAGCTTGGAAACCACCAATGAAAAACGTTATATGCCATACAATTTGGAATTTGTTCTGAAGGTGTGAAAAGTTTTTTTAAAAAGGATGTTAAGCCAAGGAATGATGTATTACATTTGTTTGAGGTACCTGATAATCAGATTAAATCAGATTCCAGCGCAATGATCCCCCTTGCTGCCACATGTGGAAAAATTCACAGATAACCTTGATGGGCTCCTCCATATGGGCTCCTAGGAAGAAAGAGTGAGCCAGGGTTCATGATGGGGCAGCACCAATTTGCTTTCCTGATTTTGTAACAGGGAAAGCAAAGTATTAAGCAGTATGGAGTGATCATTTTGCACTGTAGCATACTTCTTAAAGTTCATTCAGGTACCAGAGGCATTACCATGCATTATGCTAGGAGCACTGCCCCATGGCCAGTAAACTGAAATGCTATTTCCAGACTGGTAAAAAGTGAGATTAGCAAATGTGTTTACAACTTGCAATCCTAGCCCTTCACCCAGGAGCTGTGTTGAAACAACCTGAATCTAAGGGCATAATTAAGAGGACCCAGGGATTTATAGTTTGAGGCTTTTTGCCTGAGTACTTTCCCCAATTCACCCACTACTCTGAGCACAGAAATCCACAAATGTGCTGTCCTGAGGTGTGAGAGGGCAAAGGTCACAGCATTAGAGCAACCAGAATGTTCAAAAGTGTGTTGGTTTCCTACGGCTGCTGTAACAAGTGGCTATAAACTAGGTGGACTGCAATAGCAAAAATTTATTCTCTCACAGTTCTGGCTGTCAGCAGCCTGAAATCAGGGAGTCAGCAGAGCCGTGCTCCCTCTGGAGGCTCTAGGGAAAATCCATTCCTTGCCTTTTCAAATTTCTGGTGACTCTAGGCATTCTTTGGCTTGCAAATTATCACTACACTCTCTGCTTCCAAAGTCACATTGCCTCCTACTCTTCTGTATGTCTTCTTTTATGTGTCTCTGTCCCAACACTTCCTGTCTCTCTCTTATTAGAATACATGTGATTGCATTTAGGGCACACCCAGATAATCCAGGATAAATTCCTGCTCTCAAGATTCTTAATCACATCTTTGCCCCATTCATTTCATTTATTCATTTTGAAGGTAACATTCATAGGTTCCAGGGATTAAGATGCAGAAATATATTTTGGCAGGGGTGGGGGGGGCTACCATTCAACCCACTCTATAGTGGAAATCCTGGAAGGAAGGGTTCCTCAGAGGGATTGAGCCCCAAAATATGCATTTAAAATATGCCCAAAGCTTTGGCTAGCTGTCAAACTATACTATAAGTGTGGGACCCAAGAGAGCCTGATCAAAAAGAAGCAGCTGAAAACTGAAAAAACTGAGTGGAGATTCTAGCTGCTGCCAATGGAAAGGGAGACCATTTGGAGTTTGACTCTAGCTAAGTTAACTCTCTGCTAGAAAAAAAACAAATCATGCTCCAGAGAAATAACAGAATCTAAAGCCTCCATGGAGGAGTTGGCTTCAGGTCAAAATTGTATAACCATAAACAATTACAAAGATTTACCTGGCAGCCTGGCAAGGGGGAAAACTTACCCTCCCTCCCCGTGCCAGACTTGGTGCACAGTTAGTACATTGCAATCTCTGAAGGAAGTTGAGACTCCTTCAGAGACTGAAGACTCTGAAGTGGAGGACTCAGTCACCCTCTCCACCAACCCTAGCTAGCCATGCTCTTGTGCATATCTGCATTTCCAGCCAAGGCACCTCCATTCAGCAGCCTCCTTATGGGTAGGGTGGGGTGGGGTTCAGCTTAGATACCATGCAGGCACCACTGCTAAGACCTCCTTATCCTTGAGGACACTTTTCACCACTCTGACTCAGTCTTTCATGCGTATCTTTTTCCTGTTTCTCTCATTCCATCCCCCGAGTCCAGAAAATGGCAGGAACCTTTTGTTCCCCAGCTGCAGTGATCCATCTGACCCTCACCTGGTGGCACTCCATGAGGAAAAAATGGAGCATTGAGAGAACTGGCACTACTCTTCTCTTTTTGGCCTCTTGCTTAGACTAACACAGTAAGTGAATAAAGGCTTGATTGTTGCTTTCAGTTTGGCTGTTGCCTGAATTGATCACCTTGACACCTCATAGCTCTCAACATCTACTCTATATATTCATAATGTACAGTTTTCAGTTAAAAAATAAGACATGTAGAAACACAAAAATGATGGTGATACTCAAGAAGAAGGAAGATGAGGACGAGGAGAAAAATATAAACCAGACCCAATATTGTCTAGATGCTGCAATTATCAGACAAGGACTTTAATGCAGCTGTTATAAATATAGTCAAGGACTTAAAGGAAAATATATGTACAATGAATAAGCAAATGGAGAATATCCATAGTGAAAAAAACTATATTAAAGAACAAAATTTGAATTCTAGAGCTGAAAAAAATAAAATTATAGAAATAAAAATTTATTGACTTAACTGTAGATTAAAAATAGCAAGAGTCAGTGAATTTGAAAATAGATCAATAGAAATGATCTAATCCGAAGAACAGAGAAAAAATGATGGAATTAAAATGAACAGTCTCTCAGAGAACTGTCAAACCATTTATCAAGTAGCTTAATGTGTATGCAATTGGAGTCCTGGGAAGAGAAGAGATAAAAAAAATTGAGCAGAAAAAATACTTAAAGAAACACTGAATGAAACTTATGAAGGACATCAATTTAAAGATCCAAAATGCGCCCACAAACCCCAATAAATATAAATGCAAAGAAAATCACATCAAGACATATCATAGTCAAATAGATAAAATGGAAAGATAAAAAAGAATTTTGAAAGCAACCAGAGAAACAATGATGTATTACATACAGTGGAAAATGGATGCAGATCACGGCTGGCTTCTTATCAGAAACAATAAAGAATGGAAAACAATGGCTACTTTCCTGGCAAAACCTATGCTATGACTCATATCTCAGTCATATTATAAGCTACAGCTAATAGATAGAAATCTGCTCTAATCACCCACACAAAGTGTCATTATAGAGACTAGAGCCAGGTTTCTTACTCATTATGGAGTAGAAGAGGCAGTGTATAGGCTTCTTGGGATACTAACTAAAAGACACTGGGACCAAGGCTTCAAAGAAACAATGTCAAGTTGGGGAACAGAGGCCTCAGAATTGGGGAAGTCAAAAGCTAAAAATGCAGTACCAGCTGTTTACAGCAGGCCCACTGCCATCTTAAACCTATAGTAGGGCTTGAGCAGGCACATTGGCTTCAGGATCTGATTTTTAAGATGGAGATGGCAAGAATAGCGTTGTAGCCTCTAAGATTAGGCCTACAAGTCCCCTTAACAAGAGTAGTTGCTCTAACATATTGATTCTTTACAATAGACCAACAACTTGGGGATTCAATTATTCATTAAACAAATATTTATCATGCACCTACTCTGTTAGGCTATTTTACATTCTGGAGATACATCAGTAAGAAAATAAGGCAAATCTTATTGCTCTTATGTTGCTTATATTCCAGCAGAAAGAAAGAAAGAAAAATTATGATAAATAAGTAAATTATCTTATATTAGCAAGTAATAATTAGTATGGAAAAAACAGAGAGATTGTGAGTGTTGAAGGAATATTGAAATTTTAGATGGGATGGTCAGGGTAGGCTTCACTTAGAAGGTGACATTTGAGCAAAGAGTTTAATGATAAGGAAGCATTGTGAATATCTTGGGAAAGAGTTTTGCAGGCAGGGATAATAGCCAGTGCAAAGACCCTGAGGCAAGAATGTGCTTTCGGCTGCACAAGGCCTAGTTCATGCATCCAAACAAGAGGTTGGAGCAGTTTATTTCCTCTCTCTTTGAGGTCAGGATGGATTTTGGGAACTGAAGTGGACTGAGCCAACAAGGCAGGGATCAATATCCAGCAGCTATAAGGAGAAGTGGGGATGCCAAGGCTGAGACTAGGACTGGGCCTGAGAACAGTAGTATGAACTCTGCCACTTCTCACTCAAACTATCGTCTAGCTTTTCTCTTTTTCCTGGATCTTCTTTGTGCCTAATCGATATGTTATTTGTAAGCATGAAATCTGACTTTATGAACTCTGTGATAATGTACAATGTTTTCAAGTTGTTTCACTAAAGGAGTAATTATAAAGTCTTAATTGCTTATCTTTTATATCAAAGCATTGAAATAACATTTAAATAGATCAAAGTGTTTAGAGAAAGATGCAAATTGGCTTTATCACAAGAATGTGGGAGAATCTGGACTTTGACTTGGCATATAAGTTGGGTTGCCTGTCCAGTACCACCTTAACTCCTGAAAAATAGGGGCTCCTGCTCAAACTGAGGCTGTACCTATCACAAACACCAATGAATGTGGTAAAGAACACATAATACTTTTGGCCACAACTAGTCAGTGCTGGTTCATTGTTACCCATAACTCAGCATTTGCTCCTGTGGTTAACACCACTCAGGCCCCAAAGAAATGCTTCAGTACATTTCTTGGTCTGTGTGCTCAAAGTACAAAGTAACTGTTTCAATAATACTGTAAGGTTTATGGGTTATGCTGCTGTTGATATTGGACACAAATGGCTTTGAAGTGCAAGAGAACTGGAGCAGTGAAAGTGCGTAGTTAAGTGAAAAGATAAATTATTTGACTTGTCAAATCTCTACTCTCAGATAGCATGCATACAATGAATTCTTGTGCAACGAAGTATAATTTCTCTATAATGCTGAGTGTCTATTTTTTTGCTCTTTGATTTCATGTCTTCAGAGTTTCTCACAAATTAGTATGGAATCCCAACAATTGCAAATGGCAGCTGAGGAATATTTTATAATATCAAATAATTCACATCACTTAAATTTTCATATGTGTAGGTCTATACATAACTTTTGTAGTGCATAACACAAATTTTTACTTTGACAATTAGATGGATATGGTATAAGATAATTGTGAATGATTTCATGTAAAAAATGTTTGATAAGATTTATTTTCAAAAAGTAAAATAAAAGTTGATATTCACCAGTTGTAGTTGTATTTCTTATATTTTAGGAGAAAATTTAATCTGAGAGCATATAATATAGTTTTAATTAATTTTTTACATTTACTTTAAGATTTTTAACTAAAATTTACACAGATGTTTAGAGTTCAAATATATGTCTCAGTTTTAAATTCTCAGATCATTGCTATCAATAGAACAGGATTTTGCCAGAATGGAGACAAAAAAAATGAATGTAATGAAATATATACATAGTAAATTTTGAATTATGTATGTCTTAATATTGCTGTTTATCCAAACATTGCCAGACTATTAACAGACACCCAGATGCAGCAATAACTAAATGTAATCACTTTTGATATTTGATTCATTTAAATTAAAACCATAACTTTATACATATTTTTTGATTTTTATCTTTATGAAGATACATTTGTCAAGATTAGAAGTAACATTTTATTCAATGATTGGTTTATAACTTTTACATATTTAAACAAAATGTATGTTTCTCCATTTGTACTCTTGCCCTTGGTCTTTGAAATATTAGGGAAGCTTCTCCCCTGGCCTTCTATCCACAGGATCTTTTCAGTATGATGATATGAAGCCCAGGGCTCCAAAGATAATTTTTGAAAAGATCATCCCAAACAAGTCACACTCTGGCTGTGAAATATACATTATTTAGATTCCAGAAGAATCAGGTTTGGGGATTCCTTCACCTAACAGTACCTTGTTAGAACAGTGGCTCTGTAATGAAAAGGGGTGAGGACCTGGAGTTAGAAGTCCCAGGTCTATGTCCCAGCCTCATTAGTTACTTCCTTTGTGATCTTAGACAAAATAACTCACCTAGAACATCAGTTTCTTCATCTACGTGATAATAAGTGCTGTTTTGACTACTAAATAAGATGACATGTAAAAGCCTACAGAACAGAATATTGAATTTTGATAGTTGGATTAATAGCCAATCCCAGAAGCAATTTGTGGCAAACACAGTGTGTACTTGTTTACCTGATGGGCATTTTCTGGCTCTTTGCCCTATAGTGCTAAAACAGGAAAGAAAATTTCAAACATATACAAAAGCATAAAAAAAAAGTAGAATAAGTTTTGAATTACCTACCTATACTCCTCTACTTCTCTCCTTTCCCATGGATAATTTTGAAGCAAATTTCAGAGTTATATCACTAAATTAATAAGTATACTTTTTATTTCAGGAAGTCTTTTTATTACACAGGAATTAACATATTTTAGAGTTTGCCTTTGGCATAGATTTTAGGTCTGACATTTGGCAGTTTTTCAAAAGTCTTAATTTCTTTTTTCTCATCAGGGACTCTAGAAATGAATTGAGCAGAAAGTTAATAGATTATCACCTATGTCACCTAAACACATAGCACTAGTATCAGTACTCTTTGGGCATTCTGTAATTTCTAGTAATTTTCACTCTAGCATTATTTCTTCATGCTAAGCATTGTCAACAGAAACACCAATAGAGTCCATCCTTATACCTGCTAGGTTATTAAAATTTTATATGTGGTTGATTTCTCTCTAATTACTAGCTGTAAAACTCCTATCAAAATAGAAAGCTTATTTGTATGCATGTTGTTTCACAAACTGCAGGGTGCAGAACAAATTAAGACACTTTCTTCTGCTTCCCAGAGAGTTAGTGCATTAGCTTCTTATTGCTGCTGTAACAAACTGTCACAAATATAGTGGCTTATGACAACGCAAATTTATTATCTTACAGTTCAGAAGGTCAGAAGTTTAAAATGTGTTGGCAGTATTGGGATCCTTCTGGAGGGTCTAGAGGAGAATCTGTTTCCTTGGCTTTTCTAGAAGCCACATACATTTCTGGATTCTTGGCCTCTTCCTCCATCACCAAAGCAGCAGCATAGCATCTTCTGTTTCTGTTTCTGTGCTTAATTTATTACATTGCCTTCTGTCTTTTATCCTCCTTCCTCCCTCTTATGAGGACCCTGCTGGTTACATTGAACCCATTCAGATAATCCAGAATCTCTTCATCTCAAGATACTTGATTTAATCACACTTGCAAAGTTCTGTTCTTTTCTTTTCTTTTTCCTTTTTTTTTTTTTTTTTTTGAGACAGAGTCTCTATCCCCCAGGCTGGAGTGCAGTGGCGCGATCTCCACTCACTGCCACCTCCGTCTCCTGAGTTCAAGCGATTCTCATGTCTCAGCCTCCCGAATAGCTGGGACTGCAGGCGTGCACCACCACACCTGGCTAATTTTTGTATTTTTAGTAGCGACGGGGTTTCACCATGCTGGCCAGGCTGGTCTGGAACTCCTGACCTCGGGTGATCCACCTGCCTCGGCCTCCTAAAGTGCTGGGATTACAGGCATAAGCCACCGTGCCCAGCCTTCTTTTCTTTTAAATGTAACAAAACATTTCATAGATTCTGGGAATTTGAGTATAAACATCTTTGGGAGACCATTATTCAGCCTACCACACCCAGCCAGCTTAGGGATAGAGAAAAAGGGAAAAGGAAGGATAAAGCAAGCAAGAAAAATAGAGGGAGGCAGCTGGTGGAGAGATGACGACAGGTTTGCAGCAAGATGGTGCAGAGAAGCAGGAGAAGCATCCCTATGTGTCTGACTTGTAGAAAAGTGCTATGGCATGAATGTGTCTCCTAAAAGTTCATGTGTTGGAAATTTAATCCCTCTACCTTATGAATAGTTTAACAGATTAATGAGGATTCTTCTCTCATGAATAAATTAATGTCACTATCACAGAAGTGGGTTCCTTATTGAGAGAGTAGTTTTGTTTCAAAAGTGGGCTCTCTCTGACTTTCTTCTTCTTGCCCTCTTGCCATATGATGCCCTGTGCCATGTTATGACACAGCAAGAAGGCCCTCATCAGATGCCAGTGCTATGCTCTTGGACTCTCCAGCCTCCAGAACTTTAAACTAAATAAACTTCCTTTCTTTATAAGCTATTCTGTCTGTGGTATTCTATTATAGCAACAGAAAATGGACTAAGACAGAAGGTGCTCTTCAACAGCTGGCAAATTAGTGGGTGGAAGCTTCTATCTACAACCTGCTGAAAGCTTTAGAAAAGTGGTGAAAATATCACAGAGAAATGTAGAAATAAGGACTGTTTTAGTGTTTTTTTTCCTGTGGGTACATATATTCTTAATATTTATAAACATGTCTTTTAACCATGAGTAATTTTTATAATACTGGTTTATTCTGAGTGTATGCACACATTTAGACCCTAAGAACCCTAGAATAAAAATAAAAATATTAGCCAGGTGTATTAGTCTTCTAAGGCTGTCATAACAAAATACCACAGACTGGGTGACTTAAATGAGAGAAATTTATTTCCTACAGTTCTAGAGGCTGGAAGTCCAAGCTCAAGGTGTCAGTTTTGGTTTCTCCTGAGGTCTCTCCCTTTGGCTTGCAAATAGCTGCCTTCTTGCTATGTCCTCATATGGTCTTTTCTTTGATGTCCCTTCCTTTTTTTTTTTTTTTTTTAAGGGACACCATTCACATTTGATTTAAACCCTTACCCACATGATCTCATTTAACATGAATTATCTCAAGGGCCCTTTCTCCAAATACAGCTACATCGGGAGTTAGCCTTCAACCTACACATTTGGGAGAAACAATCATTCTATAACATCAGGAATCAGAATGTGCTGGATAAGACAATCTTCCAGATACTATGTTTTGTACTAAGAGTACATATCAGATAACACTGTAGTAAGTATGGGTTGAAAGAGACAATTCCCAAAATGGAACAAATAAAGTGAAGGCCTAACTCCAAACCATCCAGTAATGCCTGCCTCCATAGTCAGAGTGCTCTAAGCAGAAAGAAACACAAGGGCAAAAGTCCTGAGAAGGAAAAGATGCTTAGTAGAGTTGAGGAGTAGAGAGAAGATCTCTCTAACTAGAGCATGGGACAAGAGGGAGGAGGGTAGGAAGGTAATTTTTTTATTAATAGGGACAAATCATGTGGGGCTTTGCAGGACATGGTAAGGACTTTAGATTTTTCTTTTATGCAGAAAATAAAATTTTATCTCATTGCCACTGTGTGGCTGATGAACTTGGGGTTGGAGTGGTAAGAGAGCATCTAGGAGACTGCTTATGAGGCTGCTGTGTTTCTTCAGATGGGGGAAGAGGTGGTTTGACCCAGAGTCATAACAGTGTAGTGGTATTCAATGGTCATATTTGTAATGTATTTTGAAGGTGACCCGAAGGGGGTTACCGCTAAATTAAATTTGGGGTGTGAAGGAAAAGAAAAGAATGAAGCTTGTAGAAAGAGCCCTAGAGAACCCAATATTTTGAGAGCCGATTTGGCAGGAGATGCCCAAAGGAGATAATAAAACAGAGTGCCACCTCCACGGAAGATCGGGACTGAAGACTGGGGCTAATGGGCAGATTGTGGAGAAACCAGGAAAATAGTTATCTTCCTTAAAATGGAATTAGAATGTGATTTTCCAAGAATATTTTATTCCTGAAAAGGGAGAGACTGACGATTGAGATAAACTGGATTGCATCCTCCATCGCTATGCAGTAATTGTACATGTCAGGCACAGCAAGAGTTATGCCATGATCTCCTGTGATATTGTTTGTAGTGGATAAAATGGAAAAGTATAGCATAGACAATATAGGGATTTGTAATTTATTGAGAAAATTTGCTCCAAATGACAAATGACTCAACTACAGCTTAGGAATACTTTTCTTATAACTATAGAAAGCTGCCCATAGCTTAGATGAGGACATAGAGGGCTTGCTCGTTAAATTTGTGTATGATATGAAGCTACAAAGAGACATGAATACATAAAAGACAAAATCATTATCTAAAACCATTTGCATTTATATCTAAAAAGTTTAATTTAATGAGGATTTATGTAAGGTCTTTTACATGGTCCAAAAAAGCCCCACAAACAACTGAACAAATGCAAGTGTGGAGAGTTATGAGTGGATAGACACATCCATGAAAGACATAGCAGTTTTAGCATTCAGAGAGGCCAATATTAGCCTGTAGTGTGATATGACTGCCAAATAAATTAATGCAATCCCAGGTGGTGTTCATGATATATTATCTAGATATACATATCTTAGATATGTATATATATACGTGTGTGTATGTATACATTAGACCACATTTAATCTCTTCGAAGTCACAACTTAAGAATATTGACAAATGGAAATAAAGTTTAACCAAGAGAGATAGACTGAAAAACACACCTAAGATATGGAAGACCTAGGTTATGTTTAATTCATTCAACAAATATTTGCTGTATGATCAGTTCGTGTCAGATGTCTTTATAGGCACAGGAGCTACAGCAGGAAAAAACTGCTCTTAAAAGGATGAAATCCTAGAAAGGAGTAATAGCTAATAACTGCTATATAGAAGAGATATAAGATGCATTCTGGATGGATCAAAGGAGAAGACATTAAAATGATTAGGAGCTTTAGGAAAATCTAATTTTAATATTTAAAAACTAACAAAATTCTTAACAGCTTTCTAAGAAAAATGAATTATTTTGACATAGTAAGTTCTCTTTTAGTAGACTTGTTAGGAAAAATAGGAAGCCATACATTTAATCTTTTCTAAAGGCATTTTACATGCACATTTTAGAAAAGTAGAAGTACAAAAAGAAAGAAAAATCACACTTAATTCAATAACTTTGTGGTAGTCAGTATTTCTCCCTCTTTCTCTAAATATCTGTCTCCATACACTGAAGATCAGGATCACACACACACACATGACTAATCCTATAATTATATTTACATATTAGATGGTTGAGATCTTACTGTGATATAGCTTTACGTTCCTTTTTTACTAAACATTATAAGTATTTCCATAACACTTAAAGTTCTCTGTGAATATCATATTAATGGTGGAACAATATTATATCATATGTGCCATGGATTTTTAAACCATTCCTCTGGTGCTGGAAATTTATGATGTTTTAATTTATTTGGTCATAAATGATTCTGTGGTAAGTAGCTTTGTGTTCGCTGTGCTCTCATCTAATTATTTACTTGGAATAGAGTTAGGAAAGTGTAATTACTATGCAAAAAGCTATGGGATTTTTTAAGATTTTAGATGTATATTATAAAATTAATTTCAGAAAGGTTAAATCCATTTACATGCCTATTAGCATGAGAATTCCAACCTCACCTCACTCTTAGCCAATATTATTATTTTTAAAATCTTTTCTAATTTCATGGGCAAAAATTAGTGTTACATTTTCATTGACTCTCCTTAGATGACTAATGAGGCTGAAAATGTACTTCAGATACTTATTAACTACTTGTCTTTCCTGTAAGTTTTCTTATGCTCAAGTTTTCCAATGGTGGTGCAGAATTTTCCTTATTGACTTGAATATAATCTCTAGACAGTAAGAATATTACTTTGTAAATATTTATTATGTCTTTGTGGCAATTACTTTTTCTTCCTTGTCTTTCTTCTTTGGTTTTGATTATTATATTTACATAGCAGAAAAAATATTGATAAATTTGATGATAAAAAATAAAATTTAGTGAATATTATAAAATAATATCAAAATAAAATGCATAAAGCTTTGAGACACTTGAATCAAATGTTTCCAACAAAATATTAACATGCCTCATATTTAACACTTCAAGCAAATCTATGAAAAATATCAAAATGCAATAAATAGGTGCAAAAAGAACAAAAACACACAATGAATCCAAGAAACAGTTTAATCTCCACAGCAATGAAATAAATCAAAACAAAACATCAACATCAATGATGAAATTTCATCTATCATATTATCAAATATTAAAATAAATGATAATACTGCTGTCCGCATGGTGATACAGATGCATGCAAATTTTGGGAAAACATTTTGGTAACATGCTATGTATTAACAACTTCAAAATATGCTTATTTTTGTTTCAGTAAGTGCAGTTTTGGAAAATTGTATTGAATCAGAGATATGACACAGGCATGTTTATTGCATCATGATCTGTAAGCAGTCTACATATGCAATATAAAGAGATGATTTAAGTAAATTATGTTCTGTTTATAAAGTGAAATGTCATGCTGCTAATGAGTGAGACTGTCATTTTGGAAATTAAAATAGGATAGCTAAGAAAACATTCAGTAAAATGCTTGAAAGATAAAACTGTGGATATCCCCTGGAAAGTAGAAGAAAAAGGTGAGAAATATATGGAAATCCTGGAATCTGTTTGGGAAGGCCAACATTCAATTAATAGGTTTCCAAAAGGAAGAATAAGTAAATTAGTGGAAAAGGAAATGATCAAGGAGTAAAACATGCAAGGACATTTTCCAGAACTAAACGATATTTGTTTCCAGATTCCTGGGCCCTCATGGCCACCATAATGCATGGGAGGGGTATGTAGGGAAGAGACCCACACCAACATAATCATGACATTTCAGAACACTCTGGAGATAAAGATCCTAAATATTTCCAGAGAGAAAAATCATGTCTCAGGCAAAGGCCTGAAACAAGAAGGCAGCAGATTTTCTCAACAACAACACTGGATGCTAGAAGACAAAAATGCCTCGGAAAATCTGAGAGAAAAGGATCTTCAACCTAGAATTCTATATCCAGCCAAACTATCAATCATACAGAAGAGTAGAGTAGTGGTATTTTTTTGGCCAGCAAAATTTCAAGAAATATACCTACATTTATCTTCATTGAAATCCTCTCAAGAAACTACAAGAGGCTGTTTTGTACCAAAGCTAGGATTTATAGTAAGAGAAAAGCACAGAGTTCAGGAAGCAAAGGTCTCTAACAGGAGGGAGGCAAGCAAAATCCAAGGATGATGGCAAGGTAGCTCCCACAGGTCAGCTGTGCAGCAGGCAAAAGGGAAGCCTGTCTTAATAACATTGTGTGGACAGAGGAACTCTGGATGGCTATCTCTTTCCGTTTATCATAATCACCACTAGTCCTTATAAATTTCCCAACTGTGATCTGCTACCTGATAGATTTGAACGTGAAGAACATTGTAGTAAGAGGTGTTTTATGTAATTGTTGAAGGGTGTCAGAAGACTAAGAGATTAAAAGAAATGAAGAAAAAATGTCAATGAGGCAACTTTAACTCCAAGATAAAGAAAAAAGGTAGTAATAATCATTGCTTTTTTTTATATTTTACTGACTACTTCCATCACATGACTTAATGTTCTAAGCCATTTTACACATATCAACTCATTTAATTGTAAATATCACCTTAGCAAGTTGGTACTATTGATATCTCCGTTATTCAGGTGGGAAAAAATAGAAAGATTGGCCTGAGGTGCCAGAATGGGATTCAAGCAGCCTGTTAGGCTCTGAACTGCCTCTCTAAGAAAGAAAATGTAATCACAGCATTCAATTTCATTTGGCAGTAAGCACTATTTGCATAGTCAAAATGATAAAACCACTGAGTACACATTGAACCAAAACTGTCATGTAATCATATCAGGAGGATGAGGGAGTGGGAAAAAGAAAAGACATAAAAGCAAATAAACTAACAAAACACTCTGCCTGCAATAAGAGTCAATAAATAACACCTAGACACACACATATGTGTGCATATATATGTACATATGTGTTCATGTGTGTATATATCTAGGTATTTATCAACTTCCTGTTACTGCGGGTGATATATGTGGATATATATGTATATGTGGGTGTGTATGTGAATAATATGGAGGAAAATATTCGAAGAAAAAAATCGAGAGTAATAGCTTCTAGTAGCTATTTGGCAGCATTTGATTTTTAATTTAAAACTATGTGCATGTATTACACACACATACATACCTATACCTATAATGTACTATATCTATGTACATTTCATGCTGACAAAGATTTTTAAAGGTCTTGGTCCTGGTTAATAGCCTGTGGACCTGAGTGCACCTCTGCTCTTCTGCCTGTCTGGAACCTCCCCTGCCTCTCAAACTTACCTACAACCCTACAATCTAAAGGGTACAGGCCTGCTAGAGCCTGGGACTCCAGGACCCCCTCTACCCCACAGCCAGCCTGGCATGGACCTCATCCCCATTGGGTCTGTGCTTATGTCCTCCCAGCCATTAAATATTTCTTAATATTATCCTTGTTTATGAAATTACCTTAAATGAAAAAAGAAGATACAAATTATTTCTATAAAGTCAATAAAAATGAGTTTATGTGGGAAATAATACATTGTTTTACTCTTTATACTTGTCTAGATTTTAAAAGTGTTTCACATAAAAATCACAGAGTAATTTTAAGACTGACAACAAATGTAAGAAAAAGCACAAAATGAAACTCATAGATGGATAAAGTCACGGATTTATAATATGCCTAACTATGTCTCTGCATTACAGAAGCTGGTACAGGCCAATCCTCACTTTCATAAATAGCCCTGGAAACATTTGAAAGGCAAATGTTTGAGTCAAAATATGGACATAAGTGTTATGAAAGGGATCTTGAGCCTAGATAATTTAAACTAATTAAAAATCTCTATTTATCACCCTTATGATTATAGGAAAAGACAACCTCCTTTGGACCCAGGAGGCCAGGTAGACAGATGACAGCTCTCATGAGTGCCCGGTCAGATAGGAGGCACAAGCCAACAGTCCTAGGCCAGGTTAGATGACTGGCCACTCTCAATCATTAAATCCTTATTCAGCTGTATTAGATATACAGAGCAGGGTGAGAAGTGGTCTAATTTGTTTAATTTTCCAAGCCCAAGACATGTTACATCTTAAATTGCTCCCCTGTCTGCCAGCATATAAGAGTTCTTATTGCAGGCTGCCTATAACTTCTCCTCACAACCCTTTGAACTTTCCGAGCCCAAAAGTCTGCTCCAGAGCCAGATGCCCACTATTGCAGGCTGCCTATAACTTCTCCTCACAACCCTTTGAACTTTCCGAGCCCAAAAGTCTGCTCCAGAGCCAGATGCCCACAGTGTCCAATGCCAGAGCCCCTTTACCCAGGTGAAGATAAGCTGACCAACTATCCCATCTTGCTCTTGCTTGGGCCTGGGTGGAAAGAGAGTTTCCAGGATATGAGATTTTTAGTGCCTAAATCCATCTTGGGCAAACTTGGATGAGTTGGTCACCCGAGCTGGAGGTCACCCTAGCTGTAGATTATTATTGGATAAGATGTAACTGTCACCCACTGGGGCTGTAGAGGAGGGGATCAATGGACATCTCTGCTAGGTGACCAAGGGCTACCTGTGAACACTCTCTGTCCCCCTAACTTTTTCCAGAGGGACAGTGGCTGGAAGATAGAGTCCTCTCCATGACAGTGAGAAATTACCTTTCTTTAAATGAGATGTGAAGGAGAGGTCAGCTGACACAGGAGTCAGCTTTTAAATATTACGTGTAAGACCAAAAGCTTCAGGGGCCTGATAGGTGAAGTAGTGGTTGGGGAACTCAAATGGACAGACGGAGTGGTAGAGATCATAGCAACCTAAGAAGCCTCTCTTAGGGCAGGTGATCCTCGGCTCCCACTGAAATCTCAAGTTGGAAACAGGATCTAGTTTGGTAGATCTTCCCATTTTTTAGGGGAAGCTAGCAACCTGGATTTTTATGTGATATTTCAACTTTTCAATGTGGAAGACCAATTCAAAAACATGTAATCACTGTGCAGTGTTTCTCAACTCATGTCTGTGAGTAACTGTGATGCATGCTCTCTGCAAAAGTAAGATGTGTGTCTCCGTTACACTAATTAAAGGTTCACCATGTGATATAGAAGATGCCTGGAGTGGGGATCAGAGAATATCCGCAAGACTCGCCATTTGGCGTCAGCTGCTTTGCATCCTGGTTCTCTCTCTCCTTTTCTCTCCAGGTGTGCAAGTCTCTCCACATCCCCTTCACTCCCCCCCACCCAAGAATTGGGCATACTACATGGGAGAGATCTTCTTTGATTTGTTTCTTTGCTTCTTCCTCATCCCTCCCTCCCCCAACCAGCTTTGAATATTGAACTGGCCATTTCTCTCTAAGGTGGCACATGGCATTAGAGCAATTCGAAAAATTGCTCTAATTTTTCAATTAAAACTTATGGGTTCATTATTAGTATCTTGCATTTTAGAAATTCCTGCTGCAGAATCAAATTCCCTGGGCTCCTATTTGGCCTTTGAAACCAATACTTTATCTAGACACAATGAAGGGGAACACCCTTGGCTGGGGCTTACTAATGGGGAAGAGCGAGTCCCTAGAGCTGTTGGTGTCTAAGGGCACATTCTACAACTCCTAATTAGTGATTCAGAAATTAATTTTCGTTTTGTAGATTAAAGTTGCATTTGTAAATTAACACATATAAGCCTTCTGGCATATCAATGAAGGGGGAAAGCCACCAACACTGAACTACTGAGCTCTAGTAGCTCTGAAATGCCCAAATAGTGTGAGAAGTTAGGAAGGTCCCAAGGACAGTGCTTCTGAAAGTCTTATCTGAAGCTCACTTGCAACAAATGAAGCATTTCAGGAGGTATTTTAGAAATACAGCTTCAAGGCCAGGCGCGGTGGCTCAAGCCTGTAATCCCAGTACTTTGGGGGACTGAGGCGGGAGGATCACCTGAGGTCGGGAGTTCAAGACCAACCTGACCAACATGGAGAAATCCTGTCTCTACTAAAAATACAAAAATTAGCTGGGCTTGGAGGCGCATGCCTGTAATCTCAGCTACTCGGGAGGCTGAGGCAGGAGAATCACTTGAATCCGGGAGGCGGAGGTTGTGGTGAGCCAAGATCACACCATTGCACTCCAGCCTGGGCAACAAGAGTGAAACGCTGTCTCAAAAAAATAAATAAATAAATAAAAAATAAAAATACAGATTCAAGGGCCTAACTCTCAACCTATTGAATCACATTATGTAATCAGAAGGCCCAGGACTCAACTTTAACAAGCTCCCGGCGTCGTTTTCATGCACAATACATTAGAAGACCTGCCGCTACAGGGCCTTTATTCCTGGTTTCTAAGCAGCCACCAAAGCCTCAGATTCCAGGCTGGGAGAGCAAGATGGAGGTTAGTCTTATCTCACCTTTTGGTCAGATAAAAGAGACTAATAATAAATAGGATAAAAGAATACAAGAGAAGAGGAACCACTCATATGAGAATTAGAAAATCATGTTTGAAATGAGGGCAGTTTTCAAAGAGACAATTATGAGAGGAGACAGCCCAGTCTCATAATGGCAAGGTATTCTGAAAGGCAGGCAAGATTTATTTCAAGTGTACCTCATGTCAAGAACTCCACTAGGCAGTGACATTCATTACTTCAGCAACATTTACTGAACACCTATATGTAAAAAATTCAAGCCAAAACACATTACATAGAATATATAGGGCAATTTAATATTGATAACCTGAAGCTATAACAGCCATTATACTTTCTGTGCAAATAGCATACACTGTTAGTAATATAAACGTAAGCAGAAAGACAATAGTAAGATATTTTGACATACCTTCAATCAATCTGCTAAACCAAGTAGATAAAACTTAATGTTAGAGAACTTTAATAATGTGACCAATAGGTTGGAATTACTAGATGTATGGCAAAGTATATAACCTAAAATGGATGATCCATGTGTGCCCTCAAACACTGATAGTGTAAATAGGCATAATTTTTCCAGAGGGAAATTGGGTAGTATGTATCCAAAATCTTTGAAATGTGCATATCTTTAATCTTGAAATCTTAAACCTAAGAATTTTTACTATGGAGAAAGATGTATGCACAAAGATGGTGGCTGAAACATATACAAGTCCCAAAATGGGGGACTTCTCAAATAAATCAGTGCCTTTGGCATATGGGCATACCTCATTTTATTGTGCTTTTTTTTTTTGAGCTTTGTAGATATTGCATTTTCTACAAATTGAAGGTTTGTGGTAACCCTGTGTTGAGCAAGTCTATCAGCACCATTTTTCCAATAGCATGTGCTTATATGTGTCACATTCTAGTAATTCCCACAATATTTCAAATGTTCTCATTATTATTATATCTGTTATGATGATCTGTAACCAGTGATCTTTGATATTACTATTGTATTTGTTTTGGAGTGCCATGGACTGCACCCATATAAGACAATAAAGGCCAATTAATAATTCTACAATGGCCTCTAAGTGTCTAAGTGAAAGCAAGAGTTACACATCTTCCACTTTAAATCAAAAGCTGGAAATGATTAAGCCCAACAAGAAAGGCATGTCAAGAGTCAAGATAGGCCAAAAGCTAGGCCTCTTGGAGCAGTCAGCCAATTATAAATGGAAAGGAAAAGTTCTTGAAGCAAATTGAAAGAGCTATTCCAATGAACATACCAGTGGTAAGAACGCAAAACAGCCTTATTGCTGATATGAAGAAAGTTTTAGTAGTCTGAATAGGCGGTCAAACCAGCAACAACATTCTCTCCATCCAAAGCCTAATCCAGAGCAAGGTTCTAACTTTCTTCAGTTCTATGAAGACTGAGAGAGATGACAAAGCTGCAAAACAAAAGTCAGTAGCTAGCTGAGGTTGGTTCCTGAGGTTTAGTGAAAGAAGCCACCTCCAGAACATAAAAGTGCACAGTGAAGCAACAAGTGCTGATGTAGAAAAGCTGCAGCAAGTTATCCAGAGGATCTAGCTAAGATCACTGATGAAGGTGGTCACACTAACAACAGATTTCCAATGTAGACAAAACAACCTTCCATTAGAAGAAGATGCCATCTAAGGCTTTCATAGCTAGAGAGGAAAAGTCAATGCCTAGCTTCAAAGCTTCAAGGAACAGGCTGACTCTCTTGTTAGGGGCTAATGCAGTTGGAGACTTTAAGTTGAAGCCAATGCTCATTTGCCATTTGGAAAATTCTGGGGTGCTTAAGAATTATGCCAAAGCTACTCCACCTGTCTGCTATAAATGAAGCAACAAAGCCTGAATGACAGCACGTTTGTTTATGGTATGGTTTACTAAATATATTGAGCCCACTATTGAGATCTATTGCTCAGAAAAAATTCCTTTTGAAATATTACTGCTCACTGACAGTGCATCTGGTCACCTAAGAACTCTGAGATATACAAGGGAATTAATGTTTTCATGCCTAACACAATATCCATTTCACAGCCCATGGATGAAGGAATGATTTAGACTTTCAAATCTATTATTTAAGAAATACATTTTGTAAGACTGTAGATGCCATAGATAATGATTCCTCTGATGGATCTAGGCAAAGCAAATGGAAAACCTTCCGGAAAAATATTATAATTTTTTTTTTTTTGAGACAGAGTCTCTTGCTCTGTCACCCAGGCTGGAGTGCAGTGGCACAATCTTGGTTCACTGAAACCTCCGTCTCCCAGGTTCAAGCGATTCTCCTGCCTCAGCCTCCTGAGTAGTTGGGACTACAGGCATGAGCCACCTCACCCAGCAAATTTTTGTGTTTTTAGAAGAAATGGGATTTCACATGTTGGCCAGGCTGGTTTTGAACTCCTGACCTCAAGTGATCCGTCCTCCTCAGCCTCCAAAAGTGCTGGGATTACAGGCATGAGCCACGCACACAGCCAGGAATTTATAATTCTTGATGCCATTTAAAATATCTGTAATTCATAAGAGGAGGTCAAAATGTTAACATTAATAGGAGTTTAGAAGTTAATTTCAACCGTCATGGATGACTTGGAGAAGTTCAAGACTTCAGTGGAGGAAGTCACTGCAGATATGGAATAAATAGAAAGAGAACTAGAATTAGAAATGGAGCCTGAAGATGTGACTGAATTGCTGCAATCTCATGATAAAACTTGAATGGATAAGGAGTCGCTTCTTATGAATGACCAAAGAAAGTGGTTTCTTGAGATGGAATGTATTACTGGGGAAGATGCTATGCACGTTGTTGAAATGACAACAAAGGATTTAGAATAGTACATAAAACCCTTAGTTGAAAAAGCATTGGCACAGTTTGAGAGAATTTACTCCAATTTTGAAAGGAGTTCTAGTGTGGGTAAAATGCTATCAAACAGCATCACATGCTACAGATAAATCTTTTGCAAAAGGAAGAGTCCATTGATACAACAAATTTCATTGTTGTCTTCTTTTAGAAAAAGGCTACAGCCACCCTAGCCTTCAGCAACCACCACCCTGATTAGTCAGCAGCCATAAACATCCATTAGCAAAAAGAGTATGACTCACTGAAGATTCAGATGATTATTAGCATTTTTTAGCAATAAAAAATTTAATTATGGTACATACATTTTTCTAGATATAATGCTATTGCACATTTAAGGGTTTAGTGTAAACATAACTTTTACATGTACTAGAAAACAAAAACATTTATGTGACTCACTTTACTGTGATATTTGCATTATAGCACTGGTCTGGAACTAAATCTACAGTATCTCTGAGGAAGTATATCTGTATTTTTATCAAAGCAACTGTTTCTCCAGATGAAATTAGAAAGCACAATTTATGAAATTCTGAATGAATTGGAATAGTAAACTCCTAGAGCTTTGTACATTCCCAAGAGAGGTTCCCATTTTCAGTGAAACAAGGTGGGGAGCCCCGAGGCCCGCAAAGGCTCATGACCAGCAGTAGACGTGCAGTGAATTGGTGTGGGCTGGCTAGACATCTGAAAGTCCTCCAACATGAAGGCTGGCCAGGTCTCAGGATCAGATGAGAGGCTTAGAAGCCAGGTATTCAGTTGTAAATCAAGACCATACACATCCCTCCATTATCTGGCATTATGTAATGGAGGGACCAAGATACCACTGGGGTAAAGGAGGACCAGGAAAAACACCCAAACTTTGACCGAGATTATTTGAAAGCAAGCAGAAGGAGAATAAGAAAAATTAAGAAATATGTGTCAATAAGATCGGAATAGTGGTTTCCCTCCGGAAGAGTGAATAATTTAATCGGGGGAACACATGGGTCTTCAAATGCATGCATAGCATTATACATCTTAAGTCAGATAGATGGTAGGTACCTCCTTGAGTGTCCAGAAGATTCAATAATACAGTTCTTAGGAGACATGTGTTACTCTTCTGGGCTGAAGAGATAAGCTGTGAAGGACTATCAGATGTAAGAAGGGTGGAGCGACTTCTTCACAAAAGGAAACTAAACTCAATTTTTCGCAAAAAAACGAAACTAAACTTTAAGACAAAATTAGTGCCCCAAGAGGGTGATGAGTAATGGTGGAGCCATCTGTAAACATCGGTAGAGGTTGCTGGAAGCAGGGAATAGACTGCTTTCAAATAGCAGGTTAGAAGTTTTCTGTCCTCAGGCTGCAGAGGCAGCAGCTCCCACTGTCACCAAGAACTCTGCTCTGGGGTTGGTGGTACATGAAGTCTCAAAATTATCTGTTCCCATAAGCTTGGGTGTGTGTGTGTCCTTCTGTGTGTTCTCTGCCATTCCACAGGCTGTGTGTGTGTGTGTGTGTGTGTGTGTGTGTTGTTGTTGCTGTTGTGTGTGGTGGGGGGGTGGGTCAGAGGGAATTCAGAGGGGGCTCAGAGGCTCCAAAATAAATAAGTGGATGAATGTCTAGTTGCCCCCTTCACCCCCGAGGTGGAAGACAGATTCTTTTAGTATCCTCCTTGCTCTATCTTTAGCAATAAAAAAAATTAATTATGCTGCATACATTTTTCTTAGATATAATGCTGTTGCATATTTAAGAGACTAGAGTTTAGTGTAAGCATAACTTTTATATGTACCAGAAAACAAAAACATTTATGTGACTCACTTTACTGTGACCATTACGGCAGTGGTCTGGAACTAAATCAACAGTATCTCTGAGGAAGTATACCTGTATTTTAATCAAAGCAACTGTTTCTCCAAATGAAACTGGAAAGCACAATTCATGAAATTCTGGTTGAATTGGAATAGCAACCTCCCAGAGCTCTGCACATTCCCAAGAGAGGTTCTCGTTTTCAGTGAGGCAGGGTGGGGTGTCCCGGGGCCTGCAGAGGCTTATGTCCTTGTTCCAGCCAAGGGAGAGAAACACAGTAGAGAACTGGACATTTGGCTGTGCTCTGGCCAAAGGTGGTGAAAATGAGCAAGAGTCCTGATCCATAGCTAACTGGGATGCCCTCGTTCCAAGCAGCACTGCTACAGTTTCTCAGGTGCATCTCACCCAAGGACACAGTCAGGCATCAGGGACCAGGGGGCAGAGTGATCTGGCCAATAGCAGGTGTGCAGGAGGCAGCAGCCTGCAGTATCCGGGGACAGCCACAGGGGTTCCCTGTATGGCCAGTGTGAAAGGCAGGAGGAGGATGTGAAACTGCTCATAGGAACACAGCCCTCTCACTGATTGCTGAGGCCAGGTGGTGGAGGGTGATAATATAAGATCATGCCCTAGAAAAGACCAGGAAACCACATGCATCAATATAACCTTTGTCTATTTCTCCCAACACATGTCTGAGCAACATACTGAGTTTAATTTAGTGTTGCATCGAAAGGAAGGAAAATACGACCTATACATGTAGATTCAAAGGGACCTTTGCTAAAATTATTACGAGATGAAGACTAGTGTCTTTTATACCGCTTGGTACTAACTCTATGAATGAGTACATTAAGAGGAATTAAAATGGCATGTCTGAATAGAACTAAAATTAGGGGAAGAGTTAATTTATGCATCATTTTTTACTAAACAATGAAATCTAAACATGTTATTTATGCTCAGTCATGAATAAAATGCAGCTTTCAATTTCTCCGTTATTGAAGGATGATTATTTCCACAGGCTTATTTAATACTTGTCTGACATCATTTAGTATAATATAATTACCTGAAATGAAATTTCATTTAAAGAAATTAATGGGGTCATGACCCCACACAATATTTTGTAGCCAAGATGCACTTTTTATTGAGAAAAATAAGATTCTTACAGTGTGAACCACCAATGTGAACCACATCTGTCCTGTTGTATCTTCACGATACACATTGACATTAGCATCCTTGTAGGGTAGCAGCATTTTGTGAAGGTGCACCAAAATGACACTTTTTTCCAAGCTTGTTGTTGAAGAAGTGAAAAACTAAATTGTTCCCAGCATTGGGGTTTGATTGTAAACAAGTCACACCCTAGACGGTGAGACAAATTGGATCGAAGTGGAAGAAGACACCCGCTTTCAGGACCCCTCATGGTAAGGGACAGTCCTAGGGCTGTGTAGGCCATCTGCGGAAATTCCATCAAGCCACAGAAGACATATGCTTACCCGGGAGAAAGGCCAAGGTTGAGTGAACTATATGCCAAACAGAAGGGATGAGGCAAGGGTGTGGATGGCAGAAGCAGTGGGATTTGGTGGTTAAGGTAGGCAGCTCAGGATATAAATTCACAGACACTAAGCCCATGGTGGCTGTTCCTCTTATGTGTGGCCTGGGGTATCTTGCTAGAACAGGAGCTGGATTGAGTAGAAACTTTTGTCCCAGGGAGTTGGCTAATGTCCACAGTTCCGGCAGCTAAATGGCAGATCAAGAAATGAACATCTCTTACAACCTCCTCCTGGTGTGCCTTTCTCTACTACAGAGGCTGGAAAACTGAAAACTATATATCCCAGACTTCCTTGCACCAAGATAACCAGAGGCACTTGTGTGAGACCTGAATGTAGAACCAAGTTCTGCAAGGAGGGAAGTGGCAAAATGCGAGGCATCTATTTTGTGGATGTGGCTCTAGCCAGCATGTGATGGCTTTGGAACCAGCTCCCCGTGGGGCAGCTTCTTGACCCCCAGTTAGACATGGAGTGATGTGAGATCCTGGAGCCAAAAGGGGTACAGTAGCTTCCTCATCCACCAACATTCTAATTATAGAAAAAGTCGCTATACTTTTAGTCAGTTTTGTTCCAAAAGTCATTTCCAGAGACCAGCCTAGACTCTGCTTCTCTAACTCTTCCACAAACTTGGAAGTGCCTAATTTCCTATACTAAATCCCGTTCTATTTATAGTCAAGGGGACCCTGACTACTACCAGAGCCCTCCCATTTGACCAGTTATTCTGGTTAGCCTTTCTGGTGCTTGGAAGCCAAAATCAATACTTCCTAAATCAGAAATATATGTTGAAATGTTAATAGTTTGTTTTTCTCTGCTCCACACTCTACCTTACCTCCCTTTTCAGGCATCAAGGATAACACTATTTTCAAATGACACCCAGAGGAAGCCAACACATAGACAACAAAGGGTCATTTTCTTGGCTTTGGGGTTCTTAAAAAGACTTGCAAATCTTTGAGAGCACAGTCTTGAAGGCCAGTACACTACTGATTTACAAAAGCTTGGTGCATGGGAGATAAATAATTTTCATTTTGAATTCTTAAAAAATGGCTTGGCTCAGAAGGAACAAGGATAAAGACTGGAGAACCAATAGTATAGAGTTTATACCATAAAATAAAGAGTTTGAAAAAAAAAGTATGATGTCATAAAGTTTTTCTTATTTAAATGAAGTAAGAGTTCAAAAACTGTCAGCAGGAAAGGAAAGCTAGAGGGGAATTAATGAGAACCTGGATACCTCCTAGATCCCCAAGAAAGTTTTCAGTGCTCCTGCCTCAAGTTTCAGGAGCTGCATATATGATGGGAACCCAAGATATGTTTTTAGAACAATCATGAGAACAGAAGATGTGTCTTGTGGTCCATTTGTCAGAGAGTAACCCAGGAGATGCAAGCCTCACCCAACATTGCTCCTGAATGGTAGAGTGGCAATGTCATTGGATGTTGGGGTAGATGTGCTTGGGAGCAGCTTCACACAATCAGCACTGCTCAGCAAAGGGAATTTATTGAGAAGCTAATGAGGCTTAAGTTCAGGGCTTCTCACAAAGCCTGGGGATGGGCCCAGCTATTTGTTCACAAAGCGCAAATCTCAGGTGCAATCAGTGGAGACAACTGTTTCTCTCTTCTTCACCTGCCTCTCCATCCATCTTCCCTTCATGTGGGGTGGCATTGGAGTGGCCGTAAAGCATTTGGGATCTGTGTAAAAGAAACCTGTGTTCAGGATACATCCCAGTTGAGTATGTTGTGATACATTTATGTGGCTTGCAGGTGCTTCTTGTATCACTAATCCAGTGTAGGAAGAGCCTCCAGGAATACTACTACTTTAAACTGTGCCAAATTGTCTGGAGTCATGAGAGGGGGACGAAGAGTCAAAGGTCATATGGTAATATAAATATGTACCATGGTGCTCAGAACTACTGGAAATACCTGGGTAGAGAAGGAGAAACAATGTCTGTACTGATACTACCAACAGAGAGTATATCTCTGTGTGAAGACATATGTTTTATCAATTAAGACAGAGGAAAGACTTATTTTCTTTCTAGTCCATTAAAAATATATATTCTAAAATGTTGTCATGTAAGTGGCAATTGAAAAATATGCAAAAAATATCAGACAAAAGAATCACCAAGTGACCTAAGACAGTTAATCAATAAAATTATTTTTCTAGATTGTAATGTTTGTTGTATGTCAGCTTTTGACATGTTAATCCAAGAACCATTCCCAAACAATTCAGCAAGGCAGGACATATTGTGTATCAATTCTATACTATAAACTTTAAAATCTTGATGAGCTGGGATATTTAAAATAAATAACTGGTTAAGAAATAGAACTTGAATTGCATTGAGTAGTAATGATAGAAAAAATGTTATGATTTATTTTCTCATTCTAAGTAAAAATTCACATTTGTTCCTAATTTTGTACTTTTGTTTTCTTGAAACAAGTCCCCCGAATTACTTAAAGTACAGGGCTCATAAAAACCAGATGTAACTCTAATACCAGCCTGAAGTTCCTGAGCTTCTCAAAGATGCTGTAGAGCTTCTGAGAGGGCTATGTACCAAAAAGGTCCGTGCTCAGAATAAAGAAGATGCGATGTGTGTGACACTTGTGGCTGGAGGTCAAACCAGGAAGACAGACACCAGTAAGAGAGGCCATATGGAAAATGGGCACAGGCCAACAAGGAGAGAGGAGGGCTGGCAGAGCAGAGATTGTCCCCCAATGGCAGCATGATAGCTGAGTCTCCCACCCCACCCCTGCCCAAAGAAGAAGGACAACAATAAAAGGGATAAAAACTTGATTGCCTTAAAATTAGAAGTATCTGAGCTACTTTGAATTGGCAAGATAAAGTTTTCAACCACTGGGGAAACACAAACACAGCCCTGACAACTAGATTAAATTCAGTTACAGGGAAGTAAAGAAAAATGCCCTTTGATTCCTAGAATGAGTGACTTGCAAAATTCATGCAACTCTAAGTATTTTGGCTTCCCCTCATGATCATCAGAGCCAGCTGCAGAGGGCACTGCAGAGCAGGGCTTTTTCCAGTAGGACATCCCCGAGAACTGGTGGGTGAGGGTGGGTATGTATAAAGGAAGAGAGGCCAGCTGCAGTGGCTCACGCCTGTAATCCCAGCACTTTGGGAGGCCGAGGCGGGTGGACCACCTGAAGTTAGGAGTTTGAGAAAGATTGCCCAACATGGCGAAACCCTGTCTCTACTAAAAATACACAAAATTAGCCAGGTGTGGTGGCGGGCACCTGTAATCCCAGCTACTTGGGAGGTTGAGGCAGGAGAATTGCTTGAACCAGGGAGGCAGAGGTTGCAGTGGCCGAGATCGTGTCACTGCACTCCAGCCTGGGTGACAGAGCAAGACTCTGTCTCAAAAATAAATAAATAAATAAATAAATAAATAAATAAATAAATAAATAAATGGAGGAGAGTTGGAGAGGATGTATGTGGGGCCAACCGCCCCAGCCCCCAAGTGTAGGCTCAGGAACCTGCCCCCTAATTGCAGGAGTGGATCCAGACCACAGGGCTGGTTGTGGATCCCCACTTTTTTGTTCGACAAGCATTTCCTAGAAGCCTCTCATGAGGTTGTTGCTGGAAATGGAGCAGTGAACACAACAAAGTCCTTGCTTTTGTGAAGCTGCCATTCTAGCAGAAGGGAGATGATATGTAAGTTAGCAAAAACCTAATATATTAGGTTGTAATAAATGCAATTCAGAAAAGTAGGAGATTCCAGGGAAAGGGTGCTATTCTACACCGGGGAGTTAGGGAAGCCCTCCATGAGAAGGGGAACAATGTGGAGTCATCTGAGGGAACAAAAAAACCAGGCATGTGAGATCTGGTAGAAGAACTTTCCAAATAGGTGGAAAAGCAAGTGCAAGCCCCAAGAGAGGAGCCTGGTTGGATGTCTAGGAATGGGAGAGGGACCAGTGAAGTTGCAGTGGCAGGAGGGAAGGAACTCACAGACATAGCCAGAGGCTGGACCCTGGGGCTTAGCAAGGACCTTGGATTTTACTCTAAGTAAGATGAGAAGCCACTGGGGAAAACACCTTTGAAAATATTGTAACTGAGAAAATTTTTACAGTGAAGGAAATCTGACCTCACTGACTCCATCTTGCTTCTAATCTCCAAGATGTTCTTGTTCGTTCCTGGGCATAGGCCAAACTAATTTTGGGAGGAACTTAGTTTATAATTTAGCTTCAAAACAAAGATGGTAACAGCCCTTTCCCCAAACAAACACGCTTCCTGCCTGGGGAATAGACTGTCTATGAGGACTAACAAATTAGCCACAAGATTAGAAATTATGGTTTAGGAGTCACATAGCTGGAGGCTGCAAGATTCTAAACATCCTCAAATTGCTTCCAGGGATAACGTCACTACTGTAAAACCTAAGATCAGTGCTTGAAATATTTACAGACTCTGCACTCAGTGGATTGGCTGGCACCACCTGGATCAATTAATTGGCTCATCTGGTCTTGTGGCCTCCACCCAGAAACTGATTCAGTGCAAGATGACAGTTTCAATTCCCTTTGATTTCACCTCTGACCTGACCAACAAGAACTCCCGACTCATTGGCCCCCTACACACCAAATTATCCTTAAAAACTCTGATTCCCAAATTGTTGGGGAGACTGATTTGAGTAATAATAAAACTTCGGTCTCCCCACAGCTAGCTCTGTGTGAATTACTCTTTATCTTTTGCAATTCCCCTGTTTTGATAAATTGGCTCTGTCTAGGCAGTGGGCAAGGTGAACCTGTTGGGCAGTTACACTGGCAGGCTTAGGGGAGAGGAATTAGTTGGTCAGATTGTTTCTAAATTAATCCCTCCAGCTGCTATGTGATAAATTTACTGGGGGAGATGTAAGGGTAGAAGCAGGGAGACTAGTTGGAAGATTCCTGCAATAATCTACAAGACAGATAATGATGGTTTGGGCCACCACATGGAGGTGATAAGAAGTGGTCTTATCCTGGATATATTTGAAGGAAGAGCCAACTGGATTTACCAATGGATTTGATATATGAGTAAGAGAAAGAGCAGAGTGAAGGATAACTGCAAGATGTTTTATGCTAAGCAATTCTTAAAAGAGTTGTCATTTACTGACATAGGGAAGACTGGAGGAAGAACACATTTGGGGCAAGGAAATGAAGAATTCAATTTTGCACATATTAATTTTGAGACAAATATTAGATATCAAAGTAAAGATTTCAAGTAAGTGGTTGGGTATAAAAGAGCTGAGTTCAGAGGGGAGGATGGGGAGAGAGAGAAAAATTGGGGAATCATTGATGTTTAAATGTCTTTGAAGTTCTGGGCCTGCATGAGATCACCTAGTGAGTGAGGATATATAGAAAAAAGAGATATGAGACACGAGGCTAGGGATACTGGAATATTTAGAAGCTGGGGAGATGGAGAAGAAGCAACAAAGGAGTTGAGGAGTGGCTGGAGTTGAGGAGTGGTGCCACATAAATGGAGAGAGTTCTTCTATAAACGGAGATAGTTCCTCCATTTACGTGGCAACTTCTCATCGCCAGCTGTGGGCTGAAGGAAGCTGTTGGAATTCTTTGCATTGGAGGATTTCCTATCATTTTTTTAGGGGACTCATCATTCCTCAAAGGCTGGTTTGGGAACTGAGGTGGAGCTGGTGCTGAGTGATTTCTGTTCTGACTTCAGCATGACATATTTTCAAAGCATGCACCCACCATGGAGAGTGCATTGTTCAAAGCGGTCTCCAAAGAAACAACTCCTGCTTTGCCCAACCTACTCCTTTATCTTCCTATCTAGGTTGGACACCTTACTTTTAGCTATTTCCCATTTGTAATCCCCATGCAGACCCACAGCCTTTATAGGTTGACGCTAACTCCTCCACAAGAGGTGCAGCAGTTTTTGCTACCTCCAATGGCCAACAATATTCCATATTGAGTTCTTAGCCACGACAAAGCAGAGGACCCTGGTATACAGCAGGAAGATGAGGCAAGCAGGCAGATAACCAGGTGAGAATTTGCATCATCAGAGGGCACGGCCTCCACCACTTCCTTACTGGTTCCCTCAGATCTTACATTCGGCGTTCGCAGGGCCTCTGAATTGTAAAACGAGAGGTCACTTCACACGTTAATGTCCAGGCAAAGCAGTGTCAGAAAAACCAATACCCAGGAATGATGAGGAAATGGGAAATCATAGAAAATTAACTTTCAATAAAAAGAAAAGAATTTTCTGCCTGCCTGCTGAACTGAAAGTGACAGGAACCTGCTTCCGGATTTATGCCCAATGGATTTCAAGACATCAGATATTTTTAAGGATAACGTCTTAATCCAGAGGATTCTATATGACAACTTAGACCAAGTGGATATTTATTGGAGGTGTGTGTCCACTGCTGAGGAACATGTTAATTCAAGAAACATTCCCAAACAATTCAGCAAGGGAGGACATACTGTGTATCAATTCTATACTCATAAACTTTAAAATTTTGATGAGCCAGGTTATTTAAAACATAAATGATAACAACTGGCTAAGAAATAGTAGAACTTGAATTGTATTGAGTAGTAATGACAGAAAAAATGTTTAAAGTTTGAGAATTATATCCAAAAAATGCCCTGAGCCAAATAATTGTAATTTTAAAAATCCGTTCAATCCTTTAAGGAACAGGCAATTCCCATACCATACATAAAATGTCCTGAAAATATACTAAGATAAAAGCTACTTACTTAATTATATTAAGATAGGATAATATCTGCTACTAAAACCTGAGGACTATAACACATGCACAAAAGAAAATACACAAGCCACATCCCCTAGATTAATGCATTTAAAAATTTCAATGAAAGAGTGATCTGATATCATTATGGCAGTCCTTTCTGGACCAAAGTGGTGTCTTCCTCAACTCATACCACTGGGCTCCTGGCCCTAGACCCATGGGGCTACATCAAGAACACAGATGAGCCAGAGTGTCACAGGTTCTTGAAAAATGGGCCATACATCTCAGAATTATCTGAGCCAGCCCAGCCCCACCTCCTATTTCTGTTTATATTCTAGAAGCTGCAGACTATGAAAGTTTATCATGATGGTGGAAGAATAAACGGGGGGAGGCATAAGAGGGCAAAAGTGCTCAGGCTACCTCAGAATCCACACCTATGGGTTACAGAGACTGGGACGGAGAGTGAACACAGGACAAAGAATCTGCTTTTCTATTTTCAGGTTGTGTGTGTATAATTAAGTGAAGTCTTTTTTGTTTTTGCTTTGTTTTAAACATGAATTTAGTGGCATTTGCCTTGTAATTTGTAAAACTTCCACCAAGATTCTGGCATTAGTCTGCCTGTTACTTTGAGTTTTTTTGGTGTTGTGTATTTCTTTTTTTTTTTTTGAGACGGAGTCTTGCTCTGTCACCCAGGCTGGAGTGCTGTGGTGCAATCTCGGCTCACTGCAAGCTCCACCTCCCAGGTTTATGCCATTCTCCTGCCTCAGACTCCTGAGTAGCTGGGACTACAGGCACCCGCCACAACGCCCAGCTAATTTTTTGTATTTTTAGTAGAGATGGGGTTTCATCGTGTTAGCCAGGATGGTCTCGATCTCCTGACCTTGTGATCTGCCCGCCTCAGATTCCCAAAGTGCTCGGATTACAGGCATGAGCCACTGCGCCCGGCCGATGTTGTGTATTTCTTTACATTTCCTTATTGCATTATTTATTGCAAAGTTTGAAAGAGCCATAGAGGAACTGCTGCCCAAATGCCATTTTGAACTGGAAGTCGAGGCCACTGGATTTTTTTTAACCAAATGGGTTCACCCATACTTATCAAAGCCACTGCTTTTTTAGCATGCAGCCTTGATACCCAGAGGATGCCAAGAGACATGAGGTGGCCAGTCCAGGCTGAAATGCGATTTCCTTCTGGCTTGCCAGTTGCTCTCCCTAGCCCTGTCAGCAGCCTGACACTTCATGTTCCTTCTTATTTCTGACTTGGCCACATTTTATGAGCTCAGCTGATTGAATTAGTGTTCCCACTCCCTTCCCAGTTATGTGTTACACATTCTCCAAAGGGTATGGCTAATAACAAGGTTGGAGCTAGAAATGTGTCCTCAAGCAAGAATGTCACGAAGAATCCCTTTGTGTCAACCACAAAATAAATATGGCTCCAGCCTCTGAAAAGAGAAAAATGTTAAGATTTTCCTTTATTTCCTAGAAAGACCTGAACCCCTGGGGGAAATCAGCCTAGTTCAAGCAGACACTGCTCATTAGGTAAAAATAATTAGCCCAAGTGCATCTTGTTCTTGTCTGGAAAAGCAAGATTTAGGAGAGATGCCAAAAGCCTTAATATCACTCTGGATGTAATCCAGAAGAAAGGGGGAGGCCTCCTTATGTTGAGGACCCTGGTTTCCCAGGCCTTGGGGTGGGATCAGGTGGTAAATACATGAATATATTACTTCCCATATTCGCTTTGATCAGGAACAGGGAGCAGAGCCAGTGTGAGTAAAGAAAACAGCAAAGAAAAATTTGCAGCTTGCAGCTTGCAGCTTGCATCTCTGGTTGTCAGGCTGCTGTGCCTGCTGTGAATGAAAGGGACGTTGCCCTCCTCCCTCAGCCTCCCTGCAGCCTTTCCTTGCTCTGCAGCCCAGGACATCACCAGCATATAATCAATAGCAGCCCACAGGCCACACGGGTGGTCCTCCAGGCCCTTGAGCATTTAGTGGCAGTAATCAATGCAGTGTTCCCCCTAATGATGAGAGACATCTGCCCTTGATTGCCCTAGGTTACAATGGCTGTGTCATCCTGTCCTGCCACTTGGGCCCCGAGAAACTACTACTTCAAAGATAGTATAATACTGTGCTTGCTGTGTTTACTCTTTAGGTTTACTTTCCCTTAACTCTAGAGTGAATCCTCTTTGCTGTTTGCCATCTTTTCTCAGATGCCTTGGTGTTGAGACAACACAGAAGGACATGGTAAACTGAAAAACTGGACCACTGTACAGCTGATGTTATCCTGGACAACGTGTAATCTTTCCTACTGCTCCCCATTCCATCTTAGCCCCTTTTTCACCTCTTTCCACATCTCTTTGTTTCTCTAAAATTCTGGGTGCAATACGTCAGCTAATTGCCTTTACATCTTATTTGTAAAATGGGATTCCAATATTAAAGAGGAAACAGTGTGGTCGAGGGTAAAGTACACACATTTAGGAAACATCAAACGCCAGCTTCAGACCTGGCCCTGCCATCTGGTAACTGAAGACTTGGTAAAGTTATTGAACCTCTCTGAACCTCTGTTCCCTTATTTGTAAACTTGGAAACAAGTCATTACAATGCCGAGTCATCTTTCAGTGACAATGCATGCATGGTGCTTAATATCATTGCTATTATCACCACCAGCTGATTTTTATTATTATTATTATTTTTTTGGTGAAAATTAGATGAGATGTGAAAGTACTTTGAATACATTGCTAAATAAGTTGTAAAATATTTGCCTACTTTTGGCCAGGTGTGGAGGCTCATGCCTGTAATCTCAGCACTTTGGGAGGCCGAGGCAGGCAGAGGACTTGAGGTCAGGAGTTCAAGACCAGCCTGGCCAACATGGTGAAACCCCATCTCTACAAAAAATACAAAAGTTAGATGGGTGTGGTGCTGCGCACCTGTAATCTCAGCTACTCAGGAGGCTGAGGCAAAAGAATCACTTGAACTCGGGAGTTGAAGGTTACAGTGAGCCAAGATCGTGCCATTGCACTCCAGCCTGGGTGATGGAGTGAGACTCTGTTTCAAAAAAAAAATTGCCTAGTTTTTACATACAGTAATGTTACATGCATTATGACAGCTTTTAATCTCTCATGACATCCTATGTAAACCTTTTTAAATGCAGTGGTATATTGATTTAAATAATATATGTTATGGGGGAACTATACATTTTTATGAATGATTTTGATCATTCTATAACTAGTTACAGATTCTAGGCTATATTACATAGTATGTTTTTGGTTTCAAGTGAAGGAAACTAATTTCCTATGTAGTGGTGGTCCCCCCTTATCTGTGGGGAAACACCTAAGACTCCCATTGATTGCCTGAAATCATGTTTAGTACCAAACTCTACATACACTGTTTTTTCCATGTTATAACCAAAACAGATACTAATGGGCGACTAATGGGCAGGTAGTGTATACAGTGTAGATACACTGGACACAGGGGTGATTCATGTCTGGGGCCAGACAAAGCACCGTGGTGAGAGGTTTTATCATGCTACTCAGAATGGTGCACAATTTAAACCTTATGAATTGTTTATTTCTGGAATTTTCCATTTAATATTTTCAAACTTTAGTTGACCATGGGTAACTAAAACCATGAAAAGCAAAACCACAGATAAGGGAGAACCACTGTATTTTACACACACATACACACACACATATACAGAATTATATGTATAATATATATGTATAGTGACCCTTGAACAACATGGGTTTGAACTGTGCAGGTCCACTTATTCATGAATTTTCTTCTACCTCTGCCAACCCTCAGAGAGGAAGACCAACCCTTCTCCCTCCTCTTCCTTAGCCTACTCAAGATAAAGACAGCAAGGATGAAGACCTTTATGCTGATGAACCACTTTCAGTTAATAAATAGCAAATATATTTTCTCTTCCTTATGGTTTTTCTTATTAACATTTTATTTTCTCTAGCTTACTTTATTGTAAGAATACAGTATGTAATACATAAAATATACAATATATGTGTTAATTGACTGTTTATGTTATTGATAAGGCTTTTAGTCAACAGTAGGCTATTAGTTAACTTTTGGGGGAGTCAAAAGTTATATATAAATTCTTGACTGTGCAGAAAGTTGGTGCCCCTAACCCCTGTGTTGTTCAAGGGTCAACTGTACTTATATATTCATATATATGAATTATACACAGAATTATACATAAAATTCTATATAAGTATATAATGTGTGTGTGTGTGTGTGTGTGTGTAAAGAACGATGCAGATATAGCTTACAAAAATGTTGAAAAAATGGTGGAAACTAGGAATTAGGGCCTTGGGATTTGAAATTGGGGGTTCAGTACCACTAGTATTGTCCTTGTCCAGTTCTTGTCCTTCTCCACAAGGTGGAAACCATGGTCACTGGTGTGGTCACCAAGCCACTATCAGCCAGGAAAGTGTATTTCTCCCAGTGTCTGCATGAGTCATGTGCCCATGCCAGAACAAATCACTTCACTGGGCAATGGGGGCTCATGATTGGCCAGGCCTGGTGACAGCTAAAGCTCTTACTAGAAGGTGGAAGGAATGTTTCTTAGGCAGATAAGTGCAGCTACCATAATCTCTTACATTCCACTTCATGGCTGCCGGGGCTTACACTCACCGTCTTTATTTCCATACACACAATTCCAGAATTCCTAGTGTAACACAGCTATCCCATGTGAAATCAAATATGCATGCCCCACCACCCCTAAAAGGAAAAGATCTCAAAATCACATCCAGTAGCCTCATCTAGCCTGAGACCTGGATGCTGGCTGATGGTCATGTCCAGATACAGCTTCTTATAGTATGTCAATTGATGGCTAATTGGTCCATGTAACCATCCCCAACACACTGAATAACCAATAGTGAAGGTAAAACAGGAAAACCACAACAGGAACTCTCATCTATAAAGGGGGAACATGAAAACATTTGAGATGTTCTCTCCCAGTCTATTGCAGATCCTCTGCATCTGCGCTTGGTTGGCTGGTCTGGCTACCCTGATGATTCTCCTGCTGGGAGAACTTTCCCTACTTGTTGACCTCCAGGACCATGACTGAGAAGCATGTAGGAATGTTTCCTCATCAGGGAGCTGCTTTAGCAATGCCTTTCCTGTTGACATGATTTTGGAGCCTGGGAATTGTTTTAGGAGTGGAGTATTATGGGTTGCTTCTTTCTAAGCTGGGTTTTCTTTGTCACTTTAACTTCCTTAAAACCCTGCTAAGCTGCCAGTCTATTCAATTCATAGGAAAATTTATAGCTAGTAACCAAAGCAATAAATTTTTAAAATCATGGTCCTTAACACCAGATCTTACTCATTCCTTTGCAGTTTTCTTCTCTTAGCAACAGGTCTGGGGGCTCTGTCCACTGGACCAGACCTCAGCCTGGCACTGCCATGGTGCAGGATGAAGGAGTAAGCCCTGATGAGAGACAGAACCAAGCTCCCAATCTTACATAAAGTATCAGAAAATAAAGGCACAGCAACAGCCTCATGTGTGGGAAGGGGGACAGGGGACTGGTCAGGCTTCGCCCACTTCTGAGGACACTCCCATCCCCTCTCTTACAGATGCTCTGTTCCCACCATTGCCTTGCTTTTACTCACAAACAGAATTTAAGTCCCACCCCCACACGTCCTGGATTGCTGGTCACAGGAGAAAGGTCAGCTGCATTCTGCTCTCTTTCTCCTTCTATTATTACGCGGGCTAAGTTGGACAAGGGCTTGTTTCTTTCTTGCAAGGTCTTCCTGTAGGCCAGAAGTGATATTTAACCAGTACGCCTGTAGGCCCAAAACTGTTTATAAATATGAAAAGAGCTACAGCCTTAAGCCTCTTTTGCCTCTGAACTACCCTCTACCCTTCCCCACTGCCCTGGCCCTTCCCCAGGACCTCCTGAGGACATCACAATTAGCAATTAAGGGGCTGGTGTGAGCCAGTCAGTGCCTCAGGGCCCAGCTGCTCATCCCACATCCATTCTGATTGGTGGATTGAGAGCTGTATGAGTTGTTGAAGGTATTTTGAATATCACCCCTGCTGAAAGCCACAAGTAGTCAAGATCCATTAATAATCAGAAATTTTCTGCCAAATCCCCTGAAGTTCCATGTAGACATATCATCTGAATGCCAACAAACAGTTAACAGTTTAGCTATTTTTTTTTTCTGTAGCGCATAAATGTATCTGAGCCAGAATAGATCACAGTCTATGCCTCAATATCTTGAGCCAGCCAAGTTTTGTATTTAAGGTCATCTTTTAAAATCTGTTATTTGAACACTTCAGGCTCTAGTTTTTTAAAGTAATTAGTAGTTTTTGACCTTTAGTAACATAAGCCAACTTCTGTCTAATTTAGGCATAAAACAATATTTATTGGAAACATACTGATAGTTTTCAGGCAGTGAAACAATAAGAAAATTACACTAAGTTTTTAATGAACATTCCAGAATTTTTGTATTCAAAAGAATGTTGTATTTGAAAGTGGTCACCTTGAATGATTTTGCATTTATTCCAACCTCACCATCATTGCTCAGACTTGGTTTTGGACTGTCTAACTTTGAATTGCTTCCAGAACGTACGTTGTACTCTATCGAATAACTAAATTATGCCAGATTTTTGCCCTTTGAAGGTGGATTTGATTTGCTTAGAAAATCATTTGAAATCACATTTGGTGGCTGAGGTGACTTATCAGTGGTTTGGATAATAATTTGGTAAATCATTTTTTAATTTTTTAAATAATTAATTTTTTAATTTTAAAGTCTTTTTTTGTAGCAGAGACTGAAAAGTAGGGGTGAAATGTTGTTTTCTTTAATATTATCTAAGGTTCTTCCTCTCTTTGCCTGGTTGATGACAGGTTCTTCCTCTTCTTACTAACAGGTTAATGATGATAATTAGTTAGTAATTGGCTGACAATCTTCAGCCAACAGAATGTGTGACCAAAAGAGTGACTTTCAGAGTCCAGACTCAACTAGATACTGCAAACTGACCCAAGGGAATAAGGGAAGGGAGCTATTAAGGGAAGTAACTAAAGACTGCAATTCTACCTAGAGACTAATTTAACCATAAGATAGGGAAGTTGCGGAGACAAGTAGTGACTTCTGTGAGTATGCTGTTCGGAGAGTATGGCTATGGCAGACAGGGCTTTGGAATAAAGTGGACCTGAGTTCAAATCCTGCCTTCCCTGTGTGGCCTTGAGCAAGTTACATTACCCTCTTGGGAGCCAGTTGCCCAATCCACAAAGGAGGGATTATCACACCCATCTTGCGGGTTGTTGCGAGAATTACATGTGTATCTTAATTTTAAAAGCCTGGGACAATGCTTAACACATAATAAATACATGATGACACTATTGTCTCACCCACAACAACAGAAATGAGTATGTGTGTTTATTTGCTCTTAAACCCATGCTTGAGCAAAAGACGAGAAGGTTTGAGGAAATGCCACACTATATTCCAAAGTAATAACATAAAGAATCCACGCGCATGAAACCACACACAAATAAATGCAGGAAGTTTAATATTCTATGCAGTCCAAGGTCGATAAAAATGTGTCAAAAGCACGACAAGTGTGAGGTGATAAGAAAGGAAATTGCTTTCAGTGTGAACACCCCCGTTTTCTTTTGCTTTTCCTCACCCTGGCTTCCCACCACTGTCACTGCTGATTTCCCTGATGGCTGTGTCCACCCCAGTTGCCAGATCTTCACGTCGCTGCAGCAGCCTCCAGGTAGACAGATCTGACTCACAGGAGCCCAGCAGGGGCCTCTGGGTTCCCACAGCGTTCAAGTTGACATGGTGTAAAGAGGTGTAATTTAGTGTTCAACCTCTCATCCCTGGGAGCTTCCGCTTTGTCAATGAAGAGTCAACCAGATGCATTTTATTTTAAAATTCTGTTTCCTATAGCAAGTAATTTTCAAAGATGTGCTCTTTCTGAGCCTTCAAATCATCCTCTTAACCTGAATTTTTTTTTCTTAGAGCCCATGTTTGCTTATTTTATATTATTTTTTAGTTAACTAATGCTTTAGGGAACAACTCTCTTGAGATTTATCATCTAGAGAATTGTAGGGGATATCTTTCTCCTGTTTCTAGCCACGGGGTGCTGCAGCTTCCCTCTTCCAACCTGGACTGAGAGGCAATTTTGATGAGTACTGCATCTGGCCCAGATACTGGGGCCTGACCTGATGTCCCCCAGAGGAGCTCTGCTGGACTCAGATGGGCTTTCCCCGCTTTCTGCCTCACAAGTTCTCTGATGAAGGAGGAGTATCAGCTATTCATTTTGTGTATGTGGCGCCTGAACCTTCATGGAACATATCCCAGATCGCAGTGTGCCACAGCCAGATCTCTCATCTGGGTTCTTTTTTTTAAAGTTGGGCCTGAATGGAAATAGAGATGCTGCTGTGTGGTAGGTGGGGGGGAGTGACAGGGCCCCGACTGCTCAGAAGAAAGTCCCCTTTGTGTGACAAGTGACGCACTCTTGAGGTGTGGCTGCTGGAGCAGGTGGTGGGGATGAGGTAAGGCAGGGTGTCTGTAGTTCAGTATGTTTCTCAATCTAATGACAAGGCAGTCATTAGAAATTCCCCAGACTGGTATGTTGTGTCTTTGTTCTTGTTGGTTTCAAAGAACGTCGTTATTTCTGCCTTCATTTCGTTATGTACCCAGTAGTCATTCAGGAGCAGGTTGTTCAGTTTCCATGTAGTTGAGCGGTTTTGAGTGAGATTCTTAATCCTGAGTTCTAGTTTGATTGCACTGTGGTCTGAGAGATAGTTTGTTATAATTTCTGTTCTTTTACATTTGCTGAGGAGAGCTTTACTTCCAAGTATGTGGTCAATTTTGGAATAGGTGTGGTGTGGTGCTGAAAAGAATGTATATTCTGTTGATTTGGGGTGGAGAGTTCTGTAGATGTCTATTAGGTCCACTTGGTGCAGAGCTGAGTTCAATTCCTGGGTATCCTTGTTGACTTTCTGTCTCGTTGATCTGTCTAATGTTGACAGTGGGTTGTTAAAGTCTCCCATTATTAAGGTGTGGGAGTCTAAGTCTCTTTGTAGGTCACACAGGACTTGCTTTATGAATCTGGGTGCTCCTGTATTGGGTGCATATATATTTAGGATAGTTAGCTCTTCTTGTTGAATTGATCCCTTTACCATTATGTAATGGCCTTCTTTGTCTCTTTTGATCTTTGTTGGTTTAAAGTCTATTTTATCAGAGACTAGGATTGCAACCCCTGCCTTTTTTTGTTTTCCATTTGCTTGGTAGATCTTCCTCCATCCTTTTATTTTGAGCCTATGTGAATCTCTGGGACGCATTCAAAGCAGTGTCTAGAGGGAAATTTATAGCACTAAATGTCCACAAGAGAAAGCAGGAAAGATCCAAAATTGACACCCTAACATCACAATTAAAAGAACTAGAAAAGCAAGAACAAACACAATCAAAAGCTAGCAGAAGGCAAGAGATAACTAAAATCAGAGCAGAACTGAAGGAAATAGAGACACAAAAAACCCTTCAAAAAATTAATGAATCCAGGAGCTGGTTTTTTGAAAGGATCAACAAAATTGATAGACCGCTAGCAAGACTAATAAAGAAGAAAAGAAAGAAGAATCAAAAAGATGCAATAAAAAATGATAAAGGGGATATCACCACCGCTCCCACAGAAATACAAACTGCCATCAGAGAATACTACAAAGACCTCTACGCAAATAAACTAGAAAATCTAGAAGAAATGGATAAATTCCTCGACACATACGCTCTCCCAAGACTAAACCAGGAAGAGGTTGAATCTCTGAATAGACCAATAACAGGAGCTGGAATTGTGGCAATAATCAATAGCTTACAAACCAAAAAGAGTCCAGAACCAGATGGATTCACAGCCGAATTCTACCAGAGGTACAAGGAGGAACTGGTGCCATTCCTTCTGAAACTATTCCAATCAATAGAAAAAGAGGGAATCCTCCCTAACTCATTTGATGAGGCCAGCATCATCCTGATACCAAAGCCAGGCAGAGACACAACCAAAAAAGAGAATTTTAGACCAATATCCTTGATTAACATTGATGCAAAAATCCTCAATAAAATACTGGCAAACCAAATTCAGCAGCACATCAAAAAGCTTATCCACCATGATCAAGTGGGCTTCATCCCTCCGATGCAAGGCTGGTTCAATATACGCAAATCAATAAATGTAATCCAGCATATAAACAGAACCAAAGACAAAAACCACATGATTATCTCAATAGATGCAGAAAAGGCCTTTGACATAATTCAACAACCCTTCATGCTAAAAACTCTCAATAAATTAGGTATTGATGGGAAGTATCTCAAAATAATAAGAGCTATCTATGACAAACCCACAGCCAATATCATATTGAATGGGCAAAAACTGGAAGCATTCCCTTTGAAAACTGGCACAAGACAGGGATGCCCTCTCTCACCACTCCTATTCAACATAGTGTTGGAAGTTCTGGGCAGGGCAATTAGGCAGGAGAAGGAAATAAAGGGTATTCAGTTAGGAAAAGAGGAAGTCAAATTGTCCCTGTTTGCAGACGACATGATTGTATATCTAGAAAACCCCATTGTCTCAGCCCAAAATCTCCTTAAGCTGATAAGCAACTTCAGCAAAGTCTCAGAATACAAAATCAACGTACAAAAATCACAAGGATTCTTATACACCAACAACAGACAAACAGAGAGCCAAATCGTGAGTGAACTCCCATTCACAATTGCTTCAAAGAGAATAAAATACCTAGGAATCCAACTTACAAGGGACGTGAAGGACCTCTTCAAGGAGAACTACAAACCACTGCTCAAGGAAATAAAAGAGGATACAAACAAATGGAAGAACATTCAATGCTCATGGGTAGGAAGAATCAGTATCATGAAAATGGCCATACTGCCCAAGGTAATTTACAGATTCAATGCCATCCCCATCAAACTACCAGTAACTTTCTTCACAGAATTGGAAAAAACGACTTTAAAGTTCATACGGAACCAAAAAAGAGCCCGCATCGCCAAGTCAATCCTAAGCCAAAAGAACAAAGCTGGAGGCATCACACTACCTGACTTCAAACTATACTACAAGGCTACAGTAACCAAAACAGCATGGTACTGGTACCAAAACAGAGATATAGATCAATGGAACAGAACAGAGCCCTCAGAAATAATGCCGCATATCTACAACTATCTGATCTTTGACAAACCTGAGAAAAACAAGCAATGGGGAAAGGATTCCCTATTTAATAAATGGTGCTGGGAAAACTGGCTAGCCATATGTAGAAAGCTGAAACTGGATCCCTTCCTTACACCTTATACAAAAATCAATTCAAGATGGATTAAAGACTTAAACGTTAGATCTAAAACCATAAAAACCCTAGAAGAAAACCTAGGCATTACCATTCAGGACATAGGCATGGGCAAGGACTTCATGTCTAAAACACCAAAAGCAATGGCAACAAAAGCCAAAACTGACAAATGGGATCTCATTAAACTAAAGAGCTTCTGCACAGCAAAAGAAACTACCATCAGAGTGAACAGGCAACCTACAAAATGGGAGAAAATTTTCACAACCTACTCATCTGACAAAGGGCTAATATCCAGAATCTACAATGAACTCAAACAAATTTACAAGAAAAAAACAAACAACCCCATCAAAAAGTGGGCGAAGGACATGAACAGACACTTCTCAAAAGAAGACATTTATGCAGCCAAAAAACACATGAAAAAATGCTCACCATCACTGGCCATCAGAGAAATGCAAATCAAAACCACAATGAGATACCATCTCACACCAGTTAGAATGGCAATCATTCAAAAGTCAGGAAACAACAGGTGCTGGAGAGGATGTGGAGAAATAGGAACACTTTTGCACTGTTGGTGGGACTGTAAATTAGTTCAACTATTGTGGAAGTCAGTGTGGCCATTCCTCAGGGATCTAGAACTAGAAATACCATTTGACCCAGCCATCCCATTACTGGGTATATACCCAAAGGACTATAAATCATGCTGCTATACAGACACATGCACACGTATGTTTATTGTGGCACTATTCACAATAGCAAAGACTTGGAACCAACCCAAATGTCCAACAATGATAGACTGGATTAAGAAAATTGGCACATATACACCATGGAATACTATGCAGCCATAAAAAATGATGAGTTCCTGTCCTTTGTAGGGACATGGATGAAATTGGAAATCATCATTCTCAGTAAACTATCGCAAGGACAAACAACCAAACACCGCATATTCTCACTCATAGGTGGGAATTGAACAATGAGAACACATGGACACAGGAAGGGGAACATCACACTCTGGGGACTGTTGTGGGGTGGGGGCAGGGGGGAGGGATAGCACTGGGAGATATACCTAATGCTAGATGACGAGTTAGTGGGTGCAGCGCACCAGCATGGCACATGTATACATATGTAACTAAACTGCACATTGTGCACATGTACCCTAAAACTTAAAGTATAATAGTAATAAATAAAAAAACAACAAAAAAACCCAACCAAACAAACAAAAAAAGAAATTCTCCAGACTGTGTCGTGCGGGTTTCTTGTATCTCTGAATTCAGTACTTTTGCTAGTTTTTCTTTCTTGTTCTGTATCTTCTTGGGTATTAAAATACAGTGGTGAGATAAGATAAAGAAAGCAATATTAGTCTACTATACCATCGTATAGTGCAAAACTTTACTATAAATTTTTTTCCTTTGGTTGGTCTGGAGTTTCTGTATCACTCACCGTCTGCTAAACATTGAAATAAGGTAATCTGCTACTTAGTTTATTTTGGGAACTCTCTGTTCAGAAAAGAGTTGAACACACATCAAGTTTGTTGTTAAAATAAAGGTACCTGGTGTACTTTTTACAAAAATATATATATATTTCTATAATATCTATCTATCTATATATATAGAAATGACTCATGTCCAGTGATTCATGACCACTAGACCAGCCTCTGGATATCAATATTTGAGAGAGATCTTGTTTCTCAGAAACCAGACATGCACTGGTTTGTGGATGATAAAGATTTTTTTTCCACATGGACATTCTGCTGCCTTCTCCCTGCTAACCTCCCAACCTCTGCCTGAGAATTAGGTAGCACATCATAATAATTACAAACAGCCTCTAGCTTCTCCTGGCCTCTTCTAACATGATCCAGGCTCCAGATATCTGAATATTTCTTAGAGATACCTTTTATTTATACGTTATTTCAATGTGGTTGAAAACAAGCCACCGGGCACGGTGCCTCACGCCTGTAATCCTAGCACTTTGTGAGGCTGAGGGAGGCAGTTTACCTGAGCTCAGGAATTTGAGACCAGCCTAGGCAACATGGCAAAACCCTGCATCTACTAAAATGCATAAAAGAAAAAAAAATATTAGCCGAGTGTGGTGGTATGTGCCTGTAGTCCCAGCTACTTGGGAGGCTGAGGCATGAGAAGCTCTTGAACCTGGGAGAGGGAGGTTGTAGTGAGCTGAATTGTGCCCCTGCGCTCCAGCCTGGAAGACAGAGTAAGACTCTTCTCCAAAAAGATAAAAAAAAAAAAAAAAAAATAGAAAAGAAAACAAAGGCCATTCACTAAACAGAATGTTTTGCTCTAGATAATTACAGAGCACAGGCAGAGTGGGGTGTTTATCAGCCATGAGACCTTTGCAATTGATCTATTATGATGTAACACATTTTGGAAAGATGATTTTTAAAAACATGTGTCCCTGGACTCATGGTAATATGGTTCCAGGCCTATTATCACAAATTTGCTCCTTTCTGGTGTCATGCATGATCAATTGAAAGCTACATAATCCTCAGGTGTGAGGTAGTTTTATTCTGGAAAAGCTCTCTTAGATTGTATTATGTACCAGCTTATTTATCCTCTAAGTAAAAATGAGCCAAGCATCCAAGGATCTATTAAGCACCTTCACATTGGTCCATTCAAATCCACAGGCTTTCAGGCATTAACCCATCCCCATAAGAGGCTTCATGAAATGGCTCATCAAATGCCTGGCAACAGAGGAAGCCATCTGGTGAAGGGTGGATTGTGATTATAACCCATCCAGATTTGCCTTCTCATCAGCAACAACACTGTTGTCTCATTCGCCCCTGTAATTGGTCGTGAAAGCCTAGGGACAAAAGATTGAACATAAACCAATCTGACCACCAGGTTTTTTTTGTGTACCTTTTTTTTTTCTTTTTTAAGTTGGGAGCATCCAATCACACTCATCTCTGAGGTTAGAACAATTTACCTTGTGGAAATCCCCTTCGTCATTGAAGATGAATCTTGCTCAGCTAACTACTTCCCAGCTGCTGGGCAGCAGGAATATTCAGGGCCACCATTAAGCCTACCCCTCAGCAAAATCTCCCCATGGCTGAAGGCCAGGCAGTTCAACAGGAATCCTACGGAGCAACCACTGCAAAGCTCACTGAGTGGACTTCCAGGCATTTTCACACCCACAGGAAAAATTGCAAGAACCCATAAAGCCATGCTGAGGAGTATAGGACGTCAGGCACAGGTCAGTGCTGATTTCATCAGAGCGCTGTTCAGATCGCTTGTGCTGCCATTCCTGTGAAAACACTGTTCCAGTCATGTGGCTGAGCAGTGTGTAGACGAACTAGTCTTCCAAATCTTGGCTGCCCACTAGGTCTCACACTTGGGGCTCTTTCCTCATGTGGTTCCACTATGCAGCCAATGTTAACTACTCCAAGCCTAGTTAGCAGACCAGCAGCAGAAGTGTTATGTGGGAGCTTGTTAGAAATACAGAATCTCAGCCGTACCTAGACTTTCTGAATCAAAATCTGCCTTCTTAAAAGATTCCCAGGGGATATGTATGAACGTTACCATTTGCGAATCATATAAGTAGAGTATGGCCTCCCAGAACATGTGACCTATTGGAATCACTAGGAGAGCCTAGACTTACAACGTTATGGTAGAGCTTAGAAGTCTCTATTTAAAACAAATGTTCTAGGTGCTTTTATTGTGACCTGGCACAAGCCTATGGACAGCACCATGGACCAGAGTCTCCCACATGTCCTTGATAATAAGAACAACCTGGAGGAGGAGGCTTATTTTTTAAAAAACAAAATCCTATGCTGGGCTTAATATCTAGGTGATGGGTTGATCTGTGCAGCAAACCACGGTGGCACACATTTACCTATGTAACAAACCTGCACATCCTGCACATGTACCCCTGAACTTAAAAAGTTGAAGAAAAAAAACCCCCAGGCCACTTCCCAGAAATTCTATTTCAGTTGGATCTTGGGGCGAGATACGAGAATCTGTACTTACTCCCCACACACATATGCACACATACAGTGATTCTTGAAAAATTTGGGAAACACAGGAGTGTTCTATAGCAGTGACTCTTCAATGTTGTTGTGCAACAGCATTGTCTGGGGAGGCTGCTAAATGTACTGACTCCTGGAACCTTTGAAAATAAGGGAAGACTACCCAGATAGGAACAAGCAAAAGCTATTTATTCAGAGCTCATTACAGCAAGGAAGCCAGCCACTATCACTTGCATTTGGCAGAAACACAAAGGCAGGCGGGGAAGTGTAAAAGCTGTATAGTGAGCAAAAGGGAAGGGTTCAGTTGTGTCCTGATTGGAGGGTGTTGGCAGGGGCATGCCGTAGATGGTCTAACTAAAAGCAGAGCATCCCATGCAATTGGTTAGGGGTACATATTTGGCTTTCTCCAGCTGGTCTTAAGTTGGAAGGAAGACACACATTAGGGAAGCTAACCAAATCCTGGCCATTTTGGGCTGATTGCTACAGAGGTTATGGTTTGTTTTCCTGGATTGGTTGCTACAGAGGTTGTGGGTCAGAATTCTATTTTTATGTAGCTCTGGCCATTGTCCATTTGTATATTCAGTCTCTCAACATCTACCCCAGAATTATTAATTAAAAACAATGTAATGAGGCCTGGACACCAATATTTTAATAAGCTCCCCAGGTTCTCAAATTGGCTAGCCACACATCTACAGATATCCTGAGTTTTTGCTAACCATCCTACTGCAGTTTCAAAGGTGTCAGGCAGTTTTTATTCCCACTCTGATTACCACACACCATTTGAAACAAGAACTTCACAATCAGAGGGGGCTTCTTGGCAGCTTCCCACCATTTATACACATACCCTATGGGTGGTCAGTATGATACCTGAATGCCAGAGTTGTCAGCGATCTTACTTTGGGGTGAAGCAGGGCAGAAGAATTGAAATAAAGACATCAAGATGCTTTTCAATAAATGTCATCTGAAGACCAGAATATGAACAAGGAGTTGAATATGAATGAGGAATTCTCTATTAGATAATTACATCAGAATTTCCTAGACAACAATTGTAATCAGATAGGGCTCCAGAGGGGCAGGCATCCCAGAATCATCCATGTGGAAGGACGTGTAGTTTGAAGAAGCCACCTGGTTGACTGTGATATTCTTCTGTACCCCTTTGTTGAGAACCACTGATGTAGAGAATGTAATAAACAATTCAGGGGTTACAAACTCCAACACCCACATGAGCCATGAGGGTAACATAAATTGGTAGCATAGCTGGGAACCTTAAGCTGTCTTCTTTTGACACAGACCTAACTTGTTTGTTCATTAAGCAAATGGATATATTTTTCACTTCCACAAGTAAACATGTTCTCTCATTTATATTGGGGGAGAAAGTTCTCAATCTGCCTTTCATTTTCTGACTTTTGAGATATAATTTTTAAATGATTACTGAGAAAAGCAGCAGCGAAAAAACATCATGCTAAATGGCAAAGGAAACTCAGTATCAAAGGAAGAGCTGTAAATGGTGAGACTGGGCCCAGCTGGAGGCTGGACAGCTGCTACTCAGCTCTGGGGAATTGGAGTTTGTTGCCTTTTCTGATTTTTTTTTTAAAGGCAGAAATAGGAGATTTAATATGTAATTGTCTGATCTTTAAATGTTGGCTTAATTTTTATTTAAGATTGTGAAGGTCAAACAAATAAGTCTGATGGGTTGGACACAGGCCTCAAGCCGCCAAGTTTGTAACCTCGGCACTGTAGCATTGCCTGCAAATGAGGTGTTAGCACAGGACCCCGTTCATGCTAAGGGCACCGCAAAGTTCTCCAACCAAGCACGCACCAAGAGCGGGACCACGTTAACTCTACCCAGCCTCCATCTCCCTCCTCAGGTCATCATTTCCACAGTGGAACTTAACCTTGCTATCTTTAGAAAGTAAAGATACCAAACAGATCTGCCGATAGCTTCGTTTTCAATGATGAGCTCAATCTCTCTTCTTTCTTTTCCTCTTTAATTCACAAAACCTAGTGGTTAGGCAGCCTAAGCAGGGAAAGTGTGGGAGTGGGATGTAACTGGTCCCTTGTCAACAATCACTGGGGTAGCTAAGTTGTTTATTTCTTAAATTTAGTTTAAAACGGATGCAGTCAGCAGTTTCTAATTCCTGTCTGGGCTAAAGAAAAAAAATGTTTGCATTTTTACTTTTTCAAGAGTTTTCAGCCTTATTTGGAATCAACTGACTCACATTTGGGTCAGGATCGAAGGGTTGTTGATTCGGGAGTCAGAAAGGAAAAGTAGATAAATTTTAAAATACTTTAATAAAATCTTTATACAAAAGATGTTGGAATTACTGAAAACTTTTAGTCTCTTCAGAATCAGAGTCAAGCAAAAGTGGGCTGGGAAAGGTAGAGGTAGGTGGCTTGAGATTAATGTTTTTTTGTGGGGTACTTGATTAAAATTTATATTTTAGGTGAATGGGTTGATTCACCTAAGCAATACTTTGGCAGGTAATACCTTTTTAAAAAATACCACCGATGCAGATCTGAATAATGGTGTCGATTAATTCAGTTTTCTCAGTAGTGAAATATAAATTGGAACCTCTCTCCACCAAACTTCATGGAAATTTTTGGGAGCATGCTCCTCACCAGCACCATCTCCCTTTGTTGGCCATTTCTGTAATGCAGTTGTGTAAGTTTCATAGTGCAACCCAAGGCCAAACGCTGCCTCCAAGACCAGTGAAGCCAGAGGTCAGGCAAGCTACAATTCTGAAACTAAGTGATGCATAACAAAAAGCTGATTGCCTGAAAAAGGCAATAAGCTGAATTAGCCATAATTTTAACTGGTTTAATATGCTTTACCCAGGAACTGTCTGCTCTGAAAAATCACATGTAATACATTCCTTAATTGTAAAATAAAACATGGAGTATAACACTTTTATTAGTAGTAATTTAGGTTGTTTTCTTCTTCACTAAGAATTGAATAAATATCTATATGTAAAAAGCGCTTTGGTATGTTTCCACAAAGTTTGAGTGTGGTTTCACGTGATCACTCCAGCCAATAATCATTAAAGGCCTCAGCACTCACTGGCAAACCCATGCCTGTTCATTATTAAGCACTGAAAATGATGAGCCAATGAAGAATATGATAATGCAATCTTTAGAATCATTTATGGTTATGAGCATTGATTCACCAAATAAAGGCTTAAAATGTAATGGCCCTGAAAATGGAAAGACTATGTGTAAGAATTTTTAGAAACTGTAAGAGAAGAATGGTAATAAACTGTAAAGAGGAGACCAAATTCATTAGAATAAAAAAAATTGAGATGGGCTGAAGACACTAAGGAACGATTGGAATGAGAAGAATCGCCAAATGTGGAGCACCTAATCAAAAAGAGAACCAGAAATGAATAATCAACAAGGAGCTGTAATCAACATGGGAGAGCAAAGAAGAAAAGACCGGCTGGGAGAGCAAGCCTTGAGGGAAGCTGGAGAATATTCTATCTTGTGTATTTTGCATTTCAAAATCTCATACAAATATGCTTTTCTTATCCAAAAGAAGAGTTTCCCATCTGCTTCGCTTTTTCAGTGGTCATTACGTCACAAAGACAGACTTTTGAAGAAAGGTGCTGAAACCTGTAATTAGCTCTCCACTCTGTGATGTTTTGACAAGCACTGTCATCGGTTTCCTTAACAGTCGTAACTGAGAAAAAAAGGTTATTTGACTGCACAATGAAATTAGACATATGTATATATAAACTTAAATATAATTTGCTAATATGTTATCAATGGCTACTAAGTTCAGTCAGAGTGGGTTACTTTACATCAGGTAAAGCTAATGTAAACATATCAGTTTGAAGGGGTGCCAAATTATTAGCCCTCCTTTGGCACCTTGTGAAGAGTCTCACTGTTGTCTGCGTTAACTTTTCTCACGATTCTTCCCTCCTTTTATTCACTGCCTTCCACCCAGATTCTACTGGGCTTCAAAGCGTTGGACCCCATTCTCTGTGCCTTCTTCTACTTTTGTGTCATGATTTTGCCTGAGTTCTCTTCTCCTCTAGCAGCCACTTAGACTCATAACCTAAGGAGGCTTGCAACCTTGTCCATAGACTAATTTTTCCACCTTAACTAGAACCATTAATTGTAATAAAATTACATATTTAAATAAATTGCTTTCAGAAATTTGACAATAAAATTCCAAATTTGTGCTTTGATTCTTTCTCTTTGTTATACAGTTAAGACCCATTATTCCCTGTAGCTATGGGGAGTTGCAAATCATCCTTTACTCTCCGAACACTTCTTATTCAAATTAGATCAAAAATTCCAGATTCTGCCCTCCTCTGCTGTAACTTCCAGGTCACTTTTCCATTGACACAGGCAAACACAGAAAGTAGGGATAATGCAAAAGGCAACCTACTTTCCTGTGTCTGTGTATTCAGTAAAAAGGATTAGCTCAAAACAAAATGGCAAATTATTGAGCTTGTATTGGGGGTTCTGCTCACTTGCTGCCTTCCACTACTTCTAGAAACCTACTTCCGGGTGATGTTCTTAGGCCACTTCTGGTTGTGCTGAGGATCCTTCCCAGACCTACTTCCTCACGCAGAATACCGTGTGTCAATCCTCATCCTCCTTCCTCCATTTAAGGGGAAAAAGTGTTCCGGAAACGATATCATCTAATATAGTGATGATTTATAAGATGTTGATGCATTTAGTCTCTCAAAGGTGTTTCAGTTTCAACAGAATTATCTTACTCCAGAAGAGTTTAAGGCCAATTAATGAAATACTTTTTTGGGGAAGACAAGGAGACCTTTTCTGATACTCTCTAATAACCCCATGCAACTGAAAGTGTCCGGTGTTTATACCAGTCCTTTAGTCACAGTGGTTGCATCTAGAGTGGGTATAAAGTCTTACTTATGCATCTTAGGCCACCCTTGAAGGCTTCCTTTACTGACTCTCTCTACCAACAACCATTAGGATCTTTCCTCCAGTATAGAGGTGACCTTGTACCATGTTCATTAATTCACATGGTCACTCCCATTTTCTGAGCCCCTGTCTCATGTCAGGACCATGTAAGGCACTAAGAATGGAATACTAACAAGAATAGTTTCTGTGCCCAGAGAGCTTACCTTATATGTGAATGAGGCAAGTGTGTAAAGAAGTAATTATTGCAATGCACTAAGTATAGTAATGGGGCTTGTGTAAGGGCTTGATTCTGCCTGGAAAGATCAGGGAAGTCTTTCCTGAAGAGCTCTCCATTGCCTGCTTCATCCTTATCTGTTTTGTTTATGTTGTGTTGTCTTCCCAAGGAGGTTATGAACGGTCATTTTGTACTACTCACGTGATAAATGCTTATCTACTTATTAAATAACCATAACTAAACACAACTTTGCCCAACTTTTCATTAACCACCTCTTGAGAATCAAAAGTACAGCCATGGAGAGCATTACCCAAAGGTCTATGACTTCCAATCCAGTCTTTGCATATTTAGTGATTAATTTTGATGACTCCCCATGCTGCCAATACATACTCCACCCACACTATCCACCACACACATACCATGCATGATGCACATACATTATGCTGACATGCTGGAATGTTTAACAATCTGAAAATGGGGAAATTGTATCTCAAGATTAAATAAATAAAGCGAGCCCTCATCAAGTCATCAGCATTTGCCCCACAGGATTCCCCCAGGGGGTGGCTCTCCAGCATTTGTCATAAACAGAATGGAGGTCATTAAAGCTTGGCAAAACCTAACAACGTATCTAATTATAGGTTTGAAATTGCAGAACCAAGCAGTAACTACAGGGCACGCTGAGTTTAGTTACTTCTGAACACAATTTATTGCTTTGCTTGGGTAAATTACTCCCCATATTTAAAAAGAAGTGGAGATTTTTTGCATCATCTCCAGAGGGGCAGTCGGTAGGACAGCATCCTCGGGCAGAAATAAAGAGTTTTGAAGTTTTCTAAATGGACTCTTTAATGCAGTTGAACAAAAGGCGCAACCCTTACCAGCAGGCAAAACTAATCTTGAGGTCATCTGGAAAGAGTATCTGACAATTTACATTTATCTGATAAATCTGTCCCCTCTTCAAGTTCTTATCAGCCATGAGGGAGCTGCCAATACTTCCTTATATTACTGGGGCAAATTGGGTAATTTGGTGACTAGGAAAGAAAATAAAATCATAGCTGTGGTTTCGGTTTGCACTTTGTTTCTGGGGAAAAAAATACATTTTTTATATGTGCGTGTGTGTCGTTCCATGGTTTAAAAAATAGATCGGAAGAAAAAATCTTATAACAATGACTGCGTAGCTGTTATACAATATAAGATGTGAAAATTTAAACACATTTTCAAGATTTATTGATTGGCCTTGTTTTTTTTTTTCTTTTTTTAATAAAGCAAGGAACATATCACTTAAAGCAATCATATTGATATAAATATAAAAATGCATAATTTGTTATTCTTTTCTACCAAAATAAGTTTGGGCGATCTTCTCTATAGTGAGTGCACATAGATTATTGGTAAATTAAGTGTTTCTTAAATATATAAAATAAAAATAATTATTTTCAAAATAATTATTATTATCTTGTAAGACAAATAATTTTATTAGTCTTCTTTTCCAAAATGTTATTGGACATTCTTGCCCTTTTATTCATTCAGAAAAGTCTAAATATATATGTCAAATTCCTAAAATCTCCCTTTAGAATTTTGATTAAAAAGTCTAATAGATATAATTTGGTGAACATTGTCAATTTTTTAAAATGAAATCTTTTTCATTCAGTTATATGTTGGACTTTTAATTCAAAGTCTTTTTGTTTCTTTGTTTTTGTTTTAAATTTTACTCACAAAGGTTCTATACAATTCTAACTATGCTTATTTCTAAGTATTATAATTTTTATATTTGAATTGTTCTCTTAGCAATCAGTCTACTTGCATTGTACTGCCACATTGCTAAGGAGAAATGTTAACCATGATAAATAAATTATTCTATATGAAAACCATGTGAGAAGCAGTTTGAACATAATTAGGGTCTGCAGTTTGGAAAGATGCCCCTGAGTTCTGACTTGGAGTATTTTTTGACATCACCATTGTGTTGTTTGTTTTCCTGTGTGTGTGTGCATCTTGCTCCTCTCTCCCTGTCATTGTACTCTCCACAGGATTTTTCTCCTGACATTCACGCATGCACCCCCACCCATCTTGGCTTATGTAGAAAATTACTGCCCATGTCTTTGAGATGCATTCTTGGAACACCCAGAACAAATGCTCTTTATACCCAAAAGTCTTAGTTTAAAATCAGACAATTCAAACAGAGCCTTTAGATTTGTGGAAATCCAATTATCCACTTTTATGAGATATCATCACAAACAGATGAAAATATATTCATATGCTTTAATATATATTCATAGGTAAGATTTGTTTGTAATTTTCTTTTTTGCTATCTATGGTTTTGTTCTAGATAATGCTGGTTTCATAAAATAGATTGTACACCTTATGTCATTTTCTGAACTCTGAAACAATTTGAATAGTGTGATAGATGTTAAGCCCTTGAAAGTGTGAATTTACTTCTCATGAAAAATAATCTACAAGTTGTACTTTGACACCTGTTCCAATTCCTCTCTGTTCATGCATTCAAGTTGTTGAATGCCTGCCCTCTGCCAGAAACCATATTAGATATGTTTCAGTTTCTACTTATCCTTGATTCAATTTGAAGTAATTATTTTGACCCAGAGATTCATCAGTTTCATTGAGATATTCAAATTGAGTGAAGTTATGCATAATCTTCTTTTATAATTTTTGAATCTCTTCTAATTTGGATTTTTGTGTTTTCACTTTTTTCATTAGACTTGTCATATGTGTATATTCTATTGCTTATATGTAGAGAGTTTGTCTTGAATATCTCAGTTCTGCTTTTTCCCTCTATTTTTAAGTATATTAGCTTCTGATCTTATTATTTACATTTTTCTAGTATATTTATACTTATTTTCTAATTTCTTAATGAATCTATAGTAATTGTTTTCTTCAATAATGACCGTATTTACAGCCAAACATGTATCTCTGGTAACTGCTGTGGCTGCATTTTCATGTGTTTTTATATGTAATGTTCTACGTTTTCATTTTATAAATAGTTTGTATTTTTATCGTAAGCTTAAAATATATTCAGTCATTTTATGTGTCACAAAAGAAACAGACACATTTAAGCTAGCAAAAAACTTTTCATACAAAGCCTGTGTGTCTTCTGGCTTTGAATAATAACCACAGTCACTTGAAATACTTTAAATTTTATGTGATTAAAATTAAGGCCTAGAAATTTATTAATGGAATACTTCAAACCTAAATTTTATTTTTAAGAGTCTTTATCCTCCTAGACTGATTTTTTTTTGACTAATTGTGTTCTCTATTAAGACATAAGTTAAGTTTTATTCATCTTTTTATTATCTAAGACATGTATGCTTACAGGAACATAATAGGTTTGCATAAATTTTATTAAACACATAAAGGCAGTCTATAGAAAATATCGTTTTCAGGACAAGAAATAATCATCTACTTTAGGAATCTGAGTAACCACTGGAAATCTCTGTGTTCTATTAATCTGAACAGTTGCTATTACAGGCAACAGAAATGCAAATTTGTTTGAGTAAATAGAGGGGACTTAGGGTGGCATATGTGGGTTAACAGGCACCAGGCAAACACAACAGGATCACAAGCGATGTTGTCAGGATCTATTGTCCTTGCTCCATCTTTTGAATCTGCTTTCTTCTGTGTTGGAGTTCTTAAGGCCCTCTGCTCATGTCAGGAAAGATGTCAATAGCAGCTACAAGCGTATGGGATTTACCAGCTAGCAATTCCAAGAAATAATATATTTCCCAAGTAAAGCCACTAGGAAGGCTCAATTCAGCCCATTTCTGACTCAATTCCTGAGGCTGGGAGGATGAGCTCCTCTAAGATTCCAGGCCTGGGCATGATCACACCTCTGTAATGAGGGCATGTTCACACCTCTGTAGTGAGGTGTAATGACGGGGGCAGCTCTCCTCCACCACCTGGGCTGGTGCCCATCATGTAGGAAGGTTTGTTTCAGAAGACCAGAGGATGAATATTGGGGCAGGCAACAGGTAAGAGATGTTTGCAAAATCATTGTTTTCATAATTTTGAATGTCCTATACTTTCAATTGTAACATGATTGCCTGACATCAATTCAAAACCCTGAGCTCCCTAGAGAGCTCAGTTGGTGTTGCTGTTCTCTTTACTCTTTCTTTAGCCATGAGCTTCAACTAGTTCTCAGCTCAAGTCTTACAGCTCCTCTTTTGTTTCTTTATGTTGAGGAGCGGGGGAAGATTACATTCAACTTCAGACAGCTTGGAAAAAGTTAGAAGCAAAAGATGAATCTGAATGCTGTCTGATAGTCCATTTTTAATCAGAGGAGAGCAATTTTCCCTTCTCAAAGAATGTCTCTTCACATCAGGTATTTGGCTTCTAGGTGCTTGCTGATTAATTACTTACATTTACATAACATTAATCTCCTTTCTAACAATTTAGCAGGCTTCCAGCCGTTTTCCCCGCCTCATCAGTCTGGCAGAACATCCTCGATCTTAAAAGAGCCACAACTACTTTTGCAATGTGTAGATTTTGAAAACTTACTTAAATAAAACAGAATAAAAATCTTAAGCAAAGCTATAAATGATTATATCTTCCATGTATATTAGGTAGATATCTGAATGAAATGCTTGGTCTACACACTTTATTTTGAGTTGTGTATATGGAAAATATCTTCCCTTCTGTTTTGAAATTCCTTCCTTGAATTCTTTCCCAGAATCTTATTCATTCATTCTAAGCTCAGCTCCAATAACACCTCCTTTTGGAGGACCTTCCAGAGCCTCCTGGTCACTTGATATCTTTCATTACAATTCCACATCACTATTTGGGATTACATTCATGCATTCATTCAACAGAAATTTATTGAGCTCTTCCAATGTTAACCCCTATGTAGGTGCTGGGGGCAAAAATGTGATGAAAAACAGAAATAGTCTCTGCTTTCCAGAACCCTCAGTCAAAAGGGATGTGTAAGGTATAGTGACTGTGATGTCACAAAGATAGGAATTTAGCCAGGAGGAAATACTTGCATTAGATCTTGAGGAATAAGCCCAAGTTCACCACACAAGTAAAGAATGGGGTTGGCAGTACTGTCCTTACATGGGCCAAGAAGGGTACCCCATGCTTTCAGGATCCTGCTGTGTCCTTTCTCTAGCTCTGCACCACCCTATGTTTCTGCTTTCTAGAACCGGTTTCAACCACCCAGTGCCCCAGAGTTCCCTACCCAAACATCCCCAAACTCCCTTCCAGGCCTGCACTGGACTTTTCCCCAAGTCCGTACTCTTAAAGGCCAGAATGTGCTGATAGTGTGTGTACCCTAGGCCCAAGCTTTGGGGTGATGTTGGGGAGGGTGAGTGGAGCTTAGATTAAGTGGTCCATACATCTATACCCAAAAGCGTTTGTTGAATTGGAGAAAGCCAGGGAGCAGAGAGCAGTGGAGCGGGCTGGCATATTCTACAGCAGTAAGTTCCAGCATGGAAAAATCCAAGGAGCCTGAAAATTCTAAATCTGAGCTTGGCCTTCAGGTCATTATGAAGATATATTTGTCACATAGGAAGACAGAATGCATTTTTACATAACAGTTTGTTGGCTTGATTTATAACTTTTAAATGTATGCATGTTTGATAGGTGTGCTTCCATTTATGCTCTTGCCTTGGGCTGCAGAAATGTTAGGGCAGGCCTGGAAGCAAGGCACAGAGATGGTTCTGAGCCGACAGAAGAGAGACAGAAAGGTCCAGAGGTGTAATTTGGGAATCCAATCACAAGCAGGTTGGTGTGACCACAGAATGACTTGGAAATTGGCTAGTTATGCATGTGTTCATCTTTCCCTCCAGACGGTATATTCTCTGAGGTCAAATGCCATGGAACATTCATTCCTGTGTTTGGCAGAACATTTTATACAGAGTAAGCCCTCAATTTATGGTAGATGAATTCATGTTGAACTAATGAGGTGATATACATTACTTAGAGGGAAACCACAAATACACTTACACTTTCCACCATTAACTTATCATTAAGACAGCTGTAGTTAAATCAATAATAAAACCTTAATTTATATCAACTGATACATGTTACATGTGGAGTGGGTCTATGCTATTTTGGTTTAGTCACAGATAACTGGTAATAAGTAAAATAAGAAAAACAAAAATGTGGCTAATATGCAAGTGTTGTGTCTCAGTTTACTTTTCTAAAAAATAGGGGCTTATTGTGCTAACCCAAGCCACTATAGGCAGGAACGTGACCATGCATCGAGCACTCAGAGGGGCAGGCATTCTAGGAGATAGATCTCCAATGAGAGCTTGGCACCCTCTGACCCTCTGACCTGTTCACAAGGCCCAGCCATGTTCACTGTTGAGTGCAGGGTCTTTCCAACACAGTTTAGAATGAATTGTATGTGTAAGATTTCTAAGTTTTTGAATGTTCTTTTTTTCTTTCACAGGCATAAGGCAGCCAAGAAGGATGAGCCGGTGATCTCTGCAGTCTGCCCATAACTCCACACAAAACTTTACCCATTGTCACAGGAGAGTATAAGCATAGCATAAAGATCCTCGTAGATGGACTTTCAGCTCCATGCTTAAAGCAACTGACAAGAATCCATTTCTTTTCAGTGTACAAGTGAAGGGTAAAAGACAGAGAAGGAAGATAGAGCATAGGAAAAAGAGTGGGGTGGTGAGTGAATGATAAATAGGTGGCAGTCCTGTGTACGATAAAGATCTCCCTGAACTCCTATCATCCCATTCCCTTCTCTGCCCTCTAGGTACCATCTGTGCATGTGGACACTGACACCACAACCGCATATCTGCTTACCTCTTGCAGTGCTCTGTAGTCTGCACCTACTATGAAGTCCTTCCATCTCCTTGCACACATCATTTCTCTCAGCTCTGCACTTTGGCACATGGAGTTCCCTTTTCTCCTCTCTTCCTCCCACCTGCCTCTTCAAATGGTGACATCTTACTCACCCCTCCCATCTGATCACAATGCTCAGGGATGCTCCCTTTGGCCTTTCGATCCTGGTTAGTTACCCTTTGGCCTGCTTCCATAGTTTCCTATATTTCCCCCATAATAGCATTAGTACATGATATTGCAAATTTCTGTTTACTTATGTGTATCTTGCACTAGACTGAAAGCTCTGTGAAGATAAGGAACTGTGCCCTCACAGCCTTGCTCATGTTCTCCACAGATATTTGTCCATTCATTTGTTGAAGAAATGGTTAAATAAAGGAATGAATGACTAAAGACCAGGTTGGCAGGTAAGCTTATGGTGGGATGCTGTGCTTTGACTGTTTGTGCCCCCACAAAATGCATATGTTGAAATCCTACCTGCCAAGATGATAGGATTAGAAAGTGGGATTTTTAGGGAGATCATTAGGTCATGAGAATTGAGCCTCATGAATGGTATTAGTGCCCTTATAAAAGGGGCCAAGAGAATTATTTGCCCTTCTGCCATGCGAGGACACAGTGAGAAGGTACCATCTATGAACCAGAGAATGGGCCCTCACCAGACACCAAATCTGTTAGTTTCTTGATCTTGGACTTCCTAGCCTCCAGAACAGTTAGAAATAAATTTCTGGTGTTTATAAGCTACCTACTTTCTGGTATTAGGTGTTCTGTTATAGCAGCCCAAATAGATTAAGATGTGGAGCCTAAACTTTACATTCATTTATTTAGGTGAAAGCCAGGGCAGGGGCCTGGGGCAGCAGGCAGAGACACAGCTCTCACAAATGCAAGAGGAAGACGAATCAGGCACTCGTCTGTTCTTCAAAGGATACAGAATGGTTTTATTGACCACCTGTACATGTGATGGCTTTCATCCTGGAGGAGAAGGGCATATCCACACCTACCGAATATCTGTTTCACAGGCAATGTGCCAATTATTTACATGCATAATCTCAGTAAATCCTTAGACAACTCTGTGGAGGCATTTACTGATATCTCCATTTTACCCAGGAGGACACTGAGGTCCAGAGAGATTAAACCATTTGTCTGAGGTCACACGGCCAGTGAAATTTTGATGCAGGATTTAAATCCAAGTCTGTCTCTTACCACTGTATCATGCTGTTTTCAGAGGTGAGGGGAGGTGTCTTAAGAGTACCATATGGCTTCTGCCACTGGGGAGACCACTGTCAAATTCCAAGAGGAAGATCATGAGGGTCTCAACTGAATTACTGAAGGGGAGATTGTGTGAGAAGAGACAGATTTAAGACTTATCTGCAGGGTAGAAATTGGATTGGTGAACTTAATACAATGTTTCTTTATTCATTCATTTATTCATTTCAATATTCACTGAGTTTTATTATGTGTCAAGACACTGCATTTAGTTGGCCCAGGGAAGAATAAATGTGAATAGGACACTGCATTCAATGAATGCTGATTCTAGAATGAGCAGCAAACTAAATCCAGTAATGATATTACAGCATCACCACATACTTTCAATTCTACCTCTTAAATATCTCAATCTATTTCTTCTTTTCTACCCTCACTGACATGTGGTTCACAGACCTCATTATCTCTCACCCGTTGCTGTAGCAGTCTCATACCAGGCCTTCCCATCTTGTATGTGGCACTAACTCGAGTATAAGGCCATTTCATGGTTTTCTGCCAAGAATTGTTTTCTCAGCTCATTGGCAAAACAAACACAGCTTCAGTTCCTAACCTGAAAAGTTTATGCATGAAGAATTTAAAATATTAGTAATCTTTTATTTAACGTATATTTTTTGAACACCTACTATGTGTGAAGTCTTGAGCAGGCACCAAGTATGTCACTGCAAGAGGCATGGCCTGTCTTTGAGGGAGGTACAGACAAGTAAATAGGCAACCCTAATACAGTGCTATAAGTGTAAATGCCTAAAATAGTTTAATGGGGTAAATTTTGGTAGAATATAGGAGGGGCATTTCTTCCAAACTAAGAGTCAGATGGAGGAAGTGACATTTAAACAAAAAAAATGAGAGAAATATGTATGTTTGGAGATGCTCTCCAACAGAACCTTTCATCCTACTCAAAAATATTTTGAATGTATCTTTTGAGATATAGGGAGCTAGAAACATTAAAGAAAATATTGTGCTATTTTTTTCTGGAACTTGAAAACAGAACAGATTGTAAGATGGGGAATGTTTCCTCACTAATGACTTTAATAAAAACTCAAAATCTACTTGTCAGCTTTAATATTCAGAGGCATGTTATGAGGGCGCCAACTAAATTGTATCTTTCTAATCCTTTTCTCAGTCATCTTTTATCCTTCCTATCCCCTTTGTTGAAAGAACTGCCAAAGCTAATTCCCTATCCTGGAGTTTAGGTTGATAAATGGAAAGATTATTTCCACTGGGAATATTGATAGGCTCCAGGTCTTGACGCTTGGGTTTTGAAAGAGGATGCTGCTTTTGTTAATGGAAATTCATGAGTACTTGGAACACAGTGATACAATAATTCCTAAGTCTGGGGTCAACAGGGACCTATGTTTGTTGGCAGGAGGCACCGGCTCAAATCAAATCAGCAGTAACATTAAGACCATCAAAATCAAGAGCTCTTAAAGTGGTGCCATATACAAGTTTGATGCATAGCTATAAATGATGTAGCTGCTTGAAGTCACAGAATCTGTCTGTGGTGCTTTTGTTACCTCTACTTTCTCCATCTGAACTGAGCTGAACACCACCTAAGTCTGATCATGAGTTTCCTGTTCCATAATGGGACCAACACCAAGGACTCTGTCCACTGATTTGCTGCAACCATAACATTTGCTCCCCCCTTCTCTTTTTCAAGTATTTCTCACAATAAAATAAGTACTTCTCCATTCCACAGTTGGGATATATATTCAAAAAGTTGAGATATATATCTCAACTGTATAATGACAGGTGACTTTTTCCCTTACTTTATAAATTGAGGTTGAAAAGTTAACTAATATGGAGATGAGTACATACCTACTAAGTTGGATCTGGGATTTAAATCCAAAGTGTTTGACTCCATACTCTGCGCACTGACTTTGTTACTCCAATATAGATCGGGCAGCAAGCCAGACAAAAATCCCAGCTTCAGTTTCTGGCTCATGAGGTTGACCAACAATATTTAAGTTAAAATCAGTGAGCAGGATGGTAGAACACAGGACTTAGCAAATCAGATTTCCTATCAGACTGGTGGTTTATACTGTTTCTATGATATGGGTAAGTTGCTGGCTCATTAAATTTCTCAGTTTCTATTCTTTTGTTTGTTTTCCAACAAGGACTACAGTCATTTATGCTATTGCTCTTTTGTTTCATTCATTAAATAATAATAATAATAATAATAATAATAATAATAATAATAATGAAATGAAGTGGCACATTGGAAGTAGGACTATTATTTCATGTCATTGCCCTTCTAATGGCAGGTAGTCTTTAAGAATGGTCTTTCCCAGGCCTAGCAGGCCAGTTGGTGTAATAACTACCTTTGAATTCAGAATTTTAGACACAGTCACTATAATGAGCAAGGTCAACCAGATGTCTGTTTAATGATGGTCTACCAGATGCTGATTGGATAGTGATTAGTCACATGGAAGGATGGGTAAGATCAATTGGAAAAAGATTCAGATTTACAGAGATGCTTAAACTTTGTATGTTTGTGGGATGTGTTTAGTAGTCAGTTTGGGAGGAAAGAGAGCCAGGGAGAAGCCTGAAAATATATACATATTCCCATTCATATGAATTCTCTCTCTCTCTCTCTGTCTGTCTCTTTCATTTGTCATCTGAGAATCCCAACCTTAGACATCTCAGAGTCCAGCAACAACCTGAACTTTAAGATCATTTCCAGTCTTGGGAGATTTATTTGGGATGTTCTGAAATTACTATGAGCTTTCCAGGAACTCCCTAGCCAAGAAAACATGACTAGGATCTGACATTGCACAGTTTGATCTGATGAGCCCTAGAGTCCTAAGTCATTTTGACATTACTTCTAACATACAGTTTGATAAAGGAGAAGAGAATGGTACAACCCAGATAGCATCTTAGAAACTCACACAATTAGATTCATAACTCCATTTTCTGAAGAACTATAAGGTAAATGGAGAAAGAGAAAGGGACTCCTTCCTTCTACATTGGAATAGAAATCCAAATCCAAACTAACTAGACTGCTTACTAGCAATCCTAGAATCAAGCTAATTCATTGTTTTACTTAAGTACCATCAAAATAAGCATCATAATAGAAAGAAGGAGGACATAGAGAAAAGAGAAGCAAAGAAAAAAGCCGATCAACTAGGATGTGAAACTTGGAAGGACTGTAATTAAAGAAGATTTCAAAGCTGAAGTGAGCATTTGATGAGAGTATTCATTCTCAGTCTTGGGGAACACAAAAATATCTGGGAATGTTCACACAAAAATCTATACATGAATGTTTATAGAGGCTTTATTTGTAGTTGCTGGAAACTGGGAGAAAAAAACATTCCTCAGTTGTGGAACAAATAAACAAACCATGGTACATCCATACAACAGACAATAAAAAGGAATTGTATTAGTCTGCTTTGCATTGCTATAATGGAATACCTGAGACTGGGTAATTTATGGAGAAAAGAGGTTTATTTGGCTCACAGTTCTGCAGGCTGTACAAGATGTATGGCATCAACATCTGCTTGGCTTCCAGTGAGGCCTCAGGAAACTTGCACTCATAATAGAAAGAGGCATGTCACATGGTGAGAGAGGGAACAAGAGAGAGAGAGGGGAGGGAGGTGCCAGACTTTTTAACAATCAGATGTTGTGGTAACTAGTAGAGCAAGAACTCATTCATTATTGTAGGGAGGGCACCAAGACATTCATGAGGGATCTGTTCCCATGACCCAAACACCTCCTAGTAGGCTCTGCCTCCAATATTGGGGATCACATTTCAACGTGGATTTGGAGAAGACAAACATTCAAACTTATATCAGGAACAAACTACTAATATATACAATAACACAAATGAATCTCAAATGCATAATGCTAGTGAAAAGAAAAGTCAAATTTCGCATAGTTCATTTATAAGACATTCCAGAAAAGGTAAAACTCGAGGGACAGACAACAGTTTACTGGTTAACAGAAGCTGAGAATGGTGGGAAGCACTGACTACAAAATAGCATGGGGGAATTTTTTGGAGTGATGCAAGTAATTTACATCTTGATTGTGGTGGTAGTTACATGAATATATCTTCATTAAAACTCACAAAATTGTACATTAAAAAGTGTAAATTTTGTTGCACATAAATTATATCTTGATAGAAAACAGTCACCTGGGAAATTTTTTTAAATAGCAGTGCCAGGGCCTATGGTAGACCAATTAAATCAGAATCTCGAGGGGCACTGGTAATTTTTTTAAGCTTCCCAGTTAAGAATGCCTGAGATAGAGTGGGGAAAGGTGGGTGGGGGCTCAGGGACAATTAGATCGACTATCACAAACACAGACTCTTCCTAAGGTTGAAGACTTCTTAAGTGGAGTAGGCTCCAGGACCCCATGGAACTCCAGCTTTCTTGACAGGACATAGTGTAGTATCCCTGTCTTCCCATGGGAGGCATTCTTGGAGACCCATTATTTAAACAAAACTCCTCCTGTATCTACCACTGACAGCATCCTAGAGGCTCAAATCTTCACAAGGAATCAAATCAAGTATAACAACATTTAGGTTTGAAGCCTCTGAATTGGTTTATGCTAGAAAAAGATTCAAGGTGGGGGGCCCAATCCCAATATGGTAGAAAAAGATGCAGGGTAGGAAGGCCTAACAATTCAGGGAAAAAAAATCTCCATACAACCCTAGAGATATTTTTCTCTACCATAAACAGCCTTTAAAGATTATGACAGGTCAATATCATTACAGATGTAAAAAGCTGCTTCAGCTTTCTGAAAGCTTTGTCCATCACTGAAGTCTCATTAAAGTGTTACTGCTTCTTGAGTTCAATAATTATAAATATTTATAAATAATTATTTATAAATAATTTTAATAATTTATAAATAATTCAAAAATTATAAATAATTATAAATTATACAATTTATAATTATTCAATGGAATAATTAGAGCAGTTCACTACTCTGAATTTGTACCCATAAAACTCAGTTTTTTGGAAGGACTCTATGTGGAGAAGCTACTTAAACAAGAGAAAGCATGCATGAGCTTGTGCAAAATGGCCCAGACATGAGTTGCTATCAGTGATGTCTCTCTGGGCCAGGTGAGTTTGTGGCATGTTGATAGTTGTACCATGCTCAGTTGACAAGTTTGCTCAGTGTCTCAATGTATACATCATGGCATGCACTCAGCTGGAGAGTTGGGCTTTCTAGATAAGACCTGCCAGTCCCCATTAAACTTCATGCAGAGGGAAGTATTAAATAAGGATGAATCTTGGGCAAGGAGGTAGAGTTTAGCCACACACTGACTCAGAAGTGCACAGGATTTCATCCTTATGGAAACCAATAAATATTCTCGTAGTTGCTTGCTTGTAGGCTGAACTTTGATAAGTGGTACTGTTGCTGCATGTGGGACCAACCCATGTTTCACTGTATGAGCCAGGTCCAACAACTAGAGGGCCAATGAATAAGATTTTCAAACTGGAAAACTGGATAACTAGACGAGAAAATTAAAAGGGGAGACAATATGGAGCATACCACAGCTAGTTGCAGAACAGGATTTTTTTTTTTTTTTTTTTTTAATTTATGGACTGGGATCCTCCTTCCACATTGAGGACAGTCCTAGAGCATCTAAACAATCCTTGGAAATATTCTGGACCATGGGCTACATCACTGAGTTGTTCTTTCTATAATGGGTATTGCCCTTTATCCCTTGTTCCTAATTAATCCAACTCAGGCACAAACATACCTTGCTATAAGGATACCAAATTATTACAGTTTTCTTCCTTTATGGGAAAAATGGAGCAGCTTGCCATAATTCTGTCTCAAGAAAAGATTTATAATACAAGTCCCCTAGCACTAGCTCATTTTCATGATCATACATTGTTCTGGAGAGTGATATTTTATTTTAAATGCATCGTATCAAAAGTACAGCAGACAGATGTAGCCTTCTCATCTTACACATCTTTCCACAATGAATCCTGGAGTCAACATTTCTCACAGTTGTGACTATAAAGATACCGTTGAAATACTCGTAAGAAAAAAAAATACTTACAACCCCAAAGCCCATAAGGTATTGTTTTAAGAAGCATTTTGATAATTTTGTAGATTTTTCTCTGATACCTAATTAAGACAAATTAAAAGTATCCTATCTCAAAACCAACTACCAAAGCCGCCCCTGGACTTGCTCCAGGCTCATGGATTGAATGTGCACAGAATGGGATGCAGTTCCACTGAGGCAGAAGACAGAGCTGGCTGGGGCTGATTAAACGAACACCATAGGGAAGGCCACAGGGGATCCTTCTAATGTAACAGCTACAGCAGAGACAGGCAGAAGAAAGGCAGTCAGACTGACTCCTGTTAAAACAAGGATCAGGCAGGATGGTAATGAAGCTGGATTTTACATACTGGAATTTTTACATGAGATAGAGGCAAACCTGACTACAGCTTGACAGGTAAAGTTTATGCTTGTGGTGCTGTTCTCTCTCATGGGCCCATTTCACTGTTGGGGTGGTATTCTGCAAAATGTACAGTTGTTTAAATATTCTGATATTTGTTCTCATAAAATACCCATGAGTCTCTGATTCCATGATTTTCTCCTTAACTCTCTCCCCCATACAAAGTTTCTTGTCCTGAATCACATTTTTCTCTGAGTTTAGGAAGGCAATTCAGCATGACGGTGGGAAACCTGAGGTTTGAATTTGGACATGTCTGTGTTTAGTCCTGCCCCACACTTACTAACTATAGAACAGAGGTAAGTTCCTCCAGCTCTGTGGGCTTCTTTTCATTCATCCATAAAATAATGGAAATACACCAACTGTACCTACCTCAAAGTTTTTATGTGAACATAAAACCATTAAAGCAAATGACGGGTGGTTGCTGAGCCTGACACACTAAATTCTCAATAAACCATAGTTACCCTTGATAGTATTGCTGTTAAGGAGCCACAGGTGTCTTTATCCAGGGCTAATGAAGCATTTAAATCACTATTGCCAGGAATTTTTCTAAGCTTGACCAAGCAGTTTCTAAGGCTCATCTCTTAGTTAACTAGGACTCCTGGTGGGGGAGAAACCAGCTTGTTCAGCTTCTGTGCACACTCCTCTTGCTGGTGTCAGTACTGTGTCCCTGCACTTAACTCATGTCTCCTCACCTCTATGCCCCAATCAGTGAAATCAATGCTTCAAAGAGATATTTTGCCTTCATCATGAAGATGCTGGGAACTCTTCAAATTCCTTCACTGTCTATTAGTAGCTCCCACTTGGAGACCCAGTCTTGTTTTTAGCTGTGGGATTCTAATCCAATAAGACAAATATTTATTGAGCTCATGACCCTTAAGTTGATTCATTAGTCAGGGTTCTCCAGAGAGACAGAACCAATAGGATGATGGATAGATAGATAATTGATAGATAGATAGATAGATAGATATGGAATTTATTAAGGAAATTGGCTCATATGATTATGAAATAGTCAGTCCCATGACATATAATTTGTAAGCTGGAGATCCTGGGATGGCCATAGTGTGGTTCAGTTCAAGTTAGAAATCCTCAGAGCCAGGTAAGTTGATGGTATAATTGTCAATCTGAGGCCAAAGGCCTTAGAACCCAGGGGTCCACTGGTATAAGTCCTGGAGTACCAAAGCTGGAGAACCTGAAGTTCTGATGTCCAAGGGCAGGATGAGGAGAGCCTCCCAGCCCCAGGAGAGAGAGAGACAGAGAGAGAGAGAGAGAGAGAGAGAGAGAGAGAAACCCTTTCTCTCCTTTTTTGTTTAATCTGGGCTCCTAGCTGATTAGATGGTGCTTGCCCACATAGAGGGTGGATCTTTCCTACTCAGTCCATTGACTCACATGCCAATCTCCTCTGGAAACACACTCACAGACTCATCCAGAAGAAATGCTTTACCATTTCTCTAGGTATTCCTTAATTTAGTTAAGGTGACACCTAAAATTAACCATCACAGTTGAATAATGGACATTCTTGATGATGAACCAGCATTTGTTTATCCTCTCCTGCAGGGCTTTGGATTTTTTTGTTTGTTTGTTTCATTTTTGTTGTTGTTTTTTATAACTGGCCACTTTTTTTTAATAACTGGTTGACTTTCTAGCTCTTTTTCTTTTTGGGATAGACCATCCATTCACAATTGAGACCCAGTTCAAAGTGATTGTTCCTGTTTTAACCAAATCTATATCAATAATAGCAGCTTCTTGTGCTACCTCTCACAGAAGACCTAGGAATTGTTTAATATGTTCCTTTTCCTCTGTATTTCCTATAAATTGGTAGTTAAATACGGAGATTTGATTGGATTCAGACTGATATTTTCCCTCAAGAATACTTAGTAAGTGGCATTGTGTGCCTCCATCAGAAGAAACTTAATATTTGGTTTATCTTTTAGTAGCCAATGTTAATAGTACTAGTGTTAGTGACCAATGATAATAATTTTCTAGATCTATTAATTCATTAAGGGTTGAGAAAGGTTGATATAGTCTAGTTGTATCATTCCATCTTCATTTATTATTTGAAAAACTTCTATAAAGAGAGATTATCTCCTTACTAATGCTTTAGTTACCTAAGGTATTTTATAGAGAAAAGGCAGAATAAATGTTTGATCTTATTCCCCTTCATTTTTTTGTTTTCAAGTAATTGATTGGCTTCTTTGTTTTCTCTAACATAGGCCAGTAAAGGCTTGTTGTTAGTATTATTATGAATTCTTGCGTTTAAACCTATTTGATATTTGTCAGTCCATTGGAGTTATTATCCTTATTGATGCATAAGGTGCACCAGCTGTGGCTAATGGGATCCCCTTTAAGTTGGCTCCCAACATTTTTTTTTGGCATTGTTCCAAGAGTTTTTTTACAGCCACCTTGCTATCTGGCATGGCAAGATGTTCCAGGCTTTGCTGTGCATCTTCTGTCTAACTTTATACCGCTTACAAGAGATAATAAAAGGTCACAGAGAGGGTAAGTAAAATGGTGAAATAAGGATATAATATGAAAACATAAACCAGAACAAAAAGCAGTGTAGCTCTACCAGAATCAGATAACCTTTAAGGCAAAAAGCAATTCCAAAAGTAAGAAGAACATGTAGCAATACAAAATGTGTATGTACCTAATATCATAGCTTCAAAATATATAAAGCAAATTTGATAGAAATGGAATGAGAAATAGGCAAATTCACAAACATGGCAACAATTTTTAACACATCTATCTCAGTAACTGATAAAACAAGCTGAAAATACATCACGACAATCTGTGCCTTAGCTGTCACATGACATTCTTCCTGAGCATATCTGTGTCTTTGTGCCCAAATTTCCCACTTCTTGTAAGAATACCAGTCACTAGATTAGGGCTTTTCCTAGTCTAGCATGACCTGATCTTAACTTGATTATATCTACAAAGACTCTATTTCCAAAGAAGGTGATATTCAGTTACTGGAGTTTAGGACTTCAATTATCAGTGTATCTTTTGGGTGGACACAATGTAACTCAAAATAATACCTAAAGACAAAATACATTTTTTTAACTTTTATTTTAAGTTTAAGGGTGCATGTGTAGGTTTGTTACATAGGTAAACTGTGTCATGGAGGTTTGTTGTATAGATTATTTCATCACCCAGGTATGAAGCCTCATACTCATTAGTTGATTTTCTTGATATTCTCCCTCCTTCCACCCTCCACCCTCCAAAAACGTCCCAGTGTGTGCTCCCTTCTGTGTCCCTGCGTTCTCATCATTTAGCTCCCACTTGTAAGTGAGAACATACGATATTTGGTTTTCTGTTCCTGAATTAGTTTACCAAGGATAATGGCCACCAGCTCTATCCATGTTCCTATAAAGGACATGAACTCATTATTTTTTTATGACTGCATAGTATTCCATGGTACATATGTACCACATTTTCTTTATCCAGTCTATTATTGAAGGGCATTTAGGTTGATCCCACGTCTTTGCTATTGTGAATAGTGCTGCAATGAACATATGCATGCATGTGTCTTTACAATAGAATAATTTACATTCTTTTGAGTGTATACCCAGTAATGGGGCTGCTGGGTCTAATGGTATTTCTGTCTTTAGGTCTTTGAGGAATCACCACACTGTCTTCCACAATGGCTGAACTAATTTACACTCCTACCAACAGTGTATAAGCATTTCTTTTTCTCCACAACCTTGCCGTCATCTGTATTTTATTTTATTTTATTTTATATTTTATTTTAGAGTCTCCCTCTGTCACCAGGCTGGAGTGCAGTGTGCAATCTCAGCTCACTGCAACCTCCACCTCCTGGGTTCAAGCAATTCTCCTGTCTCAGCCTCCTGAATAGCTGGGACTATAGGCGCTTGCCACCATGCCCAGCTAATTTTTGTATTTTTAGTAGAGACGGAGTTTCACCATGTTGGCCAGGATGGTCTCCATCTCTTGAACTTGTGATCCACCCACCTCAGCCTCCCAAAGTGCTGGGATTACAGGCGTGAGCCAATGTGCCTGGCCTCTGTTATTTTTTGACTTACTAATAATAGCCATTCTGACTGGTGGTAGATGATATCTCATTGTCATTTTGATTTGCATTTCTCTAATGATCAGTAATGTTGAGCTTTTTTTCATATGATTGTTGACCGCATGTATGTCTTCTCTTGAAAAGTGTCTGTTCATGTCCTTTGCCCATTTTTTTATGAGGTTACTTGTAAATTTGTTTATAGATGCTGAATATTAGACCTTTGTTGGATGCATAGTTTGCAAAATTTTTCTCCCATTCTGTAGGTTGTCTATTTCCTCTGTTGATCATTTCTTTTGCTCTGTGCAGAAGCTCTTTAGTTTAATTAGATCTGTCAATTTTTGCTTTTGTTGCAATTACCTTTGGCATCTTTGTTATAAAATCTTTGCCTGTGCCTATGTCCTAAATGGTATTGCCTAGGTTGTCTTCCAGGGTTTTTATAGTTTTACACTTTATATTTAAGTTAAAGACAAAATATTAAAAACATTCTTCCTTAGATCATAAATGAGGCAAAGATGTGTACTATTACTACTCCTATTCAATAATTTATTGCATTGCATGGTGCAATAAGGCAAGAAATAAAAGGCATGGAGTTTAAAAATAAAGAAATGAAGAGTGATAGGTTTTATATATAACAAGATTATGTACATATAACATGTAAAATAATTTATAAACTATTAATAAGTAAATTTAGTGACACCATTGAGAAAAAGTCAATGTATAAAATCAATTGCATTTCTAAACACTTGCAACAAAAAATCAGAAAATAAAAAACTTTGTATAAATATAAGTTAGCCTAAGAAAATTTTTAACAAAAATATGCATAGTTTTTCTGCAGAAAAATAGAAAACATTCTCAAATAAATTTTAAGTGACTTCAGTAAATAAAAATATACAGCATATACTTGGACAGTAACACTCAATATTTTAAAAATAACTATTGTCTCTATATTGATCCAAAGAGTTAATGAAATTCTAATGAAAGTCTCAGCAGGTCTTTTATTGTTGCTGAAATTGATAAACTGTTTTGAAAATTTAAATGGGAATCAGACTATCAAGAACAGCTAAGAATATCCAACAGCAAAGTTGGATGACATATTACCTGATATCAAAACTTATTACTGTATACACATGCAGTAATTGAGACCATGTAATATTGGTGCAAAAATAAAAAAAAGAGACCAGCAGAATGGAACAGAGAGAATAAAAAGAGATCCACATATACATATTTACTCGCTCTGTGACAAAAAAGCCACTGTAGCAGAGCGGGAAAATAACGGCCATTTCAATGAATTCTGTTGGGTCAATTGCCTATTTATGTAAAAATAATTTAAATGTTACTCTGCACAAAAATAAATTTCATGTCTCAATGAGGAAGCCAAAAAATAAAACTGCTGAAAGATAACATTGGTGGAGATCTTTATAAAATTGGGATTGACAAAAATTTCTTAAAGAAGATAAAACAGTGTTAACTTAAAGATTAAAAACTTGATAATTTGAACTTTGCTAAAATTAAGAATCTCTATTCAGCGAAAGACACAATTAAAAGAGTGAAAAAAGCAAGTAATAGAGTGGGAAAAGGTATTTCCTGTACACATATTTGACGAAATATATTTCAAAAAAGATAAACTCATAATCATCAATAAGAAAAAAAGGCAATTCCATAGAGAATCAGGCAAAATATTTAAACATAAACTTTATAAAAGTGGACATATAAATATTCTTTAAACAAATGAAAAGTACTAATTATCATCAGATAAATAAAAATTAAAGCCACAATGAGATATTGTAATGCATCCATCAGAATGAGTAAAATTAAAGGCTGATAATACAACAGAAATGCATACATATAGTGCACATACCAAAAGATATATATATATATGGTTGGTGCAAAAGTAATTGTGGTTTTTGCCATTAAATGTAATGCCATTATATGTATGCATTTCTGTTGAATATTCACAATAGCAACATTCTAATATTCAAAAACTGGAAACAACTCAAATGGCATAAAAATAAAATTAGTAAATAAAATGTGAATTTTTTTAAAAATGAAGTACTATTCAGCATGAAAAAACCAATTACTATGCTATGCAACAATGTGGATAAATCTCATAGACACGCTGTTAATCAAAAGAAGCCAGATATGAAAGAATGTATACTGTATGTGTTCTATCATTTACAGTTCAAAAACAGGAAAACCTATGCTATAGCAATGACAGTTAAAAAACAGCGGTTAATTTTGTAGAAGTTGTAACAATTATGAGGGGCCACAGAGGAGTTTCTATGCGGTATTAATGTTCTGGTTAATGTAATGGTTACAATAATGGGTTCACTTTGCAAAATTCATGGTTGCTATAGCCTTAAAATTTTTGCATTTTTCTCTCTATGTGTATTATACTTTAATGAAAAGAACTTGGGAAATATGCATAGGTGGCAATAATTATAAGGGTATTAGAACAGAAAGGAAGACATTTAATTTCAGATTAGGTGGATTTTATCAGTATGGGTGCACTTACCATATGGTCTGCATTTAATGTACTTGCTTGAGCAGTTGGAATAGGTTTAAATTGTTTGGTCATTTGAATGCTGATATCCAGACTCAATATGACCTACATAAAATGAAGCTGAGATTCTATACATCAGTTTTGTAATTGCAATGTGGAATTATCTGGGGAATTTTGAAAAATACTTTTGCTTGGATCCCACTTCTAAAAAGTCTTGGATAGAGGTACAACTTGTACGACAGGATTTTTAACTCCCCACCTGACACTAACGAGCTGACAAGGTTGAAATATAAAGAAAGAAATCCAATAACTTATAAAGACAGGTGTGTAGGATAAGTGAGATTTATCCCTTAACTAGAACCACCCCCTCAATCTTCCACAAGAGTCTCAGAAAATGCTCACTTCACAGTTACATAGAGAAATACATTGGTGAAGGGAGCACCAGCATTTTCAAAAAGAACTTTAATAGCTGTTTCCTGTTGATAAGGATGTGGGTAAGAGATGTCATCATTGAAACAGGCTGTATAATTTCAATGGAGATGGTGGGATCCTGAGTAGAGAGAGGCCAAGTAGTAGCACTTACCCAATAAAGACAAGATTGAAATTGTTATTATAATAGACCCCAGGGCTGGGGTTGATAAGCAAATAATCTAATCAACACAGATCTCTGGTACTGCTTAATTAATTATAAAGCCATTAGGACTAAACTAGATGGTCAGTCTAAGGTACCTGCATAATTATATATATATATATTTTTTTTGTTTGTTTGTTTTTACAAAAAAAACCCTCTAGAGCTGACCGACAGAAGTCTGACTGGAGCCATGGTAAAAGTGAAATAAACTTATTAAAATCTCAGACCTGTGTTAATTCACACATCCAGAGTTCTTTGTCTAAATGGAAGTCTAGTATACTTGAGGTAATAGCACAAGTTTGTTGTATGACACTGTCTCTCTGCTTCCTTAAAGGACCTATGGCCCAAGTGTGCATCATAATTTCCTCTCTGTCCTTTTCTAAAGGTACCAGGGTATCTATACATTAGAAAAAAATACCCTGTACAATGTACCAAGGTATCTGTACATTGGAAAAATTACACAGATATTTTAAGACTTTCTGAACTTTGATTTTGAACTAATTGCTTGATTCCTGGGAACCCAGATGCCACTCTGCTTCAATAGTTATGTAAGTGATAAATGTTTAAGGTTTGTCCAGGATTTATACTATAGTGTGAATCTATTTGTCTAGTTCTTGAGTATTTACTCAGGAAGGAGTTTACTCAGTAATTGGCAAAAGTACCATATCAGCTCCTTGATCCATGGCAAAATTATAAAAAAAACTAATACTACATTCCTGGGAGAACAAAGGAATTAATGCTACTGTCAATGGTCTGAAATATTTAAGGGTAGTGATCCCTATCATATCTCCATTTAACCCAAACATACTGAATCAGACACTCTGGGGCTGTTGTCTGGTAGCCTGTGCTTTAATGAGCTCTCTGGATGAGTCTAATATATGTTTAAAATTTAAGAATTACAGATATAGAGCACTTATTGCTGTGTCTCAAAAAGGAGAGCACACCCAGAAGCACATTGCTTTAATCTGGAAGGGACAGGAGTATATTCTCTATCTTGCTTGAGAGTTACATTAATTCTTCAGATCTATACCTCTATTTAGTCCACAGATACCTTTTTTGTCATTTTGAGTATGCTTTATTTATTTGTTTTTTGTTTGTCTGGTTATTATAATTTGAAATTTTATTTCAGATTCAAGGGGTACATGTGAAGGTTTGTTACCTGGGTATACTGTGTGATGCTGATGTTTGGGGTATGATGGATTCCATCACCCAGGTGCTGAGCATAGTACCCAATAGTTTTTCAACCCTTGGCCCCTTCTCTCCATCTTCTAGTAGTCCCCAGTGTCTATTGTCACCATCTTTATGTCCATGAGTACCCACTGTTTAGCTTCCACTTTTAAGTAAGAACATGCGGTATTTGGTTTTCTGTTCCTGCGTTAATTTGCTTCAGATAAAGGCCTCTAGCTGCCTCCATGTTGCTGCAAAGGACATGATTTTGTTCTTTTTATGGCTGTGTAGTATTCCATGGTATATATGTACCACATTTTCTTTTTCCAATCCACTGTTGATGGACACCTAAGTTGATTCCATATCCTTGCTATTGTGAATAGTTCTGCAATAATCATATAAGTGCATGTGTTTTTGTTAGAACAATTTTCTTTTGGACATATATCCAATAATGAGATTTCTGGGTCAAACAGTAATTCTGTTTTAATTTCTTTGCAAAATCTCCAATCTACTTTCCACAGTGGCTGAACTAATTTACATTCTGACGAACAGTGTATAGGCGTTTCCTTTTCACCGCAGCATCACCAGGATATGTTATATTTTGACTTTTAAAACATGGTCATTCAAACTAATGTGAGATGGTATCTCATTGTGGTTTTTATTTGCATTTCTCCTATGATTAGTGATGATGATCATTTTTCATGTTTGTTGGTCGCCTGCACATTTTCTTTTAAGAAGTTCCTGTTGCCCATTTTTGATGCTGTTATTTGTTTTTTGTTTGTTTAGTTTCTTATAGATTCTGGATGTTAGACCTTTTTCAGATGTACACTTTATGAATACTTCCTCCCATTCCTTAGGTTGTCTATTTACTCTGTTGATCGTTTATTTTGCTGTGCAGAAGCTCTTTAGTTGAATTAGGTCCCAATTGTCAATTTTTGTTTTGTCGCAGTTGCCTTTGAGGACTTAGTGATAAATTCTTTCTCAAGGCTGATATCCAGAATGGTGTTTCTTAGGTTTTCTTCTAGGATTCTTTTAGTTTGAGGTCTTTCTTACACTTAAATCTTTAATTCATTTCGAGTTAATTTTTGTCTATGGTGAAAGGTAAGGATTCAATTTCATTCTTCTACATATGGTTAGCCAGCTATCTCAGCACCATTTATTGAATATGGAGCCCTTTCTTCCAGTCCTATCTATTCTGTTCCATTGGTCTATGTGTCTGTTTTTGTACTAGTACCATGCTGTTTTGGTTACTGTAGCCTTATAGTGTAGCTTGAAATTGGGTAATGTAATGCCTCCAGCTTTATTCATTTTGCTTAGAATTGCTTGAGATATTTGGGCTCTTTTTCAGTTCTATATGAATTTTAAAATAATTTTTTCTAATTCTGTGAAAACATGACGTTGGTAACTTGATAGGAGTAGCATTAAATCTGTAGATTGCTTTAAGCAGTATGGCCATTTCAAAGATATTGGTTCATCCAGTCCATGAGCATGGAATGTTTTTCCATTGGTTTGTGTCGTCTATAATTCCTTTCAGCAGTGTTTTATAGTTTTTCTTGTAGAAATGTTTCACCTCCTTGGTGAGATGCATTCCTATATTTTTTTTGTAGTTATTGTAAATGGGATTGCATTCTTGATTTAGCTCTCAGCTTGAACATCATTGGTGTATAGAAATGCTACTGATTTTATACATTGATTTTGTATCCTGAAACTGTACTGAAGTTGTTTATGAGTTGCAGGAGCCTTTTTGTGGAGTTTTTAGGGTTTCGTAGGTATAAAATCATGCCATCCACAAAGAGATATAGTTTGACTTCTTCTTTTCCTGTTTGAATGCCTTTTATTTCTTTTGCCTGATTGCTCTACCTAGGACTTCCAGTACTATGTTGAAGGAGTGGTGAGAGGGGGCATCCTTGTCTTGTTCCAGCTCTCAAGAGGAATGCTTCCAGCTTTTTGCCCTTCATTATGATATTGGCTATGGGTATGTCATAGGTGCCTCTGATTTTTTTTTTTTTTTTTTTTTTTTTTGAGACGGAGTCTGGCTCTATTGCCCAGGCTGGAGTGCAGTGGCACGATCTCCACTCACTGCAAGCTCCGCCTCCCGGGTTCATGCCATTCTCCTGCCTCAGCCTCCCGAGTAGCTGGGACTACAGGTGCTCGCCACTACACCCGGCTAATTTTTTGTATTTTTAGTAGAGACAGGGTTTCACCGTGTTAGCCAGGATGGTCTTGATCTCCTGACCTCGTGATCCGCCCACCTCGGCCTCCCAAAGTGCTGGGATTACAGGCGTGAGCCACCTATTTTGAAGAATTGTCCTTCGATGCCTAGTTTCTTGAGGGTTTTTGTCATGAAGGGATGTTGGATTTTGTCCAAAGTTTTTTCCACATCTATTGAGATGATGATATGGCTTTTGTTTTTAATTCTGTTTATGTGATGAATTTATCAATTTGCATTTGTTGAACCAACCTTTCATCCCAGGAATGAAGCTTACTTGATTATGATGTATTAACTTTTTGATATGCTGCCAGGTTCAGTTTGCCAGTATTTTGTTGAGGATTTTTACATTTATGCTCGTCAGGGATATTGGACTGTAGTTTTCTTTTCTTACTGTGTTTTCACCAGGTTTTTGTATTGGAGTATTGCTGGCTTCATAGAATGAATATTGGGGGAGTCCTTTCTCCCTGATTTTTTTGACATAGTTCCAGTAGGAGTGGTATCAACTCCTCTTTGTACATCTGGTAGAATGCAGCTGTGAAATCCATCTTGTCCAAGGCTTTATTTTTGGTGGGTAGTTTTTTTTTAAATTACTGATTCAATTTCACACCTTTATTTTGGTCTGTTCAGAGTTTCAATTTCTTCCTAATTCAATATTTGGAAATAGTGTGTTTCCAGGAATTTATCTATTTTCTCTACATTTTCTGATTTGTTTGCATAGAGGTATTCATAATAGTCTCTTAGAAACTTTTATATTTCTGTGAGATTGGTTGGAATGTCACCTTCATCATTTCTGATTGTGCTTATTTGGTTCTTCTCTCTTTTTTCCCTTTTTAATCTAGCTAGTGGTCTATCAATCTTGTTTATCCTTTTGGGTCTCTATTTCATTGAGTTCTGCTCTGATTTTAGTTATTTCTTTACTTCTACTAGCTTTAGGGTTTGTTTGTTCTTGTTTTTCTAGATTTTGTAAGTGTAATGTTACATCATTAATTTGAACCCTTTCTAACTTTTTGAGATAGCTGTTCAGTACTATAAAGTATCCTCTTAATACCACTTTTGCTGCATCCCAGGAATTTTGGTATGTTGTGTCTCTGTTTTCATTTATTTCAAATAATTTTTTTCTGCCTTAATTTTACTGCTTACCAAAATGTCATTCAGGATCAACTATTTAATTTCAATGTTTTCAGAGATCTTCTTGGTATTGATTTCTATATTTATTCCACTTGGTATGACTTTGATTTGTTTAAAATTTACTGAGACTGGCTTTATGGCTAAGCATGTGGTCAATCGTGGCGTATGTTCCATGTGCAGATGAGAAAAATGTACACTCTGTGATTGATGGGTGGAATATTCTGTAGAGATGTCTATTAGGTCCAATTAGTCAAATGTAAAATTTAAGCCCAAAACTTATTTGTTTTCTCCCTTGATGATCTGCCTAATGCTGTCAGTGAGGTATTGACGTCCTCTACTATTATTGTGTGGCTAAGTCTTTTCATAGATCCAGAAGTACTTGTTTATGAATCTGGGCTCCAGTGTGGATGGAGTGTGTATATATTTAAGACAGTTAAGTGCTGTTGTTGAATTGAACCCTTTATCATTATGTAATGTCCTTCTTTGTTCTTTGTTACTGTTATTGGTTTAAAGTCTATTTTATCTGATATAAGAATCGTGATCCCTGCTTTTTTATTTGTTACATTTGCATGACAGGTCTTTTTCTAACCCTTTACTTTCAGCCTATGGGAGTAACATGTGAGATGAGTCTCTTGAAGACAGGAGATGAATGGACCTTGTTTTTTTAAGCCAACTTGCCACTCTGTGCCTTTCATGTGGAACATTTAGACAATTCACATTTCAGGTTAATATTGATATGTGAGGTTTTGATTCTGTCATGAAGCTCTTAGCTTTATAGTTTCTATTGCATGGTTGCTTTATAGGGTCTGTGGGCTATGCACTTGTGTGTTTTTTGGTAGCAGGTATTGTTCTTTCATTTCTATGTTTAGAATTCCCTTAAGGATCGCTAGTAAGGTTGGTCTAGTGGTAAGCTTGTCTGGAAAAGATTCTGTTTCTCCCTCATTTATGAAGCTTAGTTTGGTGGTACATGAAATTCTTGTTTGGAATTTCTTTTCTTTAAGAATGCTGAAAATGGGGGAATATGTCCTATGCTGGAACACCAGGATCTGATACCCCAGGATGACTGCTTAGAGAGGAAGGAGGTCATGGCTCTGAACAAACATTCCTGCCATTACAGGGCATTATTGGTGCTCACAGTTTGCAGGACCTGGCAGCGCAATGACTTCAGAACATTTCAATAATAATGAAAAATCAGCAATTAATTCCTGGGCAGAAGTAGTATCATTGTGAGCTCAGACAAGTTAAAGAGGCTGGGTGGTTGATTGCATCAACTGTGCAAACAAAACCCTCAGGCAATTTCTATTTTCTGAATGATGTTACTCTCCTCCCTGGATTTGTGAGGGGGGATATGGATTTTTTTCTCCTCTCTGCTCTAAGAAGACAATAACACTGAAGGCTTAGAAGTCTCTTTTGCTAGGACTACAGGTGGAAATTTTGCCTGCTACCCATCTCTCCAGCTATCCAGGTATGCTGAATGTAGAGATTGAGAGGAGTTTTTAGCCAGGGTATTATGAGTGTCAGAGTACCATGAGGTATAAACCAAGCTTAGCTATGTGAGGCCTTGGAGATATGTGGACCTGTTGCAAAACCTTGAACAGTGTTAGACTGTGATAACAAATATCTCCTCATGGGACAGAGAGCTTCAAAATTCCACCCAACAAGTTGACAGAAAGGGAATATCAGAGTAGACAAAGTAAGAAATTTCTACAGATGAAATTTCTTAATTGGACTAAGGGTGTTATTTAGTGAACATCGAAGACAAGGAAGATTTTTACAATTCAGCATTCCTACAAACTAAAAAAAATTCATATCCAACTATTTTTCCCTTTCTTTGGTAGACCTCAATAAGTAATTCCTTTAAATTCTCAGAAGATAGCAAAATTTAAAAAGCTGTATTTATTTAATGCATAAAATACCAAAGTCCAATGAAAAAATATTGTAATCTTCACCTATGATAGTCCTACCATTGTGTTTAGAATAAACTGTGATAAGGGGAAAAACAAACAAACAAACAAACAAACAAACAAACAAACAAACAAAAAATCCTGAAAATAGGGCCCCAGTCTCTCTTGGTTTATAAGATTTCTGCTGAGAAGCCTGCTGTTAGCCTGATAGGGTTCCCTTTGTACCTGATCTGACCTTTTCCTTTAGCTGCCTTTATGGCTTTTTCTTTAGCATTGACCTTGGAAAACCTGATAATTATATGCCTCAGTGATGTTTATTTTGTATGGTACATCTTCTTCATCTCAACATTACCGCAGAACATCAACTGGATCCTACCATAATTATATCATACTTGTAGGAAGTACAGCAAGATATAATAGTGCTCTAGGTAAGCATAGGGGATAAATTTGTGTCAGAAGACAGGAGGTATTTTTCATAAAAATACAGACTTGAGCCACCAGAGGGAAGTTTGCAGGACTCAGTGGTGAGGACATTGTGAAACATTCTCTCCAAATTGAAAGACAGCTTCCTATACCTTTTCTCCCTGTCCCCATCAAATCCCAGATTTAAAGGCATGTTGTTGGCAAGTCTCTGGGTTTTTTAAAAATTTATTATTATACTTTAAGTTCTAGGGTACATGGGCACAACGTGCAGGTTTGTCACATAGGTATACATGTGCCTTGTTGGTTTGCTGCACCCATGAACTCATCATTTACATTAAGTATTTCTCCTAATGCTATCCCTCCCCCAGTCCCCCACCCCCTAACTGGCCCAGGTGTGTGATGTTCCCCGCCCTGTGTCCATGTGTTCTCATTATTCAACTCCCAACTATGAGTGAGAACATGCAGTGTTTGGTTTTCTGTCCTTGTGATAGTTTGCTTAGAATGATGGTTTCCAGCTTCATCCATGTCCCTGCAAAGGACATGAACTCATTCTTTTTTATGGCTGCATAGTATTCCATGGTGTATATGTGCCACATTTTCTTAATCCAGTCTATCATTGATGAACATTTGGATTGGTTCCAAGTCTTTGTTATTGTGAATAGTGCCACAATAAATATATGTGTGCATGTGTCTTTATCATAGAATGATTTATATTCCTTTGAGTATATGCCCAGTAATAGGATTGCTGGGACAACTGGTATTTCTAATTCTAGATCCTTGAGGAAACTCCACACTGTCTTGCACAATGGTTAACTAATTTACCCTCCCACCAACAGTGTAAAAGCTTTCCTATTTCTCCACATCCTCTCCAGCATCTGTTGTTTCCTGATTTTTTAATGATCACCATTCTAACTGGCATGAGATGGTATCTCACTGAGGTTTTGATTTGCATTTCTCTGATGACCAGTGATGATGTGCATTTTTGCATATGTCTGTTAGCTGCATAAATGTCTTCTTTTGACAACTGTCTGTTATATCCTTTGCCCACTTTTTGATGGGGTTGTTTGTTTTTTTCTTGTAAATTTGTTTAAGTTCTTTGAAGATTTTGGGTATTAGCCCTTTGTCACATGGATAGATTGCAAAAATGTTCTCCCATCCTGTAGGTTGCCTCTTCACTCTGATGATGGTTTCTTTTGCTGTGCAGAAGCTCTTTAGTTTAATTAGATCCATTTGTCTATTTTGGCTTTTGTCGCCATTGATTTTGGTGTTTTAGTCATGAAGTCTTTGGCCATGCTTATGTCCCGAATGGTATTGCCTAGGTTTTCTTCTAGGGTTTTTATGGTGTTAGGTCTTACATTTAAGCCTTTAATCCATCTTGTTAACTTTCATATAAAGTATAAAAAAGGGATCCAGTTTCAGCTTTCTACATATGGCTAGCCAGTTTTCCCAACACCATTTATTAAATAGAGAATCCTTTCCCTATTGCTTGTTTTTGTCAGGTTTGTTGAAGATCAGATGGTTGTAGATGTGTGGTGTTATTTCTGAGGTCTTTGTTCTGTTCCATTGGTCTATATTTCTGTTTTGGTACCAGTACCATGCTGTTTTGGTTACTGTAGCTTTGTAGTGTAGTTTGAAGTCAGGTAGCACGATGCTCCCAGCTTTGCTCTTTTTGCTTAGGATTGTCTTGGCAATGTGGGCTCTTTTTTGGTTCCATATGAACTTTAAAGTAGTTTTTTCCAATTCTGTGAAGAAAGTCAGTGGTAGTTTGATGGGATAGCATTGAGTCTACAAATTACTTTGGGCAGTATGGCCATTTTCACAATATTGATTCTTCCTATCCACGAGCTTGGAATGTTCTTCCATTTGCTTGTTTCCTCTTTTATTTCATTGAGAAGTGTTTTCTAGTTCTCCTTTAAGAGGTTGTTCACATCCCTTGTAAGCTGGATTCCTAGGTATTTTATTCTTTTTGTAGTAATTGTGAATGGGAATTCACTCATGATTTGGCTCTCTGTTTGTCTATTATTGGTGTGTAGGAGTGATTGTGATTTTTGCACATTGATTTTGTATTCTGAGACTTTGCAGAAGTTGCTTATCAGCTTAAGGAGATTTTGGGCTGAGATGATGGGGTTTTCTAAATATACAATCATGTCATCTGCAAACAGAGACAATTTAACTTCCTCTTTTCCTAATTGAATACCCTTTATTTCTTTCTCTTGCCTGATTGCCCTAGCCAGAACTTCCAACACTATGTTGAATAGGAGTGGTGAGAGAGGGCATCCTTGTCTTGTGCCAGTTTTCAAAGGAAATGCTTCCAGCTTTTGCCCATTCAGTATGATATTGGCTGTGGGTTTGTCATAAATAGCTCTTATTATTTTGAGATACGTTCCATCAATACCTAGTTTATTGAGTGTTTTTAGCATGAAGGGCTGTCGAATTTTGTCAAAGGCCTTTTCTGCATCTATTGAGATAATCATGTGGTTTTTGTCGTTGGTTCTGTTTATATGATGGATTACGTTTATTGATTTGCATATGTTGAACCAGCCTTGCATCCCAGGGATGAAGCCAACTTGATCGTGGTGGATAAGCTTTTTGATGTGCTACTGGATTCAGTTTGCCAGTATTTTATTGAGGATTTTTGCATCAATGTTCATCAGTGATACTGGCCTAAAATTCTCTTTTTTTTGTTGTTTCTCTACCAGGCTTTGGTATCAGGATGATGCTAGCCTCATAAAATGAGTTAGGGAGGATTCCCTCTTTTTCTACTGATTGAAATAGTTTTAGAAGGAATGGTATCAGCTCCTCTTTGTACCTCTGGTAGAATTCGGCCGTGAATCTGTCTGGTCCTAGACTTTTTTTGGTTGGTAGGCTATTAATTACTACCTCAATTTCAGAACCTGTTATTGGCCTATTCAGAGATTCAACTTCTTCCTAGTTTAGTCTTGGGAGGGTGTATGTGTCGAGGAATTTATCTATTTCTTCTAGATTTTCTAGTTTATTTGCATAGAGCTATTTATAGTATTCTCTGATGATAGTTTGTATTTCTGTGGGATCGGCGGTGATATCCCCTTTATCATTTTTTATTACATCTATTTGATTATTTTCTCTTTTCTTCTTTATTAGTCTTGCTAGTGGTCTTTTTTGTTGATCTTTTCAGAAAAACAGCTCCTACATTCATTGATTTTTTGAAGGGTTTTTTCTGTCTCTATCTCTTTCAGTTCTGATCTGATCTTAGTTATTTTTTGTCTTCTGCTAGCTTTTGAATTTGTTTGCTCTTGCTTCTCTAGTTCTTTTAATTGTGATGTTAAGGTGTCAATTTTAGATCTTTCCTGCTCTCTCTTGTGGGCATTTAGTGCTATCAATTTCCCTCTAAACACTGCTTTAAATGTGTCCCAGAAATTCTGGTATGTTATATCTTTGTTCTCATTGGTTTCAAAGAACAAGTTTATTTCTGCCTTGATTTCGCTATTTACGCAGTAGTCATTCAAGAGCAGGTTGTTCAGTTTCCATGTAGTTGTGTGGTTTTGAGTGAGTTTATTATTCCTGAGGTCTAATTTGATTGCACTGTGGTCTGAGAGACAGGTTGTTTTGATTTCTGTTCTTTCACATTTGCTGAGGAGTGTTTTACTGCCAATTATGTGGTCAATTTTAGAATAAGTGCCATGTGATGCTGAGAAGAATGTATATTCTGTTGATTCGGGGTGGAGAGTTCTGTAATTGTCTGTTAGGTCTGCTTGGTCCAGAGCTGAGTTCAAGTCCTGGATATCCTTGTTAACCTTCTGTCTCATTGATCTGTCTAATATTGACAGTGGGGTGTTAAAGTCTCCTATTATTACTTTGTGGGCGTCTAAGTCTCTTTGTAGGTCTCTAAGGACTTGCTTTATGAATCTGGGTGCTCCTGTATTGGGTGCACATATATTTAGGATAGTTCGCTTTTCTTGTTGAATTGATCCCTTTACCATTATGTAGTGGCCGTCTTTGTCTCTTTTGATCTTTGTTGGTTTAAAGTCTGTTTTATCAGAGACTAGGATTGCAACCCCTGATTTTTTTTTCTTTCTATTTGCTTGGTTTATCTTCCTCCATCCCTTTATTTTGAGCCTATGTGCATCTTTGCACATGAGATGGGTCTCCTGAATACAGCACACTGATGGGTCTTGACTCTTTATCTAATTTGCCAGTCTGTGTCTTTTAATTGGGGCTTTTTGTCCATTTACATTTAAGGTTAATATTGTTATGTTTGAATTTGATCCTGTCATTATGATGCTAGCTGGTTATTTTGCCCATTAATTGATGCAGTTTCTTCATAGCACTCATGGTCTTTACCATTTGGCACGCTTTTGCAGTCGGTGATATTGGTTGTTCCTTTCCATGTTTAGTGCTTCCTTCAGGAGCTCTTGTAAGGCAGGCCTGGTGGTGACAAAATCTCTCAGCATTTTCTTGTCTGTAAAGGATTTTATTTCTCCTTCACTTACGAAGCTTAGTTTGGCTGGATATAAAATTCTGGGTTGAAAATTCTTTTCTTTAAGAATGTTGAATATTGGCCCCCACTCTCTTCTGGCTTGTAGGGTTTCTGCAGAGAGATCCACTGTTAGTCTGATGGGCTTCCCTTTGTGGGTAACCTGACCTTTCTCTCTGGCTGCCCTTAACATTTTTCCTTCATTTCAACTTTGGTGAATCTGACAATTATGTGTCTTGGGGTTGCTCTTCTCAAGGAGTATATTTGCGGCATTCTCTGTATTTCCTGAATTTGAATGTTGGCCTGTCTTGCTAGGTTAGGGAAATTCTCCTGGACAATATCCTGAAGAGTGTTTTCTAACTTGGTTCCATTCTCCCCATTGCTTTCCAGTACACCAATCATACATATATTTGGTCTTTTCACATAGTCCCATATTTCTTGGAGGCTTTGTTTCTTTTCACTCTTTTTTCTCTAATCTTCTCTTCTCACTTTATTTCATTAATTTGATCTTCAATCATTGATATCCTTTCTTCTACTTGATCGAATTGGCTGTTGAATCTTGTGCATGTGTCACAAAGTTCTCGTGCCATGGTTTTCAGCTCCATCAGGTCATTTAAAGTCTCCTCTACACTGTTCGTTCTAGTTAGCCATTTGTCTAACCTTTTTTTCCTAGGTTTTTAGCTTCCTTGTGATGGGTTAGAACATGTTCCTTTAGCTTGGAGAAGTTTGTTATTACCGACCTTCTGAGGCCTACTTCTGTCAACTTGTCAAACTCATCCTCTATCCAGTTTTGTTCCTTTGCTGGCAAGGAGCTGTGATCCTTTGGAGGAGAAGAGGCACTCTGTTATTTTGGAATTTTCAGCTTTTCTGCTCTGGTTTCTCCCCTTCTTTGTGTTTTTATCTACCTTTGGTCTTTGAAGTTGGTGACCTACAGATGGGGTTTTGGTGTGGATGCCCTTTTTGTTGATGTTGATGCTATTCCTTTCTGTTTGTTAGTTTTCCTTCTAACAGTCAGTCCCCTCAGCTGCAGGTCTGTTGGAGTTTGCTGGAGGTCCATTCCAGACCCTGTTTGCCTGGGTATCACCAGCGGAGGCTGCAGAACAGCAAATACTGCTGCCTGATCCTTCCTCTGGAAGCTTCATCCCAGAGGGGCACCCGCCTGTTTGAGGTGTCTGTCGGCCCCTACTGGGAAAGTGTTTCCCAGTCAGGCTACACGGAGGTCAGGGACCCACTTGAGGAGGCAGTCTATCTGTTCTTGGAGCTTGAAGGCTGTGCTGAGAGAACCACTGCTCTCTTCAGAGCTGTCAGACAGGGATGTTTAAGTCTGCAGAAGTTGTCTGCTGCCTTTTGTTCTACTATGCCCTGCCCCCAGAGGTGGAATCTATAGAGGCAGGAAGGCTTGCTGAGCTGTGGTTGGCTCCACCCAGTTTGTGCTTCCAGGCCTCTTTGTTTATACTGTGAGCTACTGGAGCCTCAGCAATGGCAGATGCCCCTCCCCCCATCCAGCTGCAGTATCACAGGTTGATCTCAGACCGCTGCGCTAGCAGCGAGCAAGGCTCTATGGGCATGGGACCTGCTGAGCCAGGCAAGGGAGGGTGTCTCCTGGTCTGCCAGTTGCTAAGACTGTGGGAATAGCACAGTATTTGGTCAGGAGTATACTGTTTCTCCAGATACAGTCTGTCACGACTTCCCTTGGCTCAGAAAGGGAAATCCTCCAACCCTTGCACTTCCTGGGTGAGGTGATGCCCTGCCCTACTTCAGCTTGCCCTCCGTGGGCTGCATCCACTGTCCAACCAGTCCCAATGAGATGAACCGGGTACCTCAGTTGGAAACACAGAAATCACCTGTCTTCTGCGTCAATCTCACTGGGAGCAGCAGACCAGAGCTGTTCCTATTTGGCCATGTTGGAAGTAACCAAGTCTCTGAGTTTTTAAAGTAACAACATAGATGTATGTGCTGTCCCAACCTACTTATCAAGGGAATCAAAAGCCTGAAAACTTTGACTCAGGCTCAGAGGAAGAAGTGGGACTCCAACTGATCCAGGTGGATATTTGGCGCTTAAGACCTAGCAGATATTCTGCAGAAGATTCATGTGTTAAATAAAGTCTGTGGCAAGCCAGAATTGAAAAATCAAAGCAGAGTTTCCTCTTGAATTAAGGTATGCCTTCTCTCTATATAACTATATTCCTTTCCAGAAATAGCTACCGTGATTGCTTCTGAGCCCTAGTAGAGACTGAATGCATAAGTATGAAACATTTGGTCATCAAACAATCTGAGCTGCCCATAATGTGCAGGATTTTATGTGATTCGTCAAATTATAAGATTGTTCATGTCCAACAATACCCCACAAACTAGTGGAAATGTTACAGTCAGAGAGGGAATCAAGAACATCCTGAAGGCCCAATTAGGTTCCATAAGCAGATGAATTACATCCCTAGTGTGCCTGCTGCTACCACACTGCAATCTCTTCCTCACCCAAATCGAGTCTTCCAGAGAACGTCTTATAATTCCTTAAGAGAGAAGAAGAAAACTTAAGCCTCATTTGCAAATGCTCTGGATGATATGTTGTTGTAATACAGATTCACTCAGGATAGTCCTCCCAGGAGGTAGAATTTAATTCATGAAGAGAAAGATGGCCTGAAGTATCCATCTATAGTGATTCATGGGAAGTGACTAATGGCTTGGCTAGATTTTTCGGAGATATTAAAGGAAAAAGATTGGAGATTGGTGGCAAGGAAACTGGGTATGAGTTATATGAATAAAACTTTCAAAATTGGCCCATATGGGGTTCATCATTGAATACACAACAAAAGGTCCCAGCTTTGGTGGAAATTGTCAGTAGTCAAGTGGATGAAATCACTGACTTGAAGATGCCAGTCAGCCTCCTTCTCCAGTTTCCCCAAGTCCTTGTTCAGTATGCTCAATAACAAAGCACCCATGGTGACAGGCATGAGGGTTAAGCCTGGGCTCAGCATAAGCACTTCACTTCACTAAGACTGACCCAGCCAGCTATCGCCATAGCTGGGTCCTTACTGTGCCAGCAGCAATGACCAATGCTTAGTCTTTAATAGACTGCAATGGCTCGGGGATCAGCCAGCCAGCTGGCAGTAAGTTGATTGCATTGGACTCTTTTCATCATGGGGTGGAAAATGATATCCCCCTCTGGAATAAACATTTATTGTTGAGCCACTTACAAAGCTTTTCTTTTTTCTGCCTGCCAATATTCTGCTAGCAACACCATGTGTGAATTTACTAATCATCTTATGCACCATGTGAGACTCAACACAACATGATTTCTAGCAAGAAAATTTATTTTACAATGAGAAAGAAAGAAACTGATGCCCATGTATTCACTGTTATACCATGTATTTCATGTCCTAAAATTAGTTGGCTTTAGCAAATGATGGAACAGTCTATTGAAGACTTGGAATGTCATTGGAAGACCACACTTAGTGAGGATGATATGCTGTTCTATATGGTATTTGTTCTCCTATAGTCAGGAAATGTGGTTCCAGGAGCTAAGAAGAGGAAATGCAGTGAAGCTGCATGTCTCATTATTATACCTAACGAACTGCTTACAAAACTTTTCTCTTTTCTCGCCCTATGACTTTGGGCTCTAGAGGTCTTACTACCCAAGGAAGGAAACCTAACCTAGTAAACCAATATTCCTTCAGACTGTTCTGAGTTTTTCATGTCATTAGGCAAAAAGGTTAAAAAAAAAAAAGGGAGTGAGTAATCCTATCACTGCAGCAGCTGCGAAAAATATGTATTTACTCTTAGAAATTCTATAAAATTAAATGTTTTAAATGGTCAAAAGACATGAAAAGATGTTTCACAAAAGGAGACATTTTAAAAATGACAAACAAATGGATGAAAAGATGTTCTATATATTTAGTTATGCAATATAAACTTAAAATACGGAGATACTACTGTATGCTGGCTAAAATGGTTAGAGTTCAAAACAAATTACCAATACCAAGTGTTTATGAGGATTTGGGGCAACTGGAACTCTCATACATTGTTGGTAGGAGTGCCATATAGTCCAACAGCCTTGAAAAATAGTCTGACAGTTTCTTATAAAGTTGAATATACATTTACTGTATAACCTAGCGTTCTACTCCTAGGTAATTAAAAAGAAATTTTATTCATAATAGTAAAAAAATCTAAATATTCATTAGCAAGTTGAGTGGATAAACAAATGAGGCATATTCTTATAAAGGAATGCTAACCAGCAATATGTATGAACTAGTGAAACAGACAAAAGCAAGAATGAATCTAAAAAACCTGCTGATTCAAAGAAGTCAAGCACGAAAAGAGTATACAATAACTGATACCATTTATGGGAAGTTCTAGAACAGGCAAGATTAATCAGATAAATATCAGATCAATGATTGCTTGAGGGAGGGCATGGGAGTTACATAAATAAAGGAGTCTTGGGGAAATTCCTGGGATAATGGATATGTTCTACGGTTTCCTGATTGAGGTACTTATTAGTCAAACCTCATTAAAGTGTTCCCTTAAAATGTGTTCATTGATTACATGTAAGTTACGCATCAGCTGATTTTAAAACTCAAAAATAAAATAATTTTTCCTTTTCCTTTGCCCCATAATTTCGCATTTTTATGAGTATGTTAGTAATGGTTAGCTTAACACTCTGATCCATAGCTTATGAAATATTAAGGTAGGGATTGTTACAAACCTAGAGAAGTTATAAACACAGCTAGAGGTCCTGGGCTTGAAGGCAAATCCAGTAACTGGGTTAATACCATTGGGGGAAGTGGTAAGTGATATAAAATGTAGTGAGAAAGTCTGGCATCTCCAACCTCTGGTTCCTTACTATGCAGCAATGTTGTCCTAATGGACCAGTTCCGTGCTTTTTACCTATTGGTCCTGACTGCATAGACCTGAATCTGATTTTCTCAGAATCCTGGAAACTCCATAAGAAACCAAATATTAATTAAATAAGTTTTTTTCTTACGTAAGCCGCATTTGATTTTTGTTGATTGCAGCTAAAATGCTGCCTGATAAAGAAGGGCTTAGGGAAATGTCCTAGAGAAGGTAATGCCTGAGCTGTGTCTAAAAAAGTCATTACAAAGAAAACAGGAGACATAGGGCAGGAAAGGATGTTAGATGAGAATAATGGCAAATATTTGGGTGTGGATAGAACATGAATTTCAAAGCAGAGAGTCACTAAAGTTTAAGCTGGAAGAGTCTGCAGGAGACAGATAATGTAGGATCTTATGTGTTATATTAAGGAGCTTGAACTTTATCATATAGATGATGGAATACCATTAAATGGTTTTCAGCAGGGGGATGACATGGTCTCATTTGCATTTTAAACAGATCACACTGGCCGCTGTGTGGAGAATGGGTTTGACTGGGATATAAATGGAAGCAGCAAGTTCTTTTGGTAGTTCACACGAGAAATGATAAGGGTCTAAACAGAGTAATGTTCATCTAGACAGAACTGAGGAGACAAATTTAGGAGACCTTTTAGTGGTAAAATTAACAAGACTAGGTATTTGAAGGCGAGAGAGTCAGAGAAATTCTGTTTCCCCAGTAGGCCATTGGTAATAATGGTGTATTCTAATTCAGTTGATATTATTAATACCAATAGCCCACTAGGGAAACAGAGGAGGGCTCCATTTAGAAGAAAAGATGATAAGATCTTTTGAAATATGTTGAGACTGCATATATATGGTACTTCCAGGTGTAAATGTCCAACAATTATCTTGAGAGATGCACCTGAATGCAGGATAGATAACTAGAATTGCCTGTTGATGTAAGAATAGTGAATTATTTGGTGGAATTCAACTCATCATAATAGATTAAATAACAAAGGGAAGCATGTAGGGAGTATGGCTGCCACATATGGCCATGCACGTCATGCATTGAAACCATTCCAGGTGATCCTGGTGATTTTTTTTATATATATATATATATATGTATATATATGTATATGTATATATATATGTATATATGTATATGTATATATGTATATGTATATATGTATATGTATATGTATATATGTATGTGTATATATATGTATATGTATATATGTATATATGTATATGTATATATGTATATGTATATATGTATATGTATATATGTATATGTATATATGTATATATGTATATATATGTGTATATATATATATACACACATATATATATACACAGACACATACACACACACACACACACACAACCCTGTGGGCTGAGGACAAAACCCTTGTGAAAAACACATTTAAAAGGTAGACATATTAGAGCTCTTAAAGTCAAGGAAGAAATGGTCAGAGAAGCAGGAGGACAATAAGAAAATATATTTTGCCCCATGGACTGAAGAAATATTTGTTGCTTGCATGTAATGGCAAACAACAGTAAAATCTACTACAATGACTTAAATAGATGGGGATGTATTGATCTCATGCAACAAAAAGTCTAAAGAAAGAGAGTTCCAGGCTAACACGGTGTTCCTCTATTCTTCTTATCATGGGGCTTTGTCTTTATGGTCATAACATAATCGCTACACTTTCAGGCACATCCTCATTCTAATCAGGCAGAGGAGGGAAATGGAAAGAGGCTGATATTGCATGCCTGCTATGATAGACTAATTGCGAAATTGTTTCCAATTACTTACCCTTCCCTGACTCCACACCCCTTATAATAGGACTATAATGTTGCAAATCCTCTGATTAAGAGACGGAGTCGATTTCCCCACCTTTTGAATCTAACTGGGCCTATGACCAGTTGCTTTGGCCAACAGAATGCAGTGAAAGTGGTGATATGTCCATTGCCAGTCTAAGCCTTAGAAGGTCTGTGTGCTTTCATGAACTCTTCTGGAACTCTGCTACTGCTACATGTATAAGCATGCCTCAGCCAACAGCCAGCCAAATCCCAGAAGCCGATTTATGTAGGTGATCCTAGGATAACCACATAACGGAGCACAATCAAAACCAGAAAAACCACTCACCTGAGCCTAGCCTAAACTGCTGACCTACAGACTCATGAGCTAAATAAATGGTTGTTGTTGTAAGCCCCTAAGTTAGGGAGGTAGTTTATTTTTTTCAAATGATAATTGATAAATAAGTAGAGTCATATCCCCTTAGAAATCTTTCCTAGGAAACTTCCAAGTAAAGATGATAAATTGAACACAAACACCTACTTACATTTCCTCCTATATCACAAATGAACTTAGAGTAAACAATTTTAGAAGGGCATAAATTCACAAGGATAGGAAGAATGGACAAGATGCAACATTTTGGAAGCTGGAAAGCAAATAGTACAGAACAGAAAATTAAAATCCAAAGTAGAACTAGGGAAACTTAAGAATCACTCATTTTATAGATCCTCTAAAAGGTTAAGAAATATATGTTGCAAGGTTTCTCAGTTAGTTGTTATTTGAATATAGGAAAGCTACTGACGGTGAAAGAAGGCAGTCAAACGCTTAGGCGGAAAGGGGTGGGTCCCTGGTGAAGCTCCACCTCCAAGCCGAAGACAGTTTAAAGCCTGAAAGCCTGAAAGCTAGATTTTTTCAGAGATATTAAAGGAAAAAGATTGGAGATTGGTGGCAAGGAAAATTGGCCTGAAAGCCAAACTACAAGGTAAATCCTTGGACCAGACTGAGAACCTGTTTTCCTGTTTGGTGCACTTTCCTCTGATTCATCCCCACCCTTCACCTATTTTACATATGCCTACCCTTTCCTAATTGGTTTTCTGCACTGTGATGCCCACCTTTGAGTGGTGTCTTTAACCTTTTTTGCATACTCACAAACCAATCAGCATGCACTCCCAATTCTGAGTCCATAAAAAGCCCCAGACCCAAGAACACTGAAAAAGGAAAAAACTACCCCAATGTGGAGGTGGGGACCATCCCCCCCATAAACCCTCCTCGTCCTTCCCCACTGAGAGCGTTCCATTGCTCAATAAAATTCTTCTCCGCCCATCCTCACCCTTCAACTGTCAGCATATCTTCACTTTTCTTGGGTACAGGACAAGAGCTTGGGAACCTTCCAACGTGTTTACAAGCTATAATACAGTGGACTAGGGTGTACTTGGCCCAGCTGCGGGATGAGCTGGCGTGCAAGCCAGACTCGGCTCAGGCGGCTGAGTGGGTGGGATGCCTCCAGTGGCACGTCTGGGGCAGAGCAAGGGGGTGGGGGGCGAGGGTGTGTCACTGGCTAGAGGTCCCGGCTGATAAAGTGACCAAGAGAATTCCTGTGTCACTACTGACTTGGGTATATTATATTTTTACCCAACCATCTTAATATTCTTCATTGGTTTTCAGTTGATTTCCAGATTTACAATTATATTAGCTATAAATAATGATTATTTTATCTCTTCCTTTCTAAATTTTACACTTATTATTTATTTTCTAATTGTTTAGGGTTAATCTCCAAAACTATATGAAATAATAGGGAACAATCATAAAATTAAGTAGAATTTATGACCAATTAAAAAAAGCAGAAAGAATCTTTTTGAGGTAATCAAAACTTTGGGGGCATTGTAGTTACACAGGTGTATACATTTGTCAAACTTTATCAAATTGTGAACTTAAAATATAAGCATTTCATACAAGGTATGTAAATTTTCTTTCTTCTTGGTTTAAAAAAAGAATAGTGGTGATATTGAAAATTCAATTTCTATTCTTATCTACAATTGGAATGATCTTAGTTTCCTCATTAAATGTGATGCTGACTTTTGAGATAAATTCATTTAATTGTCTTTAATAAAAGTATATGCTAAATTTATGAAATACATTTTGAACATTGCTATGGACTGAATTATTTCTCCCTAAAATTCATTTGTTGAAGCACTAACTTACAGTGTGATGGTATTTGGAAATTTGGATAGTATTTGGAAATTCACGGGCCTTTGGGTGGTAATAAGGTTTAGATGAGGACATGAGGGTGGGGTCCTCATGATGGGACTACGGTTTTATAAAAAGAAACAACAGAGAACTCACTTGCTTCCTCTCCCCCATGTGATGACACAGTGAGAAGGTAGCCATCTACAAGCCAGGATAAGAACCCAGAAACTGACTATGGTAGCATTTTTATCTTTGACTTCCAGCCTCCAGAACTGTGAGAAAGTAAATTTCTATTGCTTAAAAGCCACCCAGTTTATAGTATGTTTACAGCAGCCTAAACTAAGACAAATATCTACAAAGCTAATTATTTTATCTTTATCCTATAAATCTATTAATTTAATATGTTCCTATATTGCCACAAAGTAAACTATCCCTGAATTCTTCGTGAGGTCCACTGAGCCACAGCATAACATGCTTTAAATGTGCTGCAGGATTCCGTTTGCCAAGATTTTCCTCTGTATTTTTACAGGAAAATTCTTTAATAATTTGTATTTTTGTGCCCTTTTTTGGTTTGATTTTATTATCTAATAGTATACTAGAAAAGAATCCCATTGCAGCTCTGAGTCCTCTGCATTAATTTGTCTATTTAATTTTGTAATTTTTTCAGGGTCAATTTTTATGTTTGTTTTCAAAGATTACCTACTTTATAGGAATTTCAGGTTCATCTAATTAATGTTACATTAAATAATCTCATAATTCTTTTCTCTACTTCTCTTGGTCCCATTTTATTTCTTATGAATATACCTGCTTATTCTTCCTCATCAACCTTATTAAATCTGTAACTCTGCATTATAGTTATTAATTATTTTAGCTTTATCTTTCTGACTTCTTGATTTGGATGACTTGCCATTTATTTTTATACTCTCTTGATTAGTAATATGAGTATTTAAGTTATGAAATTTACTGAGAAGAGCTTTAGTTATATTCCATAGGTTTTGATATGTAGTATTTTATTGTTAATTTATATTTATTTATCCATTTCAATTTTGACTTACTCTTTGACCCAAGAATTCCTTATGAGACTTTTTTCAAGTTTCCAAGTAGCATAATGTTGTTTTCTTCTGTTTCTTGTTTTGCTATTATTATCTAGCATTGAAATATGTTGCATTAAAAAGGAATGAATTTTGACTTTTTTGGAAATTATAGATGTCTTTTTTGTGGTCCATTTGTGGGTATTCTATTGACATTGAAGATAGCAATATTCTGTGTCCAAGTATAAAATTCAATCAGATCATCTATATCCATATGTATATTTCTTTTTTGGGGGGCCGAAGATGGCAAATTAAAGTCTCCTACTTCTAATGTATATTTAATATTTTTTATTTATGAATTTTGATATTACTATTTTTACATAGGTATTCATAGCTACTGGATCTTTATTGTGGATTTTACCTTTTATTATTATATGGTGATTCTATTTGTTTCATTTATTGCTTTTCCACTAAATTTAACACTGTCTAATATTAATACTGTGAACATGTTCTCTTTTTGTTTGCAATTATCTGGTAGACCCTCAATATCCCTTAACTTTCAGCTTTGCTTAGATAGGTTCATTATATAAAACAGTTCTCTATACAGAGCAAGATTTTGCAGTGTGACTTTCAGAGCTCTTTTTCTGTAATGGAGAGTTTCTGTTTACATGCATTGCTATAAAAGGTAGGTCTGATTTTATCTTTCTTTTTTGGTAACAGTTTTATTGAGCTGTAATTCTCATATGATATAATTCTCCCATTTTAAGTAAACAATTCAATAGTTTTTAGTATATTCCAGATATGTACAACCATTGCCACAGTCAATTTTATAACATTTGTTATCACCTCAAAAAGAAAACATGTACCCTTTAGGAAACCTCCCTAGCCTTCCATGCCCCCCAGCCCTAAGAAATCTACTGCTAACTAATCTACTTTCTGCCTCTACAGATTTTCTGATTTTTAGGAAGAAAGAATTCAGTCTTCCGCCCTTAAACATGATTTACCTATGGATTTTTTGGGGATCCTGTTTATCAAGATGAGGAAGTTCCCTCTTATTCTTGAGTGTTTTTACCATGAAAGAATGCTGACTTTCATCAAATGTTTTTTCTGCATCTATTGAAATTGTAGTTTTTGTTTGTGCTCTATTGGTCACTTAATGGTGCATTACATTAATTGATTTTCAGATGTTAAACTAAGCTTGCATACCTGGATAAATTCTACCCCATTATGTTAAATAATTATTTTTGTATTTGCTGCATTAGATTTGCTAGAATTTTGCTGAGGATTAGGGGGGTCCATATAAATAACAGGTATTGGTTTGTAGATTTCTCTTGAAGCCTTGGTTTGGTCAGAGTATTAGAGTTATACTGATATTATACAATGAGTTGCCAAACTTCCTACTACTGAATTTTAACTTTAGGTATTGTATGCTTTAGGTACAGAATTTCCATTTGATGGTTTTCGAAAAATAATTTCTATCTCTTCATTAATTTTCTCTACTTGATTCAACATTATCATCAGATCTTCCTTTACTTCCTTAATTATGGTTTTCTTTAGTTCTTTGATCATATATATGATGGCTACTTGGAAGTTTTTGTCTCTTAAATCTAACATTTGCTTCTCTCCCAGGCAGTTTCTGTTGCCTATATTTTTCCTAATGTGTGGATCATACTTTCCTGTTTCTTTTCATATCTTTAAAATTTTCTTTTTGGAAAGTGGACATTTTAGATAATATCTTGTAGCAACTCTGGGTGCTTGTTACTCCTTTCTAGCACCGGTTAAAGTTCTTTGCTTATTTGTTTGATGACTGGCTGGATTATTTAGTGAGATCTGTTTCCCTTCTTCAATGCTAAACTGCTGAATTTACTCCCTGGGAGACAAAGCCTTGGGTAGCCTAGTCATCTTGGGATGACAATGGGATTTAGCAGGGCTCTCTTTGACCATCTTTTTTCCTGACCATACCCAGCTATAACTCTACAACTAACTGGCTGATGGCTCTATTGCTTTCAACAATGTCCTGGTGCATAAATTGCTCTATAGAATAATCCAATCAAACTCAAGTTCCTTTGAAGGGATAGTTTCTGAGGTCAATATTTGAGATATGTTCTAAGCCCAGAAAAGTTTCTCCCAGCTGTCTCTTTTTTCTGATTCTGTCCTATAAATTTTCTTGCCTGCAATTTAGCCTATATCTGATAATATTCTACCGATTTCTTACCCCAATATTCTTCCGATTTTGTTCACTACAATCTCCACTGTTTTTGAGAGTCCCCTTAAGTTTAAACTTCTTTGTGTTCTGCAGCACAGCCTCAGGAGCTCTGCAAACTAACAAACTAGCAAAACTGGTGAATATGACTGTTTTAAAACAGCCATTTAAAGTCTCTGGAAATGGACCTATATTATAGAACAAATGAAGAAATATATATTCCAAAAAATTTACTAAAATTTAATAATAACAGCGAAAGTCTTTGGTATTTGAACCAGGACTGCTCCATCTCCCACTCTCACAGCTCAAATAGTAGCAAACTGAATTCAATAGCACATTAAGATTATGCACCATGATTAAATGGGATTTATACCTGGGATTCAAGGATGGTTCAACATAGCAAGTTAATAAATATGATACACCACATTAAGAAGATGAATGACAAAAGCCATATGATCAGCTCAATTGATACAGAAAAAGCATTTGACAAAATTCAACATCCTTTTACAATACAAATTCTCAACAAACTAGGAATAGAAAGAATGTACTTCCATGCAATAAAGGCCATATATTACAAGCCCACAGGTAACATAATACGCATTGGGAAAAAGATGTAAAATTGTCTTTCCAGTAGTCTTAAATACATGTTACACTGTTAACTCTTAGCAACTTTGACTTTTGGTGAAAAACCTGGTAAGTACATGATTTTACTTATGTACTAGACGTGGAGCCCAGGACACCAGACAGAAGTGCAGATAAAGTCTGACTCTTTCCAGCATGGCTAGGGCATGGATAACTCTATGTCCCAAGGACTTAACTAGCTGTAGAGCAGGCAACTTGTACAGATAAGAGTCATAGTGGCATTTTATAAAGCATTTAGTAGACCTAATAGCTTTTAAATGGTACAACTTTTTTTTCATAAATTCTCTTCATGGGTCTTGTCTCAAAAATTACACAGACCCTCTATGACATGCTTGAATGTTCTGACTTGTTCTAAATATTCTTCTTTTTAAACAACCAGACATTTTATTTTAGGACAAGAATTTACCATGCAAGATTTTTTATTTTTTTTTTAATTTTTAATTTTTATTTTACTTTACTTTAAGTTCTGGGATACATGTGCAGGTTTGTTACATAGGTATGCATGTGTCATGATGGTTTGCTGCATCTATCAACCCATCATCTGGGTTTTAAGCCCCACATGCATTAGGTATTTGTCTTAATAATGCTCTCCCTCCCCTTGACCCTATCCCCTGACAGGCCACGGTGTGTGTTGTTCTCCCTGTGTCCATGTGTTCTCATTGTTCAGCTCCTACTTATGAGTGAGAAAATGCAGTATTTGGTTTTCTGTTCCTGTGTTAGTTTGCTGAAGATGATGGCTTCCAGCTTCATCTATGTCCCTGCAAAGGACAGGATCTCATTCGTTTTACAGCTGCATAGTATTCCATGGTGTATATATACCATATTTTCTTTATCCAGTCTGTCATGGATGGTCATTTGGGTTGGTTTCACATCTTTGCTATTGTAAATAGTGCTGCAATAAACATACATGTGCATGTGTCTTTATAGTACAATGATTTATATTCCTTTGGGTGTATAACTAATAATAGGGTTGCGGGATCAAATGATATTTCTGGTTCTAGATCCTTGAGGAAGCACCACACTGTCTTCCACAATGGTTGAACTAATTTACATTCCCACCAACAATGTAAAAGCATTCCTGTTTCTCCAGACTCACCAGCATCTATTGTTTCTTAACTTTTTAATAATCACCATTCTGACTGGCGTGAGATGGTATCTCATTGTGGTTTTGATTTGCATTTCTCTAACGATCAGTGATGTTGAGATTTTTTTTATCTGTTTGTTGGCTGCCTAAATGTCTTCTTTTGAGAAGTGTCTGTTCATATCCTTTGGTCACTTTTTAGTGGGGGTTTTTTTTTTTTTTTGTAAATTTGTTTAAGTTCCTTGTAGATTCTGGATATTAGAGCTTTGTCAGATGGATAGATTGCAAAACTTTCCCCCATTCTGTAGGTTGCCTGTTCACTCTGATGATAGTTTCTTTTGCTGTGCAGAAGCTCTTTAGTTTAATTAGATCCCATTTGTCAATCGTAGCTTTTGTTGCAATTGCTTTTGGTGTTTTTGTCATGAAATCTTTGCCTGTACCTATGTCCTGAATGGTAATGCCTAGATTTTCTTCTAGGGTTTTTATGGTTTTAGGTTTTACATTTAAGTCTTTAATACATTTTGAGTTAATTTTTGTATAGTGTGTAAGGAAGGGATCCAGTTTCAGTTTTCTGCATATGGCTAGCCAGTTTTCCCAACATCATTTATTAAATAGGGAATCCTTTCCCCATTTCTTGTTTTTGCCAGGTTTGTTGAAGATCAGATGGCTGTAGATGTGCCATGTTATTTCTAAGGCCTCTTTTCTGTTCCATTGGTCTATATTTCTGTTTTGGTACCAGTACCATGCTGTTGTTGTTACTGTAGCCTTGTAGCATAGTGTGACGTCAGGAAGAGTGATGCCTCCAGCTTTGTTATTTTTGCTTATGATTGTCTTGGGCATATGGGCTCTGTTTTGGTTCCATATGAAATTTAAAGTAGTTTTTAAAAATTATTTGAAGAATATCAATGGCAGTTTGATGGGACTCATGATTTGGGTCTTTGCTTGTCTATTGCTGGTGTATAGGAATGCTTGTGATTTTTGCATTTCAATTTTGCAACCTGAGACTTTGCTGAAGTTGCTTATCAGCTTAAGGAGTTTTTGGGTTGAGACAATGGGATTTTCTAAATATACAGTCATGTCATCTGCAAATAGAGACAACTTGACTTCCTCTCTTCCTATTCGAATACCCTTTATTTCTTTCTCTTGCCTGATTTCCCTGGCTGGTACTTCCAGTACTATGTTGAATAGGAGTGGTGAGAGAGGGCATCCTCTTCTTGTGCTGGTTTTCAAGTGGAATCTCTTTTCTTTATAACCTTCTTTACCAAAAATTCCTCTTTACTTTTATAAGCTTTGAATTAGATGAAAGTCATCTTCCTTCTATTAAAGAGTTAAGGATTTAACTGCATGTTTCTGTGCATGTCCTGTGAAGGGGGAGCAGATAAGGAGGTTATCTACATACTGTAGAAGTTATCCCCCTTCAAGAGGATTGCTCAGTTAGATTTTTGCTAGGGCTTGCCCAAATAAGTTTGGGCTACTTCTAAACCCCTGAGGTAGTATTGTCCAGGTAGTATTGGAGTTATTGGCTAAGAATTTAGGTAGCTTTCCTTGTAGAAATAGGGCTATTAGAAAGATGAATTCAGAGGTCAGGTAAATATTAAGTGAGCACTGATCTTGGAACACACAGTCTTGCCCCAAAGAGGTGTGGGGCATTTAGACATTACCAGGGACTGGTGGGAGAATGATAATTAGTCCCTTAAGCAAAATAAAGAGGTGTGAATCTTTTGTTTTGGAGGGAGAGGATGTCATTTTCCCCAATTACCCAACAGGCTTAGCCTTGACCTCCTTATTCTGCTCTCAGTTATAAAAGACTGAGGAGGCTAATCTGAGGACCTCCTGCACAAAGACACTGGGTTCCAAGGCTGGCTTTTGTAATTTCCTCCCAGTTCATTTTTAAGCCAAGCAATATTACAAAGGAAATCTAGTTTTTTTGTTTTAAGGTTTGGGGGAATTAAACTGCAGTTTTGGGGGATGGATTTGAGCAGCATGTTTTGTGGGATGGAGATACAATTACCAATCTGTGAAGAAAAAAACAGAGGAAGAAGAAAAGGAAAAAGAAAAAAGAAGGTGTCCCTCCCTTTTTTTTTTTTTTATTATCCTGAATGGGGCATCTCCCATCGTCCTTGAGTTCTGGAATGAACCGGCTTTACTGTGTACCCTTGGTCCCATCTCATCACAATTACTTGACAACAGAGGAGATCTGGAGTGAAGATTTGGTTCCCTCTTCATCCTTGAGGTTCCTAAATAACTGGTCTTACTGGTTACCCCGCCTAATCTTTCATCTGTGTTCCAATGGTAATCCATTAGGCTGAGACCACCCTTCATTTCTGTTCTGTGAGTCTCTTGCATGTGCAGCCTTGGGCCTGACTAGAGCCTTATCTCCTTGGCCTTATAGTGACTCTCACTCACAGCATTTTGGTAATAAGATGATTATCTCTTTTCTTAGATTTCCATTTCCTATGTTCTTGTAAGTAGATGAGAAGCCAGTTTTTTAAAGCTAACTGCCAAAAGGAGGCTGTACTTCCCTCTCCACTCCCTTGGGATATGACCTTGAAGGTTGTGATGCATGATAAGGGTGTGTAAGAGATTAAGAGAAGTGGAGTCTACAGGAGGAAGTGAGAGAAAGTAAGAGCAATACTCATGGGAAGTGTTCACATGCTCGTGAAAACAGCAGCCCTTGGATTCAAGAGGGAAACATTTATTTGCCCTCTGGACATAAAGTAGTAATGTCTGGAGGACTTGAGGTGTGGGAAAAGAACTCGAAAATGGCAAAGGAAGAATTTCCCCTCTTCCCAAAGGGGTGCTTACTTGAAAAAAAAAAAAAAAAAAGGCCAGGCACAGTGGCTCACGCCTATAATCCCAGCACTTTGGGAGGCTGAGGTGGGCGGATCATGAGGTCAGGAGATCAAGACCATCCTGGCTAACACAGTAAAACCCCTTCTCTACTAAAAATACAAAAAAAATTAGCCTGGCATGGTGGCATGCACCTGTATTCCCAGCTACTCAGGAGGCTGAGGCAGGAGAATGGCATCAACCCAGGAGGCGGAATTTGCAGTGAGCTGAGATTGCACCACTGCACTCCAGCCTAGGTGACAGAGTGAGACTCGGTCTCAAAAAAAAAAAAAAAAAAAAAAAGAAGAAAAGAAAATAGGTGGACTCCTTATAGGACCAGAGTCCTTTAAGGATTTAAGTCCAGTATGCACGCTGACAATCTGCTTTGAAAGCCACCAAAAAACTCAGTCCTGGGGCATAACAGGAACAAAAAGCATATACTAAGTCATAAGGAACTGGCAAAGGCAGAGTTCCAATTAGTATCTGTCCCAGCCATATGCCAATGGGCAGGAGAAGGGCTGGAGGTTATTTGAGCTGCTAGGGTAAAAACAAGTATCAATTTCAGGGGATATCTACAAGAGAGCCCATGTCTCTGCTGCTGCATATATGCAGAGAGCCGTGGGCACAAGAATAACAAGGAGTATTTGTTTAAGAAGTCACATGGCATGCAAAGTGAAAGCAAAGACAGAGACTTGCCCCTGGAAATGGATGATCTGGCAGGTACGCAAGGCCATCTCGGAATACACACATTGAAAAGAGGAGAATGGGAGGTGCAGGTCTTTGGGAAAGAGCTGATTTTAGTTGAAAAAGCAGAGGAAACCCAAAACATTGCATGGTTTTAGGCCTTAGTCCTACCACTTGAGCCTCCTGTCCAGGAGGGTCATTTTAGTACCTTAGATCTATTTGGTGCAGAACCTAATTTCCTTCCCACCCCTGTGAGCCACCCATCAGAACGAGCTGAGAAACCCACCAGGAGGTGGGCAGAGTCACTTACGGTCAAGAAGAATTGTTCTGGAGGTTGGTTAGTAAAGAGGAGAGAGAAAGGGGAGAAGAAAACTGCATACAGGGGCTGAATGCCTCTAGCTGAAGAAGGTGAGGTGTAGAGATCTCTTACCACTAGGAAAGTGGTGGAAGTTATCCATGTCACCCGGCACCAAAATATGTTACTGGTGGTGAATTCCTTTGGAACTGCAGCAACCTCAATTCTTGTTCCTCAGAAGAAACAATTTGACTGAGGGGCATAAGGCAGAAAAAGAGACCAAGGCAAGTTTCAGAGCAGGAGTGAAGTTTATTAAAAAGCTTTAGAGCAGGAACAAAAGGAAGGAAACAAAAGTACACTTGGAAGAGGCCCAAGTGGGCATCTTGGAGGTCAAGTGCCCAGTGTGACCTTGAACCTAGGATTTTATATGCTACTGCCATCTGGTGTTTTGCACCCCTTTTCCCTTGATTCCTCCCTTAGGGTGAGCTGCCTGCATGCATGATGGCCTGCTAGTACTTGGGAGGTGAGCATGCACAGTGGGTTTACTGGAGTTGTACACATGCTCACCTGAGGCTTTCTTCCCTTTTATGGTGGAATGCCCCCAGAAGAAGGTCATACTCTGCTGTTTTGCCTCTTAATGCACGTGCTTGAGCCTACCCACCCAATTCCTGAAAGCTGTTAATTACCAATTTCAGATGCTTCTGATGTACTGGAAAATGGCCTCTCCCTAGCATTGCTGTGACCAAATATTATTTTAGACAGGCAGTGTGACAACTGCATGACCATGACCTGATAATTGCCTGACATACCTGGTGGGTGGGGGGAGCCCTCTTCTGTCCTGCTTATGCCTAACTACCTACTGTAACAGAAATTAAATTATCTGCTCTTGAATGATTTTGGATTAACAATGAAATCAAGATGGAAATTTTAAAAAATTTTAAATCAATGATAATAGTGACACAACTTATCTAAACCTCTGGGAAAAGCAAAAGTGGTGCCAAGAGAAAAGTTCATATTTAATGCCTACATCAAAAAGTCTGGAAGAGTGTGAATAGACAACCTAATGTCATACCTCAAGGAATAGAGAAGAACTAAACCCAAACCCAGCAGAAGAAGAGAAATAGCAAAGATCAGAGCAGAACTAAATGAAATTAAAACAAACAAAAAATACAAACGATGAATGAAACAAAAAGCTGGTTCTTTGAAAAGATAAACAAAATTGACAGAACATTAGTGAGATTAACCAAGAAAAGAAGAGAGAAGATCCAAATAAGCTCAATTAGAAATAAAACTGGAGATATTAAAACAGATATCACAGAAATACAAAGGACTATTCAAGGCTACTATGAACACCTTTACATGCACAGACTAGAAAATTTAGAGAAGATGGATATATTTCTGGAAATATACAACCCTCCTAGATTAAATCAGGAAGAAATAGAAACCTCAGATAGTCTAATGACAAGCAATGAGATTGAATCAGTAACTTATAAAACTGCCAACCAAAAAAAGTCTAGGACCATATGGATTCACATCTGAATTCTATCAGACATTCAAAGAAGAATTGATACCAATTTTGCTGAAACTATTCCAATGATAGAGAAAGAGGGAATCCTCCTGTATTAGGGTTCTTTAGAGGGACAGAACTAATATGATATGTGTGTGTATATATATGAGTTTATTAAGGAATATTAACTCACATAATCACAAGGTCCCACAATAGGCCATCTGCAAGCTGAGGAGCAAGGAGGACAAAGCAGAAGAACTTGAAGTTTGATGTTCAAGGGCAGGAAGCATCCAGCATGGGAGAAAGATGTAGCCTGGGAGGTTAAGCCAGCCTAGTCTTTTCACATGCTTCTGCCTGCTTTTTATTCTGGCCTTGCTGACAGATGATTAGATTGTGTCCACCCAGATTGAGTGAGTCTGCTTTTCCCAGTCAACTGACTCAAATGTTAATCTCCTTCGGCAGCACCCTCAGAGAAACACCCAGGATCAATACTTTGCATCCTTCAATCCAATCAAGTTGACACTCAGTATTAACCACCACAAGTCCACCCCTTGTCAACTTGAACCCATACACATCTCCTGAGATCATACATAATATTAGAATAAAGACAATGATAAGGTCATAATTATGCCAAACACAATACAACTATCCTTCATACAACTGGAAATACACCAATCCCCAACCTAAATGTTATTACATAAAGTTAACACTTAAATGCTGACATGAAGTCAATAAATCTTCTGTCATATGATAAAGGAAAAAAGAAAATAAAATGAAGATATTTTCTTAGTACAAGTGTATATGTGCACAAACATAGTTTTTAAAAAAAGAAGTAGGAAATACTCATGACAATTATAGTCCTCGTTTCTGCAACTGGTCACATGGTCATAGCTGGCATTAATGAGTACCTTCTTCTGCTACCCATTCTGTATTCCCTTTGCCTTCAGCAAGCACCTCAGCAGGTCATGTTTTTTTTCCTGGTGGAGTGACCCAAACCTTTATTCCTGAAAGGTCTGTGCCATTCGTAGTCCTGCCTGGATTGGGCTTTTTAATTTCCCATTGACCTTAATCACAGGGCATGGTAATGCTAAGAGATGCCCTAATGGATCTCCTGTATTCCATGTATATTCTTCTTTAGCTCTGTTGTGGAGTAGTAGACTGATTTTATCTCGATAGTCTGGGTCAATCACCCCAGCCAACACTGTAACACCTTCTTAGTGTGTTGGCTTAAAGGTAGGAAGAGCCCACCCAAAGTGTCCAGGTGGCAACCTTAATTTACAGTTTAATGGAAACGTTGTGTCCCCTGGTGGCAGTGTTCCTCCCTCTGGAACTAAGACCTCTAGGCCAGCAGAACATAGTGTCACAGGAACAGGAGGCAAAAATTTTGCTAGTCGGTCACTAGGGGTGATGGTGAGTGTTGCCACTTCCACTTCCACACCTTGATTCCTGGACCCATGAATCCTGGCTATGGGAGAAACAGTTCCATATACTGGATGCAATTTGGAGCATGCTCAGCCTTCTGGAGAATGTTGCCCCAGCCCTGCAAAGTATTGTCACCTAGTTGGCATTGTAGTTGTGACTTCAAAAGGCCATTTCACCATTCTACCAATCCAGCTGCTTTAGGATGATGGAGAACATGGTAAGATCAGTGAATTCCATGAGCATGAGCCCACTGCCACACTTCTTTAGCCATAAAGTGTGTGCCTTGGTCAGAGGCAATGCTGTGTGGAATACCATGATGGGGGATAAGGCATTCTGTGAGTCCACGGATGGTAGTCTTGGCAGAAGCACTGCGTGCAGAATAGGCAAACTCATATCCAGAATAAGTGTCCATTCCGGTGAGGACAAACCTCTGCCCCTTCCATGATGGAAGAGGTCCAATATAATCCACCTGCCACCACGTAGCTGGCTGATCACCCTGAGGAATGGTGCCATATCAAGGGCTCAGTGTTGGTCTCTACTGCTGGCAAACTGGGCACTCAGCAATGGCCATAGCCAGGTCAGCCTTGGTGAGTGGAAGCCCATGTTGCTGAGCCCATGTATAACCTCCATCCCTCCACCATGGCCACTTTGGTCATGGGCCCATTGGGCAATGACAGGGTTGGCTGGGTAAAGAGGCTGAGTGGTGCCCACAGAATGGGTCATCCTATTCACTTGATTATTAAAATCCTCCTCTGCTGAGGTCACCTGTTGCTGAGCACTCACACAGGATACAAATATCTTCACAGATTTTGACGACTCAGAGAGGTCTATCCACATACCTCTTCCCCAGCTTTTTCACCAATTTTCCAATCATGCTTTTTCCAAGTCCCTGACCATCCAGCCAAACCATTGGCTACAGCCCATGAATCAGTATATAATTGCACATCTGTCCATTTCCTCTTTCCAGGCAAAGTACACAACCAGGTCCACTGCTCAAAGTTCTGCCCACTGGGAAAATTTCCCTTCCCCACTGTCCTTCAGGGATGTCCTGGAAAGGGGCTGTAGTGATGCAGCTGTCCACTTCTAGGTGGTGCCTGCATACCATGCAGAACCATCTGTGAACCAGGCCCCAGTCTTCTATTCCTCTGTCAATTCATCATAGGGAACTCTCCATGAAGCCATTGGTGCAGGCTAGGGGAGAGAAGGCAGGGTGGCAGGAGTAGAGACCATGGGCATTTGAGCCACTTCCTCATGTAATTTACTTGTGCCTTCAGGACCTGCTCGAACCTGATCACATATGTACCACTTCCTTTTCACGATGGAATGCTGCTGTGCATGATCCACTTTATGGCTAGATGAGTCAGAAAGCACCCAGTTCATGATAGGCAGTTCAGGTTGCCTGGTGACTTGATGACCCATATTCAAACATTCAGTTTCCACCAAAGCCCAGTAACAGGCCAGGAGCTGTCTCTCAAAAGGAGAGTAGTTATCTGCAGAAGATGGCAGATAGTTGCTCCAAAATCCTAGAGGACTCTGCTGTGATTTACGTGTGGGGGGCTGCCACAGGCTCCAACCAGCATCCCTATCTGCCACTGACACCTTAAGTACCATTGGATCTGCTGGATCATATGGCCCAAGTGGCAGAGCAGCTTGCACAGCAGCCTAGACCTGTTGCAGAGTCTACTCCTGTTCTGGACCCTACTAAAAACTGGCAGCCTTTAGGGTCACTTGATTAATAGGCTAGGGTAACACATTCAAATGAGGAATGTGTTGCCTCCAAAATCCAAATAGGCCCACTAGGCCTTGTGCTTCTTTCTTGGTTGTAGGAGGAGCCAAATGCTGCAACTTATCCTTTACCTTAAAAGGAATATCTCGACAGGAAGTTCCATCTTTTAATCCATATTTCAGCTAACCAAGCCAATAAATTATTAGAAAAATTTTTAACTCCTTGAACTGCAATATTAAATGCAGAATCAATATTTAGTGGGCCCAGATCAATAAATTCAGCCTGATCCAACTCTATGTTCATTCCACCATTATTTTATACCCTTAATATCCATTCCCATGCCTGTTCTCCAGATTTCTCCTTAAATAAATTAGAACACTTAAGCAGTTCTTTTTGAGTGTAGCGCACCTCCTCATGAGTCACACTCTGAACCTCACCTCTGAGGGCCTGCTAGGACTTTAGTCTAGTTATAGGTCTAGAAGCAAACAAAGGTGTTGGGGATGGCCCCTGAGGAGAATCAACATTATCTTGCCTCGCAACTGCCTCAGGGGAGGGCAACACTGTTGCCTCAGGCAGCACAGCGTTTATCGCCTTAGACAAAGGTGGAAAGGCTGATAGCAGCATGGGTCGGGGAGCGGATGTTGCCACAATTGGGGATGGGGAAGCTGTTTCTTCTGGCAAAAAAGGTTCATCAGAGTTTACAAGCTCAGTGCCCCCAGCTTCTTCAAGGTCCTCCCACACATCCCTATTCCCAGTTGCAGGGTCCCATTCCTTTCCAATCAATGCCCTCACTTTAACGGTTGATACCTGGGCAAGGCTGTGCATGCAACTTTCATTGTAGGTCAGCGGTCAGCCACTCATGTGATAAGAGCTTGTGTCTGATTTTCCACAATTTCTGCTTTCTATACAGGAGATAAGACTCTTGCTCAGGGCCACCTTAGCAGATTTGAGGCTCAGTATCTGCTTCTGAAACTGGGAGTTACAATCCCTGTGTTCATCATTTTCTTTCATCATTTTGTCTAGTGAACTTAGGAATAACCAGCCAACTTCATTATGTTCCTTGGTTCTCTACATAGAGTCAAAAGTATTATGTATAGAGTCATTAAACTCCTTGCCTGTCACCAGCTGTGAATCAGGAGTGTCAAATGCATTTATTTTGCATAACTCTAAACACAGTTTATTTTGCATAAACTCTAAACTCTGTGTTTATGCGTAGTATGTAGTATGTGTAGTATGTCCTCCATACTATTAGAAGTAGAGTCCTTAGCATTTTTGGGTCTAATCTTATTAAGCAGCCAACTCCAGAAACCCCCAAACCAACGAAAGAACTCCATCCTTAATATTCTGTTCCTCTAGAACCACTCCTGGTACCAAAACCTGTATTAGTCAGGGTTCTCTAGAGGAACAAAACTAACGGATATATATGGGAGTTTATTAAGATGTATTAACTCACATGATCACAAGGTCCCACAACAGGCCATCAGCAAGCCGAGGAGCAAGCAAGCCATTCCACAGTCCCAAACCTGAAGAACTTGAAGTCCGATGTTCAAGGGGAGGAAGCATCCAGTATGGGAGAAAGATGTAGGCTGGGAGGCTAAGCCAGTCTAGTCTTTTCATGTTCTTTTGCCTGCTTTTTATTCTGGCTGTGCTGGCAGCTAATTAGATTGTGCCCACCCAGATTAAGGGTGAGTCTGTCTTTCCCAGTCACCTGACTCAAATATTCATCTCCTTTGGCAACACCCTCACAGACACACTCAGGAACAATACTTTGCACCCTTCAGTCAAATCAAGTTGACACTCAGTATTAACCATCACACCTCCCCTAAATCATTCTATGAATCCAGTATCACCCTAATAGCAAAGCCAGGAAAGAACATAACAAAAAAAGAAAACTACAGACCAATATTCCTGATGAACATAGATGCAAAAACCTTGAGCAAGATACTAGCTAACTGAATCCATAGCACATCAAAAAGAATATGTCATGATCAAGTGGATTTTATACCAGGGATGCAGGGATGCTTTAACATACACAGGTCAATGAATATGATACAACACATAAACATAATTAAAAACAAAAACCATATGATCATCTCAATAGATGCAGAAATAGCATTTGATAAAATCCAGCATCGCTTTATAATAAAAGCCTTTAACAAAATAGGCATATAAGGGACATACCTCAAAGTAATAAAAGCCATATATGACAAACCCACCACCAACACCATACTGAATGGGGATAAGTTGAAAGCATTCCCTCGAGAACTGGAAAAAGATGAGGATGCCCACTTTCACCACTTCCATTCAACATAGTACTGGAAGTCCTGGCCAGAGCAATCAGACAAGAGAAAGAAATAAAGGGCATTCAAATCGGTAAAGAAGAAGTCAAACTGTCACTGTTTGCTGATGATATGATCGTATATCTAGAAAAACCTAAATGCTGATGATATGATCGTATATCTAGAAAACCCTAAAGACTCATCCAAGAAGCTCCCAGATCCAATAAATGAATTCAGTAAAGTCTCAGGATACAAAATCAATGTACACAAATCAGTAGCACTGCTATACAACAACAATGGCTAAGCTGAGCATCAAATTATAACTCAATTCCTTTACAACAGCTGCAAAAAAATAAAATACTTAGAAGAAGTCTACTTAACCAAGGAGGTGAAAGATCTATACAAGGAACACTACAAAACACTGCTGAAAGAAATCATAGATGACACAAACAAATGGAAACACATGCCATGTTCATGGATGGATAGAATCAATATTGCGACAACTGCATACTGCCCAAAGGAATCTGCAGGTTCCATGCAATTCAAAATACCATCATCATTCTTCACAGAATTATGAAAAAAAATCCTAAAATTCATATGGAACAAAAAAAGTCCACATAGCCACAGCAATATTAAGCAAAAAACAAAACAACAACAAAACACATTTGGAGGCATCACATTACCCCACTTCAAATTACACTACAAGGCAATAGTTACCAAAAAAGCGTGGTACTGGTATACAAATAGGCACATAGACCAATGGAACAGAATAGAGAACCCAGAAATAAAGCCAAATACTCGCAGTCAACTGATCTTTCACAAAGCATACAAAAACATAAATTAGAGAAAGAACACACTATTCAATAAATGGTGCCGGGAAAAGTGGCAAGCCACATGTAGAAGAGAAACTGGATCCTCATTTCTCACCTTATACAAAAATAAACTCAAGATGGATCAAAGACTTAAACCTAAGACCTGAAAACATAAAAATTCTAGAAGATAACATCAGAAAAATTCTTCTAAACATTGGTTTAGGTAAAGAATTCATGACTTAGAACGCAAAGGCAAATGCAACTGATACGGTTTGGCTGTGTCCCCACCCAAATTTCATCTTGAATTGTAGCTCCCACAATTCCTAGGTGGGAGGAACCTGATGGGAGGTGATTGGATTATGGGGGTGGGTCTTTCCCCTGCTGTTCTAATGATAGTGAATAAGTCTCATGAGATCTGATGGGTTTATAAAGAGGAGCTCCTTTGCACAAGTTCTCTCTCACCTGCTGCCATATAAGAAGTCCTGTTGTTCTTCATCTTTTGCCATGACTGTGAGGCCTCACCAGGTATGTGGAACTGTGAGTCCATTAAACCTTTTTTTCTTTATAAATTACCCAGTCTTAGATATGTCTTTATTAGCAGTGTGAGAACAGACTAATATACAACAAAACAAAAATAAATTAATGGGACCTAATTAAACCAAAAAGCTTCTGCATGGCAAAAGAAATAATCAGCAGAGTAAACAGACCACCCACAGGGTGGGAGAAAATATTTGCAAACTGTGCATCCAACAAAAGACTTACATACAGAATCTACAAGGAACTCAAACAAATCAGCAAGAAAAAAAACAAATAATCCCATCAAAAAGTGGGCAAAGGATATAAATAGACAATTCTCAAAAGAAGATATACAAACGGCCAACGAACATATGAAAAAATGCTCAACATCATTAATTATCAGGGAAACGCAAATTAAAATCACAGTGAGATACCACCTTACTCCTGCAAGAATGGCCATAATTCAAAAGTCAAAAATTAATAGATGTTGGTGTGGATGTGGTGAAAAGGGAATGCTTCTACCCTGCTGGTGGGAATGTAAACTAGTACAACCACTGTGGAAAAACAGTATGGAAATTCCTTAAAGAACTAAAAGTAGAACTACCATTGGATGCAGCAATCCTACTGCTGGATGTCTAACCAAAGGAAAATAAGTAATTAAATGAAAAAGACAGATGCACATGCATATTTATAGCAGCACAATTTGCAATTGCGAAGATATGGAACCAACCTCAGTGCCCATCAACAAACAAGTGAAAGAAGAAAATGTGGCATATATACCCCATGGAATACTACTCAGCCATAAAAAAGAATAAAATAATGTCTTTTATAGCAACTTGGATGAAGCTGGAGTCTATTATTCTAGGTGAAGTAACTCAGGAATGGAAAACCAAATATCCTGTGTTCTCACTTGTAAGTTATAAGTGGTAGCTAAGCTATGGGGGTGCAAAGTTATAAGATTGATATAATGGACTTCGGGGACTCAGCAGGGAAGTTTGGAGAAGGTGAGGAATAAAAGACTACATATGGGGTACAGTGTACCCTGCTCAGGTGATGAGTGCTCCAAAATCTCAGAAAGCACCACTAAAGAATTTATCTATGTATCCAAAAACCACCTATATCCCCAAAACTACTGAAATAAAAATTAAGTAGAAATTTGTGGTGTTTCTATACACTAAAAGTGAATTATCTGAAAAAAAATAAAGAAAATGATCACACTTACAGTAGTATCAAAAAAGTAAAATGCTTGGAAATAAATTTAACCAAGGAGGTGAAATATCTGTATGCTGAAATCTGTAAGGCATTGATGAAATAAATTGAAGAAGACACAAATAAATGGAAAGATGTCCTATGTTTATGGAGTCGAAGAATTACTATTCTTAAAATGTCCATACTACCCAAAGTGATCTACAGATTCAATATAATTCCCATCAGCAAGTTGGAAACTCCACTTCATACTGGTATAGCCAAGGACACAGTACTCCTTCAGCTCCCTGTGGGAGGGCTGTTATCCTAAGGAGCAGAATGTCAGCTTTTTTCCACCCTGTCTTGTGCTCCTTACGCTATAATGCTGGAAGTTGATCTCCTAATCTTTCATTTTATGTCTTTCATTCTGTGGCCTGTGTTTTCTATGTGCATTCCTTCTGGAAATTTTTAGTATATTCTGTTCTTGATATTTCAGAGATTATTTTAAATATATCTTCATATATTTTAACTCTTTCATTAAAAAAATAGATCCATTGTATTGATAAAATTATCATATTTCACTCCCTTACTACCCTTTCCTTTCCTCTGTTGCTTGGTCTTTGCTGATTATATCATATTATTATTCTTAGCTTATCCAGTGTTTATTTTTAATTCTAACTGTATTTAATGCACTAATTGGTTTATAAATATCTGTTTTTAAAAGCTAATTTAATGTCTATGCTTACATTACCTTGTAAATTATTTCCTTCTTAACCTTTGATATGGTCTGGCTGTGTCCCCCCCCATATCTCATCTTGAATTATAGCTCCCATAATTCCCATGTGTTGTGGGAGGGACCCGGTGGGAGATATTGAATAATGGGGGCAGTTTCCCCCATACTGTTCTCATGGTAGTGAATAAGCCTCAAGAGAGCAGATGGTTTTTTAAAACAAGAGGTTTCCCCTTTTGCTTGGCTCTCTCATTCTCTCTTGTCTGTAGTCATGTAAGACCTTCCACTATGATTGTGAGGCTTCCCCAGCCATGTGGAATTGTAAGTCCACTAAACCTCTTTTTTAAAATAAATTACCCAGTCTCAGGTATGTGTTTATCAACAGCGTGAAAATGGACTAATACAACCTTCCAAGTTCGTTTTATAATTTCTAAATTATTGTATTTCATAATATTTACAGTTACAACCATAACTTGTAGAGTTGTTTTAATCTCAGCCTTACAATTAAATCGACTTTATGCTCACTGTCAATCTGTTTGCTGGTTTCCTCATTCATCTATCTGTTGGCTAAAATTCATTTGGTCATTTCTTCAAGAAGCTTTTATGGGAACTGTATTTTCCTTTATATTAGAACTACAGTTTAATTGGATATAAAATTCTTGGGCAATACTTTTTTTTCAGCTAAACCTGAAGATTTCATAGACACTGGTGTCTTTTAACATTGAATGGTTCTTAGAGAAACCTGAAACCACACTGATTCTTTTTTCTCATTTAAGTTGATAGGTTTGAATGGATGCACAATAGCTTTTTCTTTTCATTATCTATGAGATCCCAAAATTTTGTAGGACATGTCTTAATATTAATTGTTCTGAAAATCTCTGTATACACTGTTTTGTCTACTCAATCTAAGACTTACCCTGTCAGGTCCTTTTACATCTTTGGGAAATTTTCTTGAATGATACCTTTCAAATTCTTTTTTGTTACATTTGTTTTGTTCTCTTTTGAAGAACATTAACTATGCATAGGTTTAATCTCATAAGACCTCCATTCTTATTTCCAATCTATTGCTATTATTTTTTCCTAATTCCTCTCCTTCTTTCTGTAATCTTTTTAAAATTAGCATGTAATAGTTTTACATGCTTATGGGGGTACAGTGTGATATTTTGATACATACATACAATGTATAATGACCAAATCAGGGTAATTAGTATATAAATCACCTTAAAATTTATCATTTCTTTGTATTGGGAACATTCAAAATCTGCTCTTCTAGCTATTTGAAAATATAGAATAAGTTATTATTAACCATAGCCGCCCTGCAGTGCTAAAGGACACTAGAAAGAATTCCTCCTACCTAGCTGTAATTTTACATCTGTTAACCAGCCTTTGGCTATCTCTTCCTCCCCACTACCCTTCTCAGTTTCTAGTTAACACTATTATATTCTCTACTTCCATGAGATCAACTTATTTCACTTCCACATATGAGTGGGAACATGTGGTATTTATCTTTCTTTGCCAGACTTATTTTATTTAATATAATGTCCTCCAGACTCACCCATATTGCCACAGGATTTCATTCTTTTTCGAGGCTGAATAGTAATACATTGCGTATATATGCCACATTTTCTTTATTCGTTAATCTGTTGATAAACACTTTGGTTTATTTCATACCTTGGCCATTTTGAAAAGTGTTGAAATAAACGTGGGGGTGCAGATATCCCCTTGACATACTGATTTCCTTCCCTTTGAACATACACCCAGTCGTGGGATTGCTGGATCCTATAGTAGTACCATTTTTAGATTTTTAGATCTTTGAGGTACCTCCATACTGCTTTCCATAATGGCTATACTAATTTCATTCCCACAAACAGCACACAGGTTCCCTTTCTTCCAGCATATCCTCTCCACATCCTCTCCAGCAGATTTTGAATGTTCTCATCCATAAATGGTTGAGGTGATAGGTATGCTAATTACCCTGATTCAATCATTACACATTGTATACATGTATCAAAATATCACACTATATCACATAAATATGTAAATGTACTGTGTCAATTTAAAAAATCATAAAAGCAAAAAAATAAGAAAAAATCAAGAAACCCATCTCATTTACAATAGTCACACAAAAAATATAAACTTAGGAATAAATATAAACATGGATGTCAAAGATCTGTACAATGAAAATTATAAATATAATAAAAAATTAAAATGGACACAAAAAAGTGGAACAACATTCATGTTTATGGATTGAATTAATATCGTGAAAATTACCATAGTGCTCAAAGTTAACTACAGATTCAATAAAATCTCCATCAAAATACTAGTGACATTCTTCACAAAATAGAAAGAAAAATTCTAAAATTTGTATGAAACCACCAAAGATCTCGAATAACCAAAGCAATCCTGAGCGGGGGGAGGGGGTGGGGAAAGAACAAACCCGGAGAAATTACACTACCTGACCTCAAAATATCTACAAACCTATAGTAACCAAAGCAGCATTGTACTGGCACAAAGATAGACACATAGGCCAATGAGACAGAATAGAGAACCCAGAAATAATTCCACACACTTAGACCTAACTGATTTCTGACATTGGAGAAAGGAAAATTTCTTCTGTAATCTTTTAAACTTTGTTCATTTATATTTCATTTTGCTTTTTTTGTTTCTGATCCTGCTTTTTTGTCTCTTACTGAGTGTATTAGTTTCCTAGGGCTGCCACAACAAACTACCACAAACTGGGTGGCTTAAAACAACAGAAATTTATTGTCTTACCGTTCTGGAGGCTAGAAGTATAATTTTAACATGTAAGTAAGTTTGGTTCATTCTGAACTGTGTGAGGGAGAATGTGTTCTGTGCCTCTCTTCTAGCTTTTGGTGATTTGCTGATGCTCTTTGGCGTACCTTGGTTGTAGATGCGTCATCCCAACCTCTGCCTTCATGTTTGCATGGTATTCTCTTTGTATGCATGTCTATTCTCTTCATATGGCGTTCTCGTTTTAAGGATACTAGTTATATTGAGTTAGCGAACCACTGTACTCAAGTGTCACCCCATCTTTTTAAAAAAAATTTTTATTTTTTGAGACAGACTTTCCTGTTGTTGCCCAGGCTGGAGTGCAGTGGCATGATCTCGGCTCACTGCGACCTCCGCCTCCGTAGTCATACTTTACACTCCCACAGATAGACCCTACAACATCTACTCGTTGGTCTAAATTAGGTTATGTTGCTTCTTGCTTGCTGAGTGTGCTCCTGACTGTGGAGAATTCCTCCCTCTACTGGTTTATCCTGAGAATTGCAACAATTTCTCTGTATATCACGCCTATCAGGGTCCCAGGCAAAAATTCTTTTAACCCGGTGGAGTAAATTTCCCAAATTCCTCATGACTGTGTGAACACATGAAGATATAATAAAATGGGGTTCGTCACTCTATCTTATACATCACATTACCATACTGCAATGGTTCTGAAACTTTTATTCACGTACTAACATCTCTAAAATAAGACTACATCTTCTAATCAATGGAATCATACAATTGTTATCAGTATTGTGATATAGTTGTTATTATAAATCTAATACAAAATTAAAGTGGACACAAAAAAGTGGAACAACATTCACGTTTATGGATTGAAAGAATTAATATCGTGAAAATTACCATAGTGCTCAAAGTTAACTACAGATTCAATAAAATCTCTATCAAAATACTAGTGACATTCTTCACAAAATAGAAAGAACAATTCTAAAATTTGTGTGAAACCACCAAAGATCTCGAATAACCAAAGCTCCTGTGCATGCAGGAGCTTCCTCATAGCTGTTCATATTGTTACCACTTCAAAAGAATTATGCTCATTGTTGATGCTCTATGCATTAAATTTAATTGACATGTGCAATGTACCCAAATTGAATACACTGATTAATCACTGAAACAAAATGTTATTAAGTACACAGAAAGGTATGAAAATAGTGTCTCAGGGCATAAATTTTATATCAGTAATGCACATACTCATTGTTTTAAGGACAACTGCATTTCCATATTTTCTTACAAAGCAACAACCAAATGCTTTATAGGACCTAAGAAAGAATGGTATGCATGAGTAGGTGACTTTCTATTATGATGTTCTATTGTTAAGATCTATGCAAAACGATTGCCTATCACTGACTAAGCAGTACAACTGGAGGCAGAAGAAATTGCAAAATACTCCAGGATAGATTAAAGAATTTCGAGCCAGAGAGAGGCTATGTGACCCATTCAGGTTGGGTAGAAATATCATTAAGGCATCACATATCAATTTGTTAGAAGCTTCCTGTTGTCACATTTGATGGCAAAATTTTACTGTACTAGACAGCTAAAGAGCATCCATCCATCATAAATCTCCTTCTCTCTGTCTCTTTTTTTTCTCTCTCTCATTTGAGATGTAAGCTCTTTCTCTTTTTTTCCCCCAGTCTAAGGCATACTCTTTATTTTTCTTATCTGGGTCATGGCTCTTTCTCTTGAGCACACATATCTTATAAGCTCTAACTGCCGAACTATCTTTTCTTTCCTGAAAATCTCCCTCTGGGTTCAAATAGCTTTTCTTTGGCTATCTGCCCTTTCCTTAGTTTTCCACATGTTATTGTTAACATATGGTGTAATTATAGGTGATTAATACTAAAATGAGAAGTAATAAACTATAAACAAGCAGAAAAATATTAGAATTTCACTCACCCATTTCCACGTATTGCCAAGGATTTTGGCATCATCTGAAGGCAGAATAAAAACTAGAATGCTTATCTGCATGTAGATTTCCCTTTTGTATTTTCAAACTTTTTAAGTAAGTGTTCCAGAATATCCCTGTCAGTTGCCGTATCTCTTACTGTGTGCTTCTGGCTCTTATGAAGGCTTATATCACACTTCACCTCACGGAAAAGTTAACTATATTGGGGGATCTGCAGGAGGAGATAATCATCTTGGCCCCAGAAAAGCTGGAATGAGTCTCTGAGATTTTATGTCAATGTAAATCCAGGCCAAAATGAAATACTTTGAGATGAACTTAAAATCTTTCATTGACCTTTATGTGGAGGCTCTTATCTTTATCATAATACATTTTCTATATTAATATAATCTAGCTTTTTGGGGTCTTTTCTGACTTCTCTAGGATTCTAAAGGCATTCTACATACTACAGGAGAGTTCTGAGTGTTTTCAAGGTTACTAAAGTTTCCCACCGCTCACTAGAATTCTATTTTCTGAGTATTTTTTACCCATTTCCATCCATGCGAAGTTTCTCTTCTGAGCCTGGCATTATTTTCTTTTATTCCACTCAAGTCTTCACAAAACACATCTGCCTTTTGACTCTTGCTATCTGGGCTGTCAGCCGAAACCCACAATAGTGTGGAGCCTGTGAAAGATGGCTCAGCCTTTTGTGTTGTATGCATCCATTCAAAAGGACTCTATAGGCAGAGTTAAGCAGACATACAAAATCTCCCTGCTTCTCACCCATTAATTTCAGTCACTTTCATAGTACAGAGAAAACCCTTTCATATTTTAGAAGTTGAATTTGCATAAATGTGCATAACACTGATGTTGCTGCCCTTTCCCTTCAACTATTTTCTGTTCCAGTAATTCATCACCACCTGCCCTTGCATCCTGAAGATTTATGTTTTGAAAATCACATGAGAGTAGTTATATGGCTCATTATTCTCAGGGAAACATGCTTTCAGTGTATGATGGCTCTTTGCTCCTTATCTCTGGGCGCAGAAAAATCTTGCCTATTTGTAGGGCTCTGTGCCATGCTCCGTCTCCTTCTGCACATCGTTGTCTATTTTTCTTTCTTTTATTAAATTAATAAACAAAAATTTATAACCACATTTAAATGCACATAAGAGAGAGCTCTCTGTAGATGAACATTCTACATATGTGTAACAAAAAAGAAATAGAAAGTAAATGAGAATGTTTCTGAAGTTTATTTTCCCATGAAGCATAGACTAGGTAAAAAATTTATGTCTTACTGAACTTTCTAAAATTACCTAAACTTCTTATTTATCAAAGCACACTATCTCAGCTACTGAATTGCATCCCAAAATAAACTAATGACATGAAATTGTTAAGTCTTCCCGACCCTAATGGAAGGTGCCAGTTGACAAGACATATTGTGATGACTATAGCACCAATAAAATAAGTTCAACAAAATACAGCTAACTATAAAAACACGTGAGAGGTTTAATTTTTTAAGTTTTAAAATATTTGTTATTCTCAATATATACATCTATAGCATAGCAAAGAGACAAAATAGGATAAAATGAGAAAAAATATCAACCCAGTAAAACACTCAGCAAAATAACTATACTAAAAACAAACAACGCACAATGGGAATTGGGGCTGTCATATCCCATAAAGTAGTTCCAAGGCTCAATAAATGTCAAAGTGAAAAATCTGTCATTGAGGAGATTAGACGAGAGCAGGAAGAGGTAGATTGGTCTCATAGAAAGAAATAGAAACACTTTTTAAAGAACTAAGGACTAAAACCTTACACCAGAGCAACAATAAATTTACTCCAATGGCATAAATGGGTTTTTACAAGGTAAGGTATGACTCATAGCAAAAATGTTGCTTTCATGATGGCATTTTTTAATAAAAAGAGAGAAAAAGAAAAAATAAATTAAGGATTTTCTCAATAGTTTGGCAATCATTGGCTCTCCATTCAATTTTGAGAGTAAAGTATTACAAAGCTGATTGGGTGTTTTCTGTGCATGAGAGAGGCTTGTTGATGTGTGAGTTTCAGAAAAGAGGGGTGGGGATTGGGCTGTTTCTTTGGAAGACACCCTAAATATTAATATGCTTAAGTCTTATTACACTAGTCAGTTTCATAGAGAGGAACCTTCCAATATCTTGCCTGTCATGGAGAGAGGCTATGGCAGCAGAGGTAGAAGCTTGGATTTCAGATTTCTGGGAGCCAAAAGGGGCCTCATCACTTAGTATTCTGACTTCGTTTAGCTCTTGTGTTTTTGGCATGGCACTCCAACTCTTAGCTAAACCTGAGACTTCGATTTCTGCAAAGAGTTATAACTTCTCTAGTTTTTTTATCCCAGTGTGGGAGGAATGGTCTTGTGAGTGTACTGTGAGGATGGGGGTGGCTGTTTGTTTTACTGACTTTTGGCAAATTCTTCTATTTCCAGTGCTGACTTGTACCCATAACTTTAGTCTTCTTCAATAAACTCCCCTTGATTTTTTTTTTTTTTTTTGCTTCCCTGTGTCATCCCTAAAAACCAATACTTCTTCCCCTCGCACTACCACCAATACCAGGTATTTGAGTTTCGGTTTTCTTTAATCTCTTCAGTAATTTAAGACTCATCTATTCTCAATTCATCTTCTAAATATTATAGACCTTTACAATCTACTGTGACTGACTTCGTTTCTTCTTTTTTAAAAACATTGAGTTGTACTTTTTCATTCCTTTGTTGTCAGTTTTATAGGAGTTGGGAAGGGAGTAGAAGTAAACATATTTAACAAGAAGTTCCTAACAGTTTAATAAGACACAGATGTATGTTTTATGAAGACATTTGCAAAGGGGGTTCTCATGATAAATGAGGTTCACATCTTAGGAAGTAGGTGACAGGTCTCACTCACAACAGTAACAGTGAATTTTATTCATAGGATGGTTCAACAAAGCTATGGTAATTCATAAGAACTCACAGATGAAACTCCATAACAACCTACAGTATGCGTAAGTTTGTGGGGTTGTCACTTGATGCTGAGACATACGAGGGGCATGACAGGTATGGACCTTGCCATAGGCTTGACGCTCCTTGTATACAAACTTTATGGAACTCTAATTTCACCTCTTTCCCCAACTATTCCCTCTTTGAGCTTTAGTTTGAGCTTTATAGAACCCTAATTGCACCTCTTTCCCCAACTGTACACCTCTTTCCCCTGATTGTGGCCTCTTTGAGCTTTAGTTCATTATTTGTAAAATAAAGATAATTTTACCTACTTCATGGTGTAGATATAAGGATTTAGTGAGATAATGCATGCAAAAATATTTAGCTCACTGGAGCTCAGTCAATGATAAAGTTAAATATCCAGAAGTTCCTGGATTAAAGTCAAGACCTGGAATACATCAGTTAGCTTGTTTCTGCTTCTATATCACATTTTTTTGGGACAGTTTATTCCATCTGTAAGCAGCTCTGATGACTGGAAATCTCATCTTTATGTCAAGCTTATTTTATTATCTCATTCATCCTTTAAATGGCTAAGGTCAGCAGTGGACAGGATGGAGCCCAGCCCTGCCATTATGGAACATACAGTCAATGTTATGACTTTTTATTTTTCTCCTGAATCTTTCTATCTGATCATTTTCCTCTTGTCTTAAGAATATGTTTTAGAATTTTCTTTAGCATGGGTCTGCTAATAGTGAAATCTATTTTTATTTGCCTGGAAATGTTCCAAATTGTCTTGATTTTTTAAGAATTTTTTGAGAATAAGAATATTATAAGAATATTTTTACTGCCTGGATTGGCAGTTCTTTTCTTCCGGCAAGTTGAAAATATCACATAACTGTTTTATGTCCTCGTTGCTGTTGTTGAAAAGTCAATTGTTAGTCTAAACCTTGCTCTTTTGGGAAACTCTGTCCTTTTTTCTCTGACTACTTTTGAGGTGTTCGCTTTACCTTTAGGTTTTCTTTAACTCCACTATGTTCAGTTGCAAATTTCTTTTTATTTATTTTTCTAGCACCAGAGGCACATCTCTGGTCTCAGGCACCAGGCTGCCACATACAGACACAGACTCCAGGCCTGGCTGACTCCAGCCTGATTCCAGGCTGGTCCCTGCAGCTGCATCCTCCATATTGGCCCTTATTGCCTCATGTTCCAGCAGACCCAGGGTCCAGATCCATACCTGAAGACCCAGAACACAGACCTATCTTCATTTGCTCAGGCTCCAGATCTTCCCCAGTCCCAAGCTAGCGCCTATGGACTCAGGCTCTAGGCCCATCCCAGTGGACTCAGGCTCCAGGCCTGTCCCAGTGAACACAGCTATCAGGCCCATCCTAGTACCAGGCTGGCCACTGCAGACTTAGACTCAAGGCCCACCCCAGCACCTGGTAAGCCCCTGTGAACTTAGGTGCCAGGCATCCACCTGCTGACCAAACCTCCCCAAAGACTCCAGCAGCAAGCCTCCCCACAGACCACACCAGATAGCCTGCCCCTGCCCAAAATCTCTACATGGGCTGACTGAGGAAAGCTTTCCCAGACAAAACCAATCTGCAAATATTAGAATAAGTCTCTACTTTTTCAAATGTGCAGATATCAGTGTAAGGCAATAAGAAACATGAAAAATCAATGAGATATAACATCACCAAAAGAACACTATAATTTCCAATAGCTGACCCCAAGAAAATGGAGATACAAAAAGTGCCTGATAAGGAATTTAAAATAAGAGAGAAACAATTTAATTAAGTCAGGAAAACAATAAATGACCAAAATTATAAATGTAACAGAGAGATTGAAATTATTTTTAAAAAACAACAAACAAATTATGGAGCTGAAAAACACAATAAATAAAAATTTTTTAAATGTAACAGAGAGCATTAACAACAGAATTGATAAAGCAGAAGAAAAAAATCTGTGAAGTTAAAGACAGGTTATTTGAAAATATACAATCCGAGAAAAAAATAAAAAAGAATGAAAGGGAATGAAGAAATCTTACGGGATTTGTGGGATAGCATCAAAACGGCAAATGTTTGAGATATAGGAGTTTAAGAAGGAGAAGAAAGGGACAAAGAGATAGAAAGTTTACTTAAAGAAATAATAGCAGAAAACTTTCCAAATTGGGGCAAATGTAAATATCCAAGAAGAGGAAAGTCAAAAGCCTCAAATGAAATCCAATCCAAACAGGACTATCCTAAGACATATAACCAAACTGAAAATTCAAAGACAAAGATAGGCTCCTGAAAGCAACAAGAGAATATAAGCAAATCACATGTAAGCAGAGCTTTAATAAGGCTGATAGCAGACTTCAGCAGAAATTTGACAGGCAAGGAAAAAGTAGCTTCACACAGTCAAAGTGCTAAAGGAAAAATATTGCAGACTGAGAATATTGTACCCAACAAATCTGTCCTTCAGGAATGAAGGAGAAATGACTAAGAAGAGCTGAAAGAGTTCATCATCACCAGAAGTCTTATAAGAAATCTTAAAGGGACTCCTCTAAGCTGAAAGAAAGAGGCACCAATTAATAACATGAAAACATATGAAAGTATAAAACTCACTGTCAAAAGTAAGTACATAATCAAATTTAGAAAACTCTAATACTGAAATTATGGTGTGTAAGTCACTTATTTCTTTAGTAGAAAGCTTAAAAACAAAACTATTAATAACAACCACAATAATTTGTTAAGGGATGCACAATATAAAAAAGTATAAATTATAACTTTGAAAACATAAGATGGGGGGAGGTGAAATAAAAAGGTTGAGTTTTTTAAGTACAATCAAAATTAAGTTGTTTCAGTTAAAAATAGCCTGTTATAACTACAAGCCTCAAGGTAACCACAAAGCAAAAATCTATAGTAGATTCACAACAGATAAAAAGTATGGAATCAAAGCATAGAACTAGAGAAAATCATCTAATAAAAAGAAAAACAGCAAGAAAGGAAGAAAGGAAGAAGGATCTATAAAACAATCAGAAAGCAGCAAAATGACAGTAGTAAATCCTTACCTATAAATAATTACTTTTAATCCTACTACTGAGCATATATCCAAAGTACATGAAATCAGTATGTTGAAGAGATATTTGCACTCTCATGTTCACTGCAGCACGATTCACAGTGTCCAAGATATGCAATCAACTTAAGTGTCCATCAACTGATGAATGGATAAAGAAAACGTTGTATATGTACATAATGGAATGCTCTTCAGCCTTAAACAAGAAGGAAATTCTGTCATTTGCAACAACACAGATGAACTCAGAGGTTCTTATGCTAAGTGAAATAAGCCAGGCACAGAAAGATAAATACTGTATGATCTCACTTATATGTAGAATCTAAAAAAGTTAAACTCACAGAAACAGAGAGTAGAATGGTGATTACTAAGAGGTGGGTGGGAAGCAATTTAGGGAGATGTTGGTGAAAGGATCAAAAATTTCAGTTAGATAGAAATAAGCTCAAAGGATCTATTGTACAACATGGTGACTATAGTTAATGACAATGTATTTTATTCTTGAAAATTGCTAAGAATACATTTTGTGTTCTCACCACAAAAAAGTTATGCAATGTAATGCATATATTAATTAGGATGACTTAGCTATTCTACAAACGTATATATTTTAAAACATCATGCTGTCTAAGATAAATATATATAATTTTGTTAATTTAATTTTTTTTATTTTAACAAAGATTGGTCATGATTTGAAGAGCCGTGGTTTCAGGTTGAATCCCAATAATTATTTGAAAGGGAAAGAAACATTATATAGTTTTGTATTAGTTCCTTATTGTTGCTGAATCAAATTACCAGAAATTTACCTGCTTACACCACACAAATTTATTCTTTTATTATCTGAAGGTTAGATCTCTAACATTGGTTTCACTGGGTTAGAATCAAGGTATCAGGCAAAAATGCATTCCCTTCTGTAATCTCTACGGAAGAATCTGTTTCCTTGTTTTTTTCCTGTGTCTAGAGGCTACCTGAAATGCTCAGCCCATAGCCCCTTCCTTCATCTTCAAAGCCAGCAATGGTCTATTGAGACCTTCTCATAACACCTTACTCTGACTTTCCTCTCATCATCACGTCTCCTTCTGTGATTTCTTCTGCCTATCTCCTCCACTTTCAAGGACGCTTATAATTACACAAGGCTTCTCTTGATAATCCAGGATAATCTCTCTATCTTGAAGGCAGCTGAATACCAACCTTAATTCCATTTGCAATGTTAATTAATTCCCCTTTGCTGTATAATGTAATAGATTCTAGAGCTTAGGATGTGAACATCATTGGGAGGCCATTATTCTGTCTATATTGTGTCCCAAGGGTAGATTATTGAAAAAGAGACAGGCAAGGTATCATGGCCCCAGGAAAATGAACTGGGGTGCATGGCAGAGCTCTGGTTCTAGTGAGGAAATAGAATGTAGATTCAGAACTAAAAGTGATACTTATTATGTGTTTTGGGAACTCACAGAGGGAGTTGGGGAGCTGTTTTTGTTGGGTGAGGATAATGACAAAAATTCATGCCCATATTGACATATTTTGTATGCACTTAGGTGCTAATTCCTGCTCAGTCCTGACTCCATTGGCCCTGCCCCAAAGTAGGCAAAGTGAAGTAGCCTGGCAGAAGGATGCTAAAAGGCAAATGGAATTTGGAAACATTTTGTTGTTGTTGTCCACTCTTAAAGGCAAAACTCACGGGTCATACAAAAATATTCCTTAGAAACCTGTGACAATTTGAAAACTGTACTTTCCATCCCATCCTGTACGGGGTGGGGGAAGGAAAAGGAGGGCGTTTTTCTTGCTTTATTCCTAACAGCCATTTCTCCAAGCAGTGAGCTCTATTAGATTTTCCTGTGATTCCCACCAAAATAACTTCTAGTTAATGACCTCAACTATACATGCCACTATACAATGCTTCTTCTCAGAAATACAAAAGTGCTGTCTTCACTTTGCCACCACCAGTAGACACTGATGAATGCTCAAATTGGGCTAGAGTCTTATCTTACTTGCTGGGATGCATTTTCTGAGGATTACTGGTGTGTTAGTCTGTTTTCCCACTGCTTTAAAGAACTGCATGAGACTGGGTAATTTATGAAGGAAAAAGATTTAATTGACTCACAGTTCAGCATGGCTAGGAAGGCCGCAGGAAGCTTACAATCATGGCAGAAGGCGAAGGGGAAGCAAGGCACCTTCTTCACAAGGTAGCAGGAAGGAGAATGAATGCAGGAGGAACTAGTCAATGCTTATAAAACCATCAGACCTCGAGAGAACTCACTCACTATCACAAGAACAGCATGGGAGAAACCATCCCCATGATCCAATTAACTCCACCTGGTCTCTTCCTTGACACATGGGGATTGTGGGGGTTATGAGGATTATAATTCAAGATGAGATTTGGGTGTGGACACAAAGCCTAACCATATCAATTGGCTTCTCCTGTTCAAAGATAAAGACCTACAACTTTTCCAGTTCTCCTTGGCTTATATGCTAGTACATTTGACAGGTTTAATAACTGGCTGAATGGCCATTACCAGACAGACATTTCTACTTGCAGTAAAGCAAGTCCTGTCTTAATAAATCTTTTTTTCCTTTTCTTTGCCAGTGATAAGAAGCTAAAAACAATAACAAACATGTTGAATGTCAAATTATGGCTAGGAAAGGCCTTATCAGGTCAAAATAATCGACTGATCTAACAAGATTAATTTCAATAAAGATTTATGTAAGATTCTTCCCTTGCCCCACCCCTCCAAAAAATCAAACCAACTAATAAAAGTACAAAGGTAGATTAAAATATGGTTTAGCTGTAGCTCATATGAAAAAGAGTCAGGGGCTTTGGTCAGCAGTGAACTCAGTTACACATAGCAGTGCGTAGCAGCTTCCAAGAAAGTTCTGTCAGTTTCAACCTATATTACTAGAACTGTGTCACCTAGCCTTAGGGAGGAAATGATACCCCTCCAGTCTTCGTCAGTTTACAATGCATTGTCTAGCACTTTATTTGGGGCACCTCAATAGAGAAGATTTCGGAGGAGCAAGACCTATAAATACTATTAACTGAGGAATAAGTGCCTATAGAAATTTGAGATGTTTAGCCTAATGATTAAAGATTCAGGAAGCCATGATAACTCTTCAGATCTTAATAGTTGTGCATGGCCCCAAAGATCCAAAACTCATAAGCAGGAATCTCAGAAAGATAAGTTTTTGCCACAACATCTAGTAGTTAGGAATGTCTCAAGCTATTAACTCAGAAGACCGTGAGTGCTTTGACATGAGAGAACTTTACGCAAAGGTCAATGCCTGCTGACAGAGGGTCTAAGCTACAGATGGGAAGTAAACTAGATGACCCTGAATTCACTATAATTCTGCAGACTTTTCAATGAATTTCAGGCAGTCTTAGCCTTAGTTGAAAATCCAAAGTAGGCCAAGCTGGTCATTTGAAGCCCTCTACCTATCCCCAGTATGGTCTTCCTTATGTGCCGTGGCTTAGCACTTGCCTCCCTCAGTTACTCACCGTCTTCTGTATCACTGACCTTCCACAGATATGCTCTAATGAGACCTTCTTATACTAAGAATATAAATGTTTATCTTTTAAGCTTTATCTCTGGACATCTTGGGCTCTGTCTCATATTCTCTAGGCTCCTTTTTCACTCTAGCCCTTGGTATGGCTACCAATGCCTGAGAATGTAGCCTGACAGCACCTCTGTTCAGCTCCACCATAAATCTCTTGATTTCTGCCTCTTAGCACTTCTCCACCACTGCCTCCCTAATACCTGCCGAAACTTGTTCAGCTATTCTGGTCTCCAGGCAAACCTGGAAGTAAGATGGAGTTAATATCCCATGAAGCATTCACCAATGGGGAACAGAATTTGCTTGATAACTATTCTCCCCTTGAAGCCCTTGAGTGAATAACTCTCAGGTGAATTATCATTGGCTCCTCAGATGTTCCCACGTGGATTGAGTTTCAGCTGCCTACAGCAGTAAAAACTTTCAATAACACACCCTTGGATTATTTTTCCTCTCTTCCCTATTCGTTACTTTCATTCTTTGTGATCGTTTTCCAGAATAAACTATCTGTATGCAAGTTGTTGTGTTAGATTTGACATATTGAGGCGACTTAGACTAAAACAATTTACACTTATGAGAGACATTACCCACTTAAGAATTTCAGAAATTAGTGAACAGGTGTAGAAATTTTCACTGCAAATTTAGTTGCTTAACTTACCTGTTTATAAGGCCAATTCAACTACACAGTCAACATTTATGGATACAGTATTAAGAAGAAGTCAGTATTGACCTCTTTCCTTAGCTATGTTCTATCATAGACAATAACCAGATGATATAAATGCAACTATGAGCAATGGAGTACTTTCTCTTGGCAGAATCTAAAAACACACGACACAATCTCCCTTGGAAATAACTTGTAGCACAGGAAGGAAAGTGCATGAAAGAGCCAAGAAATAAAGTTGATTTGAGGTTGAAAAGAAACATCTCTTCAGGGAGCCACATACTCCCAGAATTTTTAAAAGCAAAAACAAACAAACAAAAAAAAAAAACAAAAAAAACAAAACAAACTATTTGCTTTTCTTCAAAACTTCACATCATAAACCCTGAGTAATTTATGCAATTATAATATTCTACATCCATAATGAGATTTTACAGCCCTTCATCCAAGAGAAACAAGCCTTGGAATAATTTTACTCTGAAGTTCCTAAATAACATAAAATTCAATTCACAGAATCACATTATTACTGAGAGAATCGATAATATTTTTCAATAAATGAGTTTAACAAAAATGATTTAATTTAATCTCCAAGTTTATGAGGGTAATGGTTGTTTCCTGCAACTATTATCATACTCGTTTCAGGTTAACTGCATGAATAATATCATCTAAGCTGTTTCTAATGATTGATCTATGTAATAAAAACCAAATTCCTGTATACTCCAATCCTTGGAAGAAATTAAAGATCTTTGCCAGCATTAGTCAAAATCCCACAGTATGTACCATGAAATGCTCAGAGCAGTCAGCTCTGGATTCTCATGAGAACACAGTTTGTACAAAAGCCCAGCTGTCTATAGTAGACAAAGATATGGAGTAGACAAAAGTTTTCATTATAACATTCTTAACTCACCATTCCCTTCCTGCAGGTCTTCTCATCACCCAGTGCTCTCAGGCTCTCTCGGGTTGCTCTGGTCTTTCTATTTAACCTCTTATTGACTCCTCCTGTGCCTTCCTCCTCTTTCCCACCCCCACCTTCTAACAGCACTCACCTGTGCTTCTTACCGTCCCTTATCAAGCGCTGTTGTGTGGGGGGGATAATCTGCTCAAAGGCACCAATTTCCTCCTTCCAACAGACTTGCTAAGGAGAAATTAAGGAGAATGTCCATGATCCCAAAATCAGCATTTCTGAAAAAGACACTGTTCTTTGGCAAAAAACAAAGTGTCAGGATTTCTGTGAAGTCTTCTGTTTAGAACTGTTCTGGCCGAGTCTGTGGTATATCAAGTGTAAAACGCACTTAAATTTTTTGCCAGGTCTACTTCCTGTTTAAGAAGCTGTAAGAGTGCATGAGGCCCCCAGAGAAACTGCAAAGCTGAGGTTATAGATAGGAGAGCTGACATCTTCTATCATTTACTTCCTGACATCATAGCCTCTGGCTGTAGAAGAAAAGTGACTGCAATTTTCAAACATGCACACACACTCTCTCTTCTTTTTCCTTCTGCTAAACATTAACCAAATCAAACACTCTCAGAGCAGAAATAAGAAAGCAAGCTCCAGGTCTCAAATATTGGGAAGACAAACATATTTAACTTATTTGGCTAGAATAACTGTCCCATATTACCAAGAGCAAATAATCATTTCTCCTTCAGACAGATATAAAGTCTTGATATTTTGGGACTGTATTGTGTTTCTGTTTCCTTTAGAAGAAATTTCTGCTTATGGGGATGGTCAGCGGATTGGCAATCTCCAACTCACTTTTATTGTTATAAAAAGGTAGAATTTGAGTTTATATTTTATAATAAATCTTTCAGAAAACCAGTGCTTGTTTTTCATTCATCTTGAAATCAAAAGATACGAGGTACAGAAGAGACTCTCAA